>NC_000012.12:14584650-15209650 GCF_000001405.40 Homo sapiens
GTTCATCAAGATTGTAGCTATAGTGAAATGGGACATGCCTGACTGGCGAACAGTACCAATCACTGATTTTCCACTTTGGTAATCCCCAGTTACCTTTAATTGGTCAATCACTTAATGTGGCCTCTTATTGGCAGCATTAGCTGTGAATTTTTAATGATTATGAGCCATGATGAACACAGCATGTTACATCAAGCACAAGAGAAAATAATGCAATCAAGAGATGTGGTAAACATGAGACCTATGAGGCTGCTGCCTGCATAACATGGCATGCTGTTTTATCTATTTTATTAATTAATTATTTATTTATTCATTTATTCATTTGAGACGGAGTCTTGCTCTGTTGCCTAGGCTGGAGTGCAATGGCGCGATCTCAGCTTACTGTAACCTCTGCCTCCCGGGTTCCAGTGATTCTCCTGCCTCAGCCTACCGAATAGCTGGGATTACAGGCATCCACCACCATGCCCAACTAATTTTTGTATTTTTAGTAGAGACAGAGTTTCACCATGTTGGTCAGGCTGGTCTTGAACTCCTGATCTCAGGTGAGCCGGCCACCTCCGCCTCCCAAAGTGCTGGGATTACAGGCGTGAGCCACCGTGCCCGGCCAGCATGCTGTTTTGTAGTACTTTCTTTTATAAGTAGGAGTAAACTCTAAAATAGCAATAAAACTATAGTAAATACATAAACCAGTCACAAAGTCACTTATTATTATTATCAAGTATTAATACATAACATAACTGTACATAATTGTATGTGCTTATACTTTCACATAACTGGCAGTGCAGTATGTTTCTTTACACTAGCATCACCACAAACACATGAGTAATGCATTGCACGTTACCTTATGATGGCTGCAAAGTCATTGAGCAACAGGAATTTTTCAGCTCCATTATAATCTAATAATCACATATGTGGTTCATCATTGACCAAAATGTTATATGCATGACTGTTTATATAATTGGCCCTCCATATCTGCAGGTTTTGCATCCTCAGATTTAACCAATTGACAAATGAAAATATTAACAAACAGAACAATAAAAAATAATATAAGCAATACAGTATAACAACTATTTACATAGCATTTAGATTGCATTATGTATTGCAAATAATGTAGAGATGATTTAAAGTATTTGTGAATATGTGTAGTATGTGTATAGGCTATATGCAAATACTACCCCATTTTATATAAGGGACTTGAGAATTTATGAATTTTGGTTTATGAGGGGTTCTGGAACCAATCCTTCATGTACATATATATATATAAATCTTTATATATATTCATATATATTCATACATATTCATACATATATTCATACATATATTCATATATATATTCATACATATATTCATATATATTCATCTATATTCATATATATATTCTCATATATTCATATATATATTCTCATATATTCATATATATATTCTCATTTATATGTCCATATATATATTCTCATATATATGTCCATATATATATTCTCATATGTATGTCCATATATATATTCTCATATGTATGTCCATATATATATTCTCATATGTATGTCCATATATATATTCTCATATGTATGTCCATATATATATTCTCATATGTATGTCCATATATATATTCTCATATGTATGTCCATATATATATTCTCATATGTATGTCCATATATATATTCTCATATGTATGTCCATATATATATTCTCATATGTATGTCCATATATATATTCTCATATGTATGTCCATATATATATTCTCATATGTATGTCCATATATATATTCATATATATTCATATATTCATATATATGTTCATATATATTCATATATATTCATATATGTTCATATATGTTCATATATGTTCATATATATTCATATATTCATATATATTCATATATATGTTCATATATATTCATATATATGTTCATATATATTCATATATATTCATATATATGTTCATATATATTCATATATATTCATATATATGTTCATATATATTCATATATATGTTCATATATATTCATATATATGTTCATATATATTCATATATATTCATATATACATATATATTCATATATATTCATATATTCATATATATATTCATATATATTCATTATATATTCATGTATATTCATATATATGTTCATATATATTCATTATATATTCATATATACACACATACATTTTATATATACATATGTATAATTTCATATATGCATAATGTATATAAAATGCTATGAGATGGACTTTCTGTTTAGGTTTAGTTTTGTATTTTTGTTTAGGACTACATCGCTTCCTTCTTAAATGGGCACTCACAGAGTAGTTGGTGGCATATGTCATGCACACATGAGAACAAAGCTTCCACTGGCCGGGTATGGTGGCTCACACCTGTAATCCCAGCACTTTGGGAGGCCGAGGCAGGTGGATCGCTTGAGCTCAGGAATTCAAGACCAGCCTGGGCAACATGATGAAACCCCATCTCTACAAAGTATACAAAAATTAGCTGGGCATGGTGGTGTGTGCCTGTAATCCCAGCTACTCAGAGACTGAGACACAAGAATTGGATGAACCTGGGAGGCGGAGGTTGCAGTGAGCCAAGACTGCACCACTGCACTCCAGCCTGGGTGACAGAATGAGACTCCGTCTCAAAAAAACAAAACAAAACAAAAACAAAACAGAGCTTCCACAGATAAGTGCCCAGTGATAGTTAATACCAATAAATACCCCAGGAAGTTAGGGGAAGAAGACATATGTTCTAGTCTGAAGGGGCTCTTAGAGGAGGTGGAATTCAAGCTGAGTCCAAAAGACAGATCATATGTAGTTAGGAGGAAGGAAGGCATGGGAACAGATATGAACAAGCTCAAGCCAAAAGGAGAAGGCACTGAGGTGTAAGAGGGGTGTGCCCCTCCTTCCTGCCTAGCTTGGCCTGTTCCAGTGTGCCCAGCTCCATTTCCAGAGTATGGGTACTCTAGTTCTTCTCCAAGTGCTTTATTTTCATTTTTTTAAGACAGAGTATCTCTCTGTCGCCCAGGCTGGAGTACAGGGGCATGATCTTGGCTCACTGCAACCTCCACCTCCCTGGTTCAAGCAATTCTCGTGCCTCAGCCTCCTAAGTACCTGGGACTACCAGCGTGTGCCACCAGGCCCTCCAATTGCTTTATGATAGCAGCAGGTTCCCAACAATCCCCTCTGTACTCTTTAGGCATGGAATCAAGCAAGCAGCCAACAACGGAGTAGAACCTCCAGCGGGAACCTCTTGGTGTGAGCAGTCCAGGCACTGCCCTGGGCACTGGCATTATGCCCTGTCGCAGAAGTCCTCCACTCTTTCTACAGGCCCTGGTCACCTGCAGACTACATCCCATCAGTTAACAAGCTATTAGGATAGGGTTCTTTCACCAGTTATTAACCTGGAAACAGGTTAATTTTCCATCCTTGATTCCTCTCCATACCTCTCACTTGTCCCTTCTTCTTCTTATTTTTCTCAAATTCCTTTTTACCACATTATTATTTTTTTAGACAAGGTTTCCCTCTGTCACCCAGGTTGGAGTGCAGTGGTGTGATCATAGCTCACTGCACCCTCAACCTCCCAGGCTCCAGCGATTTTCCCACCTCAGCCTCCAGAGTAGCTGGGACCACAAGCATGCCACCATGTCTGGTTAATTCGTGTACTTTTTGTAGAGGCAGGGTTTCAACAAGTTGCCCAGGCTGGTCTCCAACTCCTGAGCTCAAGTGATTTGCCTGCCTTGGCCTTCCAAAGTGTTGGGATTACAGGCATGAGCTACCTTGCCCTGCTTACTTAAAAAAAAATTTTTTTTTAATTTCTACTAGAAGTTAGGTCTGGCTATGTTGCCCAAACAGGTCTCAAACTCCTGGCCTCAAGGGATCCTTCCACCTCAGCCTCCCAAAGTGTTGGGATTAAAGGTATGAGCCACAATATTCAACCCTCCTTAAGCACATACTTTTGTATGTTAGTGATGCTATCTTTCTGACCATGATCATAATTCTGACACGTCTTTGCTAAAGTAGAAAAAAAAAAGCAACAATAGTGAACACTTCAAACACAGCAACTGTTACAGGATCTCTGGGGTGTCAATTTTCTGGCTGGAAACCTCTGTGGCAGGTGGTGCCTTTGCCCGAGTTCTTGTCCTGCATCCAATAAGAATGAGGTAACAGACAAGTGAAGGGTGAATAAGACAAAGATGATCTTTACTAAGTGTTAAAACAGCTCAGAGGAGAGCCGCAGTGGGTAGCTCCTCTCTGTAGGTAGGTTGTCTGTGGAGTGTTCAGCTCTCAGCAGAACAGAGGCCCTGGAGAGGGCTGCTCCTTTCTGCTACTGGTCTTCCCAATGTCTGCTGCTCTCAGCAGAAAGGAGGCCCTGAAGAGGGTTGCTCCTGTCTACAGAGGGTCATCCCACCCCATTGTTTCTCCCTCTCTGAGTCCTCTCCATCCTCTGCCCTGTTCTGACTGAGCCCGGGGCTTTTATGGACCTCAGAGGGGATGAAGTGCAGGCTGATTGGTCCATGGGCAGCCATGGGCAGCCAGAAGAAGCACCATGAGTCCCCACTCCCGTCAGCAGGACTGGCAGCCCACAGGCCTTCAAGTCCTTTTGTTAGGACTACATGTCTTCCTCCCTGGCCTGAAGGTGGAGCCTCACTGGGGATCTGCCCCCTTCCACCCGGGAATCTATCTGTTTCCTTCTGCCATTCTTGGCCCCAGGGCTCAGCCTCAACCCTGCTCCCAGATCACAGTGGGCACAGGGAGTGGAGAGAGGCCAGGCAGGGAGAGCAGACACCGCCAAGCCTGCAGAGACAGGGTGGGGGGGGCCCTTACCGGGGTCCCAGGGGTGCAGGCTGCAAAGACTCTTGGGTCCTGCGCTAACTCTGAAGGGTGCAACTCGGAAGGCGTGGGGCTTCTGCTTGTCTCAGGCTCCTGCCTGCCTGTTCTGTGGAGCCTGGTAGGCCCAGGTCTGCAGCCGTTGAGTCTATGGCCAGAGATTCTGCCTGCTCCTGGGCCCCCCAAGAACCCAGGGAGGCTCAGATCCACAGCAGCAGTTTGGGCGGTTGCAGCCCCACCCAGGAGAGCAGGGCTTCTGCCTGCTCCGTGGAGCGGGAGGCCTGGGTTTGCAGCTTGCATTCGGGCAGCTGCTGCCGCACTCGGGGAGCTCCCAACTTAACTCTGAAGGGGCGGGGCTCCCCCTGGCTCCATGTAGTGTGCAGCCCCAGCCCCGTGCCTCCTTGCCGCAGCCAGCGTGATGGCAGCAGCCACTGCCATCAAAACCAGTTAATTTCTGGTTGGAGGAGTTCTGCTAAAGGAAAGTACCAGGGTTGCCCTTGAATCTCCAGAGCAGGAAGCCCAGGCCAACTCTTTGGCATTTAGGAAGTGAGGATAAACTCTGACTCTCAGAGGTGGTGTAGTCTCTCCTCCTTGTTTGCTTAGGGTATTTGCTTTATGCTTCTTGGCCTACTCACTGATTGGTTTCTTCCTCTTCCATCTGCACTTGGTAGAAATATTTCAATTCCACTTTGGGAGGCCGAGGCAGGTGGATCACCGGAGGTCAGGAGCTCGAGACCAGCCTGACCAATATGGTGAAAACCCGTCTCTACGAAAAATGCAAAAATTAGACGGGCCTGGTGGTGGGTGCCTGTAATCCCATCTACTTGGGAGGCTGAGGCAGGAGGATTGCTTGAACCTGGGAGGTAGAGGTTGCAGTGAGCCGAGATTGTGCCACTGCACTCCAGCCTGGGTGACAGAGTGAGACTCTATCTCAAAAAAAAAAAAAATATTTTAGTTCCAGCCATGGCTCTCTCTACATGACCTGCCATCTTCATCACTCAACTCTGATTGACTTGTGACTTCCTGCAGCATTTCCTAGAAAATGGAATTGGCCCTGCAGGGGTTAGTGGTTTACCTTATTCCAATCAGCTGTGACCAGGGGAGCATATTTACAGCTATGCACAGGGCTCTTTCACCCTTTTGGCAGGGGTTAGGTGAGGGATAGTTTACACAGAGGATCTGAGCACCTAAGGATTTCTATCAATACAAGAGAACTTGAAGCAGATACTGAAAATTGGTTCCCTTTTAATCACTTTCTAGTTTGGCTCCTTGAAAGTTTAACACCATTTCTCAGACTTCTTTGCAGCTAGGACTGTGCCAAGCAGAAGCTAGATCATGTACAGAGTCCTAGCTGCAAAGAAGTGGAAATCTTGGAGTAATGTGAAGAGGCCACCACATTTGGGGAGATAGTATTTTCGGCAGGCAGGTGGCAGAGGCGACTAGTTCTTCCGGGGCAGCTGTGGTGCAGTTTCCAGCATACAGTCTCTCATGGTATAGGTGCCAAGCAGTGCCTGCTGTGGTGTTTTTCTGAAATAGTTCTCTGTCGTGACTAGTTATTGTTTCTGGATTCTCCTGGCTTTGCGAGGGTAAGCGTCTGGAAACTTTTATGGCAGTTGGATATTGTCACAACATGCAAGCATGTAATTTTTGTGGTTTTAAAAGTATTATTCTGAGACAGAGGTGAAATGGAAAAAAGCAAAATACCCCTTCATCCTTCATCACAGACTGAGAAGCACTGGCTCTCTACTGCTTTTTTTTTTTTTTTTTTTTGAGACAGACTCTGGCTCTGTAGCCGAGGCTGGAGTGCAGTGGCATGATCTTGACTCACTGCAACCTCTGCCTCCTGGGTTCAAGCGATTCTCCTGCCTCAGCCTCCCGAGTAGCTGGGGCTACAGGCGTGTGCCACCATGCCTGGTAATTTTTTGTATTTTTAGTAGAGATGGGGTTTCACTGTTAGCCAGGATGGTCTAGATCTCCTGACCTCATGATCCGCCTGCCTTGGCCTCTCAAAGTGCTGGATTACAGGCATGAGCCTCTGCGCCTGGCCACTGCTTTTGTTCTTGAGCTGAGTGAGCGACTGGGCAAGGTACAATCTCTGTAGAAGCCGCAGAAGGCTCCTGTGCAATGTACACTCTTACAAAACACCTGTACTTGTATAAACGACAAGGCAGGTCTTATTTCCAAAGAAATGTAGAACTGAAAATGATAACTCTTTTTTTTTTTGCAACAAACAAGAGTAGTAAATCATAAATCTGTCCAAATATTAGGACACATTTGAGCCAGGACAATGTCACTGCTTTCTTTGCCATGTAATCTATCTACCCTGGGGTTGGGTTAATACATAAAATGATTTGACCTAGGAGTAATCTACACAGTGCCAAATTGCAGTTATTTAAAGGTGCAAGATATGATGTATTTTAGCTGGGATTGCACTGTATGGTGTCTTTGCATGTGTGTACACATACATAAAGTTTTATGTTCCATAAAAGCATGGAAAATTGATGATGGCATTTTTAGCAAACATGAAACAATGTGCTGTTGCTGCAAATACAAAGCCTTCCTCCAGGAGAATTCTAAAATGGATATTATTATATTTTTATAATGCTTATCACCACCATTAGAACAAGACCGTTTTGGAATATATCATTCAACAGCTGGCCTGCCATGTGCTGGCTGAATAAAATCATGGGACTCAGGCATAAAAGGAGCAATTTCCTACATCATTTTTGTTGTTGCTCTTTTTTAGTCATAAAAACAGACTAGATGATCATTCAAAATATACTCTCAGAAGGACAGGAATACTTCATTTTGTGCAAATAGTTAGGTTCCTGAAAAAAATTGTATGGGTTAATTTTTCCTTCTATAATTGAGTGCCATTTTGTACACATGAGAAAAAATACATTTTAAAGACAATTCTGAATCTTTAAAAAATATAATCACCCTCAATTTTTATGACAAAATATTTATTTCTTACAAATAATCTAAGTAATAAATGTAGATGGTTAAAAAATAAAAATATCATTAATATTATAATAAAAAGCAAGTCACCTAGCTGACATTCCTCTTCCACTAGTCCCATGTCTCTGGAGTTGACCCTTTTTACTTTTCCCGCCTTTGCATCTTCTGAAGATTGTTACCATAAATTGCAACAATATGCCTTTACAGTTGTTTATTGTTTTACTAACTGAGACATTATATGACTGATTTCCTACTATGATAGATGAAGAGTCAGCTCACTTGCAACCCTCTCAGTCTTATTCTCTAGCCTCTTCCATTATCAATGTTATCAGTTCCTCCAATGGTTGTCTCTGTAACTTCAAATTTATTTCATTTCTTAGTCCTTTGACCTAAGAACCTTATAAAAGCAATTCCTCTTAGGGTCCCACTATTTCCTCTATTGTTTTAGAACTGGCTAAGTATTTAATAGAATGTTCTTCAATTTGAGTTGGCCTGATGTTTTCTCACGATTACATTAAGGTTATTCATTTTGTTTAACTTTTATTTTAAGTTCAGGAGTACATGTGCAGGTTTGTTATATAGGCTAACATGTGTCATAGGAGTTTGTCATACAGATTATTTTGTCACCCAGGTATTAAGCCTACTACCCAATAGTTATTGTTCCTGATCCTCCTCCCAGCCTCCACATTCTGATAGGCCCCAGCGTGTATTGTTCCCCTCTATGTGTCCATTTGTTCTCATTATTTAGCTCTCACACTTATAAGTGAGAAAATGTGGTATTTGGTTTTCTGTTCCTGTGCAAATGAACGTACACATGTGTGTGTCTTTATGGTTAGAATGATTTATATTCCTTTGGGTATATACCCAGTGATGGAATTGCTGAGCTGAATGATAGATCTGTTTTTAGCCCTTTGAGGAATTACCACACTGTTTTCCACAATGGTTGAGCTAATTTATACTCCCACCAACAGTATATAAACGTTCCCTTTTCTCTACAACCTTGCCAGCATCTGTTTTTTTTTTTGTTGTTGTTGTTGTTTAGTTAGACGGAGTCTTGCTCTCTTGCCCAGGCTGAAGTGCAGCAACGTGATCTCAGCTCACTGCAACCTCCGCTTCTCAGGCTCAAGCGATTCTCCTGCCTCAGCCTCCCAAGTAGCCGGGATTACAGGTACTTGCCACTATGCCCAGCTAATTTGTGTATTTGGTAGAGACGGGATTTTTGCCATGTTGGCCAGGCTGGTCTCAAACTCCTGACCTCAGGTGATCCGCTCACCTTAGCTTCCCAAAGTGTTGGGATTACAGGCGTGAGCCACCATGCTGGGCTATTTTGACTTTTTAATAGCCATTCTGACTTGAATGAGATGGTATCTCACTATGGTTTTGATTTGCACTTCTCTAATGATCGGCGATATTAAGCTTTTTTTCATATGCTTGTTGGCTGCATATATGTCTTCTTTTGAAAACTGTCTGTTCTTGCTCTTTGACTACTTTTTGTTTTTTCCTATACATTTGTTTTAGTTCCTTATAGGTGCTGGATATTAGATCTTTGTCAGATGCATAGTTTACAAATATTTTCTCCCATTCTGTAGGCTGTCTGCTTACTCTGTTGATAGTTTCTTTTGCTGTGCAGAAGCCTTTAATTAGATCTCATTTGTCAATTTTTGCTTTTGTTGCAATTGCTTTTGACGTCTTCATCATGAAATCTATGCCTGTTCCTATGTCCAGAATGGTATTGCCTAGGTCGTCTTCCAGGGTTGTTATAGTTTTGGGTCGTACATTTAAATTAAGTCTTTAAGGCTGGGCGCGGTGGATCACGCCTGTAATTCCAGCACTTTGGGAAGCTGAGGTGGGCTGATCATCTGAGGCCAGGAGTTGGAGACCAGCCTGGCCAACATGGAAAAATCCCGTCTCTACTAAAAAAAATAGACGAATTAGCTGGGCATGGTGGTGTATGCCTGTAATCCCAGCTACTCGGGAGGCTGAAGTAGGAGAATCGTTTGAACCCAGGATGCAGAGGTTGCAGTGAGCCGAGATCATGCCACTGCACTCCAGCCTGGGCGACAGAGGGAGACTCCATCTCAAAATAAATAAATAAATAATAAAGTAATTAATTAATTAAGTCTTTAACCCATCTTGAGTTAATTTTTGTATATGGTATAAGGAAGGAGTTCAATTTCAATCTTCTGTGTATGACTAGCCAGTTATCCCAGCACAATTTATTGAATAGAGAGTCCTTTCCCATTGCTTGTCTTTGTTAGCTTTGTCAAAGATCAGATGTGACATCACCTACAGACATGTATGTAGGTATGTGGCATTATTTCTGGGCTCTCTATTCTGTTCCATTGGTCCATGTGATTGTTTCTGTACCGGTACCATGCTGTTTTGGTTACTGTAGCCCTATAGTATAATTTGAAATCAGGTAGTGTGATGCTTCCAGCTTTTTTCTTTATGCTTAGGATTGCCTTGGCTATTTGGGCTCCTTTTTGGTTCCATACGATTTTTAAAATAGTTTTTTCTAGTTCTGTGAAGAATGTCATTGGTAATTTAATAGGAATAGCACTGAATCTCTACATTGCTTTGGGCAGTATGACTACTTTAACAATATTGATTCCTCCTGCCCATGAGCATGGAATGTTTTCCCATTTGTTTGTGTCATCTCTGGTTTCTTTTTTGTCTTCCTTCCTTCCTTCTTTTTTTTTTCCACAGTTTCACTCTGTCACCCAGGCTAGAGCGCAGTCATGAGATCTTGGCTCACTGCTACCTCCGCCTCCCAGGTTCAAGCAATTTTCTTGCCTCAGCCTCCCAAGTAGCTGGGATTACAGGCATGTGCCACCATGCCCGGCTAATTTTTGTATTTTTAGTAGAGATGGGGTTTTGCCATGTTGACCAGGTTGGTCTCAAACTCCTGACCTCAGGTAATTCAACTGCCTTGGTCTCCTAAAGTGCTGGAATTACAGGCGTGAGTCACCACGCCCGGCCATCTCTGGTTACTTTGGGCGGTGTTTTGTAGTACTCCTTGCGGAGCTCTTTCACCTGCCTGGTTAGCTGTATTCCTAGGTATTGTATTCTTTTTGTGGCAATTGTGCATAGGATTGCATTTCTGATTTGGCTGTCAGCTTGACTGTTTTTGGCATATAAGAATGCTAGTGATTTTGTACATTTGTATCCTGAGAATTTGCTGAAGTTTTTTGTAAGTTTAAGGAGTTTTAAGCTGAGATTATGGGATTTCTTAAGATATAGGATCATATTGTCTACAAACAGTGATAGTTTGACTTCCTTTTGTCCTATTTGGACGTGCTTTATTTCTTTCTCTTGCCTGATTGCTCTGGCCAGGACTTCCAATATGATGTTAAATAGGAGTGATGAGAGAGGGCATCCTTGTCTTGTGCCAGTTTTCAAAAGGAATGCTTCCAGCTTTTGTCTATTCAGTATGATGCTGGCTGTGGGTTTGTCATAGATGGCCCTTATTATTTTGAGGCATGTTCCTTCAATACATAGTTTATTGAGAGTTTTTAACATGAAGTGATGTTTGATTTTATTGAAAGCCTTTTCTGCATCTATTGAGGTAATCAATCTTTAGTTCTGGTCATGTGATGAATCACATTTATTGATTTGTGTATGTTGATCCAAACTTGCATCTCAGGGATGAAGCCTACTTGATTATGGTTGATGAGCTTTTTGATGTGCTGCTGAATTTGGTTTGCCAGTATTTTGTTAGAGGATTTTTGCATCAATGTTCATCAAGGGATTGGCCTGAAGTTTCCTTTTTTTTTGTTGTGTCTTTGCCAGGTTTTGGCATCAGGATGAGGCTGGCCTCATAGAATGAGTTAGGGAGGAGTCCCTCCTCCTCAGTTTTTTTGGAATAGTTTCAGTAGAAATAGTACCAACTCTCCTTTGTACATTTGGTAGAATTTGGCTTGAATCTGTCTGGTCCTGGGCTGTTTTTTTTTTTTTTTTTTTTTGGTAAGCTATTTATTACTGATTCCATTTTGGAGCATATTATTGGCCTATTCAGGGATTCAATTTCTTCTGGCTCAGTCTTGGGAGGGTGTATGTGTCCAGGAATTTGTTCATTTCTTTTATATTTTCTTGTTTATGTGCATAGAAGTGTTTATAATGTTATTTGATAGTTATTTGTATTTCTGTAGAGTCAGTGGCAATATCCCCTTAGTCATTTCTAATTGTGTTTATTTGGATCTTCTCTCTTTTATTCTTTATTACTCTAGCTAGTGGTCTATCTAGTTCATTAATTTTTCCAGAAAACCACTTCTTGGATTTGCTGATCTTTTGAGTGTTTTTTCATGTCTCAATCTCCTTCAGTTCAGCTCTGAGTTTAGTTATTTCTTGTCTTCTGCTAGCTTTGGGGTTGGTTTTCTCTTGATTCTTTAGTTCTTTTAGTTATGATGCTAGGTTGTTAAGTTAAGATATTTCTAACTTTTTGATGTGGGCATTTAGTGTTGGAAATTTCTCTCTTAACACTCCCTTAGCTGTGTTCCAGAGATTCTGGTATGTTGTATCTTTGTTCTCATTAGTTTCAAAGAACTTCTTAATTTCTGCCTCAGTTTCATTATTTACCCAAAAGTCATTCAGAAGCAGGTTGTTCAATTTCCAGGTAATTGTATGGTTTTGAGCAGATTTCTTAGCCTCGATTTCTAATATGATTTTGCTGTGGTCTCAAAGAGTGGTTGTTATGATTTCAATTCTTTTACATTTGCAGAGGAGTATTTTATGTTCAATAATGTGATCAATTTTAGAGTAAGTATCATGTGGCAATGTGAAGAATGCATATTCTGTTGCTTTTGGGTGGAGAGTTCTGTAGGTGTCTCTCAGGTCCAGTGCTGAGTTCAGGTCCTAGATGTCTTTGTTAATTTTCTGCCTAGGTGATCTGTCTAATACTGTCAGTGGATGTTAGAGTCTCCCAATATTATTGTGTGGGAGTCTATGTCTCTTTGAAGATCACTAAGAACTTGCTTTATGAATCTGGGTTCTCCTGTGTTGAGTGCATATATATTTAGGATAAGTAGGTCTTCTTGTTGAATTGAATGTTTTCCCATTATTTAATGCCTGTCATTGTCTTTTTTGATCTTTATTGATTTAAAGTCTGTTTTGTCTGAAATTAGGATTGTAACCTCTGCTTTTTTCTGTTTTTCATTTGCTTGGTAGATATTTCTATATTCCTTTATTTTGAGCCTAAGGGTGTCATTGCATGTGAAATGGGTCTCTTGAAAGCCGCATACCAATGGTTCTTGGTTCTTTATCCAGATTGCCACTCTGTGACTTTCGATTGGGAGCATTTAGTCCATTTATGTTCAAAGTTAGTATTGATATGTGTGGATTTGATCCTGTCATCATGATGTTAGCCAGTTATTATGCAGACTTGTTTATGTGATTGCTTTATAGTGTCACTGGTCTGTGTACTTCATTGTGTTTTCGTAGTGGCTGGTAACAATCTTTTCATATTTAGTGCTTCCTTCAGGAGCTCTTGTAAGGCAGGTCTAGTGGTAATGAATTCTCTCAGCATTTGCTTGTCTAAAAAGGATCTTATTTCTCCTTTGCTTTTGAAGCTTAGTTTGGCCAGATATGAAATCCTGGTTGGATTTTTTTTCTTTAAGAGTGTTGAATATTGGTCCCCAAACTCTTCTGGCTTATAGAGTTTCTTCTGAGAGGTCCATTATCTGTCAGATGGGCTTCCCTTTGTAGGTGACCTGATATTTCTAGCTGCCTTTAACATTTTGCTTTTTATTTCAACTTTGGAGCATCTGATGATTATGTTTCTTGGGGATGATCTTCTTGTAAAGTATCTTATTGGGGTTCTCTGCATTTCCTGAATTTGAATGTCAGCCTTTCTAGCTAGGTTGGGGAAATTCTCATGGATGATATCCTGAAATACGTTTTCCAAATTGCTTACACTCTCCTAATCTCTTTCAGGGGCATCAGTGAATCATAGATTTGGTATCTTTGCATTATCGCATATTTCTCAGAGGTTTGGTTCATTCCTTTTCATTCTTTTTTCTCTATTCTTGTGTTACTGTCTTATATCAGAAAGCCAGTCTTCAAGCTCTGAGATTCTTTCCTCTGCTTGGTCTATTCTGCTATTAATACTTGTGATTACATTATTAAATTCTTGTAGTGTGTTTTTCAGCTCTATGAGGTCAGTTATGGTCTTTCCTATACTGGCTATTTTATCTCTCAGTTCCTGCATCATTTTATTGCGATTCTTAGCTTCCTTGGATTGGGTTTCAACGTACTCCTGCATCTCCATGATCTTTATTCCTTTCCACTTTCTGATTTTTTTTCTTCTTTTTTTTTTTTTTTTTTTTTGAGGCAGAATCTCACTCTGTTGCTCAGGCTGGAGTGCAGTGGCACGATCTTGGCTCACTGCAACTTCTGCCTCCCAGGTTCAAGTGATCCTCCCACCTCAGCCTCTTGAGCAGCTGGGATGACAGGCATGTACCACCATGCCCAGCTAATTTTTGTATTTTTAGTAGAGATGGGGTTTCACCATGTTGGCCAGGCTAGTCTCAAACTCCTGGCCTCAGGTGATCCACCCACCTCAGACTCCCAGAGTGCTGGGATTACAGGCATGAGCCACCACAAATGTCCCATATTCTGAATTCTATTTCTGTCATTTCAGCCATCTCAGCCTGGTTCAGAACCCTTGCTCCTTGACAGTTCAACTCACCCATTCCCCTGGAGTCACTGGGGGCCAGAAACAAATCCCAGTTCATGGTAGCCCCATGCAGGATTCCCAGGTTCTTCCTGCTTCAGTCCAGCTTCTGTATCTTCCCTCCATCCACTCTCAGTGCTTTCCCTCTGAAGATCTGTTAGGAGTGTACCAGTTGTCTCGGTCTCTCAGTAGCAGCTGTTCCCCCTGGCTATGTCTAGTCAGCCATCTTTCTTTCTCCCGAGGTTATTCATTTTAAGGAAGAATATTACAGAGGTATTAGAACCCTCCCAGTGCATAACATGATGTTAATATGTCATTCCTTGTGAAATTAACCTTAATTATCTGGTTATTGTGGTATCTGAAGGCTTCTCCACTTTAAATTACTATGTTTTCTATGTAACAATAAATATTTGAAGGAAGGCACTTTGAAATTATGCAAATATCCTCTTTCTTCTTAAACTTTTACTCACAAATATTAGCATTAATTAGTGGACCTTGCCAGTAGCAATGATTACAGTAGTGTTCTAATATTTATTTTTAAATTTTCTTCATTTTTCTACTTATTAATATGATTTTTCTGTAAGGTGGAGTTGTCTCTTCTCTATCAGTTATTTATGGTTAATCATTTATTTATATCTGTGTGGAGTCACAGATATTTACTTTATTCTTTAGGTTATAATTCAATACTTTATTTCATTATTTTTGTTTCAGCTTTAGTCATTCGGAGCTTTTTAAAATTGACTTCCATGACATTTTGACAAGCCTCCATTTTTTGTTTTTTGGTGGTTTTTTTGCACCTCATTACTTTCTGGCAATGTGAGATGATCCAGTCTTATTTTGTATTTTTCCTGTCACAGCCTTGAAATCAATCACTTGCCTAAGGAGTCCTGGTTCTTTTTAAGAATAATAGCTAGGGGCTGGGTGTTGTGGCTCATGCCTATAATCCCAGCACTTTGGAAGGCTGAGGCAGGAGGATTGTTTGAGGCCAGGAATTTGAGACCAGCCTGGGCAAAATAGTGAGGCCCCCATCTCTACAAAAAGTAAATAACAACAACAACAAAACTGGGCATGGTCTACATGCTAGCTACTCAGGAGGCTGAGGTAGAAGGATTGCTTGAGCCTGGGAAGTTGTGGCTGCAGTGAGCCATGATTGCAATACTGCACTCCACAGCCTGGATGACAGAGCAAGACCCTATATATTAAAAAAAAAAAAAAAAAAAAAAAAAAAGGTATTTAGAAACCGCAATCTGGACACTAGTTGTGTTCATTGCTGTTGGGGGTATCACTAATTCTAGATCTTCTCAGTGAGTTAGTATATACTCACATATACATTTATTTCTCTAGCTATCTATTAAAAATCCACAAGATTCATAGTGTTACTACTGATCCAATCCAGCTCTTCAAGGTTAATTCTGGCATTCCTTTTTTGTTTATTTATAAATTTTTTCTCTGACAGTGAGAAACCTGTTGCTCATATCTAAAATATATTTATCTAATTGACCTAGTCTACATTTAAAGTGGTTTCAATTCTAACTTACCCTCTTCTGAAAAACAAATTTATCAATTAGACTACAATGTTTTGTACAGTGCTTTTTTTAGCCTTACAGAATCCACTAAAAATGCTGTTTTCCAAAGTATCTTATGTCAGCTCCTTTCTTTACCACCCTCTTCAATGAGGGTATGCCATTCTGTATAATAAAGTTAGATTTATTTTTCACATTCTACATTCCATATTGGGTTCCATCCACATCTGATTGCTTTATAAAGAATTGCTTGCAGTGAAAGTCTTCCTTTGTGGTATACAGTTCTGAAATTTTGAGAGATGCATGGTCATGTGTTTACCATCACAGTACCATATGAGACAATTACATTACCTCCAAAATTCATTTGTTCTATCTTTTTTCTTATTCTTCTTCTCTTCTTCTTCTTCTTCTTTTTTTTTTTTTTTTTTTTTTGAGACAGGTTCTCTTTCTGTCACCCAGACTGTGTTGCAGTGGCACAATCTGGGCTTGCTGCAATCTCTGCTCTCCAGGATCAAATGATCCTCCCACCTCAGCCTCCCAAGTAGCTGGGAACATGGGCACACACCACCACACTCGGCTATTTTTTTCTGTATTTTTGGTAGAGACGGGGTGTCACCATGTTGCCCAGGCTGGTCTTGAACTCCTGAGCTCAAGCAATCTGCCTGCCTCAGCCTCCCAAAGTGCTGGGATTACAGGCATGAGCCATGGAACCTGGACTTCTTCCAGCTCACAATTCCTAGAATTTGTAATCAAATTCTTCCAGCTGACAATTCCTAGAAATCACTGACCTAGTTTCCATTTCTAGAATTTTTCCTTTCCCAAAAAGTCATTTAAATGAAATCATGCAATATATAGTCTTTGGGGTCTGGTTTCTCTTAGGGAATTGTATTTAAGGAATCATCTATATTGGCTTTTTAACATTTAATTTTGTTTTTTATTATTTTCTATGGATACATAATAGTTGTACATGTTTATGTATTACATATGACATTTAGATATTTGCACACAATGTGTAATAATCACATATGGGTAATTGGGATACCCATTACCTCAAACATTTATCATTTCTTTGTGTTGGGAACATCCCAAATCTTCTCTTCTAGCTCTGAAATATACAATAAACTATTGTTAGCCATAGGCACTCTATTGTGCTGCCAAACACTAAATCTTATTCCTTCTATCTAACTATATTTTTATACATTAACCAATCCCTCTTCACCCCCCCCTTTTCCACTACCCTTTCCAGCCTTTGGTAAACACCGTTATATTTACTACCTCCATGAAATCGATTTTTATTTTAACTCCCACACATGAGTAAGAATACACAATATTTGTCTTTCTGCACCTGGCTTATTTCACTTACCCATAATGTCATCCAGTTCCATTCATCTTACAGCAAATGACAGTATTTCATCCTTTTTATGGTTGAATGACATTTCATTATATATATACAGCACGTTTTCTTTAGCTAGTCATCCATTGGTAATCACGTAAGTTAATTCCATGTTTTGGTTATTGTGAAGAGTGCTGCAATAAACATGGGAATGCAGATATCCCTTCAATATCCTGATCTTCTTTCTCTTGGATATATACCCAGCAGTGGGATTGCTGAGTCATATGGTAGTCCTATTTTTAGTTTTTAGAGAAATCATCATAATGTTCTTTATAGTGTCTGTACTAATTTGCATTCTCACCAACAGTGTACAAGTGTTCCTCTTTCTCTACATCCTCATTAACATTTGTTATTGCCTGTCTTTTGAATAAAAGCCATTTCAACTGGGGTGAGATGATATCTCATTGTAATTTTGCTTTGCATTTATCTGATGATTAATGATATTGAACTTTTTTATATACCCATGGGCCATTTCTGTTTTATGTTTTTCAAGAAATGTCTACTGAGGTCTTTTTGCCTATTTTAAAATTAAATTATTAATTTTTTGTTATTAAATTGTTTGCATTTCTTATATATTCTGGTTCTTAATCCCATGTTGGATTGGTAATTTGCAAATATCTTTTCCTTTCTCTGGGTTATCACTTCACTTCATTGATTAGTTTCCTTTGTTATGCAGAAGCTTTTTAGTTTGATGGACTCTTATTTGTCCATCTTTGTTTTTGTTTGTTTGTGCTTTTGAGACCTTTTCCAAAAAATCCTTGTCCAGATGAATGTCCTGAGTCATTTTTCCTATGTTTTCTTCTAGAAGTTTTTTAGTTTCTGTTTTTACATTTAAGTTAATTCATTTTGAGTTAATTTTTATATACATTAAGAGATAGGGATTCAGTCTCAGCACCATTTATTGAAAATATCTTTTTTCCCCAGTGTGTGTTCTTGGTGTCTTTGCCAAAAATTAGTTAGATGTAAGTGCATGAATTTCTTTCTGTATTCTTTATTCTGTTCCATTGGTCTATGTGTCTATTTTTATGTTAATATCATACTGTTTTGATTATTACAGCTTTGTAGCATATTTTGAAGTCAGGTAGTGTGATGCCTCCGGCTTTGTTCTTTCTGTTCAAGATTGCTTTGGCTATGTGGGGTCTTCTGTGGTTCTGTATACATTTCAAGATTGTTTTTTCTATTTCTATGAAGAATATCATTGGTATTTTGATAGGGATTGCAGAAAATCTGTAGATTACTTCCTTGATTTTTTTTAGGTTGTTTACTATTGACATATAGAAACACTACAGATTTTGGTATGTTTATTTTGTATTCTGCAACTGTATTAAATTTGTTTATTAGTTCTAACAGAATTTTGGTGGTGTCTGTAGGGTTTTGTATATATAAGATTATGTCACTTGGAAGCAGGGACAATTTGATTTTCTTATTTTCAATTTGGATGCTTTCTTTTCTTTCTCTTGCCTATTTGCTTGGCTGGGACGTCCAATATTAAATAAAAGTAGGCATCATGTCTTGTTCTAGATCTTAGAGGAAAAGCTTTCCAGTTTCCCCCATTGAGTATGATGCTAGCTGTGAATTTGTAATATATGGCCTTTATTGTGTTAAGGTATGCTCCTTCCCTGTCTAATTTGTTGAGAGTTTTTATCATGAAAGGATGGTGAATTTTATCAAATGCTTTTTCTGGATCTATTGAAATAATCTTATGGTTTTTGTCTTTGATTCTGTTAATGTGGTGTATTACATTTGTTAATGTGCATATACTGAACCATCCTTGCATCCTTGGGATGATTCCCACTTGATCATGATGAATCATCTTTTTAATGTGTTGTTGAATCCAGTATTTTGCCAGTATTTTGTTGAGGTTTATTGTATTTACATTTCTTAGTGATATTGGCCTACAGGTTTTTGTTGTTGTGGTGGTGGTGGTGGTTGTGGTGTCTTTGTTTTGGAATCAAGGTAATGCTGGCCTCACAGAATGGGTTAGGGAGAATTCCTTCTCATCAATTATTTTCAAAAGTTTAAGCAGAATTGATATTAATTTTTCTTTAAATTTTTGGTTTAATTTAGCAGTAAAGCCATCAGGTCTTGGGCTTTTCTTTAATGGGAAGCCTTTTATTATTTCTATCTCATTCTCATTATTAGTCTGTTCAGGTTTTCTGTTTCTTCATGATTCCATCTTGGTTGGTTGTATCAGTCTAGGAATTTTCCATTTCTTCTAGATTTTCCAACTTACTGGCATACAGTTGCTGATAATAGTATCTAATGTCCTTTGAATTTTTGGTGGTATCAGTTGTAATGTCTCCTTTTTCATCTTTGAATTTTTTTATTTGAATCTTTTTTCCTTATTAGTTTAGCTAAGCATTTGACAATTTTGTTTATGTTTTCAAAAAACCAACTTTTCATTTTGTTGATACTGTGTTTTTAGTCTTAATTTCATTTATTTCTTCTCTAATCTTTATTTTTTTCCTTCTACTAGTTTTGGGCTTAGTTTGCTATTGATTTTATAATTCTCTAAGGTGCATCATTAGGTTGTTTATTGGAAATCTTTTGCTATTTTTTGATGTAGATGTTTATTGCTATAAAATATCCTCTTAGAACTGGTTTTGCTGTATCCCATTGGTTTTGGTATGTTGAATATCCAGTTTTATTTGTTTCAAAATTTTTTAAAAATTTTTTTCTTAACTTTTTTATTGATCCATTGCACTCATGATATTTTATGAACAATAGTTTATTTTTTATTGCTCAGTGGCATGTGATTGTATGAGTACTCCATAGTTACTTTATTCATATACTTGTTGAAAAATATGTTTTTTAAAATTTATCAATAATACTAATATAAACATTCAGAAACATATTCATATGAACATAGTTTTCATTTTATTTGCATAATTATGTTGGAGTGGTGTTGTTATATCCTATTGTGTCTATTTAATTCATATTTTAAAGGGCTAAAGTATTTTCCAAAGTTTCTTTACTGTTTTAAATACCTGTTAACAATGTATGAGAGTTCCATTTGCTCTGCATCCACATCAGCACTTCATATTGTCAGACTTCTAGTTGTAGCCATTTTAATAAGTATGTGGTATTATCTTTTTGTTGTGTTAATTACACTTTACTAATGACTAATGATGTTGAACATTTATATATGTAGATATATGTTTGCATTTATATGTCTCCTTTGGTGAAATGTCATAAAGGAAACTAAAATAAAGCTACAATTTTCTAAATCTGTGCAATTCAATAGGAAATCAAAAACAAGAAGGTAAACACATGACTAGTTTTAGAACATTTAAAAATAAAAAAATTTTACCAGTATATATTATATTTCCAGTACCATTCATTTCTTTGTGTGGATCCTAGTCTGTATATGGTGTTGAATGTCTTCTGCCTGAAGAACCTTATTTAAAATTTACTATAGAATTCGTCTGCTGACAATAAACCCTCACGTTCATCTTAGGGGCATGAACATCTTTATTTTTTATTTTGAAATATGTGTATTTTTTTTTGCTGGGTATAAAATTCTTTTTTTTTCTCTCAGCATTTCAAAGATGTCATTCCATTGTCTTTTAGCTTGCATAGTTTCAGAATATGAGTCTGCAGTAATTCTTAATATTTGTCCTTCTGTTGTGCAATGTCTTTTTTCCCCGTTTGGCTATCTTCACAATTTTTTCTTTATTTTTGGTTTTCAGCAGTTTAAATATAACATGCCCAGATGTGGGTTTGGGAATTTATCCTAAATGGATTTCTCTGAGATTCTTAAACTTGTGATTTGGTGGCTGTCATTACATTTGGTAAACTCTTTCATTCTCAGCATGTGGATCTATAGTTTTCCTACCCTTATTTATTGAAGAGACTCTCTTCTCCAATGTATGTTTGTGGTGCTTTTGTTGAAAATCAGTTGGATATAAAGGCATGAATTTATTTCTGTGTTCTCTATTCTATTCTATTGGTCTATGTATCTGTTTTTATGCCAGTATAATGTGGTTTTGGTTACTGTAACTTTATTTAGCCATTATTTTTTCAAATATTTCTTCTGAATTATTTTGTCTGCTGGGATTCCAATCACATACATGTGAGACCTTTTGATATTCTCCCACAGCTCTTAGTAGCTCTGTTTTGTTTCATTCACTTCTTTTTCCCTTTGGTTAGTTTGCATAATTTTTTACTCCTATGTTAAAGTACATTGATTTTTTTAATTAGTTATGTGTAGTTTTTATTATCTATTTTTAATTTTTTGAGAAACCTTCATACTGTTTTTCATAATGGATTTATTAATTTTCATTCCCACCAACAGTGCACAAGCATTCCATTCTTCACATCCTTGCCAGCATTTGTGATTTTTTGTCTTTTTGATAATAGCCATTCTAACTGGGGCGAGGTGATATCTTTTTTGAATTTTAATTTTTAAAAATTTGAATAGCTTTACGGGCATAAGTGGGGGTGAAGTGATATCTTACCATGGTTTTGATTTGCATTTCCCTGTTGAACATTTATTTTTTCATATATCTCTTGGCGTTTTGTATGTCTTATTTTGAGAAGTATCTATTCAGGTATTTTGCTTAATTTTGAAATTTTACTTTGGATTGTGTGTGTGTGTGTGTGTGTGTGTGTTGCCTGTTGAGTTGTTTGGGTTACTTATACATTCTGGATATTAGTCATTTGTTGGATGAATAGTTTGAAAATATTTTATTGCACTCAACAGGTTGTCTCTTCACTCTGTTGATTGTTTCCTTTACTTTGCAGAAGTTTTTAGTTAAATATAGTTCCATTTGTCTATTTTGGTTTTTTTTGGCTATGCTTTTGAGGTCTTAGCCATAAAACTTTTGCCTAAGCCAATGTCTTGAAGTGTTTTCCCTATGTTTTCTTCTAGTACTTTCATAGTTTTGGGTTTTATGTTTAAGTCTTTAACCAACTTAGAGTTGATTTTTGTTTATGGTGAGACATGGGGTCTAGTTTCATTCTTTTGCATGTGGATATATAGTTTTCCTACCCTCACTTATTGAAGAGACTGTCTTTTCTCCAGTACATGTTCATGATGTTTTTGTTGAAAAGCAGTTGAATGTAAAGACATATATTTATTTCTGTGTTCTCTATTCTATTCTATCTGTCTATGTGTCTGTTTTTATACCAGTACCCTGTAGTTTTGGTTACTGCAACTTTATAGTACATTTTGAAATCAGGTAGTGAAATGCCTCCAGCTTTGTTCTTTCTGTTCCAAATTGCTTTGGCTTTCTGGGGTCTTTTGGATTTCCATATGAATTTAATTTTTTTTCTATTTCTGTGAAGAAGGCCATTAGTATTTTGATGGGAATTGCATTAAATCTGTACATTGTTTTGGGTAATATAAACATTTTTATAATATTAATTATTTGAATCCATGAACACGGAATATTTTCCATTTATTTATGTCCTCTTCAATTTCTTTAATCAATGTTTTATAGGTTTTATTGTAGAGATCATTTAACTCCTTTGTTAAGTTTATTCCTAGGTATTTTTTTTTCTTGAAGCTATTGTAAGCAGAATTGCTCTCTTGATTTTTTTCCAGTTAGTTTGCTACTGAAATACAGATATGTTATTGATTTTTGTATGTTGGTTTTGTATCCTGCAACTTTTCTGAATTTATTTATTAGTTCTAACAGTTTTTGGTGGAGTCTTTTAGGTTTTTCTATAGATATGTTTATGTTGTCTACCAACAGGGACAATTTGACTTCCTTCTTTCCAGTTTGGATGCCATTTATTTCTTTCTCTTGCATAACTGCTCTGGCTAGAACTTTTTGCATAACTGCTGTGGCTAGAACTTTCAATACTATGTTGAAATTATGAGGTAAATGTGGGTATCCTTATCTTGCTTCAAATCTTGGAGAAAAAGTTTTCAACTTTTCTTTGTTCAGTATGATGTTAACTGTGGGTTTTTATCATTGTGGCCTTTATTGTGTTGAAGTATGTTTCTTCTATGTCCAATTTGTTGAGAATTTTTATCATGAAGGCAAGCTGAATTTTATTAAAAGCTTTTTTAGCATCAATGAAAATGATTTTATTGTATTTATCCTTGATTTTGTTACTGTGGTTTATCATCTTTATTAATTTGTGTATGTTGAACCATCCTTGCATCCCTGAGATGAATTCCACTTGATTATGGTGAATGATCTTTTCAATATACTGTTGAATTTTATTTGCTAATATTTTGTTGAGGGTTTTTGCATGTATGTTCATCAGTGGTGTTGGTTTGAAGTCCTTCTCTGGTTTTGGAATCAGAATAATATTGGCCTTGGACAATGAGTTTGGAAGTATTCCCTTCTCCTTAACTTTCTGAAATAGTTTGAGAAGAACTGGTATTAGTTTTTCTTCATATGTTGGTAGAATTAAGTGGTAAAGCCATTGGGTCCTGGACTTTTCTTTGATGGGAGAGTTTTTATTACTACATCAATCTTGTTACTTGTTATTGTTCTGTTTGGGTTTTCTATTTCTTATGATTCAATTTTGATAGGTTGTATGTGTTCAGAAATGTATACATTTCTTCTAGATCTTCTAATCTATTGTTATTTAGTTGTTCCTAGTCTCTTATGATTCTTTGTATTTCTGTGGTATCAGTTGTCATGTTTCCTTTATCATCTTTGATTTTATTTATTTGAGTCTTCTCTTTTTCTTAGTAAGTCTAGCTAAAGGCATGTTGTTTTGTTTATATTTTTAAAAAATTTTTTTTGCTTTGTTGATCTTTTGTATTGTTTTAAAAATCTCTATTTCATTTAATTCCATTCTATTATTTCTTTTTTCTACTAATTTTGGGTTAAGTTTGTTCTTATTTTTCTAGTTCTTGAGGTGAAAGTCATCTTGCTTGAGATCTTTCTACTTTTTCAATGTGGGCATTTATTGCTATAAACTTCCCTCTTAGAACTGCTTTTGCTGTGTTTCATAGATTTGTGTATGGTGTATTTCCATTTTCACTTGTCTTAAGAAAAATGTTAATTTCCCTCTTAATTTCTTCCTTGACCTAATAGTAATTCAGGAGCATGTTGTTTAATTTCTGTGTATTTGTAGAGTTTCCAAAGTTTCTCCTGTTTTTTTTTTCTTCTTTTTTTTCACATGCCCATGCCCACTATGTCAAATTCTCCTGTTACTGATTTCTAGTTTTATTCCATTGCAGTCAGAAAAGATACTTAATATAATTTTGACTTTAAATTTATTAAGACTTGTTTTGTGCCTGCATATATTATCTGTCCTGACAAATGCTCCATGCACTGTTGAGAAAAATGTGCATTTTGTAGTTGTTAGGTGGAATGTTCTGTAAAAGTCTGTTAGGTACATTCAGTCTAGAGTACAGTTTAACCTCCATGTTTATTAATTTTCTGTCTGGATGATATGTCTATTGCTAAAAGTGGGGTGCTAAAGTCCCCTACTACTTTTATATTCTAAACAATCTCTCCCCTCAGGTCTATTAATATTTGCTTTACATTTTACCTTAGTATTGGGTTCATATGTATTACAATTACTGTATTCCCTGTTGCATTGACTCCTTTATATAATTTATTATATTGTATTATATAATTATATAATTTATTAAATTATACATTTATTAAATTATATAATTGAAATTTATATAATTTATTATATAAATAATATTATATTTATATAATAGCTTTATTTATTTTTTGTATACTATTCTTGACCTCAGTCTATTTTATATGATATAAGTACAGCTACTCCTGATCTTTTTGGTTTCCATTTGCATGGAATATCTTTTCCCATTCCTTTGATTTCAGTCTGCATGTATCTTCAGAGGTGCAGTTTCTTATAGAGAGCATGTAGTTAGGTCCTGTTTTTCTTTAAACAAAAATTCATTCGGCTACTCTATATCTTTTTTTTTTTTTTTTTTTTTGAGACAGAGTCACACTCTGTTGCCCAGGCTGGAGTGCAGTGGTACAATCTCAGCTCACTGCAACCTCCACCTCCTGGGTTCAAGTGATTCTTTTGCTTCAGCCACCCGAATAGCTGGGATTACAGGTGTGTGCCACCATGCTGGCTAATTTTTGTATTTTTAGTAGAGATGGAGTTTCACCATGTTGGCCAGGCTGGTCTCGAACTCCTGGCCTCAAGTGATCCAATCACCTCAGCCTCCCAAAGTACTGGGATTACAGGCATGAGCCACCATACCTGCCCTACTCTATGTCTTTTAATTGGAGAATATAGTCCATTTACATTAAAGGTTATTATTGATAGGAACATGTTTTCTGTTGCCATTCTTGTAAGTGTTTTTTGCATTTTTCTGGTAAATTTTTTATTTTCTTCCTCTCATACTGTCTTCCTCTGTGGTTAAGTAATTTTCTCTAGTAGTATGTTTTAATTCTGTGCTGTTTATTGTCAGTGTCTCTATTATAGATTTCTTTCTTTGTGGTTACTATGAGGCTTACATAAAACATTTTATAGTTATAATAGGTTATTTTAAATGGAAAAGAACTTAGCTTTGATTGCAAAGAAAAGCAAAGCAACAAAACACACTATACTTTAACATCATTCCCCCTCCACGTTTTGACTTTTTGATGTTTTAGTTTACATCTCTTTATATTGCCTCTCAACCAATTGTTGTAGTTATTATCATCTTTAATAAGTTTTAGTCTCCATAATTAAGATATAATTGGTTTATATATCATAATTACAGTACTAGAGTATTCTGAATTTCTATTCTTACTTTTACCAGTGAGTTTTATACCTTCAGATGTTTTCTTGTTACATGTTAACATCCTTCTCTTTTAGACTGCTGGACCCCCTTTAGGATTTCTTGTATGACAAGCCTGATGTTGATTAATTCCCTCAGGGTTTGTTTTTTTTTTCTTTTTTTGGTCTAGGAAAGTCTTTATCTGTCCTTCATGTTTGAAAGATAGCTTTGTTGCATACAGTATTCTTAGCTGACAGTATCTTTTTCTCAATACTTTGAATATATATCTCACTGTCTCCTAGTCTGCAAAGTTTCTGCTAAGAGATTTACTGCAAGCTATATTGGGGCTCTATTGAATGTGCTTTTTTTTTCTCTTCCTGGTTTGAATATTCCTTCTTTATCTTTGATTTTTGATAATTTGATTATGATATGATTTGGGGAATTCCTCTTTGAATTTGATTGGTGACCTCTGAGTTTCCTGTACCTGAGTGCTATCATCTTTCTTCAGATTTGAAAATCTTTCAGCTATAATTTTTAAAATATGGCTCTTTTCTCTCTCATCTTCTTTAGGAATTCTTATTATATGAAGGTTAGTTTGCTTGATGGTATCCTATAATTCTTTTTAATTCTTTTTTTCTTTTCGGATGGGTAATTTCATATGTCCTGTCTTCAAGCCCATTCTTTCCTCTGATTAAATATGTTGTTGAAGCTTTATAATGAGCTTTTCCAGTTTAGCTATTTTATCCTTTATGTCTAAGATTTCTACTTTTATGTGTGTTTTTATATTTTTTTCTTTGTCAATTTTCTCATTTTGTTCCTGGATTGTTTTTCAAATTTCATTTAATTTTTTTAATCTATACTCTTTTGTGCTTCCCTGAACTCTTTAAGATTTTTCTGAATTCTGTCAGACATGTTACGGGCCTTCAATTATTTTGGGTCTATTACTGGAGCTTTGTTGGTTTCTTTTGATGGTATCATATTTCCCTGAGTTTTCACAATCCTTGTGTCTTTACATTGATGCCCGCACATTCGAGGAGATGGTCACTTCTTCCAGCTTTTACAGGTATTCTTGGTGGTGTTAGACTTTTAGTGCTTAATGTTGTAACTTAGTCACTGGTCTGCTATTGCTTCCTGGTCTGGGGAAGCCTTAGGAGAGTGCTAGAATTCAAAGGTTGTTTAAAAGGAAAAAACCTTTTAGTTGTTTCCAAGTAAGAGGAAGGTTCCACATTAGCACCTGGGCTTTGTGGGAAATCTAACCAGGGATTCAGGCTTTCCTGTGGGTTTTGCCTAGAGTAGGACTGTTGCATCATCCAGTTTTCTCAGTATGGCATCTCTGCTGATTGGAGTACAGAGCAGCTGCAAGATCTGCATGTCAGTTTCAGCAATCAGCACCTCCGCTTTTTGTCCCCAGTTCACCCCTGGTGTTTCAGCCCACCTGGTACTTGCAATGGTTCATGAGACAGGACCAGAGTGAGCTTCTTGTGAAGATTCTCAGACTGGTGGGGAGATCAAACTTCCATCTCCAATTCCCTCCTTTTACCTTGTAAACTGTGGGTCTAAGGAAATTATCTGTGAGTGGTGTTATGCCAGCTTGGGGGAAGGGGTGGCGCAGTCTAAAATGAAGTGAGTATTATAATTCATAATTTACTGATGAAAGATCAGGAGCCTGGAGACATGGATTACTTTGTAGTTAGAAAAGTGCAGTACAGGAACTTGACTTTTGCCTGGGTCCCATACTTGGATCACTGCCATCCACATTGTTAATTGGACAAGCTGAAGCAACACCTCTGTATAAAGGTCAAAAATTCCCTCATGTGTAGCAAGTGATACTAACCTTCAAGGTTCTCACCCTTGAGCAACAATGCTAGCTTTGCCGTACTTCAGTGTGAGTGAATGTAGTCAGTTTTTCAGTAAGCACAAGATGATGTGACTGATGTATTCCAGGAAAATGGGCAAAATAGGTAGAAACGCATACACAGTTTTGGGAAACCTTTAGCTTTTATTCTTGCCTAATATATAGCATATTTTCTGCAAAAATTATGAGTTAAATATACTTTAATGAAGATGGGTATTTAAAATATAATTATGACAATTTAAAAAATCTTATGAATACAGAAGGAAAGCCAGTAAACAAAAACGATAAAAATAAACAAACAAAAAATAAATGAAATAAGAATAAAATCTTCTCAAGTTCTAGATAGTCTATTCATTTCTTTTCTTTTCCAGGTAGAAGCTCCCTGGAACAACTGCTGGAATAAGGTTCCAGAGTGGAAGGTAGTTATTTCACTGAGAACACACATCTGATTCATGCAAGAAAGTCCATGTTCCAGACAGGGCAGCCAAGCCTAAGTACATTTCTGCTTCATTGAGGTCTCAGGAAAATGTAAGCTTTCAGGACACTTGAGGTCGCTGCCTCAGTGCAGCTGTATTTTAATTTGTGTGAGTCCTTATACCTCATTTAGGTTTAAAAATAGGTGCTCTCCTTGTCTGTGGTATTCAGCTGCAAGTATTCCAGAGTGCCTTTTTTATAGCTGGCTACCCGTCTGGGTTTTTGGCTTCTTATCCCTGCTGCCTGTCTTTTCTGTAAAGAGTTGGCAATCATGTCTGAAAATTCTGCTTGCAAACGCTGTTGATTCTCCCTGGAAACAGAGTGGGAAGAGAAAATAGAACTTCTCAGCAATTCATACAGAATATTCCTTAGCTCCAGAATAATCAGTTCAGTTAGTCAGTTACTCTTTGAATGCCTATTCTGTGCTAGACACAGGAAATCCAAAGAATACAAAATGATCCCTGCCTTTGATGAGCTTAAAAAACTGTTATCTCTGCTAGGAAATTAGGCTTCAATTTCAAAGTGAAACAATATGCTGCTGGAATTTGGAGGCATGGTTGGGAGGATCTAGGTTTACATATGCCACTGCAGGAAGGGGAAAAGAAGCTGGGAGGATGCTAGGCCCCTGCCACACAACCCTGAAAACTCATTGGTCCCACACATACTTAACAGTGTGAGTCTTGTTTGGGGAAGGCTTAGAATGGTGGAGGGGACCACGAGTTTAGAATGGACCTGGAACACTCCAAGTAAGGAGCCAGGTTTCTCATGCCCCAGGGAAGATTTGGGTTGTTTTGGCTTTTCTAGAAGGTTGCCATCTCTCTGGGTCTGACATCTAGGCCTCTGCAAGACAGAGTTTCTCAACCATAGCAAAAGCCAAGGAAATGGCCATATGGCTGCAGTAACATGTATTGACAGGCAACTGGGTGACAGCTTGAGTCACCTTTAGGAGAAGTGAAACCTGTCAGTTAACCCTGAAACTTTGTCTTCCTCATCTCAGGGAGAACACAGACTTCATGTTAAGACCCAGAACCGCAGTCTTGGGGTTGGGGCAGGTCCTGTTTTCATCAGGCAACTCAACAGAAAGATGAAGACAGGAGTGGAATGCAGAGAGCCTCTTTGCCCCCAGTATGCTCCACTCTTGTCAGAACAAGACATGCATGAAGTGAACTCTAAAGTGTCTTCTGTTCTCCCGAGCAAGCCTGGAACACAACGCTAGCTTTGCCATGCTTTATTGCAGGGCAATATAGTCAGTTTTTCAGCAAGAACAAGATGATGACTGGTACAGTCTAAGAAAGTGGACAGAATAGGTAGAAGCTCATACCCAGACTCAGGAAACTTTTAACTCATTCTTGTCTAATATATAGTATATTTTCTGCATAAACTATAAGTTAAGTATACTTTAATGCAGATAAGGCATTTAAAACATAATTTTGACAGTTAAAAATATCATGAATACAGAGCCAGTAAATAAAATGAAATAAATGAAATAACAAAATCTCCTCAAGTTCTAAATAGTCTGTTCATTCTTCCTCTTTTCCAGGTGGAAGCTCCCTCTTGGGATAAAGGATCCACAGTGGAAAAAAAAAAAGGTAGTTTTATACTGAGCCCCCACATCTGATTCAGGGAAGCAAGTCTGTGTTCCAGACAGGGAAGCCAAGGCTAAATACTTTTCTGTTTCATTGAGGTCTCAGGAAAATGCAGGGTTTCAGGATAATCCCCTTCTTGCAGTCTAGGAAGGGAGGTTTCTAAACCTTCTCATGTATAGTCCCTTACTTCTTATGCAATATATGCCACTTGTAAGGCATTTGCCAATTTAAATTGGCTGTAACTAACAAAGCCAAGATCTCTAATTTCCTCCCTGTCCCTGCCACACCCAGAAGCTTACACAGTAGGAGGGGTTGGCAGGTTGAATTTCTGGTCCTTCATCCCAGTCAGCCAGTAGGTAGTCTCATTTCCTCTTCCCTGGTAAGACAAAAGAGTTACGTACCACGGAGTCCAAGGAGTCAGTTCAGTTGTAGACCACTGTTTCCATAATGATCTGTTTCTGTGACATGTTTCACTTCCGCATTTCTCATCAGTGCCAATATTTAAGCACATCACACATTCCTGTTATGATTTGCATTATCTCTAGACAGATTTTTATTTCCAAGTGCCTTTTTAAAAATAAGTTTCTCATTCAGCAGACATCCTTTTCTCAAAGTAGAGTTTTCTTTTTTTTCCCCAAAAGACATTTTAAAATATCACTCTAGCAACATCACAAGAACTCTAACTTAAAAAGGAAGAAAATTCATCTACAATTCTGCTACGTCAACAAATCCAACTGGTTGTCATTGTCCATATTTCCTTCTAGCCCTTTTTGCAATAAAGTTTTGCTACAAAACTTTTGCTACAGTTTCCCTATCTTATTACAAACACATGTACATCACAATTAAGAACTCATTAAGTGGCATTTCTGGGGCCCATCTGGAGGCTACGGAATGTATGGAAATTTACTGGAATACTGGAAACCCTGTTTTTGCTAAAGCTGGTATTTGAAAAAGAGATACAAAATACATATGGCCCAAACACAGCCAGTGAACCACTATTTTTAAAAAATGAGTTTAATAATATATATCTATAATATATATCAATAATTTAAAAATGAGTGATTGATATATATATATATATAATTGATATATATTGTTAAACTCATTTAAAAAAGTAGTGGTTCACTGGCTGTGTTTGGACCATAGCAATCCATAAACTGGTTCTATTTTGGGGTAAGTGTTCTTTGTAAAAAATGTACTTATGGAGGACTCAAAAAGCAAGTGTGATGTTAGGACACTTTTACGTAAAAGGAGACTTTTCCAAGGTGCAATCCAAATGTAAAGGCCAGAAGCATTATGGCTACCGGAGACAGGTAACTTACAGTTAATAGCTGGCTTTGCCAGTTGTGAAAAGATTCCAATAACTTTGGAAAAGCAGCCTGAGAAGCATTTGGAGACAACTGATGGCTATGGAGGGCAGCTGTTTTAAATGTGAGGAACTGCATGAAGAATCTGGAATAGCGATTCTCAAATATTAGTGTGGTCACAAACACATTATCTTGTTAAAAATATAGATTTCTGATCTACGCCCACAGAGAATCTTGCATAGTAGGCCTGGTAGAGTGTCCACACATCTGCATTTTAACAAGCTTCCAGATGAGGAAGAGGAGGAGAATGGGGCCACACCTTGTCATTCACTCCTTGTGATTCTAGAGCTTCCGAATAGTAAAGCAACTGGCAAGAGAGGTGACCTCAGATCATAGCAGCAGTGTGTAGTAAGAGTAGGGAAGTAAGTGGGGGGACAAGGGTTTTGATTCAAATTAAATAAGTCCTGGACCAGACTGTATGTAGCTCTTGTGTTTGGAGGAGGAACTGGATACAAAACCTGGATATGGCAGAGGAAATGCTGGCAGAGTTCAAAATCTCAAAAGGGCTCTTTGGAGTAAAGGCAAGTTTTGAGTTCACATTTTTTGGTGGTCATTTCTCTTGCAGAGGATGGAGGGTGCTCATCGTGATGAGTACAGAAGAGGATTAGCATGCTCAACTTTCCTGGCCAAGTCTCAAAGGAGGTGGCCCAAGCGTGTCTGAGAGCTTTTCCTATGCATTGTCTCTGTGGACTCCTTACCTTTAAGTATGTTTCTCCTCTCACTTCATAAAGGAACTGGCACTCAGTTCTCTTCAGGATGGCTATGGTGGAGCCACTCACGTGAATTCTCAAAGCTGGAAATGCAAATTGACAAATAAAAATCCCAGCTAGTACACAGCCTATTTGTTTCCCGTTGATTCAGGATATCAACAACACCTGAGACAAGAATCCTAAATCAAGAAGAAACAATTGTGGCTATTTTAATGAAAGAACACTTAAAAATAACATCAGAGAGATAAGAAATGGTATAGTTTGGATATTTGTCCCCACCCAAATCTCATGTTGAATTTTAATCCCCAGTGCTGGAGTCCTGGCCCCCGACCAGGTGTCTGGGTCACAGGGGTGGATCCCTCATGGCTTGGTGCTGTCTTTGCGATACTGAGTTGTCACAAGATCTGGTCATTTAAAAAGGTGTGGCACCTGCCCCTGCCACTCTCTTTCTTACTCCTGCTTTTGCTGTATGAAGTGCCTGCTCCTGCTTTGTCTTCTGCCATGAGTGAAAGCTTCCTGAGGCCTCCCCAGAAGCAGATGCAGGTGCTATTCTTCCCTTACAGCCTGCAGAACCATGAGCCAATTAAACCTCTTTTCTTATAAATAACCCAGTCTCAGGTTTTTCTTTATAGCAATGCAAGAATGCCCTCACACAAGAAATATAATCTCACGTGGGAAGAAAGAAGGCCTGGCATCAGTTTTCAGGGCCCTGCGTGATGTGATGGGGATCCCTAGGTTTTTCTCCATAGATTCTCATTCCAGCTCAGAGTAGTAGCCTGCGGGACCTAGTTTTAGATTTGGCTTGTAGTGCCAAGCTTGGGTGTTGGAGTTTGGTTTTGGGTCCCTGTGGAAAAGTTCCAATAAATAGCTAAAGCCTTGTGGGCAAGGTGAAGATTCGGGAGAGTTGAGGGGTCTTGATTTTCTCAAATTTCCTTCTTCTGGAACATTGTTATCCTTTGACAAAAGAAGTGGTGAGGGCACGCCCATTCACAAGTCCATTGATGTGTATCACCTTTCCCAATATAGGGGCCTAATAGCAATACCACAAACAATTACACAGTAAGAATAATGACAATCCCAAATTGTATACCTACCATGTACCATGATTGCTAAACGCTTAACATGACATCATCCCAAATTATTTCAGAAACCCTCTTGGCACGGTTGGTATTCCATTTTCAATTTGTATCTTTATCTTTCTGAGGGCTAGAAGGATCAGGTAGCTTTCTACTCAACTTATACTGAGAATGATTAACATAATTTCAATTGTAACCCAAGTCTGTCTGACCCCAACCTTATCCTTTTCCTTGCCAGCATGATTTGCCAGGACAAACTAGTATCACATTGTCAGTACACTACCAAAATACCATCCTGCCTCCTGTGGTTTCGTAAGCCCCAGCCATGTCTCCCAGTGCTTATTTTCTCTCTTCTATATATTTCTACTGCTACCACTGTCATCAATATTTATTGAGCATCTACTTCATGCAGCACATTGTGCCTCTACCTTGCCAAGCAAATGCAATATATTCCTTCGTATATAACAAATGCTTAGATTTTTCTTTACTAAAATCAATTCTTGGTTGGGTATGATGGCTCTTGCCTGTAATTCCAACACTTTGGGGCTTTGGGGGACCAAGGCAGGAGACTTGCTTGAGCCCAGGAATCTGTGACCAGCCTAGACAACATAGAGAGACCACACCTCTACAGAAAAAATTAAAAAATTAGCTGTGCATGGTGGCATGCCTGTAGTCCCAGCTACTTAGGAGGCTGAGGTGGGAGGATCACTAGAGCTGAGGAGTTCAAGGATGCAGTGAGCTGTGATTGTGCCACTGTGCCAAAGCCTAGGCGACAGAGTGAGACCCCATCTCAAACAAATAAACAAAAATCAATTTCCAGAAAAAACGAATATGCTTTGGGAGGCCAAGGTGGAAGGACTCCTTGAGGTCAGGAGTTTGAGACCAGCCTGGGCAACATAGTGAGACCCAGTCTCTATTAAAAATTTAAAAATTATCTGGATGTGCTGGTATGTTCCTGTAGTCCCAGGTACTTGGGAGGATGAGGTGGGAGGATCACTTGAGCCCAGGAGTTCAAGTTTACAGGGAGCTATGATCGTGTCACTGCACTCCAGCCTGGGTGACAGAACGAGAGCCTGTCTCTAAAAAACAACAACAAAAAAGCAAAACCAAATAAGAGGGAAACAGGAATGTGAACCAGAGTGTGTAGTTCTTACCTTGCCTACTGATTTTTTTTTAACTTTCATGAATCTATGGTAAATGCCAGGACTATTCTAAGTAGAATATCCCCAGATTCATTGTATATGAGCCAAAAATATAGAAATAGTCTAAAACTGAGCAAAAGTGGAAGAATAAAATAATTATCAGTAAACAACAATGAAAGCAAATGTAGCAAAAGGTGGATTGACACGGGTTTGTGTTCAGCTAATGTGAAGAATTATTCTACATCTCACTGGCACTTTGTATCTCCTTATTGTGCATTTTATCTCACAGTTGCCCTCTGCTGGAAAACAGCATCTTTGTCCTCTGAGAAAAACAGTCTCCCTTCTTACGGAGGCCAGTGGATTCCATCCTAGAGGCTGTGTTGACCGTATCTCCAAATAGACAATAACGAGGCATCTTGATTCCCACAACTCCAGCAGCACAGGGACCTGAAATGAAGGACAGAAAGCAGGAAGTGGAGGCAATAGAAATTGCAGAGTAGAGTGAAGACAGGTAAGCCTCTCTGTATGGTCACAATCCTGAATACTTCCTGTCATGGAGAAGTAGCTGAGGATGTGAAATGTGAGCTGGGACTTTTGGTTTAAATGGATGAATCCAATGAAGCATCATTATTCAATGCATGCGATCATAAAGTATTTTGCTCTCGCAAAGAAAACGACATTTGTAGCAAATAGGAAGGCATTCAGAGATCCAGATCACAAAGGTGATTTTAAATAGAAGGCTCTCAGGAAGGATGAAGATGAGCCCCACTGCTTGCTTACTGTGCCAAACCACACAACCCTGAATTTCACACTGCTGGAGGGCACTGTAGATTTGAAGCTTCAATGGCTCAAGTTTGTTTTATTTTTATTTTAAGGTGGCATTTCTGGGATTGGTGCCATGACAATGGAAGACAGAAGACAAGACAAAGGCATAACTTTCCGTAAGCATTTCATGGACCAGGCGAATGCAGCTGGATGGGGAAGCCTGTGGCACAAGGAGGTTCCAACAAGCAGAACAAAAGCCCAGGCTAGACTATGCGCTGTGGCATATTAGGTAGGAAATAAGGGTTATTCAGTCATGTATTTGCATAGAATGACTGAGTGCAAGGTGTTAACAGTTTCAGAAGTTAAAGATTAACTCAAAAACTGCAAAGCTGAGTTTTAAGCAATGCCTGGCTAAAGATTCATCTAGATGACTTCTGAGTTCCTCTCTTACAGGTGTTTTTTCTATAACACCTGTAACTCATCTCAAACCTTGATGTTCAAGGCTGTTGAATTAAACTAAGTTTGGCCTGAGGCTGCCTCTTAGGGGTCCCTACAAAACAAACTGCAACCTAGCTTGGTACATAAACAAACTAAAAGCCTAACTAGGGTATACTTACGTTATAGATAGCTGAGTCTCAGCCAATCGCAGTAGCTGAGCTTCAGCCAGTCACAGGCTGTCAACTGATGGGACTTTGACCAAATCAGGGGAACACAGAGGTTTGACCAATCAAGTTGTTTCTGTCCCTCACTTCTGTTTTCTGTCTATAAACATTGCCCGCCCACCTTGCCCATTGAAGCTCTCTGAACCTCTTCTGGTTTTAAGGGCCATCTGATTTGAAAATTATTCTTTGCTCAATCAAACTGTGTTAAATTTAATATGCATAAGCTTTTCTTTTAACAAGGCTATGTAACTTTCATGGTCTTTGAAAGTGACTCATGTACTTTCTGTATAACTGCAGTGGCAGGGAAGGGAGGGGGTATAAATATTATAGAAATTTCACCATCTGTTCTTTATTTCCCCTTGTAGATAATCTAATCCACTTAAGATACTATAATATTTTAGTGGGAAAATATATTGAAGTTGGGGGTGGGGAGAAAGGGAATGGGGAGGAAATAAATGAAATCATAGGTATGGTGATTTAAATAGGAGTCCAAAGCTTCTTGTTTTCGTACATGTTTGGTGTTTATCATGTCAGCAGTCAGTGGTGCCCTCAAAGGTCTTGTTCTTAGAGTTCTCTAGGAACTGGGTCTAAATATCTCAGGATGCATAGTGGGACCTCACATTTGGCAAAAAGAATTAAGAGTAAAAATTATGTGAGGTCGATCACACTTGAAGACCTTTTATCCTTTCTGATTTAGTTGGTGCACAGCAGTACATATGGTTCCCAATTTGCTAAGATGCTCAACTCCATACCAGAGTGAACTCCAATGCGAATCCATATTGGGAGGCCAGGAAGATGCTCCAGCTCAAAGGTCCCCATGAAGCTGAGGATTTCCAAGGCCATCTTGGCAATGTCTATTGCATGCCGATTGCCATTTCTCTTAGGCAAACCACTAGCCACCATGTACGCATCACCGATGGTTTCCACCTGTGGAAACAGTTTCTCATGAGTGCCTCTGCCCCTTTGAAAAGTATAGAAAGTAAACAGAAGCAGTTAATCACATGTCAAACACAAAAAGTGATTTGGGAACACAGTATGAGCATAGCCCTTTACACTTTTTCTGGGGCCAGTTGGATCAGTTCTATGCTGATTTCTTCAGGGTTTTTATAGTCCAGTTAATGGGTGATAAAATAGCTATAAAGGAATTTAGCCATTTAAAAGTACTTCATAATTATATAAATTGTCCAGATGTGGTGACAGTTCTAGAAATGTTCAAATAAATAATCTGAATGGTTTTATGTAATTTGAGGAACACCCTTAGTTTCCTGAAAATTAATCCTTTAGCAAATGTCAACATACTATTTAACAGAATATTGTACTTTGTAATATGTAATTGTATACATTCTTGTAGTATGATTTTCTATTTATTATAACCCCAGTGTCTTCTCTGCTTCATTTGCAGTCAGCCTAAACACTGCCCATTTTTTGGAGGTGATTTAAGAGTATGCCATTTTGTCTAAATTTAATACTTCAAATTAATTCCTGCTGAACTTCCTGTTGTATCTTTTTTGCTGCTTCTTAAAGTTGAATGGTAATTTTGACTTCTCACTCCTCTAATCCTTCTACTTCTCTTCACTTTTAGCTCAGATTCAACCACCAATTCACTAAATGTGAAACTAGAGCGGTCAAGAGTAGTAACAGAAACAACCAATTCAGGCTCTGATGACCTTGAGTTGTACAATTAATGGTTTCAGCCTGTTAGGTGATGTGGTTACCTTGTAGACATCATGATGATCAACAATGTGGTCAAAACTCTTATAGATGTCATTAAGCATGTCCACCACTTCCATGGGGGTGCTGTATTTGCAGATAGTAGTGAAACCTACAATGTCACTGAAGTAGATTGTAACTTCCTCATATAGTTCCGGCTCCACAAAGCCTTTCTCCTTCAGAGACTTTACCACTAGCCTAGATGAACGAAGGGAAAAAAAATGCCTTCAACTTCAGCAAATTTCTTCTTGTTTCACATAAATCTTTCAGGTAGTAGTGATTGTCTACCAAGAATTCTAGAATTTGAGACTTCCAGTGAATTGAGTGAATCGGAAACAGAGGTTGTGTATATCATATACATGAACATATTACACAAATACACATATAATGCATGTTGTGAACACAGATGAATACAAGCAGGTTCAACATTAACTTAGTGTTTGATTATTAATCCTAATACACATAAATAGATAACTTTAATATCCTCAAAACTCTCATACATATACATACTTGTCCACTTTTTGCTTCTCTATTGATAATCAACCTCTTACAGATGTGGCTCTACATGCAGAAGCTGAGGAGAGTGTGGTATTACTTAAATCACCACAGGTATCAGATCTGAATTTCTCAACAAAGTTGATAGTTTTACTTTCCTGGCATATGTAATATGGCATTGCTTAATATTACTATGAAATAATGATGCATTTAAATATAAATTTTGATATATTCTGAACCAGAGTTCATTTGATATTTTGAACCAGATTTGGGTCCTTTGTAAAGCAGAATCAATCATGTAAATAAATTAAATCATGCTAAAACTGTAGAAGTCAAATTAAAGCAACTTTTAGAATATCTTTGCTGAATGAGGAGCAGCATATCAGATTCAAGATTGAAGGAAGAGAACCAGAAGAAGGGACTCCATACTTGGTGTGCCAAGTTACCTCTTCATTGAGAAAAGGAAGTGAGGGCTGACATGAAGTGGGATGGTCCCTGTCTGTCCTTGGCATCACTTTGTAGTGGCCCTCAGTATGGAACCACTAGAATCAGAAACTGGAAGCTGGGAGGTTCCACGGAAGTCATTGAAAAGAAATCTTTATTTTTACAGATGAGAAAGTTGAGGTCTAAAAAAGTATGACTTCCCTAAGTTCCCACAGCCGATTAGGGACAGAGCCAGGGCTAGAATTCAGGAAGCCTTCAGTCCCACCCATCAGTCTTTTTTTGCATTACACTCCCTGCACAACCCAGGCCTTGGATATTCAGGAAGATGGGGAAGATTTGGAGGTATGCTGACTGCAACAAAGGAGGTGGGCTCTCCCGGAAAGAAAACAACCAATCAACCACAAAGATTTCTAACACTCATTTGGAGAACCTCCAGAGTATCCGGAGAAACCTTTTTAATTGGTGCAATGACAAAACTTGGAACCTTTGAAAAACATTCCTTTGGTGTGGCTTGGATTCCTAGGTACACGACTGGAGTGGTTGTTCTTGACATGCCCTGTATAAAGTGCATAGTATTTTGGAGGCTGCATAGATGCAATGACAAAATTGGATATTCTGCCATATTTGCAATTCATTGTACTGCTTATATCTGAAAAGTCACATGAGTTTGGTGATATGGTTTGGCTCCGTGTCCCCACCCAAATCTCATGCTGAATTGTAATCCCCAATGTTAAGGGAGGGACCTGGTGGGAGGTGATGGGATCATGGGTGCAGATTTCCCCATTGCTGTTCCTGTGTTAGTGAGTTCTCATGAGATCTAGTTGTTTGAACGTGTGTGGCACCTCCCCCTTTGCTCTCTCTCTCTCTTCCTGCCATGCGAAGAAGGTGCTTGCTTCCCCTTCACTCTTCCACCATGGTTGTACATTTCCTGAGGCCTCCCCAGCCATGCTTCTTGAACACCCTGTGGAACTGTGAGTTATTTAAACCTCCTTTCCTCATAAATTACCTAGTCTCGGGTAGTTCTTTATAATAGGGTGAGAATGGACTATTACACTTGGAAAATAGTGTGTTATCCAGAGAGAGAAACTCATGTTGTAAATAAACGAAGGAAGGGCTGGGAGTTAACATGATGAGCTTTGATAACAGGTTGTTGCTGACATAGATAAAATTAGTATACAGAGTAGATCTCTTAGAAAGTCTTCCCAGAAGAAAAAACTTCTGGCCAGGCACAGTGGCTCACACCTGTAATCCCAGCACTTTGGGAGGCCGAGGTGGGTGAATCACCTGAGGTCAGGAGTTCGAGACCAGTCTGGCCAACATGGTGAAACCCCCTCTCTACTAAAAATGCAAAAATTAGCTGGGTGTGGTGGCAGGCGCCTGTAATCCCAGCTACTTGGGAGGCTGAGGCAGGAGAATTGCTTGAACCCAGGAGGCAGAGGTTGCAGTGAGCTGAGCTCATGTCGTTGCACTCCAGCCTGGGCAACAAGAGTGAAACTCCATCTCAAAAATAAATAAATTAATTAATTAAATAAAATAAAAATAAAAAAGAAGAAACTTCTATTTTAATGTATTTACCCCAAGGGGTACTATTCAAATAAATGTCTAAGTGATATCTGGTTCCTACATGCAATCTTAAGTTTATTTGCCCTTTGCTACACATATTTCTTTTTGATTCTTCTAGTTATTGCTCATGCATGTTTTAGTTTTATCTTGCGCATAAAATTTTTACATAAATAACCAAAGTGAGTTGTGCTGAAGCCATGGTGTATTGTAGCTCTTCAAGAGACTTGTGTGATATAACCTTTGGAAATCCAATAAAAACATCTACCAACTAGTAGTCCAAGTGGCATATTGAACTAAGGCTAGGAAAAAAGCTGAAATGGTGAGCCAGCTGATTCAAACCACTTGAGTGACATTAATGGTTAAAACCACCGCCAATGAAACCCTGGGAAGGCAGCCAGATAACCAGGATATTGTTTTTGTCACAACTCAGCATTAAAGATCAGGCAAGGAGTTATGCATTATGTACCTAATATTTATGGAGCTGTGATAGAAATTATCATCCTTGAAGTGAATATGAAGGGTTCCCTACTGTTCCCAGGCACTCTGAGGGCTCATGGGTTCTGCCCTTCTATCACAAGGTTGCAAGACACCACTTGCCAAATGTGTTCCAACTCCTTTCCCCCAAGCTGTGATCCGCCTCCTAGTTTTCTTGCAGGTGATTTGACTTTCAGAGGTTTGAGATTTTGAGGTCAGAGTTACTAAAGGAGATCAGGGGCTCCAGCTCGGGCTTCTTGGGTAGAATCCCAGCTCTGCCATTCACTGGGTGACCTTCAGAACATTACTTAGTAGAGTACAAACTGGAACAAGGCTTAGCAAAGTACATGCATTTTTTTTTTTTTTTTTTGAGACGGAGTCTTGCTCTGTCACCCAGGCTGGAGTGCAGTGGCGCGATCTTGGCTCACTGCAACCTCCGCATCTTGGGTTCACTCCATTCTCCTGCCTCAGCCTCCCGAGTAGCTGGGACTAAAGGTGCGCGCCACCACACCTGGCTAATTTTTTTTATTATTATTTTTAGTAGAGGTGGGGTTTCACCATGTTAGCCAGGATGGTCTTGATCTCCTGACCTCATGATCCACCTGCCTCAGCCTCTCAAAGTGCTAGGATTACAGGCGTGAGCCTCCGTGCCTGGCAGTACGTGCATTTTAAAACCAATAATCTACTGAAGAATATATAAAAGGAAACAAATCCTATATAGATACAATGAAAAGCAATGCTAGAGGGATTTCAGCCTCCACATCAGCAAGGCTTGCCTTACCTTGGAAGCAACATAAAGTTAAGTCTGTCAGCCCTGTCCCTCTCTGCCTTGTACAGCTGTGTCCTTTCCTCTACCAGATGTTCCAGGTTTCGAGAATATAGCTGTAGACGTCGGATCAAGGTATCCATATAGCTTTCATTTTTTTGGTCATGAAAAAGTCTGTAGGTAGTAATAGATAAAGAGCTCTTATATATTATTAAGAAAACATGAACATCCAATAAAACAATGGACAAATATGATGAACAGATAATTAAACAAAGAAAAATAAAAGCCAACAAACATAACAAAAAAACTCAACCTCATCCGGGCACAGTGGCTCATGCCTGTAATCCCAGAACTTTGGGAGTCCGAGGCGGGAGGATCACTTGAGGTCAGGAGTTTGAGACCAGCCTGACCAACATGGTGAAACCCTTTCTCTACTAGAAATACAGAAATTAGCCGGGCATGGTGGCACTACTCCAGAGGCCGAGGCAGGAGAATTGCTTGACTGGGAGGTGGAGGTTGCAGTGAGTCGAGATCATGCCACTGCACTCCAGCCTGGGTGACAGAGTGAGACTCTGTCTTAAACAAACAAACAAACAAAAAGCCCAACTTAACCTCAGGACAAGAATAAGATTAAAAAAGGGAAAACAAATGTTAAAATGATGGTAATCAACGTAGGAGAAGGAGGAAATACATATAGTACAAAACCTTCCTGAAGAGCAATTTGGTAAAAATATGTCACAAGCTTTAAGAATGCATATACCAATCAGCTTATAACTCTACTTCTGAGAATTATCCTAAGGAAACAATCATGAATGTGTTTAGAGTTAACAACAGAAAAAGTCACAGTATTCTTTACAACAGCAAACATTTGAAAATAATCTAAATGTATAACAAAAGTGTGGTTAAAATATGATGGGACAATGGAACATTAACATTCTAATTTGTATCATAAAATACAAATTAGTATAGTTGAATACTCAGAAAGACACTCCCTCTGTATTATTAAGCGAAAAAGTCAGTTTATAAAATAGCAAAAATTATAATCTCAATTTTATTTTTTGAAGACTGGTGGTCACCTATTGGGAAACAGGTGACGTTTTACTTTCTTGCTTTCTTATTTGTATTTTCTAAAATACAAAAGAAACAATTTGCAATGAAGGAAAATCTTTTAAAAGCTGGTCAAGAAAGTGATAAATGAAAGGAGAAGGACTGAGAAAAGCCAAGCTGAGCCTTAAATTATCTCCTCATTACAGAGAGCCAGGGTCCTAACTCTGGATTATTTTGTCAGATCAAGGAGACTTAGTGAGATGACAGCTTTGTGTGACACTGGGAGGTATGACAAGCCTTGGTGCAGAGGTCAGGGAGGAGACACATTGAGTTCTCCTAGCATTGTGAGGATCAGAGATAATGTTCATAACATCTAAGGCACAATTGAAGGTGCTGAATAAATCACAGTCATTTTACTATTACAAGAATAACAATCACTTCTGGTCTCAGGAGAAGATGGCCTGCATCATCATCCCCTGGGATGGGGAGAGATGTTTGTTAAAAATCCAGTACATTTTTGTGCCCTACCCGAGACCTATGTGACTGAAAATTGCTAGGCTTGGAATGAAGAAACAGAATTGTTTAACAAGTTCCCCAGGGAATTTTTACTTGAAACTGCCAGTACAGAGTCTAGTTGGGTAGAATGGATGTGGGAGCAGGTGTAAGAGATGAAGTTGGATAATCTTACTCTAGGATGAATTGATTCAATTAAAACAGTTGCTCACCTTTGACTGCATATTTTAATCACCTGGGAGCTATTAAAAATCCTGACACCTGTATGTACCCCAGACCAATTACATCAGCCTCTCTAGGGTAAAACCCCAGTATCAGTATTTTTAAAGTTCCTCAGGTGATTCCAAGCTGCAGCCAAGTTTGAGAACCATCACACACATTAAAGGCTGAGTATCAAGGACCCAGTTTCTTCATGAGCATACATTTTATCAGTCACATATAAAGTCTCATCCGGACAGGACAGCGAGGAGAAAAAAAAAGGGCTAGAATTAATTATTATTTCCTGCTCCATTCCCACAACTGACAGCTTAGTTCTACTAATTAATGACCACACGTTCATTAACTTCACTCCACCTCATCTCCTCCAGCTCTAGACTTTTAGTCTCATTAAGTATCTGAGTCTTTTGACCTAATGAGAACTACAGAAAGACCTGGAAAAAATCATAAGAATCATCTTGTTCAATCCAATTTTTCTAACAAGAAAATTGATACCCAGTGAGGGTAAGTGTTTTGCCCAATGCCCCACAGCAAACTCTTATCAGATCTTAGTCTAGAAATTGGATTTCCTAACTCTTAATTCAGTGTTATTTTTCTCATTCTGCAGTGTATTAACTGAAAACATGGGGTATCTAGAAATTAATCTCAACCAGATAATTGTGTACTTTTCTCCCCCAACTTGAATTATGCTCTGATTCATGACATGTCTTAAGTACCTAGGGCCAAAGCTGGAGATTTTAAGACTTTAAGATCCTAAGAACATGCTGATGTTAATAATTGTCTAGGAGCTTTACAGATTCTCAGGACTCACGCTACACTTCTAAATCCTAATTACCCACAGAAGGACCCAGAAGCTCTATTTTTAACAGACAAATTTATAATCAGCTAAAGTTTGTTTTTTAATCAGAAAAGTTTTGACCTTGAGTATGTAACTTTTCAAGTGATTATTTCCCTGGGAAAACGGTCTAATAGTCTCCATATCATTTTAATGTTATGAGGCAGTTGTTGGTTGCCACCTGGGATTTTTCACTGGAATAGACATTCTCATTCTAAGGTGCCACTGAATGTCAACTATAATTTTTTTAAAACCCTGCAATTAGTGAATAAAAGTAAACATTTCAGCAATACCCAAATATCTTGGCAAGTGTAGTCTCAATTTTTTTGAAATCTGGTCTCTTTTCTGGATCTTCCTCCCAACAGTTTTTTACAAGTAGGTACACCTGGAAGAAAAAAAAACGGGCAAATTAGCTAAGGGGATAGTAAACTAAATCAAGAGAGAATTCTTATTCTCATTGATGGGAGTGATTAAGGCAAGGAATAGTTTAAAAATATCTTCAACTCAGTGCGGACAAGAGATCCCCAGCTCTCTGGTTTCTGTCTCAGGCATGACCACCTGCATTATCTTATCCAGTTATTCCCTTGGGTGAAATTAATGAAATATGTGATACCAATTTAGATGAGGCCGGGTTGATACGGGAGACTAAGTGAATTTACAAGAGCTTGCAAGTTTTACGTTGGAGAGAGAAAAAAATAGTGAAGGTGTGGCAGGCCTCCATAACAACCGTTTTAGTACTGACTGAGTGGTTAAGTTAAATATTAAAAGCCAGTGCCCTTATACAAAGGCTGGAATGTAACAAAAGCCCACCAAGAGTTTTGCCTAGGCCTTTCCTGGGCCTTAAAACATGACAAAATAACGAAGGAATTCTTCTTAACCGGACCCATTTAGGATTAAACAACTTTTATTGGGGGTCTGAAGAAACTCCCCAGGCCTCCACAAAGAAGTTTATTGGGGGTCTGAAGGAACTCCCTAAACCTCTGTAATTTAGCAGGAGACAAGATAAGGGTAATCACTCCAGCACCTGGACTCACTTCGATTAAGTAAACTTACTGAGGCTCCAGGAGAAGGTCTTCAGGACTCAGACCTTAGTTGTAGATTAAAAGAAGTTAATCACGTATGTCTTTAAATGAATGCATACTTACATGTAGACATATAGCTTCGAAGGTATATAAGCTCTGAAAAAAAATGTAATTTTCAGGCCTTCTCCCTGTAACTGGTTACAGAAATAAAAACTCTCTTCCTCCTCAGTTCATCTGCATCTTGTTATTGGGCCACGAGAAATATCAGCCCAACCCTCAGTTTGGTGGGGGAACAAAGGCTCAGTGAATATGAGGCAAATGGCTCCAAATGGAATAAAAGCCGTACTGTCCATGGTTCTAACTTATAGCAAACAATAGTATCACCTGGGGAGCATCTGCACAATTTCTTATGCCCAGGCACCACCCTAAGTCATTCTGATTTAATATATTTTGAAGTGGTCTTAGTAGGGTTCCCAGATTTAGCAAGAAAAATAAAGGACATCAAGTTAAACTTGGATTTCAGATAAACAATAAGTAATTCCTTAGTATAAGTATGTCGCAAATATTGTATGGGCAAAGGGCAGTGGTAGATTTTTAAGCTCTTTGGTGATTATAATGCACAGCTGCAGTAGAGAAGTGACATGGAAAAAAGGGAGGTATGGAGGAAGAGGTAGGGAGACAGGAGGAAGCCCAACTGCTCATCTGCTACCACCTGTTTGCAGCTTTTTTTTTTTTAAATCAAAATGTGTGGTGAAAACCATTTGTTTTAAATAAACTTTGTTTTTCACTCCGGCTAAAAACAAGATCATAAGTGATACTAGATGCAATCCCTGTCCCTGTACTTTGTCTGAACAATTCCCTGGGAAGGAACTAGAGCCGCGGTATAGCCTGTGGTGCCAATATTCACCACTAGATGATGCTCCTGCCTTGGTAAGTCATCTGCTGACTACCTTAGAGCAGAATAGGCAGAAACAGCAAACTGGGCCGATCCTGTGCCACAGAGTGAAATACTGTCAGCCCTCTGTCTCCATGGGTTCTGCATTCGTGGATTCAACCAAATGGGAATGGAAAATGTTTGGAAAAAACAGGATGGTTTTGTCTGTGTTGAACATGTACCGACCTTTTTTTTCTTGTCATTATTCCCTAAACAATACAGTACCACAAATATTTACATAGTATTTACATCATGTTAGGGATTATAAGCAATCTAGAGATAATTTAAAGTACATAGGATAATGTATGCAGGTTATATGCACATGATATGCCATTTTATATCAGATCCTTGAGCCGCTGTGGATTTTGGTATCCACAGGGGTTCCTGGGACCAATTCCCTATGGATGGAGAGACGACTCTACTGGGTGTTTCTGGGGCATTGCTGAGTGATCTAGTTTCGACTCTGTATTCTGTTGGAATCAGTTACTTGACATGAAATTTTATTCCTCATTTCTAATTCCAGAACTGTCCAACTACACAAATGAATTAAAGATGATGCTGTTTTAGTGAATAAGGTTTTAATATTTGGATATACTCAGATTAGAAAAAAAGGGCTTGAGAAAGGATATGCTGATTGTGTGGAGGAATCCTGGAATTCGGAAAAGCAGGACGAAAGAAAGGAATGAGGAGAAGGCAGGGCTAGGAGCAGCTGTACTTCGGAAAGCTGTATTTCAACATACTATTACTATTGAAAAAGAAAGGGAAGGGGAGAGGTAAAAATGACCCACTCATGCCCTGCAGAGTCTGGCCATAAAACTCATCTGGCAGTGTCTTTGTAAATGGAAGGAAAATGTTTCTATTTTTATCCCACAAGGAACAAAAGATGTTTTTGTTTAAAGATTATAAATGTCTTTTTTAAAATTTTTTTTATTTTTATTATACTTTAAGTTTTAGGGTACATGTGCACAATGTGCAGGTTAGTTACATATGTATACATGTGCCATGCTGGTGTGCTGCACCAATTAACTCGTCATTTAGCATTAGGTATATCTCCTAATGCTATCCCTCCCCCCTCCCCCTACCCCATAACAGTCCCCAGAGTGTGATGTTCCCCTTCCTGTGTCCATGTGTTCTCATTGTTCAATTCCACCTATGAATGAGAACATGCGGTGTTTGGTTTTTTGTCCTTGCAATAGTTTACTGAGAATGATGATTTCCAATTTCATCCATGTCCCTACAAAGGACACGAGCTCATCATTTTTTATGGCTGCATAGTATTCCATGGTGTATATGTGCCACATTTTCTTAATCCAGTCTATCATTGTTGGACATTTGGGTTGGTTCCAAGTCTTTGCTATTGTGAATAGTGCCGCAATAAACATACGTGTGCATGTGTCTTTATAGCAGCATGATTTATAGTCCTTTGGGTATATACCCAGTAATGGGATGGCTGGGTCAAATGGTATTTCTAGTTCTAGATCCCTGAGGAATTGCCACACTGACTTCCACAATGGTTGAACTAGTTTACAGTCCCACCAACAGTGTAAAAGTGTTCCTATTTCTTCACATCCTCTCCAGCACCTGTTGTTTCCTGACTTTTTAATGATTGCCATTCTAACTGGTGTGAGATGGTATCTCATTGTGGTTTTGATTTGCATTTCTCTGATGGCCAGTGATGGTGAGCATTTTTTCATGTGTTTTTTGGCTGCATAAATGTCTTCTTTTGAGAAGTGTCTGTTTATGTCCTTCACCCACTTTTTGACAGGGTTGTTTTTTTCTTGTAAATTTGTTTGAGGTCATTGTAGATTCTGGATATTAGCCCTTTCTCAGATGAGTAGGTTGCGAAAATTTTCTCCCATTTTGTAGGTTGCCTGTTCACTCTGATGGTAGTTTCTTTTGCTGTGCAGAAGCTCTTTAGTTTAATTAGATCCCATTTGTCAATTTTGGCTTTTGTTGCCGTTGCTTTTGGTGTTTTAGACATGAAGTCCTTGCCCATGCCTATGTCCTGAATGGTAATGCCTAGGTTTTCTTCTAGGGTTTTTATGGTTTTAGGTAAAGATCATAAATATCTTAAAATACTTTACTCACTATCTTCTTGGATTATTAAGGCTCAGGTAAAATGCTAAAAGGAAAAATAATTAGAAATTTTTCACAGGGCTTCAAGGCCTTTTTGAGGGACAATTACAAAAGCAAATGTAAAGAGCTTTTGCTCCATTTCCTTCAGAGGAAGGATAAAATGAGTGGAAGTACATTTCTCTATTCTTTTTAGATGTTGGCATATTTCCTTTTAAATCATTAGATGGTATTTATAAGTCTAGTAAGTATACCGCATGGACACCTTGTTCATTGAGCTTATAAAAATTGAGAATGACCCCTGCCTACTGAAGCCAGTGCCTGTACACACCACAGGGTGGGGACTGAAGACAGGTCTCAGGACAGGTCCACCTGGCTCACTTGCACCCTCCCAGTGCTTCAGCCTACCGTGTAGGGGCCCTAGAGATCTCCTAGCCCAGTCCACCACTGTTGGCACCTGAGTACATCTTCTGGGGGCCACATAACCTGCTGCTACCACCACAGCTGGTACCCACCAGCATATACCACTTGTGGACCTGCAGACTGGCCTGCCCAGCCTGTCACAGCCACTACCAACACCAGTGCAGACTGCTTGGGAACCAGAAGCTTGTCCTATCATGGCTACTTCCACTACTCATGCCATGCCTGCTGCCCAGGAACCCGGGAATCCACCCACCAGCCTAGGCCACTGCTGCTACTGCTGGCACCTGAGGAAGTTACTTGGAGGCCAAAGAATTGATCTGCCTAGACCCACTAACGCTGGTACCAGATAAGCTGTCCTGGGGCCCAAGGACAGCTTATGCTGGCACCAGTGCCTCCAAGGGGCCCTGAGGACCAGCCCACCTGGCATTCCAGTCTTCAACAAAACGTCACTACTGCCTCCACTAACAATGACATCCTAACCCATTAGGGAAATAACAGACCCACTCACAGATGAGTAAATTATGTAGAGACTACACTACTGCATGCACCCAGAATCAAAGCCAAAGTGCCTCACCCAACCAATACTATAGATACATCTTCAGGAAAAAAGTCCTCCCCTATGAAAGCAAATGTTAAAATTTGGAAGAAGTAATTGTTACACCAGATGCACAGATATCAACATAAAGACACAAGAAGCATGAAAAAGCAAGGAAATATGATACCTCCAAAGAAACACAGTAGTTCTGCAGCAACAATTTCCAATGAAAAGGAAATTAATAAAATTCTGGAAAAATAATTAAAAATAATATTAAAGGAGCTCAGTGAGATATGGGAGAATACAGAAAAATAATACAAAGAAATAAAAAAAATTCAGGATATGAATGAGAAATTTACCAAAGAAATAGATACCATAAAAAAGAATAAAACAAACTCTGGAACTGAAGAAGTCATTCAATAAAACACAAGATATATTGGAAAGCTTCAACAATATGCTAGATCAAGCAGAAGAATTTCAGAACTTGAAGACAGGTCTTTTGAAATAATCCAATAAGACAAAAATAAAGAAAAAAGAACAAAAATGAATGAGCAAAGCCTACATGATATAGACACCATAAAGTGGCTAAATACTTAAAATTTTTGGTGTCCCAAAAGGCGAAGAGAAAACAAAAGGAATACAAAACCCATTTAACAAAATAATAGCAAGAGATTTAGACATTCAGATACAGGAAACTCAGAGATCCCCAAATACATATAATTAAAAAAGATCTTCTCCGTGGCACATTATAGTCAAATTGTCAAAAGTTAAAGAGAAAATTCTAAAAATAGCAAGAAAAAAGCATCTGGTTACTTATAAGGAAACCCCCATCAGATTAACAGTGAATTTCTCAGCAGAAACATTACAGGCCAGGAGAAAAGGGATGAGGTAGTCAAAGTGCTGAAAGAAAAACCAAATTCCAGTTAAGGATACTATATCCAGCAAACTTATCTTTCATAAATGAAGAAGAAATAAAGGCTGTCCCAGGCAAGTGAATGCTAGGGAAATTCATCACCCCTAGACCTCCCCTACAAGAAATGCTTCAGGGCGTCCTACGCCTGGAAGTGAAAGGATGTCATCTACCACCATGAAAACACATGAAAGTATGAAACCCACTAGTAAAGCAATCACACAAAGAGGGAAGAGAAGGGTCTCAAAGGTTACCACTGCAGAAAACCACAAACCATAATGAAAAACAAGGGAAAGAAAGGAACAAAGGATGTATAAACAACCAGAAATCAATTAATCAAATGAAAGGAATAAGCCCTTACATAATAATAACTTTGAATGTAAATGGATCAAAATTTTTCACTTAAAAGATATAGACTGGTTCAATGGATTTTTAAAAATGACCCAACTGTAGGCTGCCTACAAGAAACTCATCTTATCTGTAAAGAAATATGTAGACTGAAAGTAAAGGGATGGAAAGATATTCCATGCAAATGAAAACCAAAAGCAAGCAAGAGTAGCTATACTTATATTAGGTAAAACAGACTTTAAGTAAAAAACTGTAAAAAGAGACAAAGGTCATAGGTCATTATATAATGATAAAGGACTCAATTCAGCAAGAGGATATAACAATTCTAAACATATACACACCCAACATTGAAGCATACAGACATTTAAAGCAAATACTATTAGATCTAAAGGAAGAAGTAGATTCCAATCTAATAATAGTTGGGGACTTCAACACTCCACTCTCAGCATTAAACAGATCATAAAGACAGAAAATTAACCAAGAAACATTGGATTTAAACTGCACGTTAGAACAAGTGAACCTAACATTTACAGAACATTTCATTCAATAGCTAAAGAATAAACATTCCTGTGATCAGCACATGGAACATTCTCCAGGATAGACCATATGTTACGACACAAAACCAGTCTCAACATATTTATAAAGAACCAGAATTATATCAAATATCTTCTCAGGCCACAATGGAATAAAAGTAGAACTCAATACCAGGAGGAACTTTGGAAACTACACAAATACATAAAAACTAAACAACATGCTTCTGAATAACCATTGAGTCGATAAAGAAATTAGGAGAAATTATAAAAAATTAAAACAAATGAAAATTTAAACACAGCATACCACAACTTATGGGATACAGCGAAAGTACTGCTAAGAGAGTAGTTTATAGGAATAAATGCCTGCATCAAAAAATCAGAAAAAATTCAAATCTAACAAGGCACCTCAAGGAATTAGAAAAGCAAGAATAAACCAAACCCAAAGTTCGTAGAGGGAAAGAAATAATAAAGGTCAGAGTAGAACTAGACAAAATAGAGGTTGAAAAAATAATACAAAGGATCATTGAAATAAAAAGTTGTTTTTATGAAAAGGTAAACAAAGTCAATAAACCATTAGCTAGACTAACCAAGAAAAAAATGAGAGAAGATCCAAATAAACAAAATCAGAAATTAGAAAAAGACATAAAAACCAATTGCACAAAAATGTGAAAGATTATCAGAGACTATTATGAACAACTATATACCAGCAAACTGAAAAATATAGAGGAAGTGGAGAAATTCCTGGATAAATGCAATCTACATAGATTGAATCAGAAAAAAATAGAATACCATAGAATACATGAACAGACCAACAATGAGTAATGAGACTGAATCACTAGTCTCCCAACAAAGAAAAGTCCAGAACTGGATGACTTTACTGCTGAATTATGCCAAACTTCCAAAGAAGAACTAACACTAATTCTCTTCAAACTATTCAAAAAAATTGAATAGGGAATTCTCCTTCATTCTACAAGGCCAGCAGTACCCTCATACCAAAACCAGACAAGGATACAACAAAAAAGGAAAACTATGGGTCAATATCCCTGAGGAACATAGATGCAAAAATCCTCCAAGAAAAAAAATACTAGCAAACTGAATCTAACAGTACATCAAAAAGATAATACGCCATGATCAAGTGGGATTTATCCCCAGGAAGCAAGGATGATTTAACATATGCAAATCAATAAACATGATACATTACGTCAACAGAATGAAGAACAAAAGCCATATGATCATCTCAATCGATGCAGAAAAAGCATTTGATAATATTCAACATCTCTTCTTGATAAAAACTCTCAAAAAACTAGCCATAGAAGGAATATATCTCAACATAATAAAGGCCAGCCATATATCACACACCCACAAAATAATAAAAGCCATATACTACAAACCTGCCAATATCACACAGAATGAGGAAAAGCTGAAAGCTTTCCCTCTAAGAACTGGAACTAGACAAGGATGCCCAATTTCACCTCTCCTATTCAACATAGTACTGAAAGTACTAGCCAGAGCAATTAGGCAAGAAAAATAAAAGGCATCCAAATTGGAAAACAGGGAGTCAAATTGTCCCTCTTTGCAGATGATATGATCTTACGTCTAGAAAACCTAAAGCTTCACCAAAAAGCTCTTAGATATGATAAATTCAGTACAGTTGAAGGATATAAAATTAACATACAGGCTGGGTGCGGTGACTCACACCTGTAATCCTAGCACTTTGGGAGGCCAAGGACGGTGGATTGCCTGAGCTCAGGAGTTCGAGACAAGCCTGGGCAACATGGTGAAACCCCGTCTCTACTAAAATATAAAAAAAAAATTAGCTGGGCTTGGTGGCAGCTGCCTGTAATCCCTGCTACTTGGGAGGCTGAGGCAGGAGAATTGCTTGAACCTGGGAGGCGGAGGTTGCAGTGAGCCGAGATCACTCCACTGCACTCCAGCCTGGGCAACACAGTGAGACTCTGTCTCAAAAAAAAATTAACATACAAAAATCGGTAGTGTTTTTATATACCACCAATAATAAACTCAGCAGGAAAGAAATCAAGAAGACAATCCCATTTACAATAGCTACCAAAAAAAAAAAAAAACCACCTAGGAATATATTTAACAAAGAAGGTAAAAGACCTCTATAAGGAAAACTACAAACACTGATGAAAATGAAGAGGACAAAAACAAATGGAATGATATCCCATGCTCATGGATTGGAAGAGTTAATATCACTAAAATGATTATACTGCCCAAAGCAATCTATAGATTCAATGTAATCCTATCAAAATACCACTGTCATTTTCCCACAGAAATGGAAAAAACAATCCTAAAATCCATACGAAACCAAAAAAGAGCCCAAATAGCCAAAGCAATCCCAAGCAAAAAGAACAAAGCTGGAGGCATAACATTACCTGATTTCAAAATGTTCTATAAAGTTGCAGTAACCAAAACAACCTGTTACTGGCACAGGAACAGACACATAAACAAATGGAACAGAATAGAGAACCCAGAAATAAATCCACACACTTACAGACAACTGATTTTCAACAACGGCTCCAAGAACATACAATGGGGAAAGGACACCCCATCTCTTCCCATATACAAAAATCAACTCAAGATAGATTTAAGACTTAAACAGAGGACCTGAAACTATGAAACTATTAGAAGAAAACATAGAGAAAAGACTTTAGGACATTGGTTTAGGCAAAGATTTTATGGCTAAGACCTCAAAAGCACAGGCAACCAAACCAAAAATAGACAAATGGGACTATATTAGACTAAAAGGCTTCTGCACAGCAAGGGAAACAACAGAGTGAAGAGACAACCTGTTGAATGGGAGAAAGTATTTGCAAACTATTAATCTGACAAGGATGATATTCCAGAATATACAAGGAGCTCAAACAACTCAGCAATTAAAAAAATTCCATTAAAAAGTGGGCAAAACTCATGAATAAACATTTCTCAAAAGAAGATTTATAAATGGCTAACAGGAATATGAAAAAATGCTCAACATAACTAATCATCAGGGAAATGCAAGTCAAAACCACAATGAGCTATCATCTTACCCCAGTTAGAATGGCTATTACTAAAAAGCCAAATAATAACAGATGCTGGCAAGGATGCAGAGAAAAGGGAACCCTTACACACTGTTGATGGGAATGTAAATTAGTATAGCCACTATGGAAAATAGGATAGAGATTTCTCAAGACACTAAAAATAGAACTACCATATGATCCACCAATCCCCCTGCTGAGTATTTATCCAAAGGAAGAGAAATCAGTGTATCAAAGGATGCCTGCACACTTACATTTATTGCAACACTATTCACAATAGCAAAGATACAGAATCAACTTAAATGTCCATCAGTGGATGAATGGAAAAATAAAATGCAGGATGTGTACACAATAGAATACCATTTAGCCATAAAAATAATGAAATCATGTCATTTGCAGCAACACATATGGAACTGGAGGTCACTATGTAAAGTGAAAGGCACAGAAAGACAAATATCACATGTTCTCACTCATGCAGGGGCTGAAAAAGTTGATCTCATGGAGGTGGAGAGAATAATGATAGCCAGAGACTGGGAAGGGTGTAGGTAGGGCAGGGGATGAATGAAGAGAGGTAGGTTAATGGGTACAAACATACAGTTAGAAGGAATAAGTTATAATGTTTGATAGCAGAGTAGGGTGACTACAGTTAACAACAATGTATTGTACATTTCAAAGCAGCTAGAAGAGAGGACTTGAAATGTTCCCAACACATAGAAATGATAACTACTTAAGGTGATGGATCCCCTAAATACATGACTTGATCATTACACATTCTGCGCATATGACAAAATATCACATATACCCCACAAATATGTACAAATATCAATTTAAAAATAGAGAATGAGGCCAGGCGCGGTGGCTTACACCTATTATGTAATCCCAGCGCTTTGGGAGGCCAAGGCAGGTGGGATCGCTTGAGGTCAGGAGATCGAGACCAGCCTGGCCAACATGGTGAAACCCCATCTCTACTAAAAATACAAAAATTAGCTGGGTGTGGTGGCAGGCGCCTGTAGTCCCAGCTACTCAGGAGGCCGAGGCAGGAGAATTGCTTGAAGACGGGAGGCCGGAGTTGCAGTGAGCCAAGATCCTGCCACTGCACTCTAGTGACAGAGTGACAGAGCAAGACTCCGTCTCAAAAAAAAAAAAAAAAAAAAAATAGAGAATGAGATGTGTGCTTTAGAAGCCAGCTCATTCCTGAGTTGGGGAGTGGTGGAAAGGCACGGAGAATGCGGTAGGCTGAGGCTGGCTCCCAAAGACATGCTGCGTCCTAATACCTGGAACCTATGAATGCTACCTTATTTGGAAAAAGAGCCTTTGCAGATATAATTAAGTTACAATTCTTGAGATGAGGTGATTATTCTGTATTTTCTGGGTGGACCCAAATGCAATCACATATGTCCTAATAGAAAGGTGACAGAGGGAGAATAGACAGAAGAGAAACTGTGATCAAGAGGCAGAGATTGAATTGTGTGGCCATAAGATAAGAAATGTCAACAGCCATCAGAAGCTTCTGGAAGAAGTAAGGAATGGATTAGCCCCTTAGCTCTTCTGGAGGAAGTGTGGCCTTGCTGAACACTTGATTTCAGACTTCTAGTCTCCAGAACCGTAAGTGAATAAATTTTTGTTGTTTTAATCCATTACATTTATGGTAATTTTATAGCAGGCCAAGGAAATGAATACGGGAAGATATACTCACTTCTAGCTCTTTTTCCTCTGCTGTTTCCAAGAATAAATCTGGGCGGAAGGGTTTCATTCCATTGGAATTTTCCACTCTGAAAATCTTCTCTGGTTGGGTGAGAAAAATATAAATTACAAAGAAGAATACAGCATGAAGAAATGGAAGGAATTTCAACAGAAATCCAGTTGATTCACTCCCCTGGATGGCTCTTAGCTCAGTGAGAGTGCTGCAGAGCCTAGACCAGCACTCAGTAGACAGGTGTTGATTCAATGAGGCACCCAGTGAAAGGGTCTCATCCCACTTATAACCAGAAGGTTACCTTAAGGATAGGCTACCAGGTGGGGCACAGTGCCTCAAAGCTGTAATCCCAGCACTTCGGGAGGCTGAGGTTGGGGGATCACTCGAGCTCAGGAGCTCAGTCTGGGCAACATGGTGAAACCCCGTCTCTACATAAAGTACAAAAATTAGCCAGGTGTGGTGGTGTGCACCTGTCGTCCCAGCTACTTGGAAGGCTGAGCCATGAGGATTGCTTCAGCCCGGGAGGCAGAGGTTGCAATGAGCCAAGATCACACCACTGTACTTACTCCAGCCTGGGGGTGACAGAGCAAGACACTGTCTCAAAAAAAAAAAAAAAAAGAAAGAAAAGAAAAGAAAAAAAGAAAAAATGCTACTGTCGCTGTAAAACTCAGCTCAGGCACCACTGCCTTCAGTAGGCTTCTTCTGTCCATACTTTGACCCACCCTCTCCACGTCCCTTAGTCACCCTACTCCCCACCAAACAGTTAACGGTTAGCACGTAATAAATGCTCAGTAAGTGAGGATTGAATGAATGGAATGAAGCATTTTCCCTTGAGAGGACGTGTGGCCAAAAACTATACATCTACCCTTAGTAAGAACTAAAATATGTATGTCATCCTGTTAGAGTGATCTAGTTTAGATGTTAAGCAGGTACATTCTCTTATTGGAATCAAAAGGAAAGAGGACAATTGTAAACGAAGATTGTTAACAATGATACTGACAATAATAACACCTGGCAGTGTATGTTGTCTTATGCTTTTCAGTGCACCCTAATATTGAATCTTCCTTATATTCTTATAAAATGCATAATGCAGATGGGAAATCATTAATTTTGCATTTGAAGGAATTGTGATGTGGTTACAGACAGATTAGGGTCTCAGTAAGCCTAGAAAGCAGGTTGGCTCACTCCCAGAGGGGACACATGAATGGGTTTAGATGTACCATTCCGGTCCCGACAGCTCAAAGTGTAGAAGGTTTCTTTCCGCAGGATGATCTCCTGTGCGATGATCCCATAGCTGTACACATCTCCTTTCTGAGAGATGTTGGCTTGGCGGAGGTGCTCTGGAGCTGTCCACAGGTCTGTAAATGTAGACATTGAGATTACAAAGTTGAGGGGGGTGAGTGGTTCATAGGCCTCCAACCTGCTTTTGCTCTCTAATTCCCTACACCATCCACTCTAAATATGGGTGATAGCTTATAAGTGGCCTTGAATTGATATGATTCCAAATTTTTGAAAAATTTTTGCTAATCCTGGTGATCAAAGGTAGAACACACACCTTTTAGACTAACTATGAAATGTTAGGATTTGGGTGAGGTCATATGGCAATATGTTATTTAAAACTGCTAGGATCATAGTCTTGAAAACTCTCAAAGTTTACCTGGAATGGGGTCTGATTGTGGTAAATGCTCAGTAAATATATGTTGAATGAATACAGTAGAATATGAGAGGCTGAGGAATTTAGTAGTTTATGGGACATATGGAATGAACCTATGAAAGCCTTCAAAATACAAATTTTGGCCAGGCGTAGTGGCTTACGCTGGTAATCCCAGTACTTTGGGAGGCCAAGGCAGGTGGATCACAAGGTCAGGAGATTGAGACCAGCCTGGCCAATATGGTGAAACCCTGTCTCTACTAAAAATACAAAAATTAGCCAGGCGTGGTGGTGGGTGCCTGTAGTCCCAGCTTCTCAGGAGGCTGAGGCAGGAGAATTGCTTGAACCTGGGAGGTGGAGGTTGCAGTGAGACGAGATCACACCACTGCACTCCAGCCTGGGTGACAGAGCGAGACTCCATCTCAAAAAAAAAAATACAAATTTTATGTGTACTAAATTTATTTTATTTAAATTATTATAATTTATTAGTTAATGTGTATATGCATATTTAAATATAAATTTACCAAAAGAAGATAAAGACAGTACATTAAGACAAAGAGACTATGGCTGATATTTTCAAGGCATAACATACTGGCAGCCTGCAACTCAGCTAGGGTCCACAGTGGTGTTTTTGCTGGTTCCCACAGTATTCTTAAAAAAGTATCGCATGTAATTTACTCACAGTTTACTCCTGTCCCTGCCACTCCCTAGTGCTTACATCTAGTTCACTCACTTCACATGAGTGCAATGCTGTATTTAGCTCCTATAGATACTCGAGTTTTGAATCCTTATTACACACCTTATTTAGTAATAACGGGCATGCAATTAATTTTTCTTCAACATGCTTCGTAAGTTTTTCAGGATCACCTAGCTCCTTATAAACTTTTTAAGACTTACCTTCACCAGTTTCAATGAAACATGTATAGTTTCATGTTGTTAGGTGCAATAATATGTTTATGATGATGCACACTTTCCTTATTTGGTTCTCTGTCCAAATGTACATCACCTTTTTGAATTTGTGTCTTGTGAATTTTTGTGAATTGTGATTCATGCATAGTTGATCATAAAGGTTAGGGGTTGTAGAAAAGGTAAGTAAATCTACTTATGCTAAAATTTTAGGTAACTGATGCCATAGGTAGGTAGGTATAAGCGAGTGCTGTTTAAGATGATAGGATTTGACCTGTAATTTATCTGATTTGTGTCATGCTAGGTTATCTGATGACGATTTGTACTACTATGTCATGAACCAGGCTTGGCACAGGTCTTCAATAAGAAATTATTAGATTGAGTTCAATATCATATTATGCTTGAAATGGCTGTGGATGTAGGGACAGAATCGCAATTTTCCTTTTATTAAGGAAAAACGAAAGGATTGCAAAGTTGAATTAGAAATATAATTTGGTGTTTGGATCTAGGTAGTATTTTAAGGCAACATGAGTTCTAGATATCTGAGTCTGTTTAACTGTGAGTCATAGTCAAGAAAGGGTAAATGTTCAACACGAAAAGCCCTTTATACTTTACAAATCCGTTTTCTTTATGTTATCTTTTTTGACTCTCACCACAATCCTGAAAGAGGTAAGAATATATTTTACTGGTTAGAGTTTTTTCCTTAACATTTCTTATTACCACACATAAATGAATGATGTCTTGAATGGGAAATGGGTCTTCTGGTTTGTACTCTACCTTCTTGGACAAATCTGAGTCTCAGTGCTGTCCTCTATAAAGGAAAAAGCTTAAATTAGACGATGTCTAAGGTCTCTTCCTGCTCTAACCTTCTATATTTTTTTCAGCTAGTTCTGCTCCCACAAGCCATTAAGTTATTCATGATTTCTCAGTGTAGCAAGGGACGCATGGATGAAGGAAATCCACAGAGGACATTTGTTTAACTCAGGAAATACTCGTTGACTGACAAGTGTGAAGTTCTGGAGAATGAGCCAGCTGTTGTCTCTTGTGGCTTTAAGTGCTTATCTTCTGATCAGTATTACAATTTCCTGACCACGCTACATGGGTTTGAAAAAAAAATCAGTTAGGAAACTAGTGAACATTTCATTCATTACAGACCCTTTTTTGGAGGTAAAATGGAATTGCAGCCAAAATCAGTGATCTTCACCACCATTCTACTGTCCACTACGCAGTTGGTAGATTTCAGACGACCATGGACTTCTGTCTTACTGGAGTGCAGATATGACATTCCCTGTAATTTTTTAGATGATAGAAAAACAGAAATGTGACACACTTCAGCTGCTTGATTATTTTAAAGAAAAAAGTGACATTTGGAAACCATTTCAGCAGATGGTCACACCATCAGATTTTAATTTTAGTCCCACTATTTTTACCTTAACAATATTACTGAAGCCCTAATATTTGCCTACACTTTATATCTAGTTTCAAAGTCTGTTTAAATGACAGAGTAAAAGGGAATTGTCTAAAATATCTGCTTAAGTAGTTGTGTATAATATGAGGCAAAGGGTTGATTTTTTTTAAGTGTTTCTGCTTACCACTTATTTGGTCTGTGACCCTGGGTAGGTCTCTGGTCCTGTTTTACATGAATTTAAAATAAAAATATGAATAATAGTGCCTTGCTTTTCCAAAGGGGCAGGGTGCCAGGCTAGATTATTTCCTAAAGTGGAAGTGGTTTCATCCTATTTTGAAGCAATGTTTCATTCATTCTGTTTCAAAAGGGGAAGCCTGGCCCCCGTGATGGCTCATGCCTGTAATCCCAGCACTTTGGGAGGCCGAGCTACTCAGGAAGCTGAGGCAGGATAATCGCTTGAATTTGGAAGGCCGAGGTTGCAGTGAGCTGAGATCGCGCCACTGTACTCCAGCCTGGGTGACACAGTGAGACTCCGTCTCAAAAAATAAAAAAATAAAAAAAGAGGAAGCCTGTTTTTGGCTGATGTGCTTCTCTCTTGTGGTTAGAGGGTGTCTCAGCTGAAGCTGATTTTCAGCCTGGATCACAGGAGTGACGTGTGTGGCAAATCGATTTTCATAACACATTTTTCAAACTGATTCTGAACCCATATAACTTTCAGGTGAGTTAAGACTGTATCAAACAGCTCCCTCTCACAACCAACTTGTCTTCATTCTTGAATGAGGCCCTGGTTACTGGTGTCCACTCTGTTTTCCTATCACGTCTCAAAATATGCATGTCCACATTTATTATTGATTCCTGCAAGATGGTTTCCTGTACTTAAGATTTTCTCTTGTAAAGTTGAGGATTCAGTTGTCTTTTTTTTTTTTTTTTTTTTTAATGGAGTCTCACTCTGTCACCCAGGCTGGAGTGCAATGGCTCAATCTCGGCTCACAGCAACCTCCATCTCGTGGGTTCAAGCAATTCTCCTGCCTCAGCCTCCGAAAGTGCTGGGATTACAGGCTTGAGCCACTGCGCCCAGCCCAGTTGTCTTTCTTGTAGTTTTATATGATTTTGATTTCTGGAAAATCTGTGAAACTGCATGCCTCACACCCAGACTACAAAGAATATAATAAAATAATAATAACTGATAGATATATATTGAACATGTACTTGTACCTGGTCTTGTTATAAGCACGTGCATTATTTCACAAAATCCTCATAACCTAAAATCCTACAACCCTATGACATAGCTATTATTATCATTTTACAGATGAAGAAACCAATGCACAGAAGGTTGAATAACTTGTTAGATCTGTTTTCTTATATTTAATTTTCATATTTTCTGTGTGTGTGTTTCTCTTACCTTAGCAATGTCATACAAGACAGAGATCTTAAACTCCCAATCCATGAATGTGCCATCAGGGTAGGAAATTGTGTCATTTAAAACTTCCTGAATAGGAAAAAAGAAGAAGAAGAAAAGTTGTTGCAAGAAAGGATATTGTGGAGAGACTATTATGAAACAAATAATGATCTTCAAATTATGAAACCTTAGGATCAGGAACAAATTGGAATTCCATTGTCTGGGATTTCATGAACCTGTGTTTTTTCCTTTTCTGCATAAGAAGCATTGGGTGGTTTTTGCCACCTGGATATGAGCAGGAGGTACCCATAGCATCCCAAATTTCAGTTCTTCCATCAGACAGGTGTAGAGGAATAAGCAGCAGGCGGGGAGACTGCTTAACAAGTGACTGCCCTGCATGTTCTGTCTCATCTAAATTGGACCCATGTTTTAAAACAGGCAATTGCTATAAGAAAATTCCTTCATTAGGCTTGTGTTTTTACTCACATAATCAGTTATATAAATTAGCTTAATTGCTCTTTTTTTTTTGAGTTTACTAAGTCCTCTGTCAATAAGAGAGATCTTGGATTTTTTTGTGAATTGTATGACCTGGAATTTTCTTTGTTTTTTTTTGTTTTGTTTTGTTTTTGAGACAGAATCTTGCTCTGTTGCCCAGGCTGGCATGCAGTGGCACAATCTCAGCTCATTGCAACCTGTGCCTCCGGGGTTCCAGCCATTCTCCTGCCTCAGCCTGCTGAGTAGCTGGGATTACAGGCGCATGCCACTATGCCCAGCTAACTTTTGTATTTTTACTAGAGACGGGGTTTCGCTACGTTGGCCAGGCTGATCTCGAACTCCTGGCCTCAAGCAATCTGCCCGCCTCAGCCTCCCAAAGTGCTGGGATTACAGGCACAAGCCACCGCGCCCCGCCTATATCTGGAATTTTCAAGTCACTATTTTAATATGATGATGGTTCTACCAAGTTGCAGGATTTTAATTAAGCTAATACATAACTGTTCTTCACGGTAGAACTCTAAACAGGACTCTAACTGATAACAATAGTTTCTTATTTTAGGAAAAAGCCCAGTTTGATTTTTAGTTTTAACTCAGGCACTGTACTAAGAATTTCCAAGGAGGGGTCTAAAGTCCTTAATCATTTCAGATAAGGCTGGTTGGGCTGTGGGTACCAGGCCAAGTTGACAGAGGGGAGTTATGGGCAGACAGACTAATTCTTTTCTATGCCTTCTCTCCCTTTAGCGCACCATTCACCCATCCTACCCTGTTCTCATCTGCCAAATTGTAAAAAGCATATTATTCTGTTTTGATGATAAAAGGAATACAAGTTTACTATAAAAAATGTGAAAAAATTGCACAATATAAAAAAGAAGAATATAAAATTATTGCTAATTGCACCATCTAATTTATTCTCATTCTGGTATTTTCTTTTAGTCTTCTTTAATGTAGATATGGAAAGTATATGTAATAAATATTATAAAAGTGGGATCATAATGTATATGCAGATTTATATGTTTTTTTCTGAGCAATTTTAATAGGTGACCTGCATATTTATTCTTTAAAATTATTGAGTCTTATCTCTAGAGCAGGGACTGTGTTAGTGCTGGGATTATAAGGGACCTGTTATAGGGTGCACAGTCTGGTGAAGGAAACTGACACTCATAAAATAATCAGACAAATAAACATAAGATTATAACTGTGATAAGTACGAAGAAAAATTGCCTACAATCTGGGGATTTGACCCCTAAAATCTGGGGTTTGTTATGAAGATTAAAGATGGCTTCCTTCAGGAAATGGCTGTTGAGCTGAGATCAAATGAAGGGAGGCAAGAGTTTTGGGAAGAGGGAACAGCATGGGAAAAGAACCTTTTGTGGAAGAGAGAATGAAAAGGTCCTATTATCTGAGCACCATTTTTAAAATTACCCTTCTTTAGTCATATTTGTCATATACTTAATGGTATTCTTAGCCCATGTGTTTTTCTTCCATAAATCATCTGCTTGTTCATGAGCTGTCACTACACCGCCTTGATTATAATAACTTTCTGACAAGTGGCCTCTTCATTCTCTTTTTCAAAACTGTTTTAGTTATTATTGCTCATATATATATGTGTGTATGTATATGTTTTTCCTGATGATCTCTGTTAATTAAGCAAAGTCTTTGCCTTTGATTGCAAGTTTGTGGTTTTCAGAAGAATTTATACATTTTCAATGTGAATTTGTCGGTATAGGGTGTCGGTAAATCGGCTCTCTGTTAGCAACAGCCCTGATTTATAATATGCTTGCTGAGTACGATGTGAAATATTTCCACCCTGAATGATTTCAGCTTCCAAAAGTTTAACACTGACTGGCTGGCAAATTCTTGAATAACTTAACAATCAGCTCTGAGCTAGTACCAGCCAGTTCCAGCACATCATTGATTCCTATCTAAGAACTTGACTAAGTTCTGTTAAGATTTATTTAATGTCTTAGAAAACTTTCAGTGTTCTTAACTGATTCTTTGCATTTCACGTTGAGTATTTTCAAATAAATATTTTTGTTAAAAATATTAAGGAGGATTTTTTGAGTTGTATTTTCTGACCAATTTGGCTAATATATATGATATATACATTATATATGTAAATTATTTTCTATACACTTATTTTGTTTCTAGTCATCATACAAATTTCTTATAATTTTTAGTATTTGAGGCTTTTGCATTTTCTAGGAAAACAATCATATCATCTTTTTACTTATTTATTTATTTATTTATTTATTTATTTTGAGATGAAGACTCGCATTGTTGCCCGGGCTGAAGTGCAATGGCGGGATCTCAGCTCATTGCAACCTCCACCTCCCGGGTTCAAGCAATTCTCCCACCTCAGCCTCCCAAGTAGCTGGGATTACAGGTGCCCGCCATCATGCCCGGCTAATTTTTTGTATTTTTATTAGAGACGGGGTTTCACTATGTTGGCCAGGCTGGTCTCGAACTCCTGACCTCGTGTCCCACCCGCCTCTGCCTCCCAAAGTGATGGGATTACAGGCATGAGCCACCGCACCTAGCCTCATCTTTAAATTAAAAAAAAAAAAAAATCTATTCCTTTTGTGAAAGTTGTCAAAATCAGAATGGAGTCACAAATGTTGAAAAAATCCTGACACATACAGCCAGAAAAGGCCATGAAAAAGAGGGTTGTCATGCTTGTATCCTTCCTTCATTACAAAAACTATCAGAAAAGACTCTACAGAAACCTCAACCTTCCACAAAGGCCATCACAACCTCACACACAAAAAGTACTTATACAAGGACATCTGCCCAACAACTGCCTGTCCAACCTCTGACTGGCATCATCCTTGCTACTGATCTTTGTAACACAACAATTATGTAATCCTCTTTGTTTTTTTTCCCCTTAAAATCCTTTGTCTTCCTTTATCTCTCTGAATGTGCACATAATTTACGATGGCATATGTATTCCCATTACAATGTTCTTTTCCGAATAAATATCTTTCTTTCAGAGAGCCACTCTCTATTTGTTATTTATGTTGATACCTTCCAATAACTGTATATCTTATTTCTGTTTCACGCATTAGTGCTTTGGTTAGAACTTTCAGAAGTTAACTAATAGTAGTACAGGGGTGGGACTAGGGAGTCTTTGCATTAATACAGATGAAGTCAGTTGTTATTTTATGATAGACAGTCTTTGCAATGTTAAGGAAGTATTGTTTTATTTTTAACTCTACAAGAGTTGTTATTATGGGGGAGCCTAGGAATATTTCTGAAATGAGGTCTGAGACTTCTCTGACATATCACCCTTTAATTGCTGTTTTCCTTGTTGAGAACAGGTTGCAAATACTAAACCTGGTTTCCTCTTCCCTGAGCTATGGTTTCACAGCTTCATTTCATGTGGGTCTTACTCTAATGTCATCTTGCCAGAGAAGTCTTCCATGGCTATCATATCTTAAGTAGCATGACTCAGGTATGTTTGAAAGGGGGTTACTATAAATAACAAAAGAGCTTTTCTCACCCCCACCACCCAGTAAAAACAGGTGTTTTAGGAGCCAAGAATGAAGACAAAATATATTTCTTACTATATCATAATATTACATTAGTAACAATAGAAGAAATTATAATTCCCATAGAAAGAATACCAGATTCAGCTTAATTCTTCTAACGTTGAAGTTTAGTAACAGTAGTTCTCATTATCTATATAAAAACTATTTTAAACTTAAACAAAAACATGAACATACTCCAAATTCATTTAACATTGAACAAAGTCAGCATAGGATTGAAACTAAAATCTATAGTTGTGAATATAGATGAAGAAACGTACTAAAATACTAGAAATGCTAAGCCAGTTGTATACACAAAAAGCATAACACAAATAATTGGATATGGTTAATTCTATGAATGGAACAATATTATTATAATGTACCAAATCAAAAGGTCATAGGAGAAAAACCACATGAGCATTTTAATGGATGATTAAAGTGATCATTTTAATTGATACTGATAAAATAAATACAAATTTCTAGGAATAATAATAACTATTTCAGGTCTTTCAAAATTAGAAACGTTTTTCACATGAGGTCTAGACCTCATTTAATTTCAATGAGACAGAAATTTTAGAATACCAATTAATAGAGCCTAGTCAAAGGGTTTCACATGGCTTATTATTCCCTGAAACTGATTCAGAATTGGCCTAATTAAATATTTATTTTTTTGAAACAGATTTCATGATTATATTGCTTCTGAAACTTTCCCTTTTTAAAGATTACAATTTAATAGTCATGAAGTATTCTTTCACAATTAAAACATCTTTTCACTGCTTTTTTATTCCCAATTTCGTGTATTTGCATGTTTGTTTTAAAAATAATAACTAGAAGTGAAAGGCTTGTATGCTTTAATAATTTTGTTTTTTAAGTAGCAAGTGCATTTTAAAATTCTATCCTATTTTATTTGATTTAAAATGATTGATATTTAATAGTTTCCTTTCCTTATGTTATAGTTATTCTTCTAAAGTTTGCATTAGATACTTCAATTGTTTATTATTATTATTATTCATTTATTTATTTTTGAGACGGAGTCTCGCTCTGTTGCCAGGTTGGAGTGCAGTGGCGTGATCTCGGCTCACTGCAACCTCTGACTCCCTGGTTCAAAGGATTCTCCTGCCTCAGCCTCCCAAGTAGCTGGAATTACAGGCATGCACCACCATGCCCAGCTAATTTTTGTAATTTTAGTAGAGATGGGGTTTCACCGTGTTGGCCAAGATGGTCTCGATCTCCTGACCTCATGATCCGCCTGCCTCGGCCTCCTAAAGTGCTGGCATTACAGGCGTGAGCCACCGTGCCCAGCCTTGTTTATTATTTTTTAAGAACTTTTACCTTAGCACCATTTTCCTCTGTGATCTTAATTCTCCTGGCCAGCCCCCTGCTCAAGATTTCTCTACCACATTCCATTACATTAGTCCCTCACGGGCTTGCTTTCCCTTCTGCAATACAGCAAATGAATTCTCAAAGTGTTAAATATAGTTAATGGCTTAATGTGTCACTTTTTCCTTGTACCACTGTTGAATTTCATAGGGATTAATCCAAAGAAAGAGCCCTCAGATGTTAGAATAACAAGCATGAAATAACTTTTAAAAGAGATAGTAACATATAGGGCTATGTTTTTTTCTTGGAGGGTAGATTTGAGTTTATACCGCATAGTATGAAAGCTAATATTCTTGCTTTTTTTCTTAGTTCCTCTGTTTGCTTTGGACTTGCTCAGTCCAAATACCTGACCTCATCTGGCAACTCCCAGATGATCCTCAGTCCAAGAGTGGAGTAATAATTTGGACAGCAGCAGAACCAAGAATGATGACCAAGTCTTCTAATGCTTATTTGGCGCTATCATAATGATTATCCATTTCTCTTTTAATACAAAAGCAAGTATTCATGGAAAATAAAATGTATTTGGAGGTAATCACTCATTTTTCCACTTCCATTCTCTGTTTACTCCCCTCCCCAAATCTATTATCTTTTTCCTGAAATTTTTTTTGCTTGTTTATAAAAACATAATAAGACTGAAAAAATCTCGGGGATCTAGTTTGGAAAGCATGTGACCCCACCAACTTTCCCTGATTTTCTCTAATATTATTTTACTCGGTAAATATTTTAAAAGGCCTGCTGAATATTTTTATATGATTAGAAAATTGGAAATGACCATGGTTTCTTACCCGGAGGGATCCTCTCTCACAGTATTCTATCACCCCGAAGATCATGGTATCAAGTTTCACTGTGCCGTAGAACTTGGTCAGGTTGTAATAGTCAATCTGAAGCAACTAGAAGAACGTGTTTGTTTACAAAGCAAATTAGGCAGAATGGGGTGCCAAAGTAAAAATTAATATGCCAATAAAATGTGTTTTGTTTCAGATCTTTGAGAAGATGTGTTGTCTTAACAAATTGAATGTCAGTACCCATTGCTTATCACACATTATATCAATCTCATTCAACAAACTTTCCTTTGTCAGTAAGAGGCCTTGAATATAAACTTTACTTTCAAATAATATCAGGTCCACTTTCCAGGAAAGACTAGTAGATTTCCAGAATTTTTTACACCGTCAACCTCACTTTCCAATATCTCTTGGTAGAATTTTCAACAAGAAATATAGTCACCATTTCTTGGCCTGAGGGCTTTTCTGTCAGCCTCTTACTCCACCAGCAACCTCAGTGATTAGAGGAAATGAAGTGAAGTTATTTCTCAAGGGTTTGAAGTAAGGGCTACATACCTTGTTCAATTCTATCTTCTGTTTTTCAGTGAAATTACCATCATTGTGCTTGAGATCTTTGAGAATCACTCGCTGCAAAAATCAATGAAATTTAGGAGACAGTGTTGTGGTGTAACTCTTTACATGCATATTATAACAGTTTGTTTGTGTGTCTCACTAGACTATAAACTTTTGAGAGCAGTGACAGTATTTGATTGATTTTTTATATTTATTTATTTATTTATTTATTTTTTAAAGACAGAGCCTTGCTCTGTTGCCCAGGCTGGAGTGCAGTGGTGCAATCTCAGCTCACTTCAATCTCTGCCTCCTGGGTTCAAGCAATTCTCCTGCCTCAGCCTCCCCAGTAGCTGGGACTACAGGCATGCACCACCATGCCCGGCTAATTTTTGTATTTTTAGGAGAAACGGGGTTTTGCCATGTTGGCCGGCCTGGTCTCAAACTTCTGGCCTCAAATGATCCACCCGCCTCAGCCTCCCAAAGTCCTGGGATTACAGACATGAGCCATTGTGCCCAGCCTTGACTGATGTTTATATCCCTGGTGCCTAGTACCTGGCATATGGTAAGTTCAGTCTCGAATGTTTCTTTAAGAATGACTAAATGGAAGGAAGGCAGGCAGAAGGGAGGGAGGGAAGAAAGAAGGATGGAAATAAGATGCAAAGCTCTCATATGAGATCGTTGTATTTCTCAGCAATGAGCCAAAATATAATACTAGGGTTGCCCTGGACTACTCTGAATATCTTTGATATTTAATTTTTCTTCCTACACTCCACCCTTCCCCAACATTCTATTTGTCTTCCATTTTCCCCAGGATTGTGAGTTTTGTAACCCTTGAAGCAGGGCCCTGCCCATCCCTGTGAAGCTCTAAGAATAGCCCCTAGGAACAGACTGGGGACTCCCACCATTGTGATACTGACATCAGGGGCCAGGGCAATGAGGGGTCAAAAGGCCCAGAGCATACCCCAGTGGAGAGTTCAGAGAAGTGGGAGAGGTCACCTTTTTGTCGTATTTGCACTGTCGTAGTCTCTGGATTGTATCTCGTCTTTTGTCATCATCGATCTGGCACAAGAAAAGGCTAATTATTCCAGAAGCTCCATATCTCATCCTACTCACTGCCTGTCAAAGGCTGAGAGGCTCTTCCAGGTGGGCTGCATCTGTTTCCTCAATAACATGCTGGGCAAGCAGGCTTCCAGAAAAACTGTTGTAATTGACTTGCTCCCTCTCACTAATTGGACTCCAGCAACGTGTTTCCAGGTATCTACTGCGCTCATGCTTAGCTATGGGTTTCCTCCCTTCCTCTTGTGGCCCTACTTCAACCAGGGATTTCCTTTGCTCCCTTCACCCCAACCCTGTTTTTGTGGGAATTATTGCCTGTAGCTACAGATAGATGCTCTTGGGGAAGGATGCTGTACATTTGAGTTGCACACTCATGCCTAAAGGCCCAAGTAGCAATGCAAATGATAAAACTGGGCCAGGTGTCTAAGGGAAGCAGTACTGTCAGCTCTGGGTTCAGCCCGAAGTTGCTAAATCATCTTATTTATCAAAAGGAGCTGGTAATAAGAATTCTTATATGCTATCTCGTGACATTTGTATGTTGGCAATTAATTTTTAAAATGTCAAATATTGAACAAAACACACGCACACACATAGGCACTCACAACTGCAGGCCACATATGGCTCTTGGCCTTCCAGTTAATGACTTCTGGTCCAAAGACAGAGAAAAGGTTGGGAACAATTGCATCTTTTGATGTGATTCTCATAAAAACCTGAGATGTGTTATTATCTTTGTTAAAATGTACCTTACAAGGCCATTTTGAAATGCGAGTGAAATGACTCTCTGAAGGTCCAAGCATGATGCCTGGCACATTGCAGACTAACAAATGTCAGTTATCATCATTTCATTTTCTTCTCATTTAACAAATTAAGTATAGAAGGGTTAAATAACATTAAATGTCACATAAAAAGAGAATGGCAGAACCTAGGCTTGTCTTCTTGCCTAATGCTCTTTTTATTATTTCAGACCTTGATGACATCATTTAAACTATTTGGACCTCAGTTCCTTACTGCACAATTCCAACTCATAGAAATAGCTGGGGGTTAAATGAGACAAGGTTTGTGAAATTCTCTTGCTAGCTAAAATACTTCTCTTTTTACCCTCAAATGAATGATCATCTTGATTATTTTTTTCTGTGTTACTCTATCCCTTTGACTTGCCTGATTTCTTTTGTCTGGAATCTTTGGTCTGATATTCTGACCCTTCCTGTTCTAGCAGTGGGATGTTTGACTCTCTATTATCTCATCTCTTAGTCTTGCTTCCTTATTTCTGCATTCAGTGAGTATCCAAACTTGAACCACTACCTGTCTGGTTGTAGGTATTTTCCACCCTTGCTGACTTCGGGTGACCTTGGGTTTTCTCCATGTCTACCTGACTCTTAGCACCTGATGAGCTCTCTGTACAGCCAATTTCTGATCCACCTGCTTCCCAGCCTGTCTAAAACTCAGAGTAACAATGATCACATGATCAAAATAATTTTGAACTTCCCTCCTTTGAGTTTACTGTCCCAAAGACCTATTTCCTTGGTCAGGTGACTCATTCATTCCGATGAACTAATCTGTACTCATAAAAATTTTGTAAAGAAACTGACAAGAAATGGATGAATTATACTTCTAGGAATATTTATATTTTAAGAAAACATACGGTGACACATGTTTTGGGCTTACTCCAAAAGAGAAAATATGAAATATGGGGTTTTGAGGCAGTGGGGAGGTGCTTGAGGAATGACACCAAGGCTGGACTTGTGCAGAGGTGGAGCGTGTGGGAGCCCATCTGGGAGAAGATGAGAGACAGAGGTGCACACGCTCCTTCTGAAAGTCCCCTCTCCTCTTCCTAGTGTTATATTAAATAAGCAGGAGACCATTGGCATGAGGCTGTCTTTGTATTATGAGTTCCTATAAACTGCAACCTAACTTAGTATACAGACAAACTGAAAACTAATTTAGGAGTCTATTTTTGTAACAAATGGCTGGGTTTCAGCCAATCACAGGAAGCTAACTGAACAGACCATGCCCAAATAAAGCAAATGCCTAGCTGTAACCAATCAAGTTATTTGTGTACTTTACTTCCTTGTACAACCTATGAAAGCTCACTGCCCATGCTGCAGAGTGGAGCTTTCTGAACCTCTTTTGGTTTTGAGTGCTTCACAATTCATGAATCACTTTTTGCTCAAATAAATTCTATTTTGTCTGTCCAGTGTTTTTCTTTTAACACTAGGTACTTCCAGTTTGTCATTTAGGTCAACAAATTCTCTCTTTGGAAATTCAGTAGCCTTAAGGTCATTTACACCTGACTGTGAATTACTGTTAAATTGATTTCATCCTGACACTTAGCTGAGACAGATTGGTCTTTGTGAATAGAATTTTTCTGTTGAGGTTCAGAATGCACCAGGAGGGTCACATTGGAGCATGTCATATTTCTGAAAGAAGGGAAGACCTGGTCTTTGGATAGACATGAGGGGATTGGAGCCATTAGAGGGCAGCACACAGGACTTGGGGAGGAGGGTCAAGAGCTGGTAGAGAGGTTCCAGAGACAAACTTAAGCCAAATGCAATTTTATTCCTGCTGATTTTAAGCAAGGAAGCATCTCAAATCACACTACACTATCAGTTTGGCCCTACTCTGAAGGAGTCCACGAATTCCCATCTGTGGAGGTCTTGGGTCTCCATATTCTCTTAATACGCTTTGGTATAAAAACTAGGATAATTATATGGTGTATGGAAGGTGTTACAATCTCTGGCTTTACAGTTAGACAGACTGGGTTTAAATTGTAGCTGTGTTCCTGGAATTTCCACCCTGCTACTTCACAGTGCTCAGGAGAAGATGAAATGGGTTAATGCATGTGGTGCATTATAAGTGCTCAGTAAGTGTTAGCTATTATTACTTATAGTTATCTTACTCATTAGTTGTATGTGTCCCTGCACTGTTTCTTAATCTTTTGTCCTTCAGTTTCCTCATCAGCAAAATTATGATAATAAAGCTTAATTTTGGGTTCCTGTGAGGAATAGATGAGACAGCATAGGTCCTGCATTGACTGTGGTAAATGGAGTAAGTTATTATTGGCTGCTGCTATTTCCTGGTTGAAGGTAAATGTGAGCAAATATAAGCAGAGGCCTCTTTCTTCAGGAATGAGTAAGACAAGTCATAGGCCCTTAGTATGGATAGATTAGCATCCAAGGTTTAGGGGAACTCAAATGCTCTGCCCATTCCTACATCCCTTCCATGGCAAATTCCCAATATGTGTATTTCTATTCTGGATAAGATGCAAAGAACGAGAACACACCATATCTCAGCCTCCAGGGAAGTGCTCATTGGATTAACTAGTTGACATGTAGGAGAATGGAGAATCAAGGGGAAGGGAGAGAGCTGAAAATTAGAAAGCATCTAAGTCTTGCTTTCTAGAACAACTATCCCTACTTGGCACATATCCTGCAATGCTACTTAAGTCTTGTCAAATACCTGCCAAATTGAACCCATTCTTCAACAGGTAAGGTAGGCTTTACCTTGAGGCTAACATGATTGGTCTCATTGGTCTCCAGAGGAAAGATATTTTCAGGAGGAATGTGGGACCATTTTTTCTGACGAAGTTCATAATCTTTTCTATATTTTCTGTGAAAGGAATAAAACTGGTCAATAGGTTTTTATTAATATCCATGTCATTCAGCTTCTGAAGACTGGGTGAAGTTTAGAACCCTGGTATGCTCAGGTAGATATGTGTGAGGGAAGGTAGCCCAATGACAGAACACCATGTCCTCCAAACTGAAAAGCGCTTACTGCCAGTGGACCTGCAAGGATTTCTGATGGGCTTTTATAGCGGTGGCCCTCAACGTTTTTGACACCACGGACTGGTTTCCTGGAAGACAATGTTTCCATGGAGGTGGCAGGGAGTGGTTTCAGGATGAAACTGTTCCACCTCAGATCAGGCATTAGATTCTCATAAGGAGTGTGCAACATAGATCCCCTGCATGCGCAGTTCACAGTAGGGTTCACGCTCCTATGACAATCTAATGCCCTGACTGATCCGACAGCAGGGGGAGCTCAGGCGGTACCGCTCGCTCACCCGCTGCTCACCTCCTGCTGTGCGGTTGGTTCCTAACAGGCCATGGACTGGGGTTTGGGGACCCCTGTTTCCTAGTCTTTCTTTTCTTTTCACTTCACTTTCCTAGGTTTTTCACTAAGGCAGTCCTTCACAATACTAAAGGATTTAAACTGATGACATAGAAGGAGTGAGGAAAAAATACAGGAAAAAAATGTAAAGTTGGTGACATTGAGAGGCAAAAATGTTAATTTTTAATCCAGAGAGAATACACCAGATCCCTAAATAAGCCAGTTCCTCTTACCCATCTGTGCCTTTTCAAAAAATATGTTTAAAGAAAATGGAAAAGTACAGAGAAAATGTAACAACACCTATCTCAACTACAAAATGTTAAAAATGTATAGTTTCCTTCAGATAGTATCGGTCCCCAGATAGTGTAGGTTGGGGATTAGGCCCCCAACCCCTGGGCCATGGACTGGTACTGGTCCGTAGCCTGTTAGGAACCAAGCTGCACAGCAGGAGGTGAGAGGTCAGTATTACCACCTGAGCTCCACCTCCTGTCACATCAGTGGTGGCGTTAGATTCTCACAGGACCGCGAACCCTATTGAGAACTGCACATGTGAGGGATCCAGGTTGTGCACTCCTTATCCTTATGAGAATCTAACTAATGCCTGATGATCTGAGGTGGAACAGTTTCATCTCAAAACTCTCCCCACCCCCAAAAATTGTTTTCCATGAAACCAGTCCCTGGTGTCAAAAGGTCGGGGACTGCTGGTATAGATGAAGCAGAATTCTTGGGCTATAGACGATGTACACTTTCGACTTTGCAGATATCACCAAATTGCTTCCCAAAGCAGTAGTTATCAATTAATTTACCTTCTTATCTTGAGAATTCCCATTTTCTATATTCTTGTCAACATTTGGTATTGATAAACTTTTTTTTAACCTTTATGATGAAGGTGAAACAGTGTTTCATTATTGCATTACTTTGCATTTTCTTGATTACAAGTGATATTATCCTTTCAAATATTTTCTAGCTATTTAATAGAGTATATAGACTCAGAATTATATAGAATTATGTATTTATAATTTTGCTCATTTTTTCCTAGTGTGTATATTTTTCTTATCCTTGTTAACTTACATAAGTTCTTAATATATTTTGAGAAATAAATCCTTTGTCCCTTTAGTTTTCAAATACCTTTTCCTAGTTTATGACTTCCTTTAACTTTGTTTTACAGAAAGTTTTGATTTTATTATCGTCATATTTATGTATTTTTTCTTTGACTTTTCCTTTTTTATCTTGACTGAGAACTACTTTCCTAAACTGAGATCATAAAGTCATTTTTATTGGACAGGCACAGTGGCTCACACCTATAATCCCAGTACATTGGGAGGCCAAGGTGGGTGGATCACTAGAGGTCAGGAGTTGAGACCAGGCTGGCCAACGTGGCGAAACCCTATCTCTACTAAAAATACAAAAGTTAGCCAGGTGTGGTGGTACACGCCTGTAATTGTACCTACTAGTGAGGCCAAGGCACGAGAATTGCTTGAACCCAGGAGGTGGAGGTTGCAGTGAGCCAAGATGGCGCCACTGCACTCCAGCCTGAGTGACAGAGTGAGACTCGGTCTCAAAAAAATAAAAATAATTTTAAAAAGTCATTTTTATTAATTTATTCTAAGTTTTGAAGCTTGATTTTCACATAATCAAACATTTAAAACATTTAAAACTCCACATAAACTATGCATTAACATTTAAAACTCCACAGAGTAAACTATGTCTTTGTGTATTATTTTAGATATATAATAATAATAAAATACAACATAATACAATATAATAATAAAAATAACTATTTTCATTTATATAATGCTTAGTATATGGTAGTTTGTGTGCATGTTCCATTTCTAATCCCTACAACAGCTCAGATGAAGAAATTGAAGCTAAGTTACCTGTTTTAATTTTGTTTTTTACATGTGGAAAGCCTACCTTACCAACATCATTTCTTTCTTTTTTTTTTTTTGAGACGGAGTCTTGCTCTGTTGCCCAGGCTGGAGTGCAGTGGTGCGATCTCTGCTCACTGCAACCTCCGCCTCCCGGGTTCAAGATCTTCCTGCCTCAGCCTCCTGAGTAGCTGGGATTACAGGCACCTGCCACCATGCCCAGCTAATTTTTTGTATTTTTAGTAGAGATGGAGTTTCACCATGTTGGCCAGGCTGGTCTTGAACTCCTGACCTCATGATTCAGCCACCTCGGCCTTCCAAAGTGCTGGGATTACAGGTGTGAGCCACTGTGTTCGGCCACCAACATTATTTCTTAGCTGTCACATACTGTCATCTTTGTCATATTATAAGTTCTTGCTTGTATCTGATTCTGGAACTGATATTCTTTTCTATTGACCTGTTTTGTCCCTGTTTGCCTTTGCTTTTTGGTTATTTGACAAACTCATTCTCACCTTCTCAAGGCCATGCCTTCCTTAATGTCCCCTAAGCAGAAATGATTATTCTCTTTGTATGCTTCCATCTAAGTCTGAGTATTCTTCAAGTAAATGCATGTAAAATAGCATATTACTGACCCTAAGACCTGGAGGCAAGTAGGATGAATATCAAGACCTTAAAGGCTCTTGGGTTCTCAGCTCTGTACCCCAGGAGACTCTTGGGACCCAGCAGAGCCAACTGTCATTCATACTGAATTAGGGGATTTCTTAAATGGTTTGCTAGTTTTCTTGCATAGGCTGTTGTAATGGCAAACTGCATGTGTACCACCTGTCTGCCAGGCCCCCTCATGGGCATAGCATTGCACTGGTCATTAGGAAGCCCCATCTCTGCCTGCCATGTTTAGAGACAATGAGAAACACCTGTTATTATCTTTGATCTTGTGATTTACCCTATCTTAAAGTGATTCCCATTTAGATTTGCTTTTGGGGGAAAATTTTGGTTTCTTCTCACTCTTCACTAAATGGTCACCACACATTGTAGACCATCACCTGTATTTCTGAGCAACACAGTTACAGGAGCCAAGCGGTGTTGTCAGATTGAAGAAAATAGTCTACTTCCTTTTCTGGAGAAAACATCAACCAGTATATGGCAGGCTGGACATTCACATGAGAAAGTATAATGACACACAGACCAAAGTGTGTAATACACAGATAAAACTGTTGTCTTGTTTAGCTAGGAAGTGCAAGTGAACCTGGTAATATAATACAGTATTATAAGTTTGGCATTTAACATATGCAGATTAGGATGTAGTGTGGTATTTACTCACTCATTTATGTATTCAATAAATATTTCTTAGTACACACAATGTCTCTGGCTAGGCATTTGGCAGACCCAAGTTGAGCAGAAAAATCATGGAACTGATGGTGAGAAGGCTTGAGTTCTAGTTCTGGCCCCACCCACTACCTGGTGATAAGACTCTAGAGAAGCCATTTGACTTTCTGGGTTCTCTTTCCTCAGGCTAAAATAGGAGATTTGGAATAAATTGTTTCTAAAACCTCTCCCAGTCTAAATATGTAATTTAATGAGTTTGATGTCTCCCACAATATAACAGCATAATAAAAATAACTATTTTATCTATATATGCTTATTATATGGTAGTTTGTATACATGTTCCATTTCTAATCCTTACAACAGCTCAGATGAAGAAACTGAAGCTAAGTTACCTGTTTAAGTTGCTAAGTAACACGCTTAAGACCACAGAACTAGTAACTCAAAGAACTGGGATTTGAGTTCAGGCATCTTTGGCTTCAAAGCCCTAATCTATTCACTCAATAATATTCTGCCCTTCAGTTAGTCTTTGATGCAGAATGTCTTCATTATCTTAGGTCAGTCTGCAGGCTTCTTTGTGAATATTCATCATCATCAACAGACAACAGACCTCTCCCACTTTCCCTTCCTGCCTCTCTGGATACCGAACACAGGCATGATAGAGGCGGCTGTACCTGAGCATCAGGAGAGCGACGAGCAGGAGCAGCACCACAGCTCCAGTGAGGGTGAAGACTGCAATCATCAGGATCTGAGGGCCTGTGGCGGAAAATGCGTTAGGAAGGACCTTAGACAAGAGAGCAAAAGCATTTCCAAGATTCTAGCTGTACAATGTAATTTGGGGAAGGGAAAAGAGAACCCTTTAAAAAAATTTATTTTTTATTAATTTCTCTCTGGTAATATAAGTCCTGTGTCCCTACTCTCTGACAGCCTTGTCTGGCATTGTACCCAGGGAAAGTGGCTTAATTTTGGCTATTCTGACAGCATATACATCTCTATTCTTTCTAATAAGAATCACCAAATGTTACACAAACATAAAATAGTTTAGAGCACGTACAAAAAAGTTGGTGGTAGAAGTCTACCTGGTGTCCTTGAAACCAATATACCTAAGAAGGGTTCATAGAGGATGAGACATGTATTTTTTTTTCTTTTTGAGACAGAGTTTCACTCTGTCATCCAGGCTGGAGTGCAGTGGCGCAGTCTTGGCTCACTGCAACCTCTGCCTCCCTGGTTCAAGTGATTCTCCTGCTTTAGCCTCCCGAGAAGCTGGGATTACAGGTGTGCGCCACCATGCCCGGATAATTTTTGTATTTTTTGTAGAAATGGGGTTTCGCCATGTTGCTGGCCATGAACTCCCGGCCTCAAGCGATCCGCCAACCTCAGTCTCCCAAAGTGCTGGGATTACAGGCATGAGCCACCATACCCAACTAAGACAACTTGTTTTTAAATACAGAGCACATGCCGGAAGAAAAGTAAGTCAGTATAGAATATTAAGTGACAGTGTTGCATGCTGGTTCTTTCCAAGCTCTCCTGGGTTAGTGAGGGAAGTCAATGAAGAATGGGATTTTATTTACTAGAACACTAGTGGGTGGGTGGAGTTGTATAGATGGAGTAAGTGGAAAGACTCTCAGAAGAGTAAGTGGAATCCAGGAAAATGTGGATCCAACCCAAGGAAGCACTGAAGCAGTGTCTGAGTATACAAAGGAATACTCCTACACAGAGAAGGACAGCAACAAGAAGACTGCACGGGAAAGTCGTGGTTCATATATGCCGCAATGAATTCCCTATTAGGAAGTCAGTAGGTTCAAGAAGAAAAAATGGAATAGATTCCAAGCAATAGACAGAATGTGTAAGAAGCTGGGAAGTGATAGGAGTATGGTGAAGAAGACATGTTTCTTTATACAGCAAGGAAAGAAAAGAGAAATCCAATCAGGAATTCTAAGGAAAAAATGTTCAAGGAAGGCATAATCCAAAAATGAAACAAAGTAAAATGTGCCCTGACTTTGAGAATTAGGTATTAAAAAAGGAGAGAAAATCAATTTTCCTTTGTGGTACAAAAGGGAGACATTGGGGCTATATAGAAAGATGTTGGCCGGGTGCGGTGGCTCATACCTGTAATCCCAGCACTTTGGGGGGGCTGAGGGGCCGATCACCTGAGGTCAGGAGATCAAGACCAGCCTAGCCAACATGGCAAAACCCCATCTCTACTAAAAATACAAAAAATTATCTGGCCGTGGTGGTGGGTGCCTGTAATCCCAGCTATTCGGGAGGCTGAAGCAGGAGAATCGCTTGAACCCGGGAGGTGGAGGTTGTAGTGAGCCAAGATTGCACCACTGCTCTCCAGCCTGGGCGACACAATGAGACTCCGTCTCAAAAAAAAAAAAAAAAAAAGAAAGATGTTATCACGGTATACAATTTAGCTTTATATAAATAATATTCACATAATGAAAATGTTTCCTTGTTTTCAACTTATAGAATCAAGTTATAGGTAAAGAACAGAGGTCTTTATTTTGGTTACCAAATAAATATTATCAACCCTGGCAAAGAAAAATATAGGAGAATTTTGGAGATGGGAAGGAGGTAGAAGAAAGAATTGTGGCACTAACATCTTCATCTTACAAAGTGGGAGGCAAGATATTTTATATACAATTGATAGGACAACACTAGAAGCTCATGCATATTAATTAAAATGAAAAAGGTGTTCAATAATTGTACCGACAAAAAAGATATAACTATATGGGAAGAAGTGAGAAAGAGGGCTAGCGAAGATGAGCTAAATCTTCATGTATCAATACAAAAAATTAATAGATAACTGCTAAAGCTTATAAATCAAGAAATAGAAGCATATTATTTAGATATGCAAAACAGTAAAAGCAGAAGTGACTGAGAGAGCAGAGATGCACAGAGGTGGGATCAGGTGCATTCACTTTCCATTATGAACACATCTGCTACTGGATTTTAAAATCATGTGTGTGAATTTTTCTTTTTATTTTTCTGAGACAGAGTTTTGCTCTTTTTGCCCAGGCTGGCATGCAATGGCACGATCTCGGCTCACCGCAACCTCCACCCTCCAGGTTCAAAGATTCTCCTGCCTCAGCCTCCCAAGTATCTGGGATTACAGGCGCACGCCACCATGTCCAGCTAATTTTTTGTATTTTTAGTAGAGGTGGGGTTTCATCACGTTGGCCAGGCTGGTCTCGAACTCCTGACCTCAGGTGATCAGCCCACCTTGGTCTCCCAAAGTGCTGGGATTACAGGCGTGAGCCACTGTGCCCAGCCATGTGTGAATTTTTCTGTGCTAAAATATAATTGATGTAGGTGCCCCGAAAATGAGGTTTTAGGACTTCTTTATGAAAGCAGAATCCTAAACCTTCACACTGTATTCTCTATCATGACACCATAATCTAAACTCCTGGGGGCACAGTCCATGTCCTACTTATTCATTCCTGTTCATCCTTACACCTTTGGCACCCAGCACAAGACCTGGTAAAGTATCAATAAAAATGGCTAATAAAAAATAATAGAAGAAAAACCTGGCCCTGGTCATCTTATTGCCTGAGAAGAGGCAAGGAGAAGGTGCTTGGACATTAAAATACATAAATAAATTCATATAGAAAGACTCCTGTGCCATTAGGGGTCTCATGTCATATGTATTTTAAAACTGTTTTTGTTTAATCATATTATGTCCTTCTGAAGTAGATGGTTTAGCTTGGGGTAAACACTACAGCTCCTTTGTATAAGGGCTGAATTTGAAGGGTTTATGCTTTGCAGACATGTGACTTTGCCTCTATTACCTTGTTTTGTGTTCATGGGAAATTTTCAATGGTGAAAATGTGAACTTTGGATTTCTACTCTCATCGGGGCAGAAATAAATTCATACTTTGGAGTTGAACTTGCATTATGGGCACATTTAACTGGTGAATTCTGTTTGTTACTACAATCACCACTTCCATCACTATCACCACTATTGCCACTCCCACCATTCTCACGCCCTAAACCCCAGAAAACGAAAGTGAGTACAAGAAATACATTTTCAACAGTGTAGATAATCCCACTCACTGGTCTATCAAAATTGCACATCCCCTAGACTAGAGTATAAACTGGAGGGAATATGGGGACTCCTCAGCCCACCTCAATTCTCTGCCTCCTACAGTATGAACATCTCACTGTATTAGATATAATTATAATATTTATATATAGTATTTAAATATACTATTTAAATGTAGTCATTTTTAATTAAACATGCTTTTCAGTTTTGCCTTTTAGATAAACGCAGTATCAAGTTCTAAATTCCAAGGTTAAGCTTCTGCTGCCTTCTGGTGGCTGCTGTAGTTATCACATTCTATTTAACTCATCTCACAATGAATGAGAGTTTATAACCTCAAGGTCATATGATATTACGGTTGGAAGGAACCTGATAAACTTCTTGATTTAACAGGGGAAGAAACTCACACTTAGAAAAGAGAAATAAATTGACTGAAATTAACAGAGTATAGATGAGTGCTGGAGTCCAGAGTAGAAATATATTCAGTTATCTCATGTTGTCATTCATTCATTCATTCATTCATTCATTTATTCATTCCAAGGCACTGTGTTGGGGCAAGGAAATATGAATAAGAATAAGCCCTGAGGGGGCGCGGTGTCTCACACCTGTAATCCCAGCACTTTGGGAAGCCAAGGCGGGTGGATCACGAGGTCAGGAGTTCGAGACCAGCCTGGCCAACATGGTGAAACCCCGTCTCCACTAAAAACATAAAAATTAGCCGGCCGCGGTGGCAGGTGCCTGTAATCAGTTCCAGCTACTTGGAAGGCTGAGGCAGGAGAATCTCTTGAACCTGGGAGGCGGAAGTTGCAGTGAGCCGAGATTGGGCCACTGCACTCCAGGCCGGGCAACACTGCGAGGCTCCGTCTCAGGAAAAAAAAAAAAAAAAAAAGCTAAGGAAAGTTGAGATTCCGGTTAAATCTTGAGGATGAGTAGATGTTTCCCACCTCTATGGAGAAGTGATAAATTCTATTCCGAGGGAGTAGCATAAATAAGGACACAGCGGCATAAATTTGCATGACGCTTTAAGGAAGTAGGGAGGAAGCTGAGAGCATGGGGAAGGGATAGGTGAGTAAAAGATAAGTAGGGAGATTACGGGCACTTTGTGCTGTATTAAGTAACTTGGACTGTATTCTGTAGGTAAAGCAGAGTTGCCAATTGACATGTTAGCAACAGTGCAGTGACATGATTGGACTTGTGCTTTCTTTCTGATAGCAGGATGGGTTGGATGGAAGTGGGCAGGACTAATGCAGGAAGTCAGTTTGACGTCATTTTTGTGATACAGGAAGCAGATGCTGAGGACTTGGATGAGGACGGGCACCAAATCTGCATTGTCCATTGCTATTTCCCAGGTGCTCAGAACATTGTCTGGCATTAAATAAATATCTTTGTTAAATAAATGAAAGAACAGGGATGGTGTAATCTCTTGGTGAAATGTTTTGTTACTTAGTAGCTGTGTACACACAGATGCAAGTTCCAGTCATGCATATCGTATTTCTATACTATTTCAAAGGTTGAGTTGCTGAAGCGGCTTCATTGTCTGGGGACATACCCAAGGTTCGTCATCGCGTGACGAGAAGATTAAGGACACAGACGCAAACACGGAGCGGGTCAAGTAGCGGAAAGTTTAATAGGCAGGAAAGAAGAGAACAGCTCACCGGTAGAGAGGTAGGAGGGCTCTGAAGGGAAAAAACCATGCTTGTGGTGGGAAGCAGTAGGTTATATAGGGAGGCTTCAGGAGGCGGTGTCTGATTTATATAGGGCCCAGGGGATTGGTTTGACCAGTGTGCCATTTACATAGCCCTGAAGAAACTGGCCCTCTCACCCTAATCTTTTATTATGCAAATGCGGCCTCTACCTGGCTGGCGCCATGACACCCACACATGTGGCTTTACCCGGCCGGCACAATGACACCCCCACACATGGCTACAAAGAAAAGGGAGGGGAAATCGCTATATTGGGTGGACCTGGCTTTTAGTACAGCTGCGGGCATTCATCTACGCAAGCTTCCAGCTTGCTTATTTATGCTTGCAGTTCAGCTTTTCAGGCTGCTTTTTGCTAGAAAAGAAATGGTTTGGAGACTGTTTTCAATTAAAAGAAAATGCCTGGCTGGGCGCCGTGGCTCATGCCTGTAATCTCAGAACTTTGGGAGGCCGAGGCAGGCGGATCACGTGAGGTCAGGAGTTCCAGACCAGCCAGCCCAACATGGCGAAACCCCGTCTCTACTAAAAATACAAAAATTAGCCGGGCGTGGCGGCAAACACCTGTAATTCCAGCTACTCGGGAGGCTGAGGCAGGAGAATCGCTTGAATCCGGGAGGCAGAGGTTGCAGTGAGCCAAGATTGCACCACTGTACTCCAGCCTGGGTGATACAGCCAGACAATGTCTCCAAAAAAAAAAAAAAAGAGTAAGAAAAGAAAAGAAAAAGCCTTACTGAGGACTCCTGTACCCTCGCTACCTGCCTAAATAATTTCTTTTTAACTCCTATATTATTGCTTCATTGGTAAAGTTTAGAGCTAAATGTAGTAAGTAACAGTTAAGTATTGAAAAGCTCTGGCTAACTGAGGTTGTTAGTTAACTGAGGCTGAAGTAAAGTTGCTCAGGATAATATAACGTCCCTGTAGGATATAGTATGAATATTTAATGTTCACTTTAGGAACACTTTTACACTGTTGGTGGGACTGTAAACTAGTTCAACCATTGAGGAAGTCAGTTCTCTTTAAGTAAAGAGAACTCTCTCAAAAAGTACTTTTTGAGAAGTTCAGCACTTTAGAAATCACAGACCTATTGAATAACCAAAATACCAAAAAACTTGAAGGAAATACATTAAAAACACAAACCTAACTTTGTCACTGACAGTTATAATTAAGAAGAAAGAAAAAATAATTTGAACTCAAAAAGTTACAAAAGAAGTTGAGAGTTGCAGAAGCCCATGAGAAAAGAGATATATTTCAGAAGTCAAGTTTGGTTTAAAACTAGAAAGCTTGAAGATGGTTCCAGAAAGTTTTAAAAGCTTATTAAATAAAACTCGACTTTAAAAAGCAATCATAGCAATAAATCTGAAGTCAGCTCAGGATTGCTTATTGTCTAGAAGAATGCCATCTTCATTCCCCCCTCCCTCATTTCGTTAATCAGCTGCTAATACCTGTTGGATAAAAGTACAGGAATCATTTTGGACTTAATTTGACTCATGGAGTGAAAGAAAACTAGAAACGCAGGTATAGCTCTGACACAAGCAAGCCCTTCAAACCAGAAATGTTCCCTTTATATCAGATCAAATTTTCAGAGTTTCTGGCTGTAGAGCGGGGCTGGTATAAAAATATTTGTAGCTTATAATTTTTAATACTTTTTGAAAATAAGAAACTAATACAGAGTCATTGTGGAAATTTTGGAAAATTCAGAAAAATAGAATAAAGCAAAAAAAATCTTGCAGGATCCCATCAGTCAGAGGACACCACTCTTAACAGTTTAACATATTTCTTTCCAGTCTTATTTCTATGCATTGTTTTACAAAGTTAGAATCTCATTAAATAAGAAGCTGTACTTTTCTATTACTTTACATCATAAGTTTTCCCATGTCATTTAACATTCTTCATAAATAATTATTTTTAATTGGTTGCCTGATGCTCCATTTGTGAATATATAATAATTTTCTTTTTTTTTTTTTTTTTTTTTTGAGGCAGGGTCTTGCTCTGTCATCCAGGCTGGAGTGCAGTGGCACAATCATGGCTCACTGCAGCCCCAACTTACTGGGCTCAAGTGATCCTCCCACCTCAGCCTCCTGAGTAGCTGGGACCACAGGTATGCACCTCTATGTCCACTAATTTATATATATATATTTTTGAGACGGAGTCTTGCTCTGTTCCCCAGGCTGGAGTGCAGTGGCGTGATCTTGGCTTACAACAACCTCTGCCTCCTGGGTTCAAGCGATTCTCCTGCCTCAGCCTCCTGAGTAGCTAGGATTATAGGCACGCACCATCATGCCCAGCTAATTTTTGTATTTTTAGTAGAAACGGAGTTTCACCATGTTGGTCAGGCTGGTCTCGAACTGCTGACCTCGTTATCCACCCACTTCAGCCTCCCAAAGTGCTGGGATTACAGGCGTGAGCCACCACTCCCAGCCTTAATTTATAAATGTTTGTAGAGATGGGATCTCACTGTGTTGCCCAGGCTATCTTGAACTTCTGGCCTCAAGCAATCCTCCCACCTCAGTCTCCCAAAGTGCTGGGATTACAGGCATGAGCCACCACGCTTGGCTCTAAATAATTTTATTGATGGTATTTCTACTTTTTTTTTTTTTTTTAAATCTTTGGGCTAAATATCTGTCCAGATTTAAGACTTTTTCTTAAAGATTTTTCCTAGTCACATGGAATTACCACTCATTATGGCAAGCCCTGGCCAAGCCAGTCATGGACAGATTGTCCTGAGGCCTCGTTGCCCAGGAGATCCTGAGTGGCCCTGCCTGCTGCTGATGGTGAGTGTGCAGCTTGCACGGGTGAAAGCTGGCCAAGTCATGTTAGGGCTATTCATGACATGATAGGACCTAATCTTAAGTAGGTGGGTAACTATCATTGCAACCCAAATATGTGTCCAGTATGGGAACAGGGGAGACTGTAAAGGCCAGGATCACTGGTCACCCCTCAGCCTGATATGTCAAGTATTTCTTGCTGAAATACACAACCTTTTAGCTTATTGCAGTAAAATGTAAATGGAGTAAGAATATATGTCTCTGTGCTCATTTTTGCCAGTTGTCAAACCCGGTTTTCTGTGGAATAATTTATGTCAAATGGTAGGACATATTTTAAAGATAGGTATAGCTAAATTAGAATAAGAATGTTTTCTTTCTTTCCTTTTTTTTCTTTTTCTTTTTTTTTTTTTGAGACAGGATCTCACTCTGTTGCCCAGCTGGAGTGCAGTAGAACAAAGATAGCTCATTGCAGCCTCAACTTCCTGGGCTCAACTGGTCCTCCTACCTCAGCCTCCCAAGTAGCTGGGAACACGGCTGTGTGCCACTATGCCTGGGTAATTTTTTTTTTTTTTTAGTATTTTTGGTAGAGACAGAGTTTCACCATGTTGCCCAGGCTGGTCTGAAACTTTTAGGCTTAAGCAGTCTTCCTGCCTTGGCCTCCCAAAGTGCTGGGATTACAGGCATAAGCCACCATGCCTGGCCAGAAATCACTGTTGAATCAGAACTATAATATCATTCATTGTGCAGGGAAGTAAGGACCACATTTACAAACTGGACAGCAGGAAATCAAACTGGGACAGCAGACAAAACACAGCAAAAAGCACAGGCTAATTACATAAACAATAGACTTTACTTTTCTTACCAGGAAAACAGTGTCAGGGAGAGAAAATTCATTAGGGATATCTTACCCCGGCCTGTAATATCATTAGGAAGTTTAGAGTTCTTCCAAGTGAATGTGGGGCTCATATCCACAGGATAGGTCTTATTTACGTGGGTATCATAGGTCAAAAGAACCTTGTACTGTGTCAGGGCACAAAAAAGAAAAAGGATGAACAGTAAAACATTATAGAACAAATTATGGTGAGATTAATGATTCTACACAATGACGCTTGATTTCCATAACAATTCTCAGTGAAAAAAGGCAACTGTTAACCAGCTAGTTAGGATCATTTATTGATTCCCAGCATGAACACAGATATAACTTCAGATGGACCGATTAGTTTCCTATTTCTTTATGCTCATACACTACACCATTAACTCCTGTCTGTCCAGCACAGATTCTGTGGGCCTTTAGTGAATCAGTTCAAGTATTTCATTTTTCAAATGTTAAACTAGAGGCTAAGAAATATTAAATGGCTAGCTCCAAGTCACATGATAAATGAAAGACTAGTGTTTTCCACAATATTAAGTTGCTTTTGAAAAAAGCTCTCAAGAAAATGCAGCAGAGCTAAAATCCATTATGTCATTTTGATACATATCAAGGGGCCCTGAAATAACTACATTTCTTAACTTCTATCCATTACTTAATTTTCTAATCTCTTCTATTCCTTGGCTCTAATATGCTTTTCTTGTACATGACATTAATTAGTTTCTAAAATAAAAGATTTCATTTTCAAGTCATTTGCCAATGGAAATATTAATATATCCTTAAATTACTGCTGCATATATTGAGTCAATTTTGTAAGGGAGATCTGAAAGATGACTGATATGGTTTGGCTGTGTCCCCACCAAAATCTCAACTTGAATTGTATCTCCCAGACTTCCCACGTGTTGTAGGAGGGACCCAGGAGAGGTAATTGAATCATGGGACCGGTCTTTCCCCTGCTATTCTCGTGGTAGTGAATAAGTCTCACGAGATCTGATGGTTTTATAAGAGGTTTCCCCTTTCACTTGGCTCTCATTCTCTCTTGCCTGCTACCATGTAAGATGTGCCTTTCACCTTCCACCATGATTGCGAGGCCTCCCCAGCCTCGCTGGGGAGTCCATGAAACCTCTGAAAAAAATTTTTTTTTTCTCTTTTTTTTGGGGAAGAAAAGGAGGTTTAATTTGACTTACAGTTCCACATGACTGGGGAGGTCTCATAATCATGGTGGAGGGTGAAAGGCACTTCTTACATGGTGGCAGCAAGAGAGAATGAGAAAGAAGCAAAAGTGGAAACCCCTGATAAACCCGTAAGATCTCGTGATACTTATTCACTATCACGAGACTAGCATGGGAAAGACCAGCCCCCGTGATTCAATTACCTCCCCTGGTCCCTCCCACAACACGTGGGAATTCTGGGAGATACAATTCAAGTTGAGATTTCGGTGGGGACACAGCCAAACTATATCAGTGACCATCCTTTTAAATTTACCAGTGTACCCTCAAAATGTTCTGGACAGCAAAGTTATATTTTCTTTCTGCAACCTCTGCCTCCCAGGTTCAAATGACTCTCCTGTCTCAGCCTCCCAAGTAGCTGGAATTACAGGCATGCACCACCATGCCCGGCTAATTTTTGTATTTTTAGTAGAGACAGGGTTTTACCGCGTTGGCCAGGCTGGTCTCAAACTCTTGACCTCAAGTGATCCGCCTGCCTCGGCCTCCAAAAGTGCTGGGAATACAGGGGTGAGCCACTGCACCCTGCCCAATGTTACATTTTCATAACTTTACTCTTTCTTTCTTTTTCCTTTATGTTAGGATGTGGCATATTGAATCTCTGTTGAGACCTATCCTGGATATAGATTATCATCCCTTTAACCTTACATTTTGAGAAGATCTCTGATTTTCCCAAATATACATGTTATATAGCACAACCGATGGTACTACATTATTGAAAAATTCACCCGAATTTGCTTATAGAGAGAATAAATGCACAGAGCAACATTTTCCATTTTGAAGTATAGTTATGAGACTGACATTAGATCTCACACGTTTCTGCCTCTCTCTGTGAAGATCATGGGCATCATCCCAGATGCAAATAACTCAGAGAGGAATGCATGTACCTTTGTAATCGCTATTAGTAACTGAAGTATTGATGGGATCTTATGTTAAGGTATTCTTACGGAATGTATGCGAAACATAACATTATATTGAAGGTTCAATATAGTATCTAGAAACTACGAATTACATTTATGGAATGCTGCTAGCAAATTTCTGGTTTAGCTTTCTCAACGTGGACATCTTTTCTCTAGCTTTTCACATTTTCCATTGCAGATATCTTTTACAAAGCTGGGTTGATGTACACATTTAGTATATGACTTAGACTGTCATAACACTCACATTGGAAAATGAAAAAAAAATGAATAAATTTTATGTTATGTCAGGACCTGACCTCCTATATAAACCTTTTTACTGACCACTTGGTTGGCTGGAACAGTGGCTTTTATAGTTTGGATGGATACAACATTGGATGACATGAAGACAGGTGTTTTTTTTGTTTTGTTTTTGTTTGTTTGTGATTAAATGCTGACCAGCCGTCAATGGTGTGCCAGATAAGAAGCTATGCACTGAAAAGATGGAGAGGTGAGTAGACCACTTATTTTCTTTAAAGAACCTACTATTGGGTGAGGAAAAAAAAGTGAATATAATATGAATAAAAGCATAGCATTACAGGGCTGTTTATGTGGGGCTCAGGTTTACACATTTAATGATTTTCCTGAGAGTTCAAATGGAGATAACAGGGAATATTTCATTGAAATCTTTAGTTGTGAAAATGAGTAAACAATTCTTAGGAAAGACTTGTGATCCTCTCATTGGTATCCCATCAATAGTCTTTTTGTTATATTATGTAATTTATTCTGGGTGGATATTTAAAATATCTATACCTATCTATATGGATATTGATATAGAGGTATAGATATATTAATAGTAAATACAGTGGATATTCTGAGTAAGAAGTTTTATGGGTCAAAATGCTTAAGGAATACTACCCTAAGTGGGGCGTAATTGTGAAGTTGAAATGAACTGTCTTCAGATCCTAAACATAATTTCTCTAATTCTTTTGCTAGTGCTCCTCTTCCAAGTTACCCCTCCTCACCCAGTCACAGCACCCTGAATTTTCTGATAAGCAGTGAGACATACTTTCTTGGTGTCCACAGAGGTATACAGAAGCACCATGGTACTGTCAACATCCCCCCAGTCATCCAAGGTCACTGGACCGTCATACCCTAGGGCAAGATCAGAGTATGTTAGAGGCCATTCTTGATTTTTGCCTGACAGATAAGTTGGATCATGACAGAGAGTGTAAAATGGGTTCAAATAGCTCTGTTTCAAATTTACTGAAAACATTGTTGACATTAATAGTCTAATCAGATGGCACCTGGATTGGCTTCTTAGCCCAGAGATCTCTGGAGGGCATTTTTATGGGAGATGTATTTATTTAGAAAAAGCAAAAAACCTTTTCATTGCATTTAGGGTGGCACTAAATGTAATGAGTCAATAAGTCCCTCGATTATTAGTGACACATTTTTGCTAAGAATATTTCCTGAACTCCTAGCATAGTGTATAGGGTCACTGCACAATCTTAACATAGATTGTAGGAAGATCAAAATTTTTTCACTGTCACTCATTTGCTGAAGACATTGAATAAAATTACTTAAGTTTTCTGAGTTTCAGTTTTGTCATCTATTAAATAGCAATATAAGATAAAACTATTTAGGTAAAAAAAAGTGATCAAATTAGTAACTTCACATGTTTCGACATAACAATGAACATTTATTTCCTGTTTACAATATACCAGGCTCTGTGCTAAGTGATTTATATGCATTATCATATTATTCTTCCTGAAATATCATGATATAGAAACTATTATTATCTCCGTTATATTGGTGAGAAATAATTTATTTAGTCAGAGATATTAAGGGTCGTACGGCTGGTAGGTGGCGGGAACAAACATTTGTTTGTTTCCTAGTTAAATGTTAAGCCAAATGTTAAGCCTGTGCTAATCCATTAAAATGCTCAACCGTGGTCATGGAAGTGAGGAAATTAAGAGTGCATATAAAGTGCCTGGTAGAACTTGGGACACATGGGATGACCAACAAATTACTGTGTCTCCCTCCCTGCATCTTCAGTGAAGCAGAAGTGATCTCTTCCTGCCATTGTCATACACCATAGCCCCTGGTGCAGCCCTCAGTCCTAATGCTGGGCACCTGCTGCCCTCCGAAGCCTACAGAGAAAGTCACTTACACTGCAGTAAAACAAAGGTTTCATAGAGTAAGACTCTGAGGCAAGTTAGAAAAGGCCACTGTCATTTATCTTTGACTTAGTATACATTACATTTAGAGGAAAATTTCTTCATAGTCTCAGGATGAGATCTGGGAAACGAAAGATGGGAGTTTCACTAGGGGCTTGTAGGAAAGGGCAACATTGATCCATGCAGCTCAGGAGGTTTGTGTTGTTTTGGAGGGTATTATTTTGTGGAGTTTTGATAGCTAAAGGTTTTAACACAGGGTCCCAGATCCTTGAAGGATAGAAAAGGAGATATGGAAGGACCCAAATCAAACTGCAAATGTTTATCCTCTTGTTAGTCTCCAAGCACAGTCAGGACATTACTGCTCAAAATGCCTTATGATGAGCTTGTTCATAAGTACAGAACCTGCGCTACCTGCCCTTTTCTGTGACATCCAAAGATTCTAAAAGACTGAAACATAAACCGGAGTTCAGTTATCAATAACAGCACCCTCAAAGTTTATGTAATGATGTTTGCATCCAGTTGAGTTCAAAGGGATTTAGCTGTGGAATCATCTATTGCTAAACCTTCTTTGTTGCCCCAAATCCACTCAGAAAGCCTACATTTCTTCACCTTGGGGTTATTTGCTCTTAGTAGACCAGTACCTTCAAAAGTGAGATTCCTGAAAGCATGAGCAAATTTGGGGGTGGTAATATTTTCTCCATTTTCAAGAAATATCTTCAGCATATGTCCAAAGAGCAGGATTCCATTCAAATAGGCAAGAGCAAAGTCTCGTTTTGTCTAAATAAAAAAGGAAAATATTAAAACGGGTCCTTCAAAAAAGAATCTTGTCTTGAGCCTAGAACAAAAGGTTGTTGGGATCAGCAGGGTTACTGGAAAGTTAAAGGGATATCAGGGGAATTGAAGGGATGTTATTAAAGGAGACTTTTAGAAAACTCTTCCTTGGAGGCCGGGTGAGGTGGATCATGTCTGTAAACCCAGCATTTTGGGAGGCTGAGGAGGGCGGAGCACCTGAGTTCAGGAGTTTGAGACCAGCCTGTCCAACATGCAGAAACCCCATCTCTATAAAAATACAAAAAAATTAGCCTGCTGTGGTGGCACATGCCTGTAATTCCAGCTACTCAGGAGGCTGAGGCAGGAGAATCACTTGAACCCAGGAGGTGGAGGTTGCAGTGAGCCAAGATTCCACTGCACTCCAGCCTGGGTGACAGAGTGAAACTCCATCTCAAAAAAAAAAAAAAAAAAAAAAGAAAAAAAGAAAGAAAGAAAGAAAAAAAACTCTTCCTTGGGTCAGTGTTCTTTATGATCCCATGTCACAATTCTGTCTTCTCTTGGAATCAATAAAATGAGGGAAGCAACTATAAGCAGTTATACTTCATTCCCATGATGAAAAACATACAAATGCAACCAGGAAAGGCAACATGAAGCATTTTCATAATTCTTATAAGATTTTATATAGAAATAATGTTAGTTTCTAGTTGATTGTTTTTATTAAAGTGCAAAAGAGAAACCCAAAAATCAAAAACCAAAAACAATCCCTGCGTTTAAGTATTCTGAGTGGAACATGAGCAGTTTTGATTGGATGATGCCACTGAAATTGCTTTGAATAGAGTTCTGATTGGATATTACTTCATGCCCCAAATGCCTGTCCTGGGAAAAATAATGGAGAGGGTCAGAACTGCTGTGCCTCAGCAGCTGGAGAATGGTGACCTTCACAGGGCTGAGTGATGAATTAAAAGCCCTTGCTGAACTGAGACCAAGTGGGTTCTATTACCTCCGGCATGTTGGACTGCCCATTTGCAAAGAATCGTATTTTTGCTAGAACCATGAAGATGGTCAAGTAATATCCAGATATTACACTCAGAATTATATTTGCTGGAAAAATAAAACTTTCATTGGTTTCAGTTTCTTTTGCTGAAAACATTTCATGAGGTAAAAAGAATCCAGTTAAGACCCAGCTCCAAAAGAGGATGCAGTCCCTAATTTTGGCACGGTCGTAAATGAGAGGACTTAGAACTTCTAGCTGGGAAAAACTGTGACACCCCAGAGGTATCCATCTTTCTTTGCAGCTTTTTGGGCCTGGCCCTTGACTTGCCATCCCAAAGTTGTTTAAGGTCATCAGCATTGCCTCTTCCTCCTCCTCCCATCCCAGCCTGCTCTCAATGGTTTGTCTCTGTGGGAAGAATGCATCTAATAGATTTAATCATATGAAAGTACAGGGACTGACAAAGCCCAATATACTATTAGAATCAGGAGCCCTGCATTATAATAAGGTGGCCATGATTTAGTGTCCAAATGGAGGCTCTTTTTCCTGCACAAATGCTAAACCAGATGGCATAATGGAATAACAGGAATACACCAAAACTCTCCTGGGCAAATTTGGACAATGGTCAACTTAATTATAATGGAAGACAATGTCTTAACCTAGGAATATACATTTCTAAAGGTAGGATTTTAATATCAGTGACAGGAAAATTTTGCTTTAGGACATAGGGAACTTTCCAGTAACCCTTGCTTTATTTTACATTATTTAATTTCTACCTATTTTAAGTGTAAGATTGACCCTCAATAGCAGGGCTTCTTCCTGTCTTTCCATATTGTTACTTTCATGCCAATGTGGTGGATGTGTCCACTGTTGTACTGTTCTATAGTCTAGCAGAGTGACCTATAGTTAAGAGCTTTGATAGGGATCCTGCTGTTTCAAAATGCTGTACATGTAGTTGGTTTCAGTTAACATTTGTTGAATGAATTAGAGCAAGTAAAAATAATTGCTCATTTTAGAATTTGGGTCCTAAATGGAGAAAAATTATCTTACCCTTGACAAATAAAATAATAATATATAATTTATACTATAACATAAAATAATAGCTTACTGGTGATAGATTCCTGGAGAAAGAGCTATTTAGAAGGGAATTCCCAGGAGACAGCGTCAGAACAAGGACATTTTTCATATAGTCAGGGGCTGTGACATTGTCCTCAAAGTACTGGTCACTGTAATAAAAAGCACAGGTTCCTCATGAAAATTAGGAAAAATAGAGATGCATCTTCTATAGTTCACACAAACTATACCATCATCATTGAAAATAGTTTAAAACATTTTTTTTCATTAATCTGCAAAACTTTCTACTTTCCCCAGATAGAATTGTTTTCTTCTGTGCTTGTTAGGTTAAATAAGAGAATTTAAGCAATTGTGGTTAACATACACAAAAGGAAAAGAAAATCAGAATACAGATATTTCTTGATTTCTTTGAGATTTGGGGGGGCTATGGACATGTGAGCTCATGCTTGCTTTTAAGGCTTGGTTTATAGGTAGAAACTTTCTTTAAGTGCTTTTAACAATTTAGAGATATTGAGACATGGTAGAGAGAAATTTTATCACTAAACTTATGTTTTAGATGGTGAAACATAAGCATAAAAAGACTAAACGTCTTCTCTAACATGGTAAGCTTCTTGATATATGGAACATTAGCTTATTGATTCTTGTATCCTCAACTCCTAGACAATGCCTGGCACATTGTAGACTCTCAGTACTGTCTAAGATTGCTCTGCAAATGCTATGGTTTATTTTTATTTTTACTTTTATTTTTATTTTGTTTTATTTTATTTTTAGACAGAGTTTCACTCTCATTTCCCAGGCTGGAGTACAATGGCATGATCTCGGCTCACTGCAACCTCCGCCTCCCAGGTTCAAGCAATTCTCCTGCCTCAGCCTCCTGAGTAGCTGGGATTACAGGCGCCCACCACCACGCCCAGCTATTTTTTTTTTTTTTTGTATTTTTAGTAGAGACGGGTTTTCAGCATGTTGGCCAGGCAGGTCTTGAACTCCTGACCTCAGGTGATCCGCCTGTCTTGGCCTCCCAAAGTGCTGGGATTACAGGTGTGAGCCACCACACCCAGCCTCAAATGCTGTGGTTTCTAAGCTTCCTATTATTTGGAGATTTGAAAAGAATCTGGTATGTTTGAACTGCTGCAATTAGGCTGACCATTATTTAATGTTTTTATTTAAAAACTTTTTTTAGGAGACAAGGTCTTGCTACATTACCTAGGCTGGTCTTGAACTCCTAGATTCAAGCTATCCTCCCGCCTCAGCTTCCCAAGCAGCTGGGACAACAGGCATGCACTGCTGTGCCCAGCATATTTAATATTTGAACACATCTACTATGTGCTGAGAACTGTATTGGATATTTTACTCCTATTATCACATTAATCCTAGAAGTACCCTTATGAAGAGGACATTTTAATTCTCATTTTACAAATGGGAAGATTTAATCTTAAAATGCTAAAAAAATCCAAGAGTCAAAACAACCAGAAGTGTCAGAATTAGAATGTGAACACATTATGTCTAATTTAGTCTCATTAGCTTTCCAAAACATAGCCAGGTGTCCTTTGGGAATAGTGACAAAGGAATGCCAGCACTTTGGTGGTTTATTGAGGATTTCTGAAAGTAAAATTATACCAACCTGGCTACAGTAAGGACTCCTTCCAGGGGTAAAGCAGCTATTGAAATCAATGAGGTTCTTGGAGTGAAATATCAGTAACTCTGCCCTCTTTCCTGTACTTCTGTAGTTTAGAGTCTAGTTGGTTAATTAAATTACCTTCATGAACGTGTAGCCATCAAACAGGCCTGCAGTTCCTATACTTCATTTCCATTCATGCTGTGAGAAGTATCGTTAGTGTGGGTGAAATGATCAGGCAAATATGGGAAAGATCTAGACAGGAGCAGCCTCTTGTCTGAATACAGACAGGTAATGATTAATGGCCCAGTCAGATAAGTGAAGTCACGTGATCTGGCTTCTGGGGGCAAGGGGCATGGGCATGGCAGTGACACCTTCTTCAAGCCTAACTTGACTCAAATATTACTTTGGCACAGCTTGTCAGTGGGGTCTCCAACCATTTCAGATAATTAGCGATTAAAAAAAAGATGGGATGTGAACAAAGGTGCTCTCTACGCTCCAGCATTTTTTCTCTTTGGCTCAGAGAAATGTGGAGGAAAAGATCACCACCTAGTGACTACGCCACAGAGGGTGAGGAATAATTGTGTATATCAGACTCATACAAGTGAAACTTCAAGCTTATCAGAGGTGGTTGAAGGAAAAGTAATCTAGGACCAAAGGCCATTAGCAACTGAAGGAGAAAAATGGGGCTGACATTACCAGGAACAGTATTATTGAGTCTTTAGTTGATTTATCATTTTCTGGACAAAGACTTTAAAATCAGGCTAGAGATCAGGATCGTATGTTTTTCCTTTCTTTCTTTTTTTCTTTTAATAGAGATGGGGTCTCACTGTGTTGCCCAGGCTAGTCTGAAACTCCTGGACTCAAGCAATCCTCTTGCCTGGGTCTCCCAAAGTGCTGGGATTACAGGTGTGAGTGACCATAGCCAGCCAGGATTCTATGTTGACTGAGCAGGCCTCAGTCATAAATGGACATGTGGGTTCAATGGGGCTATAATAAACCTTTTATATTTACAAATGGTGAAGGTGTCAAAGGAATGCATCTCTGCTAAAGCCACAATTAGCTAAATAAGAATGACAGTGTGACAGAGTTCAAATATTATCATCATACTTAACCCCATAAGGGGTTGTACAAAGCAAGAGAAAAGAGAATGTGCCTTCTGGAAATCCTTGGAATACTTCCTTTTTGAAAGGAGGAGGGTTTTTCCAAATGTTATACCTACTTGAAAAGATCCACTAGAATAATGACAATGTCTTCAGCCACTGCTCGGTCACCCTTCAGCTTGTAGAGGAACTCTGGACCACCACACATAATAATCACTGGAGGAGAAGGTAAGACAAGGAGAGAAATATATGACAGTCTACAGACAAACAGGCAGGGAACCAGTTGCCTGAATTTGAATCCAGTATGTTAATGTTAAATTTTTTAAAGATAAACTCCAATTCCTTAAATTCCTCCTTCCTTTTTTTTTTTCATTTACAATTATAGAGTCAGAATAGAGCTGAATGGGATCTTTTTTAAAAAAATCATCTCGTCCATCATTCTTTTAATTTTATAGATTTAAGGAGGCTGAAGCCAAGATGTCAAAGGGTCAAAGAACTAGTAGATGACAAAGACAGCTCTGACAGTCAAGTTCAGTGCTTATTCCATTATGCCAGGCTGGAGTAATTACAGAATATATTGTCATAGATAAGTGAAGTATACCTCACCATTTGTAAAAGTGGTTGAAAAAGATATTATAAAAGTGAGAACTGAGAAGAATTTATAAAGTCTCCCTAAGCAACTTGGGCTTTATCTGTAGCCTCTTAACTCAAAACTTCATCTTAGTAACTCCAATGCCAGAGTCCAGTCTGAAGTCTACCACTAATTTCTGCTAGCTATCCTGAATGCAGTTTTATGAGTGAGAGGAGTTGGGGGAGACTTCATTAGATCTTTTTAGATGCTGTGCCATTATGCTGCCCTGTTGAATTGTAAACTCTTTAGGGACATAAATACTTATATATTTCTTTCCCACCATATCTTGGTTAATGTTTTTGCAACTGGTAGGCCATTAATATAACAAATGCTTGATAATGGCAATAAATGATGATTTGAATATCAGGAAATCCACCAAGCAAGTATCTTTCCTTGTAGAAAATTCTCACAATGGATTCCTTTGCCCCTGATACATTCTTGTTTGTCAAGAGAATTCTGTGGAAAGTGCAACAAATCCCCTAATATCTTAGTGAGGATGACTTCTTTTTATTTGAATAGATTTTTGCGGGAACAGGTGGTGTTTGGTTACATGAATAAGTTCTTTAGTGGTGATTTCTAAAATTTTGGTGCACCCATCTCCTAGGCAGTGTACGCTGTACCCAATGTGTGGTCATTTATCTGAGGATAATTTTATATCCAATTAGGCTTTCCTACTTGGTCTCTAGCTGGTAGATCACTGGGCAGGTGAGATACAGAAGGAATAGGAAAGTGAGATAATCTTTGCTTACGTTGTAATTTTGCATGAAGCTATGTAATCAATAAATTCATCCTCTTGGTCACCAGGAGGACTGGGGCTCAGAATGTGTGAAGATTGGTCACAAATCCAATAATATGTTGGATTGAGGTGAATTTAAAAAAACAGTCTGCTGAGGGTGGGTCATAATATCATTTGGGTTTATAAAAGCCGGATTTTAGCATTATCGTTATTATGTTAATATAATTACTCAATAATACTTAGGTATTTTCTCTCAGAGGATAAGGTTTTTAGTCAATGAAAGGAACAATATAATGAAGTTGCATGCAATTATAGATCTCCCAAAATATACAAAATATGTATGAGTAAGGATGATAGCTCTGCAGTGGAGGATTTGTTGAAATGACTTATAAGGAGGTGGTAGTCATAAAGAAGAAGTTAGCAAAAAACAATTATCTTCATGTCTTCTTACCATTGCTTTTCCTGTTGTGGTCCATTAAGATATCCTGAAACTCCTTATCTTGTCTTAACACCACCTTAAAGCCGAGTTCGTGGGAGAAATAGGAAACGCTAGCCTCCAGAGCATTAAGGTACCTGGAATAGGAAAAAGAGAAACTAAAACAGCTTACTTCCCTCATGGCCTTTCATGCCTTTCACTTCTTATTTGCAGATCTATCCTGGGATTTGTTCATCTAAAATTCATTTCTGCTATTAACACAATAGACAGCACACACCATGATACCACTAGTTTAGATTGTAAGATCTAAATTCGTGAAAGGATGGGGGAACTTTTAGGGATCTTCATGTGTACATGTAAATTGTTATCCCCATAATCACAGTGTATGTTCTAAACACACTCTAAGCAATTTTGTGAATATGTGGCTTGGTTACTTTGATTTAAAGTGAGTTGTCATGATATCTGACATTTGGTGAGTCATTTGTGATGGTTTCTGGCTGCTTGCAGGAAGAGGGTTCTGCTCTGCTCTATAAACTAGTCCCATTATAGATAAGTTGAAACCCTTGAATCTACAGTACAAAAATGCAGAGTTGATAGGAATAATTTTCTGCTTCTGTTTAAACCTCACATTAGATACTGTGGGTTGATTCCTGTGGGTCTCTAGACGTGCATCCCTGGTGGTATCCCATCTTAGTCTTTTGCTTACTTAGATGGAGAAAGAATGCAGAATTAAGCAGCATCCTGGAAGTACAGGCAGCAACCCAGCCAGAAGATTTCTTCTACCACCTTTGTTGGAGTTGAATGAATCTTTCCATTTTATTTTAGTAATGATACCTGATATGGTTAGGCTTTGTGTCCCCACCCAAATATCATCTTGAATTGTTATCCCCATAATCCCAATAATCCCCACGTGTCAAGGGAGAGACCAGGTGGAGGTAATTGAACCATGGGGGTGGTTTCCCCCATGCTGTTCTCATGATAGTGAGTAAGTTCTCATGAGATCTGATGGTTTTATAAGGGGCTCTTCCCTTTTTGCTTAGCACTTTTCCTTCCTGCCACCTTTTGAAGAAAGTGCCTTGCTTGTCCTTCGCCTTCTGCCATGATTGTAAGTTTCCTGGGGCCTCCCCAGCTATGCGAAACTGTGAGTCAATTAAACCTCTTTCCTTTATAAGTTACCCAGTCTCGAGCAGTTCTTTATAGCAGTATGAAAACAAACTATTATTAATACAATACCCATTATTCCTGTTTCTCCCCTACCTCTTGTTTCTCTGAAGAAGTGTGAGATCATTTTTTCTAACTAATTGTAGGTATAGGCAAGATACATGTTCTCTGGTATTGTTTCTTACACAGGAATGTGAAAACATTAACTCCTGGCTTTCATTTTCCTTGTCTATAAAATAGGGATCCTATTACTTGTTTTATTTTCTTCAGATAACGTACTGCAGGAAATCAATAAAACTGATGTGAACGTACTTTCAAAACAGTAAAGAGTGTTGCAGATGCAAACTATACTGATTATTTTTACAACTCTATATTTACTTGGTCCCCTTTGCTTTTATTTATGTGTGAGAAAATGAACTGATGTCTATACCCAATGCTGTTACCAGTGGAAGGTGCATCTGGTAATAACTAGGTGGCCTGCATGATCCTATGGCTTCTCTCCATGGCAAGTGCTAGTGAAATATTAATGATCCTGCTTACCAGAAACAGTCCTCAGTTTCTGTACCATTCTTGTAAACATACGAAGTGCTCCAGGAATAAGTTTTGAAGGGCAGATCGTTGGTTTTCCAAAAGTTAACCAAGAAGTACATCAACTTTCTAGCTGGAGACATCAGCCTGGTTAAGGTTTCTTTATAGTCACATGACAATCCAAAACTTCCAGCTGAGATCATGGGGTAGCTCAATTCTGTGTCAAGGCTATGTCAAGAGGTTGAGGAAAAAAGCCATTATCAGTATTAACTTAAGTAGCACAAATAAGATCCCTCTTTAACCTGTTTCAGCATGTATGTATAAATGGTAAGAATGAAATCGGATCATTAAAGCAGGTTTCTCATGTATATAGGTGTCTTTCTCATACAGCTAAATTTAAAAACATTTATTGAGCACATGCTATGTTCTAAGCACACTCTAAGCAATTTTGTGAATATGTGGCTTGGTTACTTCGATTTATTCTAAAGTGAGTCATCATGATATCTGGGCTGGGATACAGGGGAAGTCGGGCTAAGAAAAAGGATGGACCACCACAGCCACCATAGTTGTTGTAAAGCCAAAAAGATGCCATCTACACTTTGCCATGCATTGCCTTCTCCCCAGCTTGTTCACCTCGGTATCTCCAGTCATCTAGGCTTGTATGTAGATGCTTAGTATGTATTTAACGAAGGAAGGAAAACAGCATCCCCTTACATCTTCAGTGCTCCATCAAAAGGTTTTAGTGGGCTTCCTGCTTGCATCTCAAACTACAATGTTCACAGTCAGAATTCTCTTTCATTTCTGTTCCTCCAAACTGTTTTTCATTTATTTTAGTGTTTTGAGATTTTTTCATTTATTTTAGTGTTTTGAGATTGCAAAGGCTTCTTTGACTACTTTCCATCTCTCACCCCAGCATCATACCATTGATTGATTCTACCTTCAAATATCTTTGCAGTTATCCTCCCTTTCTATGTCCACTTCCTTCTTCCTAATCCAGGCCCTCCTTCTCTGCTGACTTTCCTGTCATCAGTCTGCCTGTGTCTTTCCTATACACTGTGGTCAATCATTCTTCTGAAAGTTGGCTGCTTCTCATGGCATTCCCAAGCTTAAAACCTTAGTGATTTCTGATGTGAGTCTCATTAAATGCAACTTCCTTCACCTGGACTTTCCTCCCATGAACTTCCAAATATGGTCCTACTTAATTTTCCTAGTCTTATCTCTATTATTCCCCTATACATTTCCTGAACTCTGGTTAATACAGAGTTCTTCATTTCCCTGCTTGTTTGCTTTTACATGTACTTCTCTCCCTCTGCCTGGCTAGAAAGCTCATCTCCTCATCTCTCTACTCATTAAAATTTTACCCATTCTTCAACATGCAAACAATCGCATCTCCTTCATAAGAGTTTTTTCCTCCATTGAAGCTTAGTCCCCTCAAGCAGAGGTGACCCTTCCCTTCTGTGCACTCTATAGCTTCTCTTTTCTTTTCTCTTCTCTCTCCCTTCCTCTTTTTCTCCTCTCTCTCTTTCTTTCTTTCCCTTCCTTCCTTCCTTCCTTCCTTCCTTCCTTCCTTCCTTCCTTCCTTCCTTCCTTCCTTCCTTCCTTTCCTTTCCTTTCCTTTCCTTTCCTTTCCTTCCTTTTCTTTCTCTCTTTCTCTCTTTTTAATAGTATCTCACTCTGACACTCAGGCTGGAGTGCAGTGGTGTGATCCTGGATCACTGGAGCCTTGACCTCCTCGGTTCAAGTGATCCTCCCATCTTGGCCTCCCACATTGCTGGGACTACAGGCGTGCATGACTACACCTGGCTAATTTTTTTATTTTTAAACTTTCTGGAGAGCAGAGTCTCACTATGTTGCCTAGGCTAGTCTCAAACTCCTGGGCTCAAGGGATCCTCCTGCTTCGGCCTCCCAAAGCCCTGGCATTACAGGCTGGTGCCACTGATCCCTGCCCTCTGCAGTTTCCTGTTTCCATTTCCCTGATGGCATTGATCTCACTGTGCCTTGTATTGGTCAGGAGAGTCCTTGTCACCTTCTCTATTTGGGTGGACAGGGGCTGTGTTTTACTTAATTCTCTCTACTCTGCCACAGCTAAAATGCTTTGCACGTAGAAGGTCTTCATAAATGGTGAATCAATTTTTCCAATCCTCCTTTCCTTTTGAGCATACTCTGTAGCAATATTAGTAAGTGATCAGGTTAGATGACAGTTGGGAACAAATACAAGGAAGAGTAAGATTCTGGATCTGTCCGCATTTTGGTATGGAAGAGAAGCTGAAAAAGTGCTCAGTGAACCTGAGCATCTGAGGCTGTTTGTAATGGTGGGTGTGAGGTGACAAAAGCAAACTTTGCAACAGAATTTTCAGAGGTCTAATGTTTACTCTCCAAAATCCATTGCAAGTGATATTCTGCACAGTTTTCTCTGTGTCGATGAAGCGTGATTCTTGATTCAGGGTCAGATTGAACAGGTACAAAAAAGGAACTTGAGCAGGATTTTGATTAGGGAAGGTGTAATTAGCAGAACAAAGTATTTTTTGGTGATAATTACATTGTGTAAAATGAATGGAAGAGATGAGGGTGATTTTCCCAGAGCCAGAAAAATATATTCATTCTAGAATATACTGAGAGCTTTGTTCTAAGATAGTAAGGGCACTGTACAAAGGACTTTAACATGTCATTTATATAATTCTCAAATAACATGAACTAAATATATTGTTATTTTCCCCACTTTTACCAGACCTACAGGATAGAACAGAACCCTACTAGTACCCTGGGGTGTTGCACTTTCTTTTGTGTTTCCCAACCCTCTACCCATACTTTTGTGAATATTTTATTTATTAAACGCCTCAAATTATCCAATTTCACTGTCTTTCCTGCTTTCTCTCAAAACTCTGACTTTTTACCCATACCATGTTTTCTCTCAAGGTCAGATGTTAATGACTCAACCTGAATGGCTACAGACATTCACTCCATGCTGAGCAAGGGAAGTTACCTGGATAAGAGAATGACAGTTATGGGGAGATGGCAAAATACTAGACCTCAACACCTCTGATTGTGTTGGCTTGACTAGACTGTTGTTTGATGAGTCCTTTAAGTTGCAATATCATGTCCTGACTTCAGTTCACAGTAGTATTACTTACTACATCTGGAAGGTGGAGTATGTACATGAGGGCCCTATGAGGACACAGCCCATCCGTTGTGCATTCTGTAGGAGAGAAAACAACAATGAATTCCTAGAACTAAGAAAAATACTCAGTGGACAGGAAAGAAGTAGCAAGGGGAAGGCTCCCAGAGGTTTAGAAAGTTGGGCCTCCCAAAATGCTCAAACTCAGAGCAACATAGGGTGCCTTGGTCTGGACAAGGATCAACTGAGGCATGGAGAGGTTCGAGAGGGAAAACACACTACAGGGAGGAAAGGTATTTTACAAAGGTGAGCTGACTGGAGGTGAACCTGGCTTCCTTCTCAATGCAGGATGGGAAGAGGCAGAAGAGGGACTGGGAGGCTGTAGCATTAGTAGTGTCTGTAGGCCAGATAGTGGTGAGATGAGATTTGGAGGTGCTTTGAAGGGAGAGGGCAAGTTTCAGTTGTAGAGAGAACTATAAAACAGGGCTGAAGTGAGTAAAATGCTATGCAATTGATTGGGTGATTATTGATCTTATTTTCTCCTATTTCTTAAGGGGAATCTGGTTGGGACCATCTCATCCCTGGTTTTGGAGAACCAGGTTATACCTCTCTCTGTAGAGGCAGAGAAAAGCAGCATATATTTCTGAAATTGTGATGTGGAGTTTATTGAACTATGCTTGTGCACACCTTACCTTCCCAAGATTGAGAATCACTGCTGTGGTAGCCATTGTTCCTGATGGGAGTGTGGCCTGCCTGGTTGGTGTGATGTTATTGATTAAAGTTTAGAGCCGTGGCTCTACTCCCAGTGCTCTGCTGCTAAGACAGCCTTTTCTTTAGTTTCTGTATTAAGGGGGTGCATTGCACATCTGCTTGTCTCTAGAGAGCTTTTAACCCTCTTTATTTCCTTAAAGCTCTGGTTGGGATTGGGGTTTGGGGATTAGGAGGAGGAACTAGGCAAGAATCTCCCTCTTCCCATTTTCATCCTTTGACATTGAAGTTACTACTTTAAGTTAGGTGGCAGATTCAACGCTTAAGCAATTAACTATGACCTGATATATGGTGATGACTTGAAACAGAGATTTCTGGTGTGGGGCCTTGAAATATGTTTTTAAACATGATTTCTCAGGTATTTCTTGAGGGATACAAAGGCAAACCAGTTTATACTAACATTTAAATAAAGAAACTTAAAAACTGGCTGGGCGCAGTGGCTCATGCCTGTAATTCCAGCACTTTGGGAGGCCAATGGGGGCAGATCACTTAAGCTCAGGAGTTTGAGACCAGCCTGAGCAACGTGGTGAAACCCTGTCTCTACAAATAATATAAGAAATTTGCTGAGCATGGTAGCACATGCCTGTAGTCCCAGCTACTTGGGAGGCTGAGATGGGACAATCACCTGAGCCCAGGAGCTCAACCTGCAGTGAGCCATGATTATGCCACTGCACTCCAGCCTGGGCAACAGAGGGAGACCCTGTCTCAAAAAACAAACAAACAAACACCCAAGAAACAAAACAAAACAAAATTTTTAAAACAATTTAAAGCAAAAGAATTCCTCTCCTTACAAATGAAAGTGTACACACAGTACATAGCCAAGGCTTTCCTCACTTTTCTGGATTCATGGAGGGCCCCTGTCATTTAGGTAATCTGTAGGGGTAAAGCCAGAGTCTCCTGCCTGGTACTCGGCCACTCATTCAGCTATGTGGCTAGAGATGATGGGAGAGCTGCTTCATGGTCATGTGCCTACATTTCACACTGGGATTATCCTGTGCCCAGAGGCCATGAGCTGCATCCACAAAAGCAAATACTTACTGAAATTTTCCTGAGTAGGTCGAGGCCTTCACAGGTGCTACTCCGGCAGTCGCCTGAGTTATGAATCAGACCATCCGAATACATGAAAGTAGCGTTCACAGTCACATTTAGGCCTGTCGCCCAGAGATGAGGGAAAATAGAACACTAGTGTTATTTTTCAGTAATTTATATCAGCCATGAGATTGATTCTGGGAAAAAATGGATATCCATTTTCAGGCCTAGGAATATTTACATCCTGAGCCCTTGTTTTACTCCTGGTCACTTTTTTCCTCTGTGTGTCTCTGTCTCTCTGTATCTTTTCATCTCTGTTTCTCTCTCTCTCTCTCAACAGTTTTATTGAGGTATAATTTATCTATCATAAAAATCATCCATGTTGAGTTTACGATTCAATGACTTTTAGTAAATATATATATAGTTGTGCAACCATCCACATGGTCCAGTTTTAGAACATTTTCATTGTGTTCACTGACCTCTTCATCTTTTCACAACCCTAGATGCAGCAGGTCTCCTGTATGGACTGGAGAGTGTTGGGAAGCAAAGACATAAACATTATGATAACCTGTTCTTTCATGGTCCCCAGGTGCTATTTGTTGCCAACTTGCAGGAGGCTGCAGTCTTCCTTGGTCTCTGATCTTTATCTATCCAGTCAACAAACAGTTATTAAGTTCCTGCTATGTGCCAGGCGCTCTTCTTTGCGCTCATGATACAGCATTGAACAAAAGTTCCCCCTTTCAATAGGCTTACATTTTCTTTGTGTGTTACACAGAATAATGCATTTCTGATAGGGTGGTCATGGAAGCCCTAGGGGGAGCTGGGACCTGCGTGAAGACTTAGCCATGCGACACATGGTTTCTCTGGTCAGAGGGAACAGCAAGGGCAAAAATCCCAGGCAGGACCCTTCTTGGCATTTCAGAAAGAACAGGGAGGCCAGCGTAGTCCTGACAGAGTAAGTGAGAGGTAGTATGGGTGAGATGTGAGGTCAGAGTGAGGCCACACCGTGCATGACCATGTGGACGTTAGTAAGTGCTTTCAATTTATTCCAGGATAAGATGTTTTGGAGGACTTTGAGCAGAGAAATGATATTGTCTGACTATTATTTTTAAAGGATATCTCTGGATCCTGATGCAGAGAATAGATTGTGGGGAACAGAAACAAATGCAGGGAGACTAGTGAAGACACGATTCATAACCTAGGTTAGATTGGACTACAGTAGTTGGAGCAAAAGTAGAGAAAAATGGTTGCATTTAGGATGTATTTTGAAGGTAGGAAATTGATAAATGCAATATGAAGTATGAGAAAAGAGGACTCAGAATAACGCCAATATTTTTGGCCTGAGCAAGTGGGTGAAGGGAACTCCTATTGACCAAGATGAGAAAGAGTGTGGGTGGAGCAGGTTTGCTAATGTGGTGTGTGTGGTGATGGAGGTGGACATGTCAGGTGTGAGATGCCTGTCACACTTCTAGATAGAGAGGACACTAAGCAGTTGAAATACACCCATCAGAAATAGTTATTAATGCAATCATTCTTATTGATAAAAAGCTGTCACATCTGTGGCTCAGATTTATCATTCTTGCTCAAAAGGGGTGTCTTGGTCAGTTTTCTAGAAATCAAAGCCTGAGACAAAAGCTTTATTGAGTTTGTCTTACCAGAGTCCCATATGCAGTAAATAGTGGGATCTGAAATGGAAGCCGTGATTATCTCATCCCAAACCAATTGTACATTTTTGATATCTCAAATGAAAACTCACGCATGAGGGAATGGCCTTTTACCAGCTTAGTGATGCACCAAAATGTTAAATCCAAAATTTATCAATGGGTATGATTGTTTGTTCTCAATGAATCTTGCTGTATTACAATTTTTAGACCCTGTCTCTCCTGGAGCATTCAAGATACTGAGTAAATAGTCTATGAGAAAAATACCTGCATACCCTCAGGAAGTTCCCTGCAGCTGTACCCACACTTCTCACATGAAATGAAAATGGTTAACAGTTAATTATCATCTATTTTTCCTAAAGAAGGTGCTGCAGAATTCTGTTTTCTTTCTTAGTAGACAGGGAAGGAGATTGTGTAACATTACAAAATTGCCAGAAAACCCCTTTGTCTTTAAAATACATCCTCTTACTTTAAAATGTTTCTAATCAAGGATAAAGAAAACAAAAATGTGTTCATTAGTGTCCTAAATTAGATGAGAGTTTTGTTTGGATTTCACTCTGACTCACACATTTCTCCTCTTAGAAAGCAATACAAGAATTGAAAACAAGTTTCTCTTCAAAATATCTGTTTGGTCACAAGGATGGCTGGCCTTACTGACCAGAACACCACTCCTGGTGTTAGGCATTTCCTCTATGGGCTACTCCCAAAGCCAAAGTGAATTATGTTCATCCTGGCTTGAGGTCTTTGTATAATGGAGAACTCCCATATTTAGATGAAAGCAAGGGTCTTGCTGGCGATATCCCTGGGGACTGCTAGGCACCACGTTTTAGAAGGGAATAGCAGAACCATTTGACCACAATCTATTAAATTTTGGTTCCTTCCAGTAAAAAATAATCAGGACAAATGTCTGATTCCTAAGCAGGGATGTTCTTTTTTTTTCTTTTTCTTTTTCTTCTTTGAGACAGAGTCTGCACTGTTGCTCTGGCTGGAGTGCAGTGGCGCGATCTCTGCTTACTGCAAGCTCCACCTCCCATGTTCATGCCATTCTCCTGCCTCAGCCTCCTGAGTAGCTGGGACTACAGGTGCCCACCACCACACCCGGCTAATTTTTTGTAGTTTTAGTAGAGACAGGGTTTCATCGTGTTAGCCAGGATGGTCTCGATCTCCTGACCTCATGATCCGCCCGCCTCGGCCTCCCAAAGTGCTGGGATTACAGGCGTGAGCCACTGTGCCCAGCTGCAGGGATGTTCTTAAGTTTGCCAAGTCTAGAGGGAGTCTGGAAACCTCAGTCCACAGTCCGGCATTATGAGTGATTTCTTATGTGTTCTTGTACAAGCCATTTTAATTTCTCTCACTTAGTTTCTCGCATGTAAAATGAGGTTAAAACCAAGTTTGTAAAATGGGATAATTTTTAATAGCACCTTTAAAAGAGCAAAGCATGTCTATAATAGAAGTTGTTCTTCTGAACAAATAAGAATGTTTTTAAAGGTAGAGACTTGTTCTTTCAAAGAATGGAGGAGTCTTTGCACTTCTACAGCCACTTGAGAGATGTCTACCAACTTTGCTTTTTTAAGTTCGAAAACACTGATACTTTATTCAGTAAGATAGCTGATTGAGAGATGTCAGTACTTTGGTAGGACTAGCCAAATAGGAGACTTCAATGTAATTAGACCAGTCAGAGATATCTAATGGAAGAGAAGTGGGGAGTGATGGGTTTAATAGCAGTTCACACTTAATTGAGTGTAACCGCGAGTCAGCTTCAGTACTAAGCCCCATATGCCTTTTATTTAATTTTCATGACAATAGAAAGGATATAGAGAATTTGAAACCAGGAGAACAGAATGAATGAGGCTACAGTGGACCTGGGGGAATGAGAGAGGGCATGTGAGGAACTGTAGAAAATAGGGTTAGAGAGGGTCTTGGAACACTGCAAGAGGAGTCAGAAAGTGACGTGGAGGGTAGCACACAGTCACATGAAGATGGCCACACTTGCAGCTCCTCTCTCTTGACCTCCTGCCTCTATGAGGGCTTTGTTCTGTCCTACCACCATGAGGGACAGTGAAAATGACACTTAAAAATCCAGTGCTCCTGGCAGCCCATGACTGATACAGCTAAACTCAAGTAGAAACCCTGGCACAGTGCCTGGGAAAAAGGGAACCAACATCTGTTGAGTGTGACCTCAGACAAGTGACTTCCCTACTGGGCCCCAGTTCCTCATCCACTTGTTAATAGAATAGAGCCAGTTGATCTCTTTCACTATATGCCTAGCTTTGGGCTGTGATTTTTTACAGGTATTATTTCACTTAATCCTCTCTGAATCCTTCAAGGTAATATTTTGTCATCCTCATTTAAACATGAGAAAATGGAGGTCTGGAGAGGTAGATTAACTTGTTTAAGGCTACACAGCTTGCAAGTAGTAGCGCAGGGATTTGAACCTAGGGAAGTCTAATTCTAGAACTTTGATATGCTGTAGAACAGCAGTTCTCAAAGTATGAGCCACTGAGGTACCCTTTAGTCCCTTTCAGGGGATCCATGAGGTCAAAGTCATTTTTATAATTATACTAAGACATTCCTTATTTTTTTCTACTCTCCTTCTCTCATGAGCATATGATAAGTTCTCCAGAGGCTATATCACATATATTCTTGCAACAGATTGAATGTAGAAGCCAATATGAGAATATAGCTATCTTCCATTAAGCTTGACATTAAAGACATTTGCAAAAGTGTAAACCAGTCTTCTCACTCGCTTTGTTTTTTTTCTTTTTTGGCTTGAGAAATATAGGTTTTCTTTAATAAAAATATTATTTATGCTAACAGATATTTATTTTTTTTGATGAATTTATAAAAAATGTTTAAAATGTTTCTCAGTTTAGTTTTCAATACAATCAATACTGATATATGTAGCCACATAAACATAACTCTTCAGCACCCTCATTAATTTTAAAGAGTTTAAAGAGGTCCTAGGCCAGGTGCGGTGGCTCACGCCTATAATCCCAGCACTTTGGGAGGCCGAGGCGGGCAGATCACCTGAGGTCAGGAGTTCGAGATCAGCCTGACCAACATGAAGAAACCCCGTCTCTACTAAAAATACAAAACATTAGCTGGATGTGGTGATGCATACCTGTAATCCCAGCTACTTGGGAGGCTGAGGCAGGAGAATCGCTTGAACCTGGGAGGCGGAGGTTGTGGTGAACTGAGATCATGCCATTGCACTCCAGCCTGGGCAACAAGAACGATACTCTGTCCCGAATAAATAAATAAATAAAGAGGTCCTAATACCAAAATATTTGAGAATGGCTTCTATGGAGCATAGTATAATATGCTGCCTCTCAATATTTTACTTTTATGTGTACTGCTTTCTCTTATTTTTAATTTGGTGGGGGTAATGTCTTCCCTTTTATCACTCCAGAACTCAAGTGATTTTTCTAGAAAATACTAAACATTTTTCAGACAATGACATAACTTCAAATCAAAGGTTTACTTTTAAAATAAGCCATTTCCCCCATGCTACTTTTCATCCTTTCCTACCGGCACTCTCTACCCCACAATGATATCTCATTCCTGGGAGGATGGATGGAAAGCTGAACAATATGGGGCGAGCTCAGAACTCTCTCTTCCTATCTAAGGGTTTAAGGATGGGGTTGGACCAACGTGGACCAACATGAAGCTAAAACCTTGGTGCTAGGGTCTAGGAGTGGGACCAGCTCAGCACAAGGGAGCACACACAGGGTATGGGTCATGTGATTAGCCTTGGAACCATACAGCCTCAGGGAGGTGATGTCATGAAGTCGAAGGAATCTCTTTTTTTCATGTTCTTTCCCACTAGATCCTGAATGTTCTTCAAGACCCTCAAAGCTTTCCTGATTCCTAAAAAAAATATTGATCATTTCCCTTTGAACATCACATATAACGCTTGAACTTTTACTTTTCCTCAATGTAACCCTGAGATATATTGTCTTATAATTTTTCCCAAATAATGATGCTCAACATGTTTAGAACATGAGCTATCTCTTCCCCAAAAACCTGTACCTTTTGTGTTTACTATGCATGCATATTCATCCAACAAAATGCACTAACAAATGTAAAAGTCTGGGCATCACAGCTTATTCCTTCATCTCCATAGAGCTCTCCACTTAAATGATCCATTTAACAACCTGCCCACTAATAACTATTTTACAAATGACTTGAGTGAAACTCGGAGATGATAAATAACTCACCTAATGTCACTCAACTGTAAATAATGGAGCAGGAATTCAAATTCAGATTGTATGCATCAGGGACCAAGGCTCTAACTAACATACTATTTAATTATTTTAGGTGCTTGGTAATGTGTTCTAGCAGTAGCAACAGCACAGAAACAATAAGAACAACTACATTAATGTCAATAACAACAACAGCAACAACTACCATTTATTGAGTTCTTACTATGTTTCAGTCAGTGAAGGAGGTACTTTATATGAGTTTTCTGATTGAATCCACATGCTATTCATATCGGGTAACTACCACTTATTCTAATTTATAGGTGTGGGAACTGAGGTTCCGAAAATTTAACTAGCTGCTTAAGGTCATACCTGTTGTGAATGGTCTGGCTGGAAAATAAATCAAGATCTGTCAGGTTCCAAATATCTGCTTCTAACCATAATGTTCCACTGCCTTGTTTTAATTAGAAACTTAGTTCACACTGGGTAAAGATATTACAATGGATTCCAAAGAGTGACCCGCAAACAGACAACCTATATGACCTTAGCAAAGTTGTTAAACCCCTGCTGTGAAACCAGTGTCAACCATGCTAACCTCACAGAGCTGTGGTGATTAAAGAGGTGATGTAATTGAAGTACCTAGAACTTAGCTACCCCATGATAGGTACTTAGTAACTGAAGAAACCAAGGCTCAGGGAGACTAACCCAGGATCACAGAGAGAGAAAACTTTGGGGCAGGGATCCCAGTCCAGGTCCTCAAAGGACAAATCAAGTGTTCTTTCCATTGTACCACACTGCCTCGGTAAATAAGGGGACTTCACTAAATAACCTCCTTGTTCCATTATGGCTCTAGATCAAATCCGTTCACTTATGTGTGAATCTAGTTTCAGAATTGGAGAGATGTTGTGTGTGCACAGAAGTAACTTATTATTCATATCTGAACAGCTGCCCTACTTCCACAGAATTTTAAATAGAGAAAATTAAGACATACCATCCTTAAAACCACAAATAACCATTAAGATGCATTAAATACTCATTGACTCAATAAGTCTATTTCTGGTAATCTAATCTCAGGGAATGCAGAAAATGAAAATGTTCATTGAAGTATTATGAAAATAGTAATGAGAAATTTAAAACAAATGAAATATCCTACATCAGAGAATTATTTTATATATATCTTATCATATATATCCCCCAAATTAGGTAATTTATATCCAGTGGATATAATACATACTGGATATTATAATATCTGGCGGATATTATATATCAATTCACATGATGACTAGAAAGGCCATGACGCTCTAGGAAAGTCACTTGTGCAATAATGTGAAGTGAACCAGAAGGATCCAAAACTGTTTCTATGCCATAGTGATCACCAACCACGTTCTTAAAAACAGGAAGCTAAGAAGCACATGAAAACAGACTGGAAACATCCAGGTGGCTGGGAATCATGGCTGCTTTTTTTCCCCCTTTATTTTACACATTTCATGTAATGTTATAAAATTTATTTTTATAACTAAAAGGTACAATGAAGAACTGCAACAATGAATTTGATTGCAAATGTTTTATATTAACTATGTCTAGTAATCACAGCCACAGGAAATGTAAAGAGTGAACAGACCACCCCCTCTCTACTAAAAATACAAAAAATTAGCCAGGCATGGTGGTGGGCACCTGTAGTCCCAGCTACTCGGGGGGCTGAGGCAGGAGAATGGCGTGAACCTGGGAGGCAGAGCTTGCAGTGAGCCGAGATCGTGCCACTGCACTCCAGCCTGGGTGACAGAGTGAGACTCCATCTCAAAAAAAAAAAAAAAAAAAAGAGTGAACAGGCCAGAGACAAATGTCTTTCTCTGGATAAAAGGCCCAGAGAAAGATTTGGTGTCTATGTGAAATTGACTGTCTTAATTCATCTTCTTGATTAGTATCCCTGTGAAATCTTAGGTCTAGACCAAATCTTACCTCTGAGTACAGAAGGAAACATAATGCCTTCCTGGAACCGGGCAATAAACTGAGTTTATTTTTATTTATTTTCTTTTTGAAGAGATGGAGTCTTGCTATGTTGCCCAGGCTGGTCTTGAACTCCCGGGCTCAGTGTCCCTCCTTCCTTGGCCTCCTAAATTGCTGAGATTACAGACGTGAGCCACCACATCTGGCCTAAACCCAGTTTTAACTGGGACGTTTCACTGCCGTGAACACTTTACATTTCCTGAGTCAGGGCTAGTCCCAGAGCAAGGTGAAGTGTGAGTGAGCACAGCATAATAGGGTTCAAATTCTTCTCTCTAAGGAGCTACTGTCATGAAATAGAAAGGGGTTTAGGGACAGTCCTTAGAGAAAGTTGTGTGATCAAAGAACACAAGGTCTTTGCTTAGCAACATTTTGTCCCCAGAGGTAGTAACAGAGTGGAGGAAGATTCTATTAACATTTTCTTACCAGCATTTTGCAGACGTCCTCTCACTATTTCCAGCCCCTCATTCACCGCATCTTCCAAGTTTTTCAGGGGCTCTGCAAAGGCTGAGTTGCCCATCATCAGGACGCTGATTTCATAGCTGCCATTGTGGCAGTTCTGACTCACCTGGGAACTAAAGGACAGCCACCCGGGCTGGAAGAGCAGTGACCACAAAGCCAAGTCCAACAGCAACGTCTTCATGACCCCAATCACGTTAGAACCATACTCCTTGTGCCCACTTGCTTTGCTCTGTTGGGCTCCTAGGGAGGCAGGGAATCCAGATGGACAGCCTCTAGTGGAGTCCCTCAGCCCACTCTTCCCCACGCTTCTCTCTGGTCATGCCCAACTGGTCACATGGGCCGTGGAACACAGCCTGCTTGCCAGTAATTAGCAGCTACGTTATGGCAGGAGATAAACCAAAGTTCACTTTGTGTTTGCACCCAGAAAGGTCAGAGCTATAAACAGAGAGATTAGCTGGGCCTCACCCAATAAAAATGCAATAATTTGTGATGCATCACTGGGAAGAGGGAAAAGAGAAAGAGGGCAATACATCATATATGTAACAAACTTTGTGAAGTGGAAAATAAAGGTCAAAGGGCTTTAGGAAAACACAGCTACAATTGACTATTAGTGCTTAAGTTTTAGCTGCACATTGAAACGAAATCCTTAACTTTATATATATATATAAAGTATATATATATATATATATAAAGTGTATATATATATATATATATATATATATAAAGTGTATATATATATATATATATATATATATATAAAGTGTATATATATATATATATATATATATATATATAAAGTGTATATATATATATACTTTAAGTTCTGGGATACATGTGCAGAACGTGCAGGTTTGTTACGTAGGTATGCACATGCCATGGTGGTTTGCTGCACCCATCAACCCGCCATCTACGTTAGGCATTTCTCCTAATGCTATCCCTCCCCTAGCCCCCCACCCCCCAACAGGCCCTGGTGTATGATTTTCCCCTCCCTGTGTCCATGTGTTCTCATTGTTCAACTCCCACTTACAAGTGAGAACATGCGGTATTTGGTTTTCTGTTCTTGTGTTAGTTTGCTGAGAATGATGGTTTCCAGCTTCATCCATGTCCCTGCAAAGGACATGCACTCATCCTTTTTATGGCTGCATAGTATTCTATGGTGTATATGTGCCACATTTTCTTTATCCAGTCTATTATTGATGGGCATTTGGGTTGGTTCCAAGTCTTTACTATTGTGAACAGTGCTGCAATAAACATATGTGTGCATGTGTCTTTATAGTAGAGTGATTTATAATCCTTTGGGTATATACCCAGTGATAGGATTGCTGGGTCAAATGGTATTTCTGGTTTTAGATCCTTGAGGAATTGCCACACTGTCTTTCACAATAGTTGGACTAATTTACACTCCCACCAACAGGGTAGAAGCGTTTCTATTTCTCCACATCCTCTCCAGCATCTGTTGTTTCCTGACTTTTTTAATGATTGCCATTCTAACTGGCATGAGATGGTATCTCATTGTGATTTTGATTTGCGTTTCTCTAATGACCAGTGATGATGAGCTTTTTTTCATGTTTCTTGGCTGCGTAAATGTCTTCTTTTGAGAATTGTCTGTTCATATCCTTTGCCCACTTCTTGATGGGGTTATTTGTTTTCTTCTTGTAAATTTGATTAAGTTCTTTGTAGATTCTGAATATTAGCCCTTTGCCAGATGGATAGATTGCAAAAGTTTTCTCCCATTCTGTAGGTTAAGCAGCAACTACTTATTAAGATTTGACTATGTGTTGAGCATTGGCAAGGCACTGAAGATATAGCCATGAACAACATAGATACATTAATGTCCTCATGGAACATGCATTCTAATGGGAGAAGGCAAACATTAAATAATTATGTTTATTTTCTATTTTTATTTTTTAATTTTAATATTTTTTTAATTTTTATTTAATTTTTTTTTTGAGATGGAGTCTTGCTCTGTCGCCCAGGCTGGAGTGCAGTGGCGCAATCTCGGCTCACTGCAAGCTCCACCTCCTGGGTTCACGCCATTCTCCTGCCTTAGCCTCCCAAGTAGCTGGGACTACAGGCGCCCGCCACCACGCCTGGCTAATTTTGTTTTTGTATTTTTAGTAGAGATGGGGTTTCACCATGTTAGCCTGGATGGTCTCGATCTCCTGACCTTGTGATCCGCCCACCTCAGCCTCTCAAAGTGCTGGGATTACAGGTGTGAGCCACCGCGCCTGGCATTAATTTTAATTTTTAAGGGTATGTAGTAGTTGTATATTTTTATGGGATAAACAAATATATGAATAACTAAATTCAGCAATGAAAAAAATTCAGAGTGCTATGAGAGCATATTGCAAATTAACATAACCTTTTCTAGAAAGTCAAGGAAGCATCCCTGAGACAGTGTCCACTAGCTAAGACAAGAGGATAAATGCATTAGCTGAATGAAAGGGAAGGAGGGCATACCAGGCAGGGGGACAGCTTGTGCAAAGAACCAGATGTGAGAAGGGGCATAGCATGTTTGAGAAACTGAAGAGCTACAGCCTGGTTGGAGTGGAGAGAACTAGGGGGTCAAGAGGCAGTAGAGGATGCCAGAAGAGTAGGTGGGAGAGGGCATGGACTTTCCTGTAAGCCAATAGGGATTTGGGACTATATCCTAAGAGTCAAGAAAGGGACATGAATTTTGAACAGACTGCTTAGACTTCCATGGAAGAACTGTCCTGGAGAGAGGCAGGCATAGGAACAGGGAACTGATGGGGAGGCTGTTGCTATAGACAAGTGAGAGCTAAAGAATGCCTGGATAAGGATGGTGGCATTGGAGATGTGTTAAAAAAATATCTAAAAGGTAAAATGTGGGACCAGCCTGGGCAATATAGTGAGATCCCATCTGTACTAAAAAAAAAAAAAAAATTAGCTGGGTATGGTGGCTCATGCCTGTCATCCTAGCACTTTGGGAGGCCAAGGCAGGAGAATCATTTGAGATCAGGATTTCAAGGCCAACCTGGGCAACATGGAGAGGCCCCGTCTCTATAAAGAAAAATTTTTTAAAAATTAGCCAGGTATGGTGGCCCATGCCTGTATACCCAGCTACTCAGGAGGCTAAAGCAGGAGGAGGATTGCTTGAGGCCAGGAGTTCAAGGCTGCAATGAGCTGTGATCATGCCACTGCACCCCAGCCTAGATGACCAGGCAAGAACCTGTCTCTAAATAAATAAATTAAATTACAAAAAAAGGTAAAATGGATGGGACTTGGTATTTGACTGGATTTGGGACATTAGGAAGAAGGAGGAATCAAAGATGACCCTGATATGCTCAGCTGGTTACTGAGCTCTAGAATTCTGGAAGGGGAGCAGGTTTGAGGGAGAAGATAATGACCTCTGTCTTGGGACATAGGGATCTTAAGGTGTCTGTGCAGTTGTGAAAACAGTCCCCATGGAATTTTGAGAAGAGAATCTGAACTTAAATGGGAGTTGGGAATTAAAATCAGAGACGTGTGATTGATCAGATAACGCCATTGTTTACAACACTGACTTGACCACTTATGGCAAAATTTATGTTTTGAAGTTAAAATTGTGAAAAATAAGTGTGTTAACTAGTACTATAACTCTTCCCTGGAAGCAGCTGCATTTGCAGTTACCTCACCAAACAAAATATATCAATTGTTGATAAGTTCAACCAATCCAAATAGAAGTAACCCAGCAAAAAAAAAAAAAAAAATTCTTTAACATTTAGACTGCAGCCACTCATGAGGTCACTTGAGTGGCCTTTCAGGGACCTTCTGTTTCTCAGCTGATATCACCTTGGCACTGGGAGCTGCATCTCCCATTGCAGGAGGATGGACTCCTCAGGCCTCGGCTGGAACTGACTGTATGAGTGAGGATTGTGGGATTCTGCCTCCTAGGGCAGGACAGGGATTGCTTGATATAACACAAGTTCCCTTAACTCAGCTTAGCTGGTCTCACAGTCCAGCCCAGGTAAAAAGCGGATTACTGAAGCAAACACTTGGAAGGTAGTGTTGGAGTTAGAGGGTAGATTTTCTACATTACTGATTTGAACAGTTCAGGGAGGCTGAGAGAGGGAAGAAGAAAATGACTTTGAACCAAGGAGCTCAAGGAACTCAGAATCTAGTTTGTTGGACAGGTCACGTGTTGAGTATTGAAATCAACCAGATTGATAGTAGGTGCTTGCTGGAGAAGACGATCTATCAATGCAGCAATAGATGAGGGAGAACAATCAGGACCAATAATTGACAGTGACTGATGAAAAGGGACTGAGCGTTATGGTTAAATGATATGTGCCTCAAAAGAACAGAGATTGTGTTTTTATAAAATATTTTAAAATGAGGAAGCAGATAATGCATGTAAAGGCTATATGTAATGAATATGTACACATTAAAAGAATAAGAAAATGAACACTCATATATCCAAGTTAGAACCTAGGACCTTCGCACTCCTATGTCCTCTATCCCCGAAACATCATCCTTTTCTGCTCCCAATGTAGCCAAGAGGTGTAGGGAAGAGTTAATCAAGAGATAAAGAATATTGAGGCATTTGTTGACCATAGCATGGGTATTTCAGAAGGCACTGTTAAATGTTTGAGATAAAGAATGGGAAGGAAGAAAGATCAGGGGGAGAGAAAACAGTATGAGGGTGAAAGAATACTGGAGGAGACACGATGCCAAGGGCTGTTGTTTTGGAGATGGTTGATGTGGAACAGGATGGGTTCAATCCCGGGTCTCCCAGAGAGAGGACGGGACCTTCACAGGATTCAGCTTTGATACAGAAGAAAAGTGCTGTGATTATTTTATGGGGCAGGATAGGTTGTTGTGGGTGATTGACAGGACTGGGTGCTGCATGGGGATTTGTAATGGATGTCAGTACCAGGCTGAAGACAGGCACATGGCCATCACAAGGATGCTCAGCCTTTGCTACAGGTAACGATTTTCTGTGTGGCACATTGGTGGCCAAGTTTGAACTCAAACACGGTTTTCTAACTATTAATTTGTTGCTCTTTCCACTTCCTGGGGCAGGAGAAGGAATAGAATACACTGTTTTTATTTTTAAAAAATGTGGTCCAGAAATTACAAGTATAAAAGAAAGCCATGTGGAGGGAGTTGATGAGATAGATAAAACTGCCAGGTGCTTTGATTCAGCTATAAAGACAGTAGGTAGGTGCAGTTCTGGGAATCCTCTGATTATAGCATGTAACCAGGATCATAATTCCAAATGTGAAGGATCAAAATAGCAGTCCTTCCTGAATCCCTTAAGACAAATAGTGTGTCTTCTTTGTGTCATAAAACTATAAACATGCAGATCATAATTAAATGTAGGCAGGTTCTGCTGGGAGAGTTTCAAGAGTCAAAACCAAATAATAGAACATTTGAGTTGGCAGCTTTAGGAGACATATTCTTGGCTATGGTCTGAATGTTTAGGTCTCCCTCAAATCCATGTGTTGAAATCCTAACCCCCAAAGTGATGCTATTAGAAGGTAGGGCCTTTGGGAAGTGATTAAGTCATAAGAGGAGAGCCCTCATGAATGAGATTATAAAATCTGGGGCCTCTTTTATAAGAGCCCCAGAGGTCTTATAAAACAGGCCCCAGAGAGACCTCTCCTCCCCCTACCATTTGAGGACACATAAAAAAGGCAGCTGTCTCTGAGCTGGAAAGCAGGCCCTCACCAGACACTGAATCTGCCAGTGCCTTGATCTTGGACTTCCTCCATGTAGGCCCTGTGATGCGGGATGCAGCTCCCAGGGCCAAAGTGTTATCAGCTGAGAAACAGAAGGTCCCTGAAAGGCCACTAAAGTGAACTGATGAGTGGCTGCAGTCTAAATTTTATAGATTTTTTTTTTAATGGGTTACCTCCATTTGGATTGGTTGAACTTACCAACAGTTTGTATCTTTCGTTTGGTGAGGTAACTGCAAATACAGCTGCTTCTGGGGAAGAGTTGTAGTACTAGTTAACACACTTATTTTTTACGATTTTAACTTTAAAACATAAAACACTTTCTGAAGTTTATAAGTCACCCAGTTTATGGTATTTTGTTATAGCAACCCAAACAGATTAAGACACTCTTCAATACAGAACAAGATCCTTTAAAGATAAGGGAAAAGAAAGAGGCTGGGCGCGGTGGTTCACACCTGTAATCCTAGCACTTTGAGAGGCCGAGGCAGGCAGATCACTTGAGGTCAGGAGTTTGAGACCAGCCTGGCCAACATGGTGAAACTCCATCTCTACTAAAAGTACAAAAATTATCTAGGCATGGTGGCATGTGCCTGTGATCCCAGCTACTTGGGAGGCTAAGGCATGAGAATCGCATGAACCCAAGAGGCAGAGGTTGCAGTGAGCAAAGATCATGCCACTGCACTCCAGCCTGGGCGACAGAGCAAGACTCTGGTCTAAAAAAAAAAAAAAAAGGAAAAGAAATTACTCCACATGGGAAGGGGCAGCTAAGCAAGTCACCTGTGTTTGCCACTCTTTAGTTTCTAGCAACAGTTTGGGTCTCTTTTGTAGCCTTTCCACTACAGTGCCCTTCCCTCCCTTTGGCCTGTGCGAACACATGCATCTCCTCAGTCTATTGCAATCCTAGTCTTCCCTTGTCTCCTTATCTCACTGGAGAAACAAAGATGATTTTTCAAAAGGAATTTTACCAAGGAACTAATTGAACTAGAACATGAAAGTTCTGTGCTAAACACAGTGGTGGAAATTCTGATCGAAATGTATTAAAGCACAATGACTGCAGTAAAGTATTTCTTAACAGATGATTTAATAGACTTCACCAGTTTAACAGAAATAGGCACTGTATGCTTGCAGTCAGTGGACATGTGCACTTTTGCTTAGTCCAGTTAAGTCGTATGCTTACTAAAGCTCCCTTCTGTTTGCACCCAAATTTGACAATTTTATTTATTATTTCATCATGTCCTTAATGAATGTAATTAAATGGTGATCTAATAAAATGCATACGTAAATTGTTGGAAATCTTAAACAAAGTCAAATTACTAAGAAAATTACCGTGGCAAGACTGTGTAAAACGCTGGAGAATACTATATAAAATCTAAAAAGATTCTGTCCTTAGAGTGCTTGTCAATTGTTTTAAAACATCAAACACTGAGGCCAGGGGTGGTGGCTCACACCTGTAATCCCAGCATTTGGGCGGCCGAGGCGGGTGGATCACCTGAGGTTAGGAGTTCGAGACCAGCTGGCCAACATGGTGAAACCCCATCTCTACTAAAAAATATACAAAAAATTAGCTGGACGTGGTGGCGGTTGTCTGTAATTCCAGCTACTCGGGAGGCTGAGGCAGGAGAATCGCTTGAACCCAGGAGGCAGAGGTTGCAGTGAGCCGAGATCGCACCATTGCACTCCAGCATGGGCAACAAGAGCGAAACTCCGTCTTAAAAACAAAAACAAAAACAACAACAAAAAACATCAAATACTGAAATAGATGATGCACTATGGGTGTGGTTTACTTACAAAAGCTGATTCAGAGATCCAATCAGGGCATCCGTGCTCAAAGAAAATTCCTTGGCCTGACTTCAATAGATGAATAAATGCACATGAATATGTTTTGAGACAAAACTTTTCAGGAATAAATTTATAATTTTTAATGATTCCTGTTTTAACTGATTTTTTTTTTCCTGTGAAAGGAATACTTACTGGTCCTCTTCACATAGGGTAAAATAATGTCAGATAAGTCAGGCAGCAAAAAGGATATATGATTTTGCAGAGGTCTCACATGGATTTGGATAGGCACGGTGGCTCATGCCTATAATACCAGCACTTTCAAAGGCCAAGGCAGGAGGTTCACTTGAGGGAAGGAGTTTGAGACTAAATGGATTTAGATATGCAAACTTTCTGAGTTAGGCATAAATAAATATGAGCAATCCAAGAAGAAGGAGGTTAAGGGGAAAGATGGAGGAAAAGGAAGAGATAAAACAACAAAATGGCAAGAGGTGAAGAGCTACAAAGAAATAAATGGCCAGTGAAAAAGACATAATGGGAAGTGGGTTGAAGACTTTTAATAACAAGGATGTCAGCCGGGTGTGGTGGCTCACGCCTGTAATCCCAGCACTTTGGGAGGCGGAGACGCGTGGATCACGAGGTCAGGAGATCCAGACCATCCTGGCTAACACGGTGAAACCCTGTCTCTACTAAAAATACAAAAAATTAGCCGGGCGTGATGGCGGGCGCCTGTAGTCCCAGCTATTCGGGAGGCTGAGGCAGGAGAATGGCGTGAACACATGAGGTGGAGCTTACAGTGAGCCGAGATAGGGCCACCGCACTCCAGCCTGGGCGACAGAGGGAGACTCCATCTCAAATAACAACAACAAAAAACAAAAAAGCAAAAACCAAGGATGTCTAAAATACATATGAAGTTGCTTTTATTTTCCATGAGGAATAATGCCTACTTCATTCATACAGCAGGTATTTATTGAGAGCCTTCTAATTGTTCTCAGCATGAAAGTTATAGCACAGACAAACAAATTTCTGCCTTCATGATCATTGTATTCTAGTGGGAATTTAAAACTGATAAAACATGACAATATAGTTAACTTTTCCCAAACCTTCAAGTCTGTGCCATATGCAGCTTGCCTAATATGTGGGAACAATGGAAAGGTGATCAGATCCATGTCTAGACTGATGGGATAAGAACAGGAACAGGATGTCAAGATGATTCACAGAAGCAGGAGTTTAAAGTCAGAAAGGTGATCAGGGTAACTCAGGACTTCAGGGACTTGATCAAACATTCGTGTATTAGTCCATTTTGCATTGCAGGTATAAAGGAATACCTGAGACTGGGTAATTTATAAGGAAAAGAGGTTCATTTGGTTCATAGTTCTGCAGGCTGTACGAGCATGGCATCAGCATCTGCTCAGCTTCTGGGGAGGCCTCAGGAAGCTTTTACTCATGGCAGAAGGTGAAGGGGAAGCAGGTGTGTCACATGGCAAGATAGGGAGCAAGAGAGAGAGGATGAGGTGCCAGGCTCCTTTAAACAAGCAGATCCTCCATGAACTAACAGAGCAAGAACTCACCCATTACCATAGGGAGACCATTCATGAAGGATCTTCCCCCAGGGCCCAAACACCTCTCACTAGGCCCACGTCCAACATGAGGGGTCACATTTCAACGTGATATTTGGAGGGGACAACCATTCAAATTTTCATGCATGTCCGTGTGAAGAGACCACCAAACAGGCTTTGTGTGAGCAATAAAGCTGTTTATTTCACCTGGGTGCAGGTAGGCTGAGTCCGAAAAGAGAGTCAGCGAAGGGAGATAAGGGTGGGGCCGTTTTATAGGATTTGGGTAGGTAAAGGAAAATTACAGTCAAAGGGGGTTTGTTCTCTGGCGGGTAGGAGTGGGGGTCGCAAGGTGCTCAGTGGGCAGGAGTGGGGGTCGCAAGGTGCTCAGTGGGGGTGCTTTTTGAGCCAGGATGAGCCAGGAAAAGGACTTTCACAAGGTAATGTCATCAGTTAAGGCAAGGACCGGCCATTTACACTTCTTTTGTGGTGGAATGTCATCAGTTAAGGTGGGGCAAGGCATATTCACTTCTTTTGTGATGCTTCAGTTACTTCAGGCCATCTGGGCGTATACGTGCAAGTCACAGGGGATGCGATGGCTTGGCTTGGGCTCAGAGGCCTGACATTCCTGCCTTCTTATATTAATAAGAAAAATAAAACAAAATAGTGTTGAAGTGTTGGGGCGGTGAAAATTTTTTGGGGGGTGCTATGGAGAGAGAGTGGGCGATGTTTCTCAGGGCTGCTTCAAGCGGGCTTAGGGGCGGCGTGGGAACCTAGAGTGGGAGAGATTAAGCTGAAGGGAGGTCTTGTGGTAAGGGGTGATATTGTGGGGATGTTAGAAGAAACATTTGTCGTATAGAATGATTGGTGATGGCCTGGATATGGTTTTGTATGAATTGAAAAACTAAATGGAATAACAGAAGGAGAAAAACAGGTATAAAAGGTCTACGAATTGGGACGACTCGACGTCTGATTAGAGAGTGCTTAAGGAGATTTGGCATAGTCCTGCCAGCAAAGATTATTTATTTACTTCAAGAGTTAAGAGTGGCAGTTTGGGGATAGCACCAGGAGATATCAGCTGTGATGGCTTGGAAAAACAGTGTAAACTGGCAGTGTAAACAAGAGCAGGGCATGTATGAGTAGTTGAGAAGGGTGAATAGGAGTATGACTAGACAGAAAATAGTAGGGATGACAAGTTTTTTTTTTTTTTTTTTGAGGCACAGTCTAAGTTGGTCTGGTGTCTGGAATGAGACTGGGGCCTAATAAAAAGGAGCGTCTATACAGGACCTTAAATGGGCTGTACCTTGTAGCATTCTGAGGACAGGCCAGAATTCTGAGAAGGGAAAGTGGTAAAAAGTATTGTCCAGTCCTTTTTAAATTGGTGGCTGAGCTTGGTGAGGTGTGTTTTTAAAAGACCTTTAGTCCATTCTACTTTTCTTGAAGACGGAGGACCGTAAGGGATATAAAGGTTTCACTGAATACTAAGAACCTGAAAAACTGCTTGGCTGATATGACTAATAAAGGCTCGTCTGTTATCAGACTGTATTGAGGTGGGAAGGCTAAACTGAGGAATTATGTCTGACAGAACAGAAGAAATGACTGCGGTGGCCTTCTCCGACCCTGTAGGAAAGGCCTCTACTTATTTTGAGGGCCTCTAAAAGTATTAAAGCAGCGGCAGCCACTGCACGCAGACATGAGGGCTAGGCTAAAACAGTAAGGTCAAGTTGTTTGGACAGAAAGGCTACAGGGTGTGGTCCTGGCTCTTGTGTAAAAATTCTGACTGCGCTAACCATGCCTAGGAAGGAAAGGAGTTGTTTTGTAGAAGGTGCTTGGGTTTGAGAGATCAGTCGGACACGATTGGCAGGGAGAGCACGTGTGTTTTTGAGAATTATGCCGAGATAGGTAACAGATGAGGAAGAAATTTGGGCTTGATTGAAGTAATGGGGGCTGTCTGTGAAGCTTTGCGGCAGGACAGCCCAGGTAATTTGCTGAGCTTGATGGGTGTCAGGGTCAGTCCAAGTGAAAGCGAAGAGAGGCTGGGATTAAGGGTGCAAAGGAATAGTAAAGAAAGCATGTTTGAGATCCAGAACAGAATAATGGGTTGTGGAGGCAGGTATTGAGGATAGGAGAGTATATGGGTTTGGCACCACGGGGTGTATAGGCAAAACAATTTGGTTGCTAAGGCGCAGATCCTGAACTAACTTGCAAGGCTTGTCTGGTTTTAGGACAGGTAAAATGGGGGAATTGTAAGGAGAGTTTATAGGCTTTAAAAGGCCGTGCTGTAGCAGGCGAGTAATAACAGGCTTTAATCTTTTTAAAGAGTGCTGCGGGATGGGATATTGGCGTTGAGTGGGGTAAGGGTGATTAGGTTTTAATGAGATGGTAAGGGGTGCATGATCGGTCGCCAAGGAGGGAGTAGAGGTATCTTATACTTGTGGGTTAAGGTGGGGGAATACAAGAGGAGGACGCAAAGGAGGCTTTGGATTGGGAAGAAGGGCGGCAATGAGATATAGCTGTAGTCCAGGAATAGTCAGGGAAGCAGATAATTTAGTTAACGTGTCTCAGTCTAATAAGGGAACTGGGCAGGTGGGGATAACTAAAAAGGAGTGCTTAAAAGAGTATTGTCTAAGTTGGCACCAGAGTTGGGGAGTTTTAAGAGGTTTAGAAGCCTGGCCGTCAATACCCACAACAGTTATGGAGGCAAGGGAAACAGGCCCTTGAAAAGAAGGTAATGTGGAGTGAGTAGCCTCCGTATTGATTAAGAAGGGGACGGGCTTACCTTCCACTGTGAGAGTTACCCGAAGCTCGGTGTCCGTGATGGTCTAGGCGGCTTCCGAGGCGATCGGGCAGTGTCAGTCTTCAGCCGCTAAGCCGAGAAGATCTGGGAAGGAGTCAGTCAGAGAGCCTTGGGCCGGAGTTCCAGGGGCTCTGGGAGTGGCTGCCAGGTGAGTTGAACAGTCCGATTTTCAGTGGGGTCCCACACAGATGGGACGCGGCTTAGGAGGAATCCCAGGCTGCGGGCATTCCTTGGCCCAGTGGCCAGATTTCCGGCACATGTAGCAAGCTCCTGTGGGAGGAGGTTCTGGAGGAACGCCTGGCTGCGTTTCAGGCGTTTGGAGTTCTTGTGTGCTGGAGATGTGGCTGGGGTTTGTCTCACAGTGGAGGCAAGGAATTGCAACTTTTTTCTATTATGGTACACCTTGAAGGCGAAGTTAATTAAATCCTGTTGTGGGGTTTGAGGGCTGGAATTTAATTTTTGGAGTTTTATTTAATGTCGGGAGCAGATTGGGTAATAAAATGTATATTGAGAATAAGACGGCCTTTTGACCTTTTAGGGTCTAGGGCTGTAAAGTGTCTCAGGGTTGCTGCCGAACGAGTCATGAACTGGGCTGGATTTTTATATTTGATGAAAAAGAGCCTAAACACTTCTGATTTGGGATAAAGAAAAAGGAGCATTAACCTTGACTATGTCTTTAGCTCCAGCCACCTTTTTCAGAGTAAATTGCTGGGCAGGAGGGGGAGGGCTAGTCACGGAACGAAACTGTAAGCCGGACCGGGTGTGAGGAGGGGAGGTGATAAAAGGATTATAGGGTGGAGGAGCAGAGGCTGAGGAAGAATTGGGACCTAGCTCAGCCTGGCAAGGAGCAGCCTGGGGAGGAAGGGAGAGGTCAGATGGGTCTGTAGAAAAGGAAGTTTAGAAAGACTCAGCGACGCTTGGGGTTGGTACTGAGGGGACAGGCGGGAGGGAAAGAAGGAAGATTTGGGACGAGTTGCACTGGTCACAGAGACTAGGAAGGGACTGATGTGTAAAAGAATGCCTGGACGTCAGGCACCTCAGACCGTTAGCCTATTTTACGACAAGAATTATTTAGATTTTGCAGGATGGAAAAATTCAAAGTGCCATTTTCTGGCTATTTGGAACTACTGTCGAGTTTGTATTGGGGTCAAGCGGCATTGCAGAAGAAAATAAGGCATTTAGGTTTTAGGTCAGGTGTGAGTTGAAGAGGTTTTAAGCTTTTGAGAACACAGGCTAAGGGAGAAGAAGGAGGAATGGAAGGTGGAAGGTTGCCCATAGTGAAGGAGGCAAACCCTGAGAAAAGAGAGCATAGAGACACGGAGGAGGGGAGTGGGGTTCTTGCCCTCCAGAAAAGCAGAGAGGGGGTTGGGACACGGAAATAAGGGATTGGGGCACAGAGATAAGAGGTCAGGGTGTGGAAATAAGGGATTGGAGCGCAGAGATAAGAGGTTGGGGTGCGGAAATAAGTGATTGGGGGGTTCTTGCCCCCTAGGAAAGCGGGACTTGCCGCTAAGGGTGAAGAAGGGGTTGAGGGGTACTTGCCCCTGCCCCAGGAAAGCAGAGAAGGGGTAGATACAAGGAGAGAAGAGGTTGAGGTACTTGCTCCTTCCCCAGAAAAGCGGGACTTGCCGCTAAGGGTGAAGGACCAAGGCAGGCATCCCTGCATGGTCTGACACCCTTGAAATGTGGCTGAATGATCAGAGAGGCCGTCCCTGCAATGATTAAACACCAAGGGAAGGCTGCCTTCCCAGTCCGTGACCGGCGCCAGAGTTTTGGGTTCATGGATAAAACATGTCTCTTTTGTCTCTACCAGAAAATGAAAGGAATTGAAATTAAGAGAAGGGAGAGATTGAAGTGTGGCGCCAAGATTGAAAGGAGAAAGAGGTTGAGGGATAGTGAGGGAGGTTGGAGAAGAGAGTAAAAAGAGGCCGCTTACCGGATTTGAAATTGGTGAGATGTTTCTTGGGCTGGTCGGTCTGAGGACCTGAGGTCGTAGGCGGATGTTTCTCACAGAGCAAAGAGCAGGAGGACAGGGGATTGATCTCCCAAGGGAGGTCCCCCGATCCGAGTCATGGCACCAAATTTCATGCGCGTCCGTGTGAAGAGACCACCAAACAGGCTTTGTGTGAGCAATAAAGCTGTTTATTTCACCTGGGTGCAGGTAGGCTGAGTCCGAAAAGAGAGTCAGCAAAGGGAGATAAGGGTGGGGCCGTTTTATAGGATTTGGGTAGGTAAAGGAAAATTACAGTCAAAGGGGGTTTGTTCTCTGGCGGGTAGGAGTGGGGGTCACAAGGTGCTCAGTGGGCAGGAGTGGGGGTCGCAAGGTGCTCAGTGGGGGTGCTTTTTGAGCCAGGATGAGCCAGGAAAAGGACTTTCACAAGGTAATGTCATCAGTTAAGGCAAGGACCGGCCATTTACACTTCTTTTGTGGTGGAATGTCATCAGTTAAGGTGGGGCAAGGCATATTCACTTCTTTTGTGATTCTTCAGTTACTTCAGGCCATCTGGGGGTATACATGCAAGTCACAGGGGATGCGATGGCTTGGCTTGGGCTCAGAGGCCTGACACAAACTATATCAGCTGGGGAGGGTTATTGGATCTTCTACAAGTATGAAAAGAGATTCAAAGTAGTCTTAGCTAGACAACAACGTGGAGTGAACCCAATGACACAAAATCATTCCTAGTGTTTCGCATCTAAACCTAGTGCTAGTGTCTGGGATGCTTCAAACTGACAGGCTTGTTTCTTTTCCTTGGTGTACCAGTGTCCTGGATTCTCCCCTCCCCCATTCCAACTCTATTCAATGCTTGAGCAGTGTCTTCCTCTCCCTCCTTTCCAAACCTTTTAAATACCGTGTTCTCTGTGCTCCAGAAAGGTTGGAGCAGGTGATTGTTACACTTGTCAAGGATAGATGAAAAATCTGTTAAATTTTCTTCTGCCTCTTGGATTGGCTCTTCTGTCCAGGTGGTTGTGTTTACATACTAAGGAAAGTGTGTTTGGAGACAGTAGCAATATGTCTCAGCTATAATAAACTTGTCTGTGTGCTGGAAACACTTCCTGTTTTCTCCTAAATCAAACACAACATAAGGAACAGACACAGTTCACTCCCTAGGATGCCAAAGCGTGGTTAGTTGGGCTGATATTTCAACAGTTATAAAGAAACTCTGTATTATTCATAGAAAAGTCAGCTAACACTCTTGTTTTTGCCCTTTAAGGCAGCTGAAAGATTACTTCCTTATGTAGGTTAAAATGATAGCTTAGAAAAGAAAGAAAGACTGTGATTATTTCTCTGAAGTGTAAACAGAGAAATGGTGAGTTTTGTTTATTGACGTATCCTTACCTTGTGGTTAAAAAGGTAGGGAAAGCATTTAAATAACAGAATGGCATATCTTGAGACAAAGAGGAGCTTCTTTGAATTCTAGGAGACAGTTTTACACACACACACACAACTTGGAGCTGGATTTGAACCTTGTTTTGGCTCTTTGCTAAGCATATGAACTTTGGGCAGGTTACCTATATTTGCCGATCCTCAGTTTTCTCATTTCTAAAATAAATTTACTTTCTATCCTAACCAATTTTCCGGCTTAGGCCTAAGCTGTGACCCTTGCTGGATTTTGGACATGGGTAAGTGTGCAAGGCGATTGATGGGATCTGCTCAAACAAAATCCAAGTACCTGTGGTTCAAGAGTAAGTAATCCATTCTAAGAAAAACAGGCAAGCATTGACGTGTACAGATTAGCTGTCGTATTACTCAAATCTGTCTGCAGTTCAGCCCATAAATTCATACCTTAGTTTAAGGGAGAAAAAGGCCTGGAAAAAAAAAACTGGAAGAACAACCCAATAGGGCACTGACTGAATATTAAGACAGAGATATCATTGCTTAGGGCCCCTCTACCAGGCTCCATCACATAAAGGGGAGGCTGTTGTTCCTGGCCTGGGCCCTGTTCATCAGGCCTGAGCACCACCTGATGAATGCTCATGCTCAGCGGGTCCATGGCAGTACCCAGCATACGTAGGCAGATTGGACAATGTTCAAAACATGCCCAGCAACTTCTAGAAATACAGGGTCAACAACAAGTGAAAATAAGTTACTACTCTTGCTATAAACTTTGCAGATCCCAGTGTGGGGAAATTTGGGTTCATTACATCAGAAAATGGTATCATAAAGTTCCTGGCACCTAGCTGAGTAGGTGCTCAACAAATGTTAATTATTGTTATTCTTCGATGCCTTTCTGTACACGGCAGAATAGATTACTCCTTTCTTTTTGAGGCTTTTGTGCATTATAGATATTTCTTACCTAACATTAAACATTTAATTGAAACTAATTTAATTGGAATTTTAAAATATATGCCAATTTTATTATATTAGAAAAGAATGGTAGTGGGAAGAAATTCTAGTGATATTCAAGAAATGACAGGCTAGAAGTGATTTAAAAATTATTTCTAAAACAAATCTTTAGAATCTATCACAGGAACAGAAGTTTGAGCTATATGTATTTAGATATATCTATTTGTTGTCTGAAATATGTTTACAGCAAACCAGCAGAACATATCTGAAACAAAAACAGAATTTAAGAAATATAAAATGGTACATACTCCTTTTCATGTTATGCATGAGATTAGGAAAAAATAATTTCTCTAATGCTTCAAACTTGGCAAAATTATTCAAAGGATGAACAAATGTCTGATGGAAAGAATCAGATTTAAAGTGATAAGATCAACGAGGAGAAAAGACTTCTTAATCCTTCAAGATTGCAAAACCAGTTGCCCAAAGACTCATTAAATCAAATGTATTAAATGCAGTCACATTCCACACACATTATTTTTCTGTTAAAAATAGAAAGGAGTTGTACAGTTTTGCTGTTGGAATAATAAATTAGTTTTGATTTTGTAGTTATATGGCAAGAAAATAGGGTCTGGAGGCAGGGAACATAAGGCCGATTCACACTACAGCTATGACAAGAAATATCCTCTCCATAGGGCATACACTGAGTAAATGACTTTGTAACTTTACTTCATCCTCTTCATTTACATAGGGCGTACCCCAAGTAGAGGGTATTTAAACTCACAAAAACTCTGTAACAAGGTCTTTGAGCCCCTATGCTCAGGCCCGCTCCCACACTGTGGAGTGTACTTTCATTTTCTATAAATTCCTTCATTCCTTCCTTGCTTTGTTTGTGCATTTTGTCCAATTCTTTGTTCAAGATGCCAAGAACCTGGACACCCTCCACCAGTGACAGTTATATTTGTGTACTTTGGACCCAATACTTTTTCCCCTAGCTCTCAAACATCATGTAGGCTTTTAAAATTCTCAGAGACCAAGACAGTGATAGCACTCTATCCTGATGAGTAAGGATGGAAAATAAATGGAGGCCAAGGCCATTTACAGCTGGCGCTCACAACATCCTTGTGAAATAAAAGGGGACAGTATTTAAATTAAGGCATTTGCAAGAGAAGCAGAAGCTAAGAGTCAACAAAATACAAAGCTGTAAATTTGTGGGGAAAAAATACAATTATATAGAAAATGTGAATGTGGAAGCTAGTGAGAATTCTTGGAAAAAATTCAGAAATTTGCAAGAGCAGGTTGTAACATAAACATGAAGTTAGCAAGAATGATAACTGATACAGGAGGTTTGGTTTTTAGCATGAGAACATGGAGGAAGTCGGATCATGAAGTTTCTGGTGTCAATTTTCTTGTGTCTTCTTGCTGTGTAACTGCCATGCAGAAGGCATGTGGACTTTTTACATGACCCCCACAGAAAAATTGGAGACAAAAAAATAGTTGGGCATTTGCTCTTAAAAGAAGGATGGTTAGCAATAACATAATAGTTTTACAGCTCAAAGTTTTCGAACCTAATTCTAAAAACGGAAGAAGTGATGACAGTAGTTGAGATGCAGATTTCAAATTCCCTCTCTTCAAGTTGAAGTGTTCCTGGAAATGGTATGCTCAGACAAAGAAAAAATAATTCCCAAATCAAAACATGTAAACAGCATGGTGAAGAAGATTGCTGAGAAGGGGGAGAGGGCTGAGGATCTAAAATGGACCTTCAGGAAAGTTCGACGCAGGAAAGTATGAAACTATTGAGACCCTCCCAGAGAACGGAGGGTTTGACTTCATCTGACTGTGTCTCCTCTGCTTGTGTTTGCTTAATAAATGTCTGCATGTGAGGCAGACAACATACAAAAATCGATACTTAAAATAGAAATGATTGGGCTCTAAGATAATGAAATGGCTCCGTTGTCTGAGGAATATACCCTGGTTCTTTGTCACGGTCGAGAAAGAATTCACAACACAGACACACATCAGGAGTGGGTTTAGGAGAGGAAAGTTTAATAGCCAAAAAGGTAGAGAGAGAGAAAAGGCTTCTTCATGCTGAGAAAGCAGCTTGCCAAACAGAGGGTCTCTGGTTTGTGGCAGAATGAAATCGATTTTGTACAGAGGCTTGAGGAGGCGGTGATTGATTTTAATAGGGCCCAGGGGATTGATTTGACCAGGTGTGCCATTTACATAGCCCGAAAAGACTGGCCCTCCCACCCTAGACTTTTATTATGCAAATGTGGCTTCTACCTGGCTGGTTGCCATGATACCCGTACATGTGGTTTTACCTAGAGGCTGCCAAAGCACTGGCACACATGGTGTGCCAGGAAAAGAGGGCGGGAGGTGCCATATTGAATGTACCTGGCTTCCAGGTACAGCTGCCGGCATTTACATATAAAATCTCCTAGTTTGCATATCTATGCCTGACTTTTCAGGGTGCTTTCTGTTAGGGAAGAAATTATTTGGGGCTGCTTTTTATTAAAAGAAAATTTCACCAAGAACTTTTACCCTTTCTGGCTGCCTAAAAATAATTTCTTAATAACTCCTGTTAATAAGAATTTAGGGAATCATAAAAAGGCCACTGAAATGAAAGTGGGAGAAAGCTCAAATGCTGTGAATTAACATCTGCCATTCATTGAGCACCTAGTGGGAACTTACCACTCAGATTATGTGTCAAACACCCAAGTCTGAGTAACCATAATTTGCGTTTCAAGTAAAAATCATTTCCATAAAACAGTGTCTATTTCAGCTTATGACTCAAGCAATCATACAAATAAGTTGTAGTGGATGAAGAATATAATGACCACTAGTGGAGTTTGGTGTCACTGCTTTGATTTGTGCTGAGGTTGTAATGCCTAAGGTTCTTGCCTAGCCACGCCAAAGAATTGGGGTGGCGGCTAACTGCGGCCAGTGATAGAGACACAGACCGAGAGAGAGAGAAAAAGCGGTAGGCTTTATTGAGCAGAGTGAAAGTACAAAGCTTCTGGCCAGGCACAGTGGCTCACGCCTGTAATCCCCAGGACTTTGGGAGGCCGAGGCGGGCGGATCACGAGGTCAGGAGATCGATAGACTATCCTGGCTAACACGGTGAAACCCCCTCTCTACTAAAAATACAAAAAATTAGCCGGGCGTGGTGGCGGGCGCCTGTAGTCCCAGCTACTTGGGAGGCTGAGGCAGGAGAATGGCAAGAACCCGGGAGGCGGGGCTTGCAGTGAGCCGAGATCACGCAACTGCACTCCATCCTGGGCAACAGAGCGAGACGCCGTCTCAAAAAAAAAAAAAAAAAAAAAGAAAGAAAAAAGAAAGTATAAAGCTTCTGCAGCGTGGAAGAGGTCCTGAAGGGGTAGCCACTGTTGATTTTGGGTGATTGCCTTTTAAACTCTTTCAGGCGGGAAATAACGTGCAGCGGGAAGATGCTACCAGAGCGAGAAACAAAGGCAGTAAATTATTTTGTGACATGTCTTAGATTTTGAGGAAAACTGGAATTGCAACTTAGGTTTTATCTACTTTATGACCTTGCAGCGGCATGGCAAAGGAGACAGGATATTACAGGACTTTACAAAGTATGTTTACAAGGAATTGGAATTGGGAGTATTACTAGATAAGGTCTGCTGGTCACAGAAAAACGGGCAGTTAACATTTCTTTTACTTTAGTTTTGGGGGAGAGGGAAAGGAGAGAAGACAGGGAAACTTACAGCACAATTTTCGCTGTTTATAGCTTTCTTGGGGGAAGAAAACACATGCACAAATCCTGGTGTTAGGCATATTTTAAGCATATATCTTCAATATTATTTATCCAGGACTGAAGGAAGTCCTGATGCAGGAAATGAGTGAAACGTTTCACAGCTTTCTGAGCCCCTACTAGACCCAGGAAGCCCAACTGGCACCTACTCTCAAGGCTACAGTGGTTTTACCATTATTGCTTTTGTATGTGAACCCAGACATCTGAGACAGGTCTCAATTTAAAAAGTTTATGTTGCCAAGGTTGAGGATGTACCCATGACACAGCCTCAGGAAGTTCTGACCACATGTCCCCAAGGTGGTCAGAGCACAGCTTGGTTTTGTATATTTTAGGGAGACATGAGACATCAATCAATGTATGTAAGAAGTACATTGGTTTGGTCTGGAAAGGTGGGACAACTTGAAGCAAAGGCAGGAAGACTCAAAGTGGGAAGGGAGCTTCCAGGTCACAGATAGGTGAGACACAAATGGTTGCATTCTTTTGAGGTTCGGATTAGCCTTTCCAAAGAAGGCAAATCAGATATGCATCTATCTCAATGAGCAGAGGAGTGACTGAATAGAATGGGAGGCAGGTTTGCCCTAAACAGTTTCCAGCTTGAGTTTTCCTTAGTGATTTTGGGGGCCCAAGATATTTTCCTTTTACACTATTAACATGAATGTCAATATAGAGGAAAGGCAAGTAACATTTTAGTGTTCTTATGATACTGATCTCATTGATCCCTTTAAGTGTCTTGGGAACCCTCACCCAAGGTGAATATGAACCACACTTTGAGAACCACTCCTCTGCATGATAACTATCTTGCTCACATTGCAGGTCTCATCTCCTATCACTCTCTGCTTGGCTCTCCAAGTTCCACCCACTAAAGGACATTTACATCAGCTGTTCCCAGAAAGCTCTGCCCCCTGGTGTCCTTATTGTTATCACAGCTCAGCTCAAATGGCACCTTGCAAAGACACTTTCTGTGATCACCCAGTTTAAAGAGCACCCCTTACCCGTAGTCATTCCCTGTTACATTATCCTGCTTTATTTTTTAGAAAAAAATTTATCATTTGATATTAGTTTACTTTTTGAATTCAAGGAATTGAACTATCTTGTTCATTTCTGTATCCCTGTCTTTTAGAACAGTATAGTCAAAATTCAATAAATACTTATTGAATAAACAGATTTTAAAAGGACATTGAAGAATGAAAAAGAAAAGGTGAATATGACAGTAATTTGAATAATATAAAGCATTACAAAGTTGTTTACTGTAGTTTTCAATATTAATCTCCTGATGACTATGACCTTCTGCTGATTATTTTCCATTTTTTAAATGTTATTCAGACTTTAATATTCTCTATATAGCAATATGGAACTTGTATTCTTTTATTTTTCCTTCCTATTATTACACTTAGGTGGAGTGCAAAATATTTTAAGGTACAGCAATATAATCCTCCTTATATGTAAAAAAAAAGATTTCTTCCATTAGTGTCTTTAGAGGATAGTGTAAAGGTTAAAAACTATGGGCATGATCAATTTGGGGATAACTGACATCTTTAGTATATTGAATCTTATTATTTAGGAACATGGTATGTCTGCCCCTTTATTTACGTCTTTCTTAATGTATCTAAATGAAGTTTTATAATTATCTTCCCAACTGTTTTATATATTATTTATTAGAAGTATTCATAACTAGTATATATATGTTTGTTTGACTATAAAGCGTATGTTGTATATTTTTAAAATAATTCCTGGGTAGAAACTTAAATTTCAAAATATTGATCTTGTATCTGATAACCTTGCTAAACTCTTTCATTACATTCTAGTAATTTCTAGATAAAAGAAGTTTTCTATATATGCAAACATATCATCTGCTAAATATTCTTTTCCCTTTCTTCTCTCTTTATGATACTGTTTCAAATAGGAGCGGCGAGATTCTGCATCTTAGCTTGCCTAGGTGGGGAGGTAAGACAGTTTTTATATTCTTATTTTCCCTCTTGTCTTATCTACTGTTTTACCTAACAGTTTATATCTTGTTATGTTTCTGATTTTAAAGGTAATGCTTTTAACATTTCACTACCAAGTAAGATATTTACTGTAGGCATTTAGCTTTTATTTTATTTTATAGTTTTAGATTCTTTTATCAGGATAGAAAGATTTTTTTTCTATCCCTAGTTTTTAAAGTTTTTAATCATAAAAACTTTATTATTTAAACTTTATATTGATTTTTCTGCATCTATTGAGATTATCAAAATGTTTTTTCAACTTTTTTTTTTGAGAAAGAGTCTTGCTCTGTTGCTCAGGCTGGAGTGCAGTGGCATGATCTCGGCTCACTGCAACCTCTGCCTCCCAGGTTCAAGTAATTCTTGTGCCTCAGCCTCCTGAGTAGCTGGGACTACAGGTGTGCATCACCATGTCCAGATTATTTTTGTATTTTTAGTAGAAACGGGGTTTTGCCATGTTGGCCAGGCTGGTCTTGAACTCCTGGCCTCAAGCGATCCTCCCGCTCTTGGCCTTCCACAGTGCTGGGATTATGGGCGTGAGCCACAGAACCCCGTCAACTTTTTATTTTTTAATAAGAAAATTATATCAGCCTATTTTGTCATGTTGAACTATTCATGGAATAGTTGCATTCATGAAACAAATGCAACTTGGTCAAAATATATTTATTTTCTTATTTATATATTGCTAGGTTTGGCTTGCTATTATTTTATTTGGATTTTTGCATCTGTATCTTGAGTAATATTGGTCCACAATTTGCCTTTCTCATATGAGAAAGAACTGCCTTTGTCAGGTTTTGGTGTCAAAGTTGTACTAACCTCATACAATTAGTTGATGAGTATTATTTCTTTTTCTGTTAATTAGAAGAGTTTATATAAGGTTGGAATCATCTGTTCTTGAATGTGTAAGGAGGATATGATTTTTTAAACAAACACAAAACAGTACAAATCATAGAGGAAATGCTAAGTTTTTCTTCTTACATTAGAATTAAGAACTAAAAAAATTCACCAAATGCACTATAAAGTGAATGAAAATACAACTAAGAAATAATTGCAGTATGCCTAATTGTCAAAGGACTAATGTGTTCAGAATATAATACAACTTTTACAAATAATAAGAAAACAATTGAATATAAAAATTATCTGTATAATCTTATTTGAATCATTCTCCTCTGTTCCACTCACCTGATGTAGGTAATTTTTATTACTTTTACTTTAAACATTATAGTTTTTTTTAATGCATAGAGGAATATATACTCATGTTTTACCTCCTTTTATATCTAGTGACATTCCAATCTGTAATGTATGACAATACCTGGCTCTTCACAGCCTTTTTTTTTTTTTTTTTTTTTGAGACAGGGTCTGGAGTGGAGTGCAGTGGTATAGTCATTGCTCATACAACCTCAATTGCCTGAGCTCAAGCAATTCTTCCATCTCAGCTTCCCAAGTAGCTGGGACCACGGGCATGTGCCACCACACCCAGCCATTTTTTAAATTATTATTATTTGTAGAGACGAGGTCTTGCTATGTTGCCCAGGCTGGTCTTCAACTCCTGGGCTCAAACAATCCTTCCACTTTAGCCTCCCAAAGTGCTGGGATTACAGGTGTGAACCACTGTGCCCAGCCTACTTCATAGCCTCTGATGCAGAATCTGCTGTTAAAATTTTTGACTTTTAGTTATTTAATAGGTGAGAAATGATATTTCAGTGGTGTTCCTATTACATTTATCTTAACAGTTAGATCAAGAATCTTTTCTCAATGCTGCTTGTTTGGTTGGGTAAAAGAAAATAATTAAAAATAAAATAAAAAATTGTTATAAGTTTAAAGAATTCTCAATAGCTATACAACTTCAGGGTGAGACTGCACTTTGAAGATATATACTGCTGTCCTCTGGCATCCATCATTCCTGTTAAGAAGTTATCTGTCTTATATAATTACTTTATCTTTTTTCTGTAGCTGCTTTTAAAGACTTCTTTTTGTCTTTTGGGTTCTGCAGTTCTACCACAGAGTTTCTAGGTGGATATTTATTTTTATTTATTCTACTTGTGATTCACTGATAATTTTGACTATGAGGATTGGTTTCTTTCACCATTTCTGAATATTGTCAACTACTAGCTCTTCAAATATTGCCTCATTCTCATACTCTCTATTCTTTCCTTTTGAAACTTCTATTAGACAGAGAGGTATGCTTTCTTGCTTTGTTCTCTATATTTATTCTCAACTTTTATTTCAGGTTCAGGGCATACATGAGCAGGTTTGTTACATGGGTAAATTGCATGTCACTGAGGTTGGGTGTATAAATGACCTCTCTTGTCATGCAGGTAATGAGTATAGTACCCAATAGGCAGTTTTCCAGCCCTTTCCCCTCCAATCCTCCCCCTCTAGTAGTACTCAGTGTCTCTTATTCCCATCTTTATGTCCGTATGTACTCAATGTTTAGCTCCCACTTATAAGTGAGAAATATGCAATATTTCAGAACTGCTTTAGCTAATCTAGGTCCTTTGGCATTCCACATTAATTCTAGAATAATATTGCCTATGCCTTTTAAAATATTACTGGCATTTTGACTGACATTACATTAAACCTATACAATTTGGGGACGATTGACATCATTACTATAGTGCATCTCCCAATTCATGAACATGGTATGTCTCTCCATTTATTTAGATCTTTAAAATTTTTTAAATTGACAAATAGTAACTATGCATAGTTATGGGGTACATGTGATGCTTTGATATGTGTATACATTTAAAATGATTAAATCTAGTAATTAGTATATATATCACCTCAAACATTTATCATTTATTGTTGTTAAAACATTCAAAATTCTCTCTTCTAGCAATTTTGAAATGTACAATACATTATTGTTAACTATTTTTACCCTACTATGCAATAGAACACCAGAACTTATTCCTCCTGTCTAACTGTACCTTTTTACCCATCGATCAACTTCTCCCCATTCTTTCCTATCCTCTACACTATCCAGCCTCTGGTAACCACTATTCTACTCTCTACTCCATCTCTTTTATATTCCACATATGAGTGAGAATTTGTTTTACTGTACCTGGTTTATTTAACTTAACATAATGTCCTCTAGGTTCATTATGTTGCCACAAATGATAGGATTTCATTGTTTTTTATGGTTGAATAATATACCATTGTGTATGTGTGTATACATATATATATCTATATATATCACATTTTAAAAAAACTATATATCAGGCTAGGTGTGGTGGCTCACACCTGTAATCCCAGCACTTTGGGAGGCCAAGGCAGGCAGATCACTTGAGGTTAGAAGTTCAAAACCAGTCTGGCCAACATGGTGAAACCCTGTCTCTACTAAAAATACAAAAAAAAAAAAAAAAAAAATAGCCAGGCATGGTGATAGGTGCCTGTAGTCCCAGCTAATTGGGAGGCTGAGACAGAAGAATTGCTAGAACCCAGGAGGTGGAGACTGCAGTAAGCCAAGATTGCGCCACTGCACTCTAGCCTGGGCTACAGAGCAAGATTTCATCTCAAAAAAAAAATCTATTTATCTGTTGATGTACACTTAGGTTGATGGTTGATTCCATATCTTGACTACTGTGAATAGTGCTGCAATAAACATGGGGTGCAGGTATCTCCTTGACATATATATATATATTTTTTTTTTTTTTTTTTTTTTTTTTTTGAGACGGAGTCTCGCTCTGTCGCCCAGGCTGGAGTGCAGTGGCGGGATCTCGGCTCACTGCAAGCTCCGCCTCCCGGGTTCACGCCATTCTCCTGCCTCAGCCTCCCAAGTAGCTGGGACTACAGGCGCCCGCCACTACGCCCGGCTAATTTTTTGTATTTTTAGTAGAGACAGGGTTTCACCGTTTTAGCCAGGATGGTCTCGATCTCCTGACCTCGTGATCCGCCCGCCTCGGCCTCCCAAAGTGCTGGGATTACAGGTGTGAGCCACCGCGCCCAGCCCTTCCTTGACATATTAATTCTATTTTTAAATTTTTTGATATATACCCAGTAGTAGTATTGTTAGATCATATGGTAGCTCTGTTTTTAATTTTTTGAGAAAACCTCCATACTGTTTTCCCTAATGTCTGGTACTAATTTACATTCCCACCAACAGTGTATTAAAGTTCCCCTTTTTCCACATCCTCATCAGCATCAGCATTTGTTATTTTTTTATCTCTTTGATGAAAGCCATTTTAACTGAGATGAGGTAATATATCTCATTGTGGTTTTGATTTGCATTTCCCTGATTAGTGATGCTGAGCATTTTCCATATCCCTTTGGTCATCTGTATGTCTTCTTTGGAGAAATGTCTACTCAGGCTTCTTGCCCATTTTTAAGTTGGGTTTTGGATTTTTTGGGTTGCTGTAGGGCTGTTTGAGTTCTTTGTATAATCCAGATATTAACCCCTTGTCAGATGCATAGTTTGCAGGTATTTTCTCCCACTCTATAGGCTTTCTCTTTGGTCTATTTCCTTTGCTGTGCAGAAGCTTTTTAGTTTGATGTAATTGCATTCACCTATTTTTGCTTTTGTTGCCTGTGTTTTTGAGGTCTTATCAAAAAAATTCTTGCTCCAGACAAATGCCATGAACCATTTCCCAGAGATAGATAGATAGATAGATAGATAGATAGATAGATAGACAGACAGACAGACAGATAGATAGATAGATGTTTTGAGACAGAGTCTGCCATGCTGGAGTGCAGTGACATGATCTTGGCTCACTGCAACCTCCGCCTCCTGGGTTCAAGTGATTCTCATGCCTCAGCCTCCCAAGTAGCTGGGATTACAAGCACATACCATCACACCTGACTAATGTTTGTATTTTTAGTAGAGGTGGGGTTTCACCATGTTGGCCAGGCTGGTCTCAAACTCCTGACCTCAAGTGATCCACCCACCTTGACCTCCCAGAGTGCTGGGATTACAGGCATGAGTCACTGCACCCAGCCCATTTACCCTATATTTTATTCTTGTAGTTTTGGATCTTTTGTTTAAGTCTTTTTTTTTTAAGAGATAGGAACTCACTATGTCCACTGTGTTGCCCAGGCTGGCCTTGAACTCTTGGGCTCAAGTGATCCTCCTGCCTCAGCCTCCTGAGTAACTGGGTCTATGGATGTGCACCACCACCTGGCTACGTTTAAGTCTTTAATCTATTTTGAGCTGATTTTGCAGTTGGTGAGATAAGGATCTAGTTTCATTCTTCTGCATATATATCCAGTTTTTCAAGCACCATTTATTAGACTGTCCTTTTCCCATTGTGTGTTCTTGGCACTTTTATTGAAAATTAGTTGGCTGTAAATATGTGCATTTATTTCTATGTTCTCTATTCTATTCCACTGGTCATTGTGATTCTTTTTTTTTATTCCAGTGCCATGCTGTTTTGGTTACAATAGTTTTGCAGTATATTTTGAAGTCAGCTACTGTGATGCCTCCAGCTTTCTTTTTCTTTGCTCAAGATTGCTTTGGCTATTCAGGGTCTTTTGTGGTTCCATGCAATTTTTTTTCTTACACTGCTATTTTGAATTCCTTGTCTAATAGGTCACACATCTTCTCTTTGGGATTTGTCACTAGCCCCTTATTTTGCCTGTTTAGTGAGGTCATAATTCCGATTGTACTTGGTGATTGTGGCTGCACTTCGATGTCTGCACATCGAAAAATTAGGTATTTATTTTAATCTTCACAGTCTGGCTTTAAATGTTCCCATGCTTCTTCAGTGGGCCTGTTCAGTTATCCAAGCCGACTGTTATGAAAGACTCTGACCAGTGCAGCTGTTCCGACACTAGAGGGTGCCCTAAGCCCATATTTGTTGTCAGTTTCACAAAAGTTCCATAGTTGGCATGCACTCTGGCAGAGATGGACCTGGTGAAGATCCAAGGCATGTACCCAAGTTGAGTGAGAATATTGGCCAGGGACCCAAGTCTGGAAGCCTGTCCCATAGGCCCAGACAGGCGAGGCTTCCAGGCCAGTTCCCCAACTGCAGCAGGAGAAGATGGAGCTGAGCCTGGGCCGCCTCTGTACCTGCTGTGGGATGGGGGCTGGTGGCCCAGATATGCAAGCCTCCCAGCAGTTCTCAGGAGATGCTGAAGTTGAGACTAGTTCCCCTCAGAATTCACTGTGAGATCAAGGCCAGTGAGTTCACCCCAGTAGGTCAGGTGGGTGCACATCCCACAGTCATTTCCTGCACAAATGGGACAGTTCCCAGACTGAGGAGCTGGAGTTGATTGGGCCCCCTCAGGATCTGCTTTGGGATGGAGGCTGATGTGCCCATCATGTAGGCTTACATGACTGACATGTGTAATCCCTAGACTGTGAGATATTGGTGAGTCTTTCTCTTGAGTTCTTGCACAAACAGTAATAAGCTGGGATCCCAGATGAGGAGGACTGGAGCCCAGTTACAAGGTAACTTTCAAATTCACTTCCAAGACCGTTGTCAGTGGGCAGACGAGCCTTTCTGCCAAGGTACTAATGTGCATGATTCCTCCTGGACCCCTTGGCAAATTGTTTTGGTTCAAGGATAAACAGGACTGTACCTAAGCCTTTTGGGAAACAAGGCTGTTTCTAGATTTAAATCCCAGGGGCATGATCAGCAGGTCTGCCACCTGGCTGTTGGTCTGCACTCTCAAAACAGTCTTTCTGGCTCTTGGGCTCCACCAGGGATTCATAGCTTCCTACCTTCCTACCTTCCTACCTTCCTACCTTCCTACCACAGAGACTTGTCTGTGGATGAATGCAGACAAATTTTGAGAGGATATGAGTGGGTGACTTCCTATTACACCATTTTGCTGATTTGTTTCTGTTACGTGTGTCCATGTGAAGAGACCACCAAACAGGCTTTGTGTGAGCAATAAAGCTTTTTAATCTCCTGGGTGCAGGTGGACTGAGTGAAAAAGGAGTCAGCAAAGGGAGGTAGGGGTGGGGCAGTTTTATAGGATTTGGGTAGGTAGTGGAAAATTACAGTTAATGGGGGTTTTTCTCTTGCGGGCAGGGGTGGGGGTCACAAGGTGCTCACTGGGGAGCTCCTGAGATTCATTGTCCAGGAGAAGGAATGTCACAAGGTCCATTGATCAGTTAGAGTGGGGCAGGAACAAATCACAGTGGTGGTGTGTCATCAGTTAAGGCAGGAACTGACTATTTTCACTTCTTTTGTGGTTCTTCAGTTGCTTCAGGTCATCTGGATGTATATGTGCAGGTCACAGGTGATATGATGGCTTAGCTTGGGCTCAGAGGCCTGACAGTCTCTAGATTTTATTTATCACTGTTTTGTAATTTTTAGCATTAAAATAATATACATATTTTCTTAGATGTATACCTAAGTATTTCATTTTTTGAGTGATTATAAATGATATTGTATTTTAAATTTTGATGTTCATATATTTATTGCTGGTATACAGAAATAGAATTAATTTTTATATGTTGATCTTGGGTCAGTGACCATGCTGAACTCCCTTATTAGTTCCAAGACCCTTTTCATAGATGCTTTAAAATTTTCTACACAAACGATCATGTAATCTGTAAGTAAGGACAGTTTAATATCGTTTTCACTGAGATATATGCCTTTCATTTTTCTTCTTCCCTTATTCAGTGGCTGTAATGTCCAGGACTATGTTGACTAACATAGTCAACTGGTGAGAGCAGACATTATTTTCAATCTTGGGGTCCACAAGATTCAGTCTTTCACCATTAAATATCATGTTTGCTGTAGTTTCTTTGTAGATGATATTTGTCAAGTTAAAAAATTTCCCCCATCTTTCTCATTTTATGAGAATTTTTATCATTAATGAATTGTGAATATTAACAAATGCTTTTTCTGCATCAGTTGATAATATTGTGTAATTTTCTGTTGATGTGATAAATGATATTAATTGATTTTTCAATATTGAACCATCCTTGTATCCTGAAATAAACCCCACTTGGTAGTTGTTTATCATTCTTTTTATATATTGCTAAATTCTACTTGCTAGTATTTTATTAAAGATTTTTTATCTGTGTTCATGAAATATTGGTCTGTAGTTAATATCTTTTCCTCATTCTTTCTTTTTTATTTCTCTCTTTCTTGTGCTGTTTTTGTCTTGTATGGATATCAAGATAATTCTAGATTTATAAAATTAATTGAGAAAAAATTTTCTCCCTTTCTGTTTTCTGGAAGAGATTGTGTAGAGTTGGCATTAATTCTTCTTTAATGTTTGGTAGAATTCTTGAATGAAACCATCTAAGCCTGAAGAGATTTCTTCTTGGAGAGTTTTAAAAAATTCGAAGTCAATTTTCTTAATACTTATCAGTCTATCAGCATATATTTCATTTTGGTGAGTTCTGGTAGTTTGTGTTCTATTTTATCTAAGATAATTTTGATATCTAAGATAATTCTATCTTTGATAAAATAGAATAAAATAAAAATTCATCTATTTTATCTAAGTTGCCAAATTTATGTGTATGGATTGGTTTCCTTATTATGCTTTTAATGTGTGTAGGGTCTGAAGCACTATCTCCTATTTTATTCTTGATGTTGGTAATTTGTGTCTTTTCTCTTTTTTAAAACAACTTTTCAAGAGGTTTGTCAATTTTATTGACCTTTTCAAAGAATGATTTTCACATTGATTTTTCTGTATTGCCTGTTTTCATTTATTTCTGCTCTTATCCTTATTATTTTCTTTTTTAAAAATTATACATTTTATTTATTTATTGTTATTTTTTGAGACAGGGTCTTGCTCTGTTGCCCAGGCTGGAGTACAGTGGTAGAATCATGGCTCATTGCAACCTTGAACCCTTAGGCTCAAGCAGTCCTCCCACCTCAGCCTCCCAAGTAGCTGGGACTACAGGCATGCACCACCCTTCCCAGCTAATTTTTTGTACTTTTTTGTAGAGGTAGGGTCTTGCTATGTTACCTGGACGGGTCTTGATCTTCTGGTCTCAAGTGATCTTCCCACCTTGGCCCCCCAAACAACTGAGATTACAGGTGTGGGCCACTGCTCCCAGCCCATCCTTATTATTTTCTTCCATCTGCTAGCTTTGGGTTTACTTTGCTGTTTCTTTTCTGTGTTTCTGAGAAGACAGCTTAGATTAATACTTTGAGATTCCTCTTTTCTAATGTATGTAATTTAGTGGTATAAAGTTCCTTTTTAGCAATGCTTTGGTTTTAGCCTACAAATTTGGCATGTTGTGTGTTCATTCAATTAAATGCATTTTTATTGCCCTTGAAACTTTTTCTTTGAAAGAGAACAATATAAAATGTGTTGTTTGGTCTCCAAGTGTTTGGAGGTTTTCCTGTTATCTTTCTGTTATTGATTGTTAGTTTAATTCCTCAGTGGTTAGAGAACACATTCTGTATGATTTAAATTAAAAAAAAAACATTTTTAGGTTTGTTTTATGGCCTGGGATATGATCTATCTTATTACATATTCCTTGAGCACTTGCAAAGAATATGTTTTCTGCTGTTGTTGGATGGAGTGTTCTATAAACGTTGATAAAATCCTGTTGGTTGATGGTGTTGAATTCATCTATCACCTTGCCGATTTTCTGTCTAGTTCTATCAATTATTGAAGGAGAGGTATTGACATTTCCAATTACAACTGCGGATTTGTCAATTTTTTATTTTATTTCTATTTGTCTTTGCTGCACATATTTTTCAACTCTGCTATTTGGTACATACACATTTAGGATAGATATGTCTCCTTGGTTGATTGACCTTTATCATTACATAGTGTCCCTCTTTGTCTCTGGGGTTTTTTTTTATGTTCTGAAGTCCACTTTGTCTGATATTAATACAGTCACTGATGCTTCTTTTTTTAAGTGAAACATGGTGGCTCTTTATTGAAATTTTCATGTGAGGACAGAAACTAATATAATACATTTAATTAACTTGGAATATTTGTGTGAAGATATAAACTAATACCTTCAAATATCCTAGAATCTATCATTTCTAAGCCAGATTATGCTCTTCTATCATTTTCATTCTTTAGCATATGACACAAGTGGGAAATATGTCAAGGGGATGTATGGTGTGTGGTATTAAGGAATGCTATTCTTGATGGCTCGCTATTGTATGGTTTCCAAAACTGTGCTGAAATAATTTTACATTTGGTTGCCTTACTTATTCTCAAGCATTTACAATAAATACGCATGTGAGAAAGAACACAGATACACTTATATCAACCAGTAAGATTGTTCATTAATTATCAAATACAGTGTATGTTAAAAGCCTGTAGGGTTTAGGTTGCTATGTTAGTGATTGGCAAATAATACTTTTACTAGATGTAGAGTTTTTACTGGAAAAGGCAGATACTTTATTTTATTATTATTATTATTATTATTATTATTATTTTTGAGACAGAGTCTTGTTCTGTCGCCCAGGCTGGAGTGTAGTGGTGTGATCTCGGCTCACTGCAATCTCTGCCTCCAGGGTTAAAGCGATTCTCCTGCCTCAGCCTCCTGAGTAGCTGGGATTACAGGCAACTGCCACCATGCCCAGCTAATTTTTTGTATTTTTAGTAGAGATGGGGTTTCACTATGTTGGCCAGGCTGGTCTTGAACAGCTGGCCTCGTGATCCACCCACCTCGGCCTCCCAAAGTGCTGGGATTACAGGTGTGAGCCACCATGCCCAGCCAAGACAGACACTTTAAATTAAATTATAGTAATTTACTTAAATAGAGAAATAAATATACACAATATGTGTTTTTTTTTTTTTTGAGACGGCATCTTGCTCTGTTGCCCAGGCTGGAGTGCAATGGCGTGATCTCGGCTCACTGCAACCTCCGCCTCCCAGGTTCAAGGATTCTCCTGCCTCAGCCTCCTGAGTAGCTGGAATTATAGGTGCAAGCCACTGCGCCTGGCTAATTTTTGTATTTTTAGTAGAGGCGGGTTAACCATGTTGGTCAGGCTGGTCTTTAACTCCTGACCTCGTGATCCGCCCACCTTGGCCTCCCAGAGTCCTGGCATTACAGGCATGAGCCACCATGCCTGGCCCACAGTATGTTTTAAAGGAAGAACAGGGATTTATGTAAACCCATATCAAGGCACTGGAAATTAGAATTGGAAGGGAGAATGGTTGGAAAATCATGTGATAGAGTTTTTAAAATTTATTTTATATTTTCAGCTTTATTAAGGTTTAATTGACAAAAGCCTATAATAACAAATTAAACCTTAATAGTTAGTATACATTTATGGGTTGATAGTATATATTTATGGCATGAAACATAATGTTTTACTGCATGTATACATTGTGCAATAATTAAATCAAGCTAATTAACATATCCATGATTTCATATGCTTATCTTTTTTTATGATGAGAATAATTTAAGATCTACTCTCTTAGAAGTTTTCAAGTATACATTATATTATAAATTTTATAGTCACCATGCTGTACAATAGATCTCCAGAACGTAAATCCTCCTGTCTAACTGAAATTTCATACCCTTTGATGGGCATCTCCCATCAGTCACTATTCTGCTCTCTGTTTTTATGAGTTTGACTTTTTTAGATTCCACATATAAGTGAGATCATGCAGCATTTGTCTTTGATTAATGTTTGCATGATGTAAATTTTTGCATCCATTTACTTTCTACCTGCCTATATCTTTATATTTGAAATGAATTTCTTATAGACATCATATATTTGGGTCATGTTTTTAAGTCGACTCTGCCAAGATTTCTTTTAATTATTTTATTTGGCCCATTTACATTTAATGTAATCAATAATATGTTAAGTCTTAAGTTTGCCTTCTTGTTTTATTTTGTTTTCTGTTTGTTCTGTTTTTCATTTTTGTGTTTTATTTTTTATTTTTATGTTTTGCCTTCCTGTGGGTTACTTGAAAGTTTTGTAGAATTCTGTTTTGGTTTATCTACTGTATTTGTAGTGTATCCCTATGTAATAGCTTTTAAAATTATTGCTGTAGGTGTTATATATACATAACTTATTATGGTCTACTGGAGTCATCATTTTACCAATTCAAGCAAAGTACAGAAATGTTACTTCCGTTTATATTCCTTTATCCTCCCCAATTTATAATTGTCTTTTCAAAAAATTATTTGTTTTCCTCTTACTATCATTCCCAGTAATTGTCTCTGTGAAAATTTAGAACCACATCAGATAGTGTTGTAATTTTTGTTTTAACCATCAAATAGAAGTATGGAAACTCAAGAGGAAAAGAAAAGTGCATTGTAATTACTTACGTTTTTGCTTACCATATTCTTTCTTCCTTGGTAATGTTTCAGGGCTTCTCTTTTCCACCCCCGCCTTTCTGGTTAGAGAATGTCCTTGAGCCATTATCTTAAAGGGGTTTGCTGGGAAAAATTATATTCGTTTTCTATGATTTGAGAATATCTCAATTTCACCTTGATTCATAAAGGATATTTTTGCTGTATATAAAATTCTGGGATGTCAGTTATTTTCCTTCAGCACTAGAAAATTGTTGTGCCATATTTTTCTGGCTTTCATGGTCTCTGATGAGAAATACACTCTTCTTGGAATTGTTTTCTCCTCTATATAAGGTGTTTACCTCTCATTGCTTTGAAGACTTTTCCTTTCTCTTTAGTCTTCAGAAGTTTGACTCTGATGTGTCTTGATGTAAATTTTTGTGGGGTTTTCCTCTTTGGAGTTCATTTAGCTTATTGATTCTGTTGGTTTATGTATTTTGGCAAATTTGCAAAGTTTCAGGTATTATTTCTTTGAGTACATATTCAGCTCTCTTTCTCCTTTCAGGATTCAAATGACAAAAATGTTGGATGTTCTGTTACATTCTCATGAGTCCCTGAGGCTCTATTTACTTTTTGTGGTCTATTTTTTTCTATTGTTCAGATTGAGTAATTTTTATTCTATTTTTAAGTTTACTGTTTTTTTCTTTTGTCTTCTACATTTTGCATTATACCTATACACAGTTTTTAAAATTTTTAATAAAATGATTTTCTAGTTATAAGTTTTCTATTTTTAAATATATGTTATTTTTTAGAGTTGTTTGGGGTTCACAGCAAAATTAAGCAGAAAATACAGAGAATTCCCATACATCTCTTGCTCCCACACATGCACAGCCTCTCCTACTATCAACATTCCACACCAGAGTCATACATTTGTTACGATTGATGAATCTACATCGACACATCTTTATCAACAAATGTCTATAGTTTACATTAGGGCTCATTCTTGATGTACATTCCATGGGTTTTGAAAAATGTGTAATGATATGTATCTACCATTGTAGTATCATACAGAATAATTTCGCTGCCCTTAAAATCCCCTGTATAGCTTTTTGTATCTTCTATTATTTTGCTGAGACTTTTAATTTTTTGTTTCAAATGTGTTTATAATTTCTCATTGAAATATTTTTTTGACAGCTGCTTGAAAAAGATCATTCTAACATCTCCATACCTCAATGTTGGCATCTATTGATTGTCTTTTTCATTCAGTTTGAGTTCTGTATGTTCCTTGAAATACTGTGATTTTCTATTGAAATCTGGACATTTGAGTATTATGCAATGAGACTGTAGATTTTATTTTAACCTTCTCTTTTGTCCTTGAACATCACTCTGGCAGAGAAAGGGAGGAGCACTGTCTCATTGCTGCCAGGTAGAAGAAATCTAGGTCTCCCACTCAGCCTCTGCTGGCATCCAGTGTAGATGCTCCTCATTCCTGCTGTGTAAGAGTGGAAATTCTAGCTGCCCATGAGGTCTTCACTGATAACTCCTTAGCTGGGAGGAATTGGAGTACCTGCACCCTGGGTGGCTTCCCCTGATGCTGTGGTGAGAGTATGTTTTCACGGCTTTAATATTACTGACTGGGTGGTTGGGGAAGTCCTGATTCTCTAGTAGGACTCTGTTGTCACGACCCCAGCGGGTAGTGGTAGGGGTGCCTAGTTACTGTCATGTGGGAGTAAAAGTTCAGGTTCCCATCTAGTCTCCACTAACAACCTGGGTGAGTGTGTGTGTGTTGTGGCGGGGGGAGCAGGTGCTTATCACCCAGTGAAGATAAAATTTCTGACTCTCCACTTGGCCCTCTCTGATACCATCCCGGGGTGGGGGCCTTTGGAGGACCTTCTGACAGCCTGGCAAGGATGTAAATCTGGGATTCCACTCAGCTTTTGCTGCTGGTGGTGGTGGTAGAGCTAATTTTTTTCCGTGATATTTGGCTGGAATACAGCAGTTCTTATCTAAAAGTTTTCTTACTAAGCTGCCCTTTCCTAGTCCTCTGGATAGAGACAGCAGGCTTTTGTTGGGAATTGTTTTGTCTGCACCTGTAGTGTTTCCAGACTGCCACTTTCTTCAGTTCCACATCTGGGATATATGAGGCCAGAGGAAGACCTAGGAAACTCACGACTATGTTATTCACTGCATTCTAAGTCTCCTCATTTGTCTGTGTTTTTCTCTCCACCTCTCAGAGTCTTCTTATGTTTGTTTTATATATAATATCCAAGGTTTCTGGTGTACTTAGCATGAAGAATAGGAAAAAGTACATCAACTCTATTTTTGTGGAAGTGGAAGTCTACCATTGAATTTTGCTATAATTTTCTTCCTTTACACCATGACTTCATTTCTAGATCCTTAGCTTGCAGATAGCTTAGGTGGGGAGGCCAAGAAATTTTTCTATGGCATTCAATTAACTGATAAATAAACAGTTAAAGAACAGAGATTGCAAGAGCTCTTCTCCAGTTTTGAGAGGATGGAGGAAAGGAGGTTAGCTGTGAGTGGCATTACTGGCTAAGTGCAAAGCTCATCTATGGATATGAGGGTTAAAGAGAAGAAAGGAGGTAACAAGGAAAGTGGGCAAAGAATATTTACCTGTATGACTTATCTACAATAATGGACGAGTACTTAAATTGTAAATAATGCAAGCAAGACTCTTATTTTGTCAATATATTATTTAGTCTTCTTTATATATAAAACACAAAATTTATTTTGACATACAAAGTGAATTTTGTAATAATAGTGTGACAACTAGAAGGTAAAAAGAAAAATATGACAACTTCAGACTTAGGTACCTAAGATTCTGTGTTTCCAGTATCAAATTAATGTAAGTAATGGAAGCTTTGATTTCACAGCACAGTATCTTGTGTGAAGTTATTTAAATAATTTTGAAAGACATTGCAAATCATATCAAAGAGGATTCATTAGGCATGTGATACTCAGTAGAATCAATATAAACCATGTTACTTATTATATTTTATCTTGATTTTCTATATTCCCATAATAATTCAATTAAACGCTCTGCTCTCACACTACCAGTAGATGCATACATAGGAAGAAAGAAGTTTATACCATGGTTAATATATTTATTCTAGGGTCCCAGAATATTCTTTTTTTTTTTTCTTTTTTCAGATGGAGTCTTGTTCTGTTGCCCAGGCTGCAGTGCAGTAGCATGACCTCTGCTCGCTGCAAACTCCACCTCCAGGTTTCAAGCAATTCTCCTGCTTCAGCCTCCCGAGTAGCTGGGACTGCAGGCATGCACCACCACACCCAGCGAGTTTTGTATTTTCAGTAGAGATGGGGTTTCACATGTTGGCCAGGCTAGTCTCAAACTCCTGACCTCAAGTGATCCTCCCTCCTTGGCCTCCCAAAGTGCTGGGATTACACCCAGCCCCAGCATATTCTTTTAATCATATTCATTTGCTTATGGTACAGGCACTTAAGTTTTTTAGAATCCTTAATGTCTCATAATGTTACCATCTTGAATTGTGTAAAAGTTTAATATCTAAATATGCTAAACAAAATATGCTGAAGAAGAAATTAAGCTTAATGTGTAATGAATGACAAATGGAAAAGGTGGCTTATGACGTACCTTAGAAAATATTCCCTAGAAATGTGTAGAAAAGAGAATGATGATGTCTATAGACAAAATTTGTCAGAAGAAATGAGTCAGTTAGGTCAGCCAGTCAGTAGATTGGCTGAGAATCAGTAGATCTGTTAAATGACTGTCGTGTGTGTGTGTGTGTGTGTGTGTGTGTGTGTGTGTGTGTGTGTCAGTCAGGGGGTAGATAGTAAATTCTAATAAAGAATATTTAGCCCATTTGTTATTAGACTAGTTCACCCAATAATGAAAATTGTAATCCTCCAAGTACAAAAACAATGTTAAAAAAACTAAATGAGCAGCTCATGGAGGTCACACAGATGCCTAAGCTCAACATGTCCATAATTTAACAACTTTCATCCCTTATTCTGCTATTTCTTCAGCAATTTTTTTCTTGGATATATAGCTCTGCCATCTGTGTTAGCCAACCCAGAGACTTTCTTTCTTCCCCCATATCCAAGTTATAAAAATCTTACCTGCTTTAACGCATCTCTGATCACTATTCTCAAATTCTCTGCTTCAGTCACACTGAGATTTTTCTCTTTCCCCTGGGCCTTCCCTCTTTGGGACATGTTCTCTCTATCCCCATGAATTCTTGTTAGTAAGTTTAAAGTGAGCCTAAGCATCTGTGTTGTTAGCAAAATTTTCAGACGATTTTACACCCAGTCCAAGAATCATTTTATTGAGACATTCCAGTTACTTACTTTGTGCATCTATACTTCTGTCTTCTCCTTTCCTCTTGCTTCAGTGATGGATCCATCCCTGCTTGTTTAAGATCAACGCCTCCATCTGCATCTGGATGGCATCCCATCTCTCCCACTCAACACATTGTTCCTGCAATTGCTCCCTCTCTCTAATGCAGCATCAATTCTTCTCTCTCTACTTGATGATTCCACCAGCATACGGACATGCTGCCATGGCTTCCTATTTTAAGCAAAATAAACAAAATACTCTCCAGATGCCTCTCTTTATGGACTCTTTAAATCACTGCCTATATTTATTGCCTTCCTTTTCTCAACTCACATTCTCTTTAAACTCACACTGACCAATCTTTCAGACCCTCCACTTCTTGAAAATTACTCTTGTTAATGTGGCCAATGACGTGTATTAACACCCATACTGATACTCAGTTCACAGTTGAAACATTTTTTTCTTATAAATGTTTTCTTTACATTTATGGTCTCTAGATGTTGAGGTGGCTCAGGGATCATCTATTTATTTATTTTTATTTATTTTTCTTTTTTTTTCTTTCACCTGTCAGCTCATACCTAGCCGTCTTCTATTTTTTAGGTATGCTCACTTCCTTGATGATCTCGTAGAGCTCAAAGCCTCAAATACGATCTATATGCTGGTGACACTGATATATATATATATATATTTCCAGCTTTGACCTTTCCCCTAACCTCAAGAATTTTATGTACAACTGCCTACCTGACATTTCCACCTGGATGTCTAATACAAATTTTCAGTTTAACATGTCCAAAACCACACTCCTGTTTTTCTCTGCCCCCTTCTTAATCCTGCTCCTCCCCTAGTCTTCCCCACATCAATAATGACAAGTACATCCCTTCACAACTCTAGTTTCTCAAGCTACAGTTAACTCTTCTTTCTCTTTTATACTGTACATCTAATCCCTCTCTAATTTCCAATAGGTTGGCTTTACCTTCAAAATACATCCAGAATCCAACTGCTTCTCACCATTGCTATTGCTACCACTCTGGTTCAAATGACCATCATCTCTTGCATTCTTGCACCCTATAGGTTATGCTCCTTACAACAGATAAAATGCCCCTTTTAAATCATAATTCAGATTATATTACCTCTTAGTTCAAAACCCTTCAGTGGCTCCCATCTCATTTACAATAAGGGTAATGCTTTTCCAGTAGTTCCCAATATTTCAAGCTAACAGACCCTCTGATCTCATGTCCTACCATTGTTTCCTTCACCAAGTCTGCTTTAGCTTCACTGGCCTTCTGGATATTTCTTCAACACACTAGACGTGTTATGAACTGAATGTTTGTGTCTCCCTAAATTAATATGTTGAAGCCCCTTTCTCCAATGTGATGATATGTGAAGATGAGGCCTTTGGGAGGTAATTAGGGTTAGATGAGATCATAAGGGTGGGACTTTCATAATGGGATTAGGGCCTTTGTAAGAGGAGACACCGGAGAGCTTGCTTTCTCTTTTTCTCCTGCTCATGCATGCACTAAGAAGGTTATGTGAGCACAATGAGATGACAGCCACCTATAAGCCAAGAGACCAGGCCTCAGAATAAAACCTACCATGCCAGCACCTTGATCTTGGACTTCCAAGCTTTCAGAACTATGAGAAATAAATTTATGTTGTTTAAGCCACCCAGTTGATGGTGCTCTGTGATGGCAGCCTGAACTAAGTAGTACAGAATGGTCCCATTTCATAGCTTTTGCACTTGCCACTCTCCTACCTTGAATACTCCTCTCTCATATACTTCATTGCTCATTTTCTCACCTCCTTCAGGCTTTACTCAATGTTGCTTTAGTAAAGTCTTCTCTGACCGCTCTATTAAAAATTGCAACCCCTGCCAGGTGCGGTGGCTCACACCTGTAATCCCAGTACTTTGGGAGGCTGAGACAGGTGGATCACCTGAGGTCAGGAGTTCCAGACCAGCCTGACCAACATGGTGAAACCCTGTCTCTACTAAAAATACAAAGTTAGCCGGGCATGGTGGCGCATGCCTGTAATCCCAGCTACGCGGAAGGCTGCGGCAGGATAATTACTTGAACCCAGAGGGCAGAGGTTGCAGTGAGCCGAGATTGCGCCATTGCACTCCAGGCTGGGCAACAAGAGTGAAACTCTGTCTCAAAAAAAAAAAAAAATTGCAACCCCTTCCCCCACCCTGTCTGACTGTACTGTATTTAGAGCTATTTGGCACATGCGCGTGCGCGCGCGCACGCACGCGCACACACACACACACACACACACACACACATATCTGATTTTTTTCTGTTTATTCCCAGTTGAATGTTATGTCCATGACAGCAGGGATTTTTACCTATTGTGTCTGCTGGTGTAGTCCCAGTAACTAAATTGGTGATGGCACAAAAATGGAAAGACAGTTATTTTTAAAGAGATGTTATTATTTATTTATTTTTTCTTTTTTTTAAATTTTACTTTAAGTTCTGGGATACATGTGCAGAACGTGCAGGTTTGTTACATAGGTATACATTTGCCATGGCGTTTAGCTGCCCTTATTTACTTTTTTTAAGATAGTAAGGCTGACTTGATTGGAGGAGGCCATGGCAGCAGCTATAGGAGCCATTGCAGTGGGGTCTTGCAGTGTGGGAGAGAGCTTGGACTCAAGTCCTTTAAAGAGATTTCAGAATAGGATAAAGAAACTGTGGCTCAGAGTGATCCTTAGATTTGTGTAAGTTCACATAAATAACAGTCATGGAAATTGCAATGAAAAGCTCTGTAATTCCATGTCTAATTCTCCCTGCCTCATAGAATGCAGCCCTTCTAACTTCATTATGTTCTAATCTTGGAATGTAGACTACCTCTCAGGGTTGGTGAAAACAAAAAGGATAAGCATGCCATGATCCTTCTAGAACTCAAAACTTGGATTCGTACCTGGGATTTAATGTGGTACCATTTTCAAATAAATCTCCAACTAGAATTATAGCTTCATTTGTTTATTCGTGGCAACAATTTCTTTGGTTGGTGACTGAAGCAAATTTTTCTGAAAAGCCCAAATCCACCATATACCAGGGATCTGCCTCTCATTGGTTTTTGAATATATGTAATTTTTTCTAATACAATGGCTTTCTCAAGTGATCTGGATTGATTGAAGGTGATAGACTGAGTTATATGTTTCCTGTGAGACAACATTAGAGATAATATTGAAATATTAACTACATTAACTATGCAGTTGTAGCAATAATTAATGACCAACAGGAAATTAAAATACCTTGCAAACAGTTTACAGATAACAATAAAAAGGAAATTTTGTAGGCTTCTGGGTAATCATTACATTATTCTCATATTTATAAACTGTTTTTCCAAATAGATATTTTTAAGAAGTTAACAAAGTACTGTGAGTATATGTGCCAAATCAAATAGAACAAAATTTTTACGATGTTTGCCCTCCTCAGTTCTGCTCCACATAGGCAATTTTAAGGTCTTTTGTAAGTTGAAAATATAAATGTCCTTCATCACTGCTTCTATGGGTTCTTTACATCTTTCACTCTAACGATATGCAACTTATATTGCAATTTTGCAAAAACAAAGGAAAAAACGTCTACCATGTGGCTAGCGTAAGTAGCTAGATTCTGCTATCCATTCTGCATGTAGCCATCTGCCTTGTGGGTATAATTGCAATGATCTACATTTCTCACATTGTTAGAGTTAGAAGTATGTGAAAAAGGTAAGTTTTATGGCTGACAAAATTGGATAGAGTTGATATATGTAACTTACATCTAGGGCTGGCACTACACATTAATTTTTTAATTCTAGAAAAAGATGTAGTATATAATAATATGTATCAACTGCTTGGGTGATTTTGACTGAATTAATTGTTGTAAGCAAATTACTGGTAAATGTTATTAAATGCCCATTTTACCTGCAAGAAATGAGTTTCATTTTAGCAAGCTGAAAGACCAACTTGATGAATATATTAAATATTCACTTGAGAATAGTGTATTTCCATATAGCTAGATTATACAAATGTTAAGAACGCTGTCTGCAGTTAATTCTTCAAACTATAAGTGGAAATAAGAACTACTGCTGAATGGGCATAAAATGATATGAAAGCTTAATGAGTTGTTAACTTGATATTTTTAACACTTAAAATTTCAACCCTTACCTGGAATTTGTCTTGCCACTCTGAGCAAGTGAGTACCCAATTAAAATCGCAAGTGTCTTTATTTGTCCATGAATACATTCTCTTCAGTTGGTGACTGACACAACATTCATAGTCCATTTGGAACCCAAATCCATCATCCACCAATGTTCAGTTTCTTCTGGGGTTTGACTAGACAGGCTTTTATCAAAGTCACTCACTAGAGAGCCATCACTTGCTCTGTCAGAAGACATCAAAGGATCACGGAGACTGGACTGGGTGGATGTTTTCCCGTGAGATTATATTGGACATGAAATGCAAAAATAAGTGATAGCCAAAGTGAGCTAGCATATACTTTCTCAAAGTAATCAAAACTGGGCCAAAACCTTTACTGGTTGGTTTCCAAAAATCACTTGGCTTCTCCCATTCCTTGGACCTTTATTCCTCATCATTCTTCTTTTACTATTTGGTCCCTGCCTTTTTACCACTCTCATTAAGTTTATATCTTCTAGATTATAATGATTTCACCTATAGATGACCTTGCAAGCCCAATACCAGCCTGCAACAGCAACTTCCATTTACATGGGGCCTCTTGATGGAATCTGGTCCCCCACCATTCCTTCCACCCTGGCCCATGGACAAGTTTTTCATGACCCTTCATTTCCTTCATGCAGAAGTAGCCAGACAGATTTGATGCTCCCCTTCACCGTGCTGTTTTCCCTTTCTGGAGACCCTAATAGGCAGCAGGTAGACAGGAGCATGAGGGTATACAAAGGGTCAAAGATTTGACCAAGATATTTATTAGGGGAAAATGAGGAGAGCAAAGACCACCTGGTGGTGGCCATTAAGCAGACCATCCAGAGGCAAAACTCCTTCTCTGAGGAATTTAGAAGTAATTACATGTCCCTATTATCTAAAGCTGGCATTGAGTACCTGACTTCTTTCCCAAAAATTTATAAGTAACAAAAATTTCTATACATCTCTGGAATGCACACATGTCGAAACTCGTTGTGCAACCCTTGCTGACATCAAGGCACCAAAATGTCTACAAATGTAATTATTTATTATGGCCTAGGTGGGTAATATGGCCCAAATTACCCTTAAGCTCCCTCTTCAAGGTCCATAAATGCCCCTAAGGAAAAATACATCGTGGTGTGCTCAGTCCTCTCTTGCTGAAGTGCCCCACTGCACTCTGCTGCAGTGTTCTTTCTATCTAATAAAACTTTCCCTTTCAAACCTATACTGCTGTGGGTAAATTCTTCTTTCTACCTCCGAGCCTACCACCTTCCATTGCCGGGGCTCTGACACCTTGCGAAACAAATATAAAGAAGCTTTTATCAAAAAAAGCTTGGGAATCAATCACAGCATTATGCAAATTGGCCATAAAAGCTGCAAGAAAAATTTGAAGAATCCTGTTTTGATATTGGTAAATTTCGAGTTGATTTTCAATTTATGCAATACTTCTTTGAAATCAATGTTAATAATACCAATTTAACACAACAGTTAGTGAATTTACTTAACCTGGATGGAACTAGTTTTGAATCTTATATGTTTTTACTTCAAAGTTAGATCAATTCTTTAAAATGATAAACAAGTTTTGTCAATATAAATGTCCATAGTAAAGAAAAAAAATTTTTTTTGTACTTGATTCAACTATTGAAACATTCTAAAGTATGTTTGAAATAACTTGGATATGTGAAACATTTTCAACTGTAAACTTTATGAAATCCAGTAAATTGAAAAGTCTCCTGATTGAGATGTATGTGTAAAATACACACTAGATTTCAAAAGCTTAGTGCAATAAAAGAATGTATAATGCCTCAAATTTTTGTTTTTGTTTTTGTGACAATCTCACTCTGTCACCCAGGCTGGAGTGCAGTAGTGCAGTCTTGGCTCACTGCAACCTCCGCCTCTGGGGTTCAAGCAATTCTTGTGCCTCAGCCTCCCGAGTAGCTGGAATTACAGGCATGTGCCACCACACTCGGCTAATTTTTGTGTTTTTAGCAGAGATGGGGTTTTATCATGTTGGCCAGGCTGGTCTTGAACTCCTGACCTCAAGTGATCCTCCCGCCTTGGGCTCCCAAAGTGCTGGGATTACAGGCGTGAGCCAACAATTGACCTCAACAATTTTTTTTTTTTTTTGGTTTGCTGTTGAAATGATATTTTGGACATATTGAGTCAAGTAAAATATATTTGAAAAATTAATTTTACCAATTTCTTTTTTCTTTTTTAAAATGGGTACTAGAAAGTTTTAAATTACACGTGTGGCTCACATAACAGCACTACATTTTTATTGAGCAGCTCTGTTCTAGATTAGTTCATGGCTGGCTCCACACAAAACATGAACTATTTTAAAAAGACAATTGTCTAATTTAACAGTTGATTCTTTTGAAAACCCAGTTTTCTCCTGTTACGAAGAGGAACTAACTAACTAAAGAAAGAAAGAAAGCTGATTTCAAACTGAGGCTCCTTTATTTATTAGCATTATGTCTTTTGTCAAGTTTATTAACATCTTCAGTATAAATGAGGGCAATACGTTTATTTCATAGGAATGTCATGAGGATCAAACTAAGTAAAGCAGATAATGTACTTAGCACAGTGCTGGGTACATAGTTAGCCCCACATCTGTGGTTAATGACTAAACCTGGAAATCAGTGCCGGGCATGGTCGCTCATGCCTGTAATCACACTTTTGGAGGCCAGGGCAGGGTGATCGCTTGAGCCCAGGAGTTCAAGGCTGCAGTGAGCTATGATCATGCCATTGCATTCCAGCTTGGGTGACAGAATGAGACTCCAAATCTAAAAAAATTTAAAATAAAAATAGAACTGTAAATCAGTGAGGAACTAAACTAAAAAGTGATCAGAAAAAGAAGGAATGGATTTTTAGAACGTTCAAATGGAGACTAGATGTCAGGGTGGACAACAGAGGGCAACAGAGGGCGGGACAAGAATAGGAAAACTCCCAGGCCACAAAAAAGGAAAATTAAATCTGTGAGAAAATTATTCAATTTTAAACATGTTGAGGAGTAGGTGACCGTGGAAATTTTAGAGGAGATAATATTTGGTAGAAAATCCAGGTTTGGAGCTAAGGAGATTGGTCTGAATTCTCAACAGAGACTTGGAGTCCATAGGTAAGAGGTAGTAGTAGGTGGAGCCATGGAAAGGTGTGAGATTACCCAGGGAATGTGTTGAGACACAATATAATAAAGAGACAGCTCACTGAGAAAGACAATCAGGACACCCTGGCATCTAAAAGGAAGGCAAGCCTGTAATCCTAGAACTTTGGGAGGCCAAGGCGGGCAGATCACCTGGGGTTAGGAGTTCAAGACCAGCCTTGCAAACATGGTGAAACCCCATCTCTATTAAAAATACAAAAAAATTAGCCAGGTATGGTAGTAGGTCCTTGTAGTCCCAGCTACTTGGCAGGCTGAGGCAGGAGAATTGCTTGAGCCAGAGAGGTGGATGTTGCAGTGAGTCAGTATCATGCCACTGAACTCCAGCCTGGGCGACAGAGAGAGACTCTGTCTCAAAACAAAACAAAACAAAATAAATAAAATTAAAGTAGGGCAGAGGACAAGGATCTTGTAGAAGAGACTGAAGAGGAATAACCTGGGAGGTAGGAGGAAAAATAGAAAAGATACAAAATGAAAACCAAGAAAGGATGAATTTCTCAGCATGCCCTCGAATATGTGGAAGAAAAGGGAATATAAGAGATATACTCACCAAAATTTTCATTACCTGGTAACATTTTACCAAAGACTGACCTTTGCAGAGAGTTAAACATTTTGTACACCTGGAAGTGGTGATGGCCTCATATCTCCTTTTCATCCCTTGATATGGAAAAGTCTAACGTTTTATGAGCCTAGCAGCCATTTGTCTGGTTTGCTAAAGTCTCCTAACCCCAGTTTGTTTTGTACACAGATATCTGTATCACTTTTCACAAATGTAATTAGATTCAATAACAAAAACAAAATGTATTGTTTACAATATGGCCATGAATTTGCTGAATTCTGCTTATTGAAATGTCATTGCTTAAAATAAAGAAATACAGTGTGGAAGAAAGATCTGTGGGTATCTTAGAAAACGTGAATTAAAGTCCCTGCCCAAATCTGGAAGCAGAGGAATCAGGAACTTCTACAAGTGCACCACCTGGTAACGTTTTACTGAAGACTGACCTTTGCAGAGAGTTAAACATTTTGTACACCTGTAAGTGGTGATGGCCACATATCTCCCTTTCATCTCTTTTTATGGAAAAGTCTGTGGTCTTATGAGCCCAAGGTAGGGACTGTAGCACATCTTATTTGAAACCAGATTACTAGTTAAGAGGTTAAAATGAGATATCGCAAAGAATCCACACTGAGGAATCAGGGCTTATACTTTTCAAAAAGGCTATTTCTTCTAGAGAAACATTTTAACTAAGTGTAGTGCTGAACTTTCATTATTATCCACTGATTTATTTTTGTTAGAGAATGAATTCTGAATCAGTATATGTGGTTCCATGGAAAAAAGGCCAATTATTTTGCAATAATATTATATAAAATCCTCTCTGTAAGAATTAAAGAGGAAAGAAACATGAAAGGTGGCTCGACAGCCAAGGACAGGTTTATTTTAGAGAAAACAAACCTGAGAGGGGCTTCTGGCTGAGTTAGGTCAGAGCCTGCTCTCTTACAGACTAAGTAAGAGTTTTTAAGGATTCAGGGTGGGAGAGTTTATCAGAGGCTTGGACTGCTTCTGTGTCTTTATTGTGCTTATCTGGGAGGGAGAGTTTCATGACTGTTCCCATACATCTTCCTGCAGCTGCAGGCATACCCCCCAAGTCTGCTTTTAGCTTGCCTCTTAGTGCACCTGAAGGGAAAGGAATGAGCTTTTTAAGGCCCACTGTTTTACCGGGGCCCATTGTATGAGGGTGAAGTTTGGCAGAGACTTTCCCCCCACTTCCTCCTGTGCCGGAGCTGTCTTATCTTTGTTTTACTGTCTGCTCTTTCTGGCTGCTCCTTATTAGAAGGGAAGTGATTTCCTTGAAATGCATGAGGCTAGAAAGGGAGCTGGAACTTAAAATGGCAGTGGTTGTCTGAGATGACGGTTCTCCTGTTGTGTCACTCACCCTATTGTTGAAAATGGTACAAACATCCTCCTTATCCTGCCTATTATTTAATGCATCTCTCTCTTCTGCTTTTTGATATATCCCATCAATATTTTTCTCCATATGCCATCTTAGTTCAGATCTTTATCATTTCACATGGTTTCCAACATCAGCCTTTTATCTGGTTTGCTGAAGTTTCCTAACCTCAGTTTGTTTTGTACACAGCTATCTGTATCATGTTTCACAAACGTAATTAGATTCAGTAACAAAAACAAAATGTATTGTTTACAATAGAGCCATTAATATGCTGACTTCTGGTTATCAAAATGTCATTGCTTAAAGAAATAGATTGTGGAAGAAATATCTGTGGGTGAGGATCTTAGAAAATGTGAATTAAAGTCCCTGCTATATACCATATAATAAGTTTTATTTTCCTCATTTAGGCTTTAGTTTTCTCATTTGTAAAACAAAGTAGTTTAAATAGATGATCTCTGAAGCTTCTAAATCCTGATACTGAATATAGCTTGACTGGCCCATGGACATTCAGGTCTTTGCATTGAGTTTCCCATTAAATTTTCTGAGGCATTTTTTTTTCATTCAATAAAGTTTAAGGAACATGAGTCAGTAGCGGGCCCCATGTTGGACCCTGGGTGTAGAAAAATTCCCCACCCAGAGAAACAGAAGACAGCCATCCATCCACATATTTGTACTACATCAATATGTACTCAAGGCAGCAAGAGCAGCATTGTACACAGTGCAATGGAAGGGCAATGATAAAAAATAGCTTTGCCTGAGGATGCTAAATGAAGATAATAGGCAAGCCTACATGGTAGATACAAGAATAGAAAAAAAAAAAACCTGAAAAGCAAGGAGGCAGAAAAGATTCAATAAAATGTTAGGTAGACATCTGATTAAAGTGGATTATTAAATACAAACTCCTAGTTAAGTGCAGTGGATTAAATGTATATGCTTATCTTTGCTTCTCCTTATTTCTCTAAAATGATAATGCATAGATTAAAAAAATACAAACTGTAAAAGAAAAAAAAGAGAAGATAACAGCTGACCAGAGATGGCAAGAAAATTGGGAAAAATTAGAGAGAATATGGACATGAGAAAATTCACTTAGAAGACTGAATAAAGATGAAAACTATGTACTCTACAAGTTCAGGGGAGAGCCAAAAAAAGCAACTTCCACTTGCATTGAGGAACTCCAAAAGTGTCAGAAATTAAAAATGCAAGATGCCTCTGAAGGTAGTTGTGCAGATAGGGCTGAAAACAGAAGGTCTGGTTTAAAGTTGGTTTGAGAATCAGTTAGAGCCTGTGCGGCCCACCCTTACCTCAACAGAGATGGGAGGTTTATTCTCTGGAGACACTGAATCAGAGGATTCAATGTGAAGGATAGACATCTGCTATCCTTCACACTCAGGACAGCAGAAAGGTGAGGAGGCTGAACTGAAAGGGGTAGGGACTAGAAACCTACACACTGAAAAATGAGACCCCAAGCTCCAGTCCACAACTTTGGGTTTGTTTACATGTAGACTTATTATTGTACAGGCAGAGGATTCTCATGGAAAACTGACATAGCAAAAAAAAAAAAAAAAAAACCTAAGGATACTGGCAGCTAATGATTCACTTAAAAATAAGTCCCTACCTGTTACCCTACAGAGAAAGTCATTGGTCAACAGGTAGAACTTAAGTACAAAGCTTGCAATCAGCTTTCCAGTGCCGCACTATTAAATATGAATGGGAAGCTTAAATATTATCTGGCATTAGAGGGAAGCCTCCATTATAAAATACACAGAAAAAAACTATATATAAAATATACAGAAAATATACAGAAAAAGTACTCCAAAAAATTAAAAGTGTAAGAAGAATAATGAAGTATCGGGGAACCTGCCCCCTGTAGTCACGTAGGTTCTTTTCTGTTTTCCCCAAGCGTCAGCCAGGTTGAGAAATAAAGGGACAGAGTACAAAAGAGAGAAATTTTAAAGCTGGGTGTCTGGGGGAGACATCACATATCGGTAGGTTCCGTGATGCCCCCCGAGCCATGAAACCAGCAAGTTTTTATTAGTGATTTTCAAAAGGGGAGGGAGTGTACGAATAGGGTGTGGGTCACAGAGATCATGTGCTTCACAAGGTAATAGAATCTCACAAGGCAAATGGAGGCAGGGCGAGATCACAGGACCACAGGACTGGGGCGAAATTAAAATTGCTAATGAAGTTTCGGGTACCATTGTCATTGATATCATCTTATCAGGAGATAGGGTTTGAGAGCAACCAGTCTGACCAAAATTTATTAGGTGGGAATTTCCTCATCCTAATAAGCCTGGGAGCGCTATGGGAGACTGGGGCTTATTTCATCCCTACAGTTTTGACCATAGAAGACGGCCACACCCAAGGGGGCCATTTTAGAGGCCGACCCTCAGGGGTGCATTCTCTTTCTCAGGGATGTTCCTTGCTGAGAAAAAGAATTCAGCGATGATATTTCTCCCATTTGCTTTTGAAAGAAGAGAAATATGGCTGTGTTCCTCCCGGCTCACCAGTAGTCAGAGTTTAAGGTTATCTCTCTTGTTCCCTGAACATTGCTGTTATCCTGTTCTTTTTTCAAGGTGCCCAGATTTCATATTGTTCAAACACACATGCTCTAAAATTTGTGCAGTTAATGCAATCATCACAGGGTCCTGAGGCGACATACATCCTCCTCAGTTTACGAGATGACAGGATTAAGAGATTAAAGTAAAGACAGGCATAGGAAATCACAAGGGTATTGATTGGGGAAGTGATAAGTGTCCATGAAATCTTCACAATTTATGTTTAGAGATTGCAGTAAAGACAGGCGTAAGAAATTATAAAAGTATTAATTTGGGGAACTAATAAATGTCCATGAAATCTTCACAATCCACGTTCTTCTGCCATGGCTTCAGCCGGTCCCTCCGTTCAGGGTCCCTGACTTTCCGCAACAATGAAGCATTGAAAAAAGAAATCTAAGCAGCCCCAAAGATATGAGATAATATTGCAACCCTGAAACAAGAAAAACTATGTGTTTATTTAAAAAGCAATATTCAAAGAGCAAAACAACATCTCACAAAAAAATAAAAAGCCATTAAAAAATTCCATTAGGATGAAAGATAAAGCTTAAGAAACTTCCAATAGTACAGCAAAAAATGCAGAGAATGAATAAAATATAATAATAAATAATAGATTTCTATTAAGAGGGAAGAAAGGAAACAGAGAAAATTATCAAATAAATAATAAGAAATAACAGGCCTACTAAGTACCCTGCACAACAAATGAAGACCTACACCAAACAATGAAGCATTTCAAAGCGCAGCTAGAAAGATACAATTCTAAAAGCTTTTAGACGTAAAAAGTCAAATACATGGGATTAGAAATCAGAATGTCTTTAAATTTCTCAATAGCTTGATGGAAACTAGCTGATATGGTTTAGACCTTTATCCCCTCTAAATCTCATGTTGAACTGTAATCCCCAATGTTGGAGGTGGGGCCTGGTGGGAGATGTTTGGGTCGTGTGGGTGGATCCCTCATGAATAGTTTGGTGCTGTCCCTGCAGTAATCAATTCAGGTAAGATCTGGTTGTTTAAAAGGGTGTGGCACTTCCCCTGTCTCTCTTGCTCTCTCTCTCCCCCTGTGATGTGCTTGCTTCCCTTTGCCTTCTGCCATGATTGAAAGCTTCTTGAGGGCCTCACCAGAAGCAGATACCAACACTATGCTTCCTGTACAGTCTGCGAAACCATGAGGCAATGAAACGTCTTTTCTTTATAAATTACGCAGTCTCAAGTATTGCTTTATAGTGATGCATATGGACTAACACACTAGCAGACAATAGAAAAATGTTTTCAAATTCAAAGGAAAAATGATGTTTTATACTCAAAGTATCAGTCAATTGTAAGAGGAGAATAAAAATTCTTTCAGACATGCAAGTTCTGAAAGACCTAGAGACCAACCCATACAGACTGAATCAGAAGGCTTCAGAAAAAAATTAAACATTTTTCACTTCTGTAGGGGGAATTAAAGGATCAACCATGATCGATAATTTTTAACTCCAGGGAAAACAAAAATTTTTACAAGAAATTTAATCATAAAATATATGGCTCAGTTATGAATAATATTCATGTAGTTATAATAATATAAATACTTGAATACTGATTTAACCAAAAACTGAAATAGACTTGACGGATGGGGGTTGGAAAAGTTCATGAGTAGGTAGAAGGGAGGGATATGTAAGAGAGATAATTTTTCCTCCTTCGTGGTAGGAAGTTTATAGATGAAACCCAAAACTAAAAAGTTTAGATGTAGCAGTTGTTACATGTTATTTAGAAATATAGTGATAATTACCAGAAGAAAAAGCTGGTTGATATCTGGAGAGCAGAAACTGGGTGTAGGGATAGGTGCAGCATTTTTGTCATTCGTTATACACTTTGTAAAACAATTGGATTTTTAAGACTAAATACATGTTTTATTTTGATTAAAAAAATCAAGATTAAATTATAAAAAGAGGCCAGGTGCGGTGGCTCACGCCTGTAATCCTAGCACTTTGGGAGGCCGAGGCAGGTGGATCATGAGGTCAGGAGATCGAGACCATCCTGGCTAACACGGTGAAACCCCATCTCTACTAAAAATACAAAAAGTTAGCCAGGCATGGTGGCAGTCTCAGCTACTCGGGAGGCTGAGGCAGAATGGTGTGAACCCGGGAGGTGGAGCTTGCAGTGAGCTGAGACTGCGCCACTGCACTCCAGCCTGGGTGACACAGTGAGACTCGTCTCAAAAAAAAAAAAAAAAAAAGAAAGAAGCACTAAGATTAAATGGAGAATTTCTTGTGAGAGTGTGTTGAGTTCACATATTCCCACTAATCTCCAAGACTCCTAACAAAAAATAAAAAATAAACGTAAAGATAAACAACAATTTACAAAGAGCTAAAAACCAAATAGCCAGAAAATGTTGGTAATTGAAAACACGGGTCTGATGCTTTCAAAAGAGGTTTAGGTAAGAAACATAAATTCGAGCATCATCTTTAGTTAGGTGGTAAATTAATACATTAATTTGAATAAACTCATTTTAGGATAAATAATGAGTGAGGAGAGAATGAGCCTTCCTGCTAGAAACAGACTGAAGATCCAGAAACTCAAATTTTAGGGTGCGGTGTGGTGGGTGGGCAGGTGACATGATCCATTAATGCCCACCATCTGGGGAGAAACTAGGAACGGAACTTAAATGGGGGCCCTCACACCTCCGAAGCAATGGCTTAAAACAAAGTATAATCCCTGCTGGGAAGTGTGGCCTGTATCAAGCTGCTGCTCAGAGTGGGAAGAGAGAAGACTGGCAGCCTCCATACCAGGACCAGGGCCATGCCAACCTTTGCTAGGTGCACAAGAGCCCAAAGAGCATTAAATATAAGCTATCAATTTAAGCCTGGAACGGAGCTGAGAAGTCCAGTCAGTCATGTGGACACAATCTTTAAGTAATCAGAGACACAGTAAAATTAAAGAGTATATGGAGCCCCGACCCAGAATGCCATAGAGAGAGAAGATGCAAAACCAAGTGGCTGGGTCATGAGCGATTGACCCAGGTACTTTGGTAAGGGGTTAATAGTGCGGACCCTGGAGCTACATTATAATAATTTAAATCTTGAATCCATTGTTTACTGACAGTATGATGCTAGCTATTTTTACTTATCAGCCAATGTTCTTAGCTTTCTCATCCGTAAAACAGGTGGAAACACAGCACCTGTTTCATAGAATTTTTGTGAATCACCCTTTAAAAAGAGTAAGCACTCAGAAAATATTAACTATAAGTATACTTATGCATACTGTTTATACTATTAATAATTATTTTGTTATGTTAGTATTTTATGAGTTCCAGAAGTAAAAAATGAAGAAAATTAAAAACAAGCAATATTTAAAAAGAAAGTGGCCGCGAATTTTCCCAAATCGAAACCCACATATCTTTTTTTTTTTTTTTTTTTGAGATAGAGTCTCACTCTGTTGCCCAGGCTGGAGTGCAGTGGTGTGATCTCGGCTCACTGCAACCTGCCTCCCGGGTTCAAGCAATTCTCTGCCTCACCTCCCAAGTAGCTGGGATTACAGGCACCTGCCACCATGCCTGGCTAATTTTTTTGTATTTTTAGTAGAGATGGAGTTTCACCATGTTGGCCAGGCTGGTTTTGCACTCCTGACCTCGTGATCCACCAGCCTCGGCCTCCCAAAGTGCTGGATTACAAGCGTGAGCCACCGCGCCTGGCCAAACCCACATATCTTTAAGTGTACTAGAGGCAAAACACCTCAAAGACTGAGAGTCTGATGGAAAGCATGCTACTTTTTCATGCTACGATAACAGTTGCCATAATTAAATAGTTCCAAAGTGCTAAGAGAAAATTTCCCTCAATCTAGAATTTCATAAATAGCTAAACTAACATTAAAAAATAAAGACCAAATATAGACATTTTCAAACATACAAAGATAAAGTTTGCAACCCACACATTCTTGCTAAAAGAAATACTAAAGGGCCCTGGTTCAGAAAGATGTCAAGTGAGTCCAGGAGAGGGAACAGGATGCAAGAAACAACTGTGAATCAGATGTCAGGAAAAATACTGGTAAATGCAATTAGCTATTGATTGTAAAAAACTTAGCTTGTAGTTACTCATAGCGTTTTCTTAAATTGTTTTTATATTCTTTCTTTATGTGTGCTGTTTAAAATTATTCTTAGCAGGCTGGGCACTGTGGTCACGCCTGTAATCCCAGCATTTTAGAAGGCCAGGGTGAGCAGATCACTTGAGGTCAGGAGTTTGAGACCAGCCTGGCCAACATGTGAAACTCTGTCTCTACTAAAAATACAAAAAAAAAAAAAGAAAGAAAACCAATTAGCCATGTGTGGTGGCACATACCTGTAATCCCAGCTGCATGGGTGGCTGAGGCACGAGGATAATTTGAACCTGGGAGGCAGAGGTTGCAGTGAGCTGAGATGGCGCCATTGCATTGCAGCCTGGGCAACAGCGTGAGACTCCATCTCAAAAATAAATAAATAAATATATAAAATAAAATAAAATTACTCTTAGACATTTTTCTAATTTATTATTGTTTACAAAAAGTCTGCTTTTGGCTTTGGTTCTCCTATTTTTTTTTTTTTTTTGTTTGTTTTCTTAAGGTTTTTATTTTACTGATCTCTTTTATTTTTCTTTCATTCTTTCTATAAATTAATTCATTTTTCTGTTTTCCTTATTCTTGAAATGGGATCTCACTTTGTTGTTCAGGCTAGACTTGGACTCCGGGGCTCAAGTGACCCTCCGTCCTCAGTCTCCTGAGTAGCTGGGACTATAGATGCATACTGCCATTCCTAGCTGTTTTCCTTTTTTTTTTTTTTTTTGAGATGGAGTGTTGCTCTGTCGCCCAGGCGGAAGTGCAGTGCCACGATCCCGGCTCACTGCAACTTCTGCCTTCCGGGTTCAAGCAATTCTCCTGCCTCAGCCTCCTGAGTAGCTGGGATTACAGGTGTGCGCCACCACACCCAGCTAATTTTTGTATTTTTTTTAGTGGACATGGGGTTTCACCATGTTGGCCAGGCTGGTCTTGAACTCCCGACCTCAAGTGATCTGCCCGTCTTCGCCTCCCCCAAATGCTCAGATTACAGGCATGAGCCACTGCGCTCAGTCTTTCTAAAACAGAAATTTGGTTTATACAACTCCTGTGATTATTCTTAAATAACTTCACATTCGTTCAGATGAAAATCTAAATTCCTTAACAGTGGTATAGTCATTTCCTATGCCCCTGGCACCATTTCTCCCTTCCCTCTATTAGAGACTAGGTCAGAGGTGTAGTGCATAAATTCTGGTATAAATTTCCTGACTCCTCTTAAAAAAGTACTCTTCCTGGTTTTTTATACCAGTATTCTTTTCCTTATTTCTAGTGTTACACTTATAAAACAGTTTTGCAAATACTTGTTTTTACTATATGTAATTGCACAGACCCTGAGTCCTATTATTTGTTTCACTAGGGTATAAGAAAATGCTTGTCATATATAATACATATGATTATGGTAAACAAGAATGCATTGAAGAAACTATTGCCCCATCTTCTTTTCCGAATCCTCTAAGGCAGCACGGGAGATTTGTACTTAGAATAAATACTTGGATGTGTTGGGAATGGTAGGGTTGAATTCCCTAGAGGAATACAAATTTAATAAATTGGAGAGCAGTCATAGAACTCTTATCATGCCTGCTGGTTTACTTTTTTTCTGTAAGCCTCTAATTGTAAGCAAGTGTTGATTTTGTTTCCTGAGAATATATCTTCTATAAAGAACAAAACTATGATGTATTGAGCACCCTTATCCCAGACTGTGTAAAGCTTTTATGGCATTAGTGTAGTCACCTGAACACCATTGAATGGCCACACACCACACCTCCACTGACTTCAGCATGTGTGACATCTTTTAAGATTTCCTGTAAATAGCTGGGTGTGGTGGCATACCTGTGGTTCCAGGTAGAAGATAGAAGATCAGTGTTAGAGAACACTCATCATATTCTTATAACTTCACTTGATTAAAACAACTAGGCACACTTGAATCAAATCCAGAAGGAACACTATTTTCTGACTACAAATACCCACCTTCACTGAACTGTTATTTTAGTGAGAAATTAATTTGTATTGCATTAAGCCTCTGAAAGTTTGGGATTTGTTTGTTCAGCATCTATAAATCTCTATCAATATTTGTAATAGATAACATTATTTATAGTTATAAGGAACAGTTTGGAGGAAAAAGATAATTAATTTAGAAAGAAGGTGCATTTCATAAGGACATATGGGAGTTAAAAAAAAAAAAAAGCTGGCCGGGCGCGGTGGCTTAAGCCTGTAATCCCAGCACTTTGGGAGGCCGAGGCAGGAGGATCACGAGGTCAGGAGATTGAGACCATCCTGGCGAACATGGTGAAACCCTGTCTCTACAAAAAAAAAAAAAAAAAAATTAGCCGGCCGTGGTGGCAGGTGCCTGTAGTTCCAGCTACTCAGGAGGCTGAGGCAGGAGAATGGCATGAACCCCGGGGGGCGGAGCTTGCAGTGAGCCGAGATGGCGCCGCTGCACTCCAGCCTGGGAGACAGCGAGACTCAGTCTCAAAAAAAAAAACAAAAAAAAGTTGGTCTCAGCCGGGCGTAGTGGCTCACACCTGTAATCCCAGCACTTTGGGAGGCTGAGGTGGGTGGATCACCTGAGGTCAGGAGTTTGAGACCAGCCTGGCCAACATGGTGAAACCCTGTCTCTACAAAAAACACAAAAATAAGCCGAGTGTGGTGGCGCTCGCCTGTAGTCCCAGCTACTCAGGAGGTTGAGACATGAAAATTGATTGAACCCGGGAGGCAGAGGTTGCGGTGAGTGGAGATCGTGCCACTGCACTCCAGCCTGGGCGACAGAGCGAGACCCTGTCTCAAAAAAAAACAAAAAAACAAAAAACAAAACAAAGCAAAAAACGTTTGAAAAAAGAAGGTGCATTTGTGAATTTTATTGCCCAGTTAAACCAGATAAAATCGGATGTAGAGAAGATGAATGAAATCCCTTACAAATAAGCACTGGCAATTTTAAGGGGTGAGCAAGCAAACAGAGCAAAGAACAGTGCTTACAAACAGAGCTAAGAGAATCCAAACATGGTGTTTAGAAAAAATTGCTACCTGTGCAGCATGCGACGGAGAGGCAAATAGAAAAACATTCCATTCTCTGCCTCTCGGTCATGTATACTCTATCTTTCTTCAAGATTACATGGCCAAATGAAAAAGTGAGACTTTGTTGTGACCCCCCGAAAATGTTCTACCTTTCCCTTTGTTTCTAAAGATTAAATGTTCAAAAACCTTACTTACCCCCACACCAATCAAAGGCACATACCCTGCTATTTGGAGGAGTAAATATTATTACTGAAGTATAAGTTCAAAACGTTAACCAATATTTGCTTTACTATGTTCACATAACCCAATATCATGTTTCAGATTTTATAACTTTTTAGTTAAAACCTATGTAATTTTTTAAATGCTCCTTTTATTTACTAGGAAAACTTCAAGTCATTTAATAAGTATTTTCAAGTTTCTGATAGTTCAAAAACTAAAATGAAATGTCAGGAGAAATTGGGAAAATATATCTGAAAAATATGACATGCCAGTTTATAGTCATAATATATAAAATGATTCTTTAAAGCAAATTTTCAAAGACTAACATTTGTATTGAAAATAAGATGGTAAAGAACAGAAACTGACAATTCTTTTTTTTCTTTTTTTTTTTTTTTGAGATGGAGTCTCGCTGTGTCACCCAGGCTGGAGTGCAGTGGCACAATCTCGGCTGACTGCAACCTCCACCTCCCAGGTTCAAGCGATTCTCCTGCCTCAGCCTCCTGAGTAGCTGGGATTATAGGCATGTGCCACCACACCTGGCTAATTTTTTATATTTTTGGTAAGGACGGGGTTTCACCATATTGACCAGTCTGGTCTCCAACTCCTGACCTCAAGCGATCTGCCCGCCTTGGCCTCCCAAAATGCTGGGATTATAGGAATGAGCCACCATGCCTGGCTTGACAATTCTTAAAAAAGAAAATCTAAATGACTTATGTATATTATATGAATGAGTGATCAATCTTTTTTATAATCATTCATTCAACAAATAACTATTGAGCCATATTATTTTTCATTTTTTCAGATGAAAAGGCAAAATATCATTTTTCAGATAAAAATGGTAGCTTTAAAACTGTGATATTCAGGATTGATGAAAGTGTGAAGAAATGGGGATTTCAATACATTAATTGCAGAACTTCAAAAGGGCAAGTTAGGCCCATATTTCAAAAGCCATGCGTTTCCCTTGATGTAGATATTCTACCTGTGGATATATATCTAAGTAAATGATCACAGAGGTTCACATTGATTTATATACAATAACATTTGCATAATTCATAATAGCTCTCAAAAGGAGACAAACAAAATGTCAAACAATAGGAAATTGGTTAAATAAGTCATGGTGTATTTATATGATGTTTAATAAAAGTTACATTGTGGAAACGTATTTTTTGACATGGAAATATTCTTGAGATGCTAAGTTAAAAAGAAAAATTTTAAATAATATGTATACTATTATTCTGATTATCCATTGCTTATAAATATGTTTGAAAATTCTCCCAAATATAAACAAATATGCCGTTCCATGTGAATATATTTGCATATAATATATGCTAACACATTATTAGCATATATTATATGCTCATCAGTGATGACCTCTGAGTGCTGTATTTAGGAGGCTTTTAAAATTTGTTTTTTTGTGTGTGCTTTTTCTATATATTTTGCCATTTCCCCCATTAAATAACCACTGCTTTTGTAATGAGAAAATAGCTACAAAATTGGGTTTTTAAAATTAGGTCATTGATAACCTTAGAGTAATTTCAGTATGTTATAAGTGTGGAAGATTTTTAAATTTGTTTGAGTAGTGAGTGTGACTGGAAGCGGAGGCAATGAATAGAGACTGCGCTTCAGAGCATCTGGCAGTAAGGAGCACTAGTGAGAAACAAGGGTAAGTTTTGGGGAGGTCAGATTGAGGGAAAAGAAGATGGGGACCAGGCGTGATGGCTCACACCTGTAATCCCAGCACTTCGGGAGGCCGAGGCGGGCAGATCACGAGGTCAGGAGTTCAAGACCAGCATGGCCAACATGATGAAACCCCGTCTCTACTAAAAATACAAAAAATTAGCGTGGTGGCGGGTGCCTGAAGTCCCAGCTACTCGGAAGACTGAGGCAGAAGAATCACTTGAACCCAGGAGGCGGAGGTTGCAGTGAGCCAAGAACGTGCCCCTGCACTCCAGCCCAGGTGACAGTTGAGACTCTGTCTCAAAAAAAAATAATAATAATAAAAAAATAAAAGACGATGGGATATGAATATATTTGGAGGATAATGGGAAAAAGACAATGGGGAAAAACATTTGTACATAGATTAAGGTTATCTAGAGATATAATATCTTTTCCTTAGCCACGTACCTTTGTATATAGGTTCAAAGGAAATGAAAAATGCAAACTACTGTGCTCTTAATACATAATAAAACGTGTATAAACATGATGAAGTGTTAGAAGGTTGCATTAGGGTTCTCCAGAGACGTGGAATCAATAAGATAAAGGCCAAAGAACTATCGTGGGGGGTCTTCTTTATTTGTTATCATACTCTTCCCTTATGTTTAAATATTTACTGATACATAATAATTGTACATATTTAGGGGGTACATATGATGTTTTGGTATATGCGTGTTTAGATTTTGATATTGAGAACAAAAGAGAGAATGGAGGGCGTCACAAGCAGTGTTTGTCACAAATAACATCGTGATAAAACCAAAAATAAAAAGAAACAATGTGTAATGATAAACTCAGGGAAATTAGAATATGCATCACCTCAAGCATTTACCATTTCCTTGTGCTAAGCACATTTCAAATATTCTCTTAGCATGGGACTCTTAGCTGACCTCAGAATCTACAGTACCATGGAACACTAGACTTCTGAGAAAAAAAAAAAGAGACTGAAATATCATTAAGATAGCATTTAATAGATAGCATGAAGAAAAGATAGTCATAGCGTGCAAAATTTCTTAGCTTCTGCAGAGCTTATAGCTTGCAGTGAACGCCAACTTCTCAGACAATTCCAGCTGAGTGGGGCCGTGGGGCAGCTCTTCTGAGAGAGTCCGCCCCAGCGTCCGTCCGCCAAGGATTTATTGAAAGGGCTTGTTAAACCACAAACATCCACTAGATGGCTTTTTTGAGGTGGGGTCGTGAGACACCTGTGGCCTTGTAAAAGCGCTCAAACTGCATGCTCAGCAGGGTGTTTTCAGTATTCCTTATCACACCACGGACTCCACTCCCTGTCCTGTTTTCAAGGTCAAGGAGTTTCATTCTCATGCACAAAGAACATACACACAGTGCCTCGGTATTTTTCCATGCCCCAACCTCACATGTCATGTACATAAGCTTTAATAAGTTGCCGTGCACTCCCACGGCTTCTATTACCCACATAACTCATCTAAGGAAAACTCTTTTAAAAGGACTATTCAATCGAAAAATAAATCAGAACACAGACTTCAAAATCAGAGAAGATGAAGAGAACAAATAGTGAGCAATGATTCATCTGTTGTATATATAATTAAGTCTGAGTAGATAATGATATAGTGACTGGGAATTCGTAATGTAAATGCTAAATAAAGATGCTTGAAATAATAGAGGTACTCGGCAAGAGAAATCATAATAACAGTCTAGAATTGAAGTGCTAATCTCCCTAAATCTTTGAAGTTGATACAGGGGATACAGAGAAAGGAAACGGAAGTGATGAAAAGATGTCAACTTGAGAGTAAAGATGGAAGGTGGGGAAGTAAATATTCTGGAAGTCTCTACTTTCTGAGGTGGGAGAAGTAGTGATGTGGCTGGATGTACAATAACTGGTATTTCATAAAAGACCAAAGAAATGTAGTTTGACTATGCATGCCGCGAAAGAGAATGTAACAACCAATGAAATAGAAAAATACAGTATTACTTCTAAATTAACCAAGAAAAAAAGAGGAATACATATTCTACCATTTTGGTATCACTTCGGGGAAATTAGTAACAGAGAGCTGAAATAACAGGGGCTTAAACATAAAAGTTTACTCTTCCCTCATGTACAATATATCTGAAGGTAGAACTACCTAAGACTGATGCAGTGGCCTCATGATTTCATCAATGTCCAGTTTCCTTTTATCTTTTTTGTTCCGATATCATTAATATTCAGTTTCCATCTTCAGTGTCATCTTATGAATGCTATATGGCCATTATTACTTCCATATTCCAAGCAGGAAAAAGGAGGAAGACTGAAGCACAAAGCTTCTCTCGTCTGTGTCACCCTCTGCAAGGAGTTTGCAGTTGGACTGGAAAACCCACATTTCCCACTGAGTGCTTTACCACTCTCAGTGGAACTTAGGTTCTGATACTGAGAACAAAGGAGAGAATGGACAATGAAGGGATCACTAGCAGTTTTCATTACAAATAGTATCTTGAAAAAACCTTAACAATAAGGTGAGGTGTGGTGGCTCATGCCTGTAATATCAGCACTTTGGGAGACCGAGGTGGGCAGATTGCTTGAGCCCAGGAGTTCCAGACCAGCCTGGGCAACATGGCGAAACCCTGTCTCTACAAAAATATACAAAAAATTAGCCAGCATGGTGGGACGTGCTTGTAGTCCCAGCCACTCAGGACACTGAGGTGAGAGGATCACCTGAACCCAGAAAGTCGAGGCTGCAATGAGCCATGATGGTGCCACTGCATTCAAGCCTGGACGACAGAGTGAGACCCTGTCTCAAAAAATAAATAAAAGCAAAAGAAACAATAGAAAAACACAAGAAGGAAGGAAAAATCATATTTACAGTTTTTAAATGTGAACGAACTGAATTCTCTTATTAAAAGATAAAGACCACCAGATTAAATGAAAAATACAAAACCACTTAAGTTGCTTAGAAATACAATTGTAACGAAATTGTTTTATAAAAAGGCTGAACACAGGAAGCACCTTCCCCAGTTTCTTCATCTTATTCTTCAAAGGGTAAACAAGAGTTCAGAGCTGATGATGATGACAATGAATAAAGACAACACAAAAATGTAGATATTTAATTGAAAAATATTAAGTATTTCCTTTTCATATATCTAGAGCAGCTAATTCAATGGTTTTTCAAATTACAAGATTAATATATAATTTATCTCTAAGACAATTTGCTTTTCATCAAATTGCACAAATCCCATTTAAAAATGTAAGACAGCACAATAAATATTGTGGAAAACTTATTGATATGCATTATGTCTTGGTCTGTTCTCTGTTGATTATAACAGAATAACTGAAACTGGGTGATTTATAAAGAAAAGATTTTTTTTTTTTTTTTTTTTTTTTTATGAGACAAAGTCTCACTCTCACTCTGTCACCCAGGCTGGGGTGCAATGGCGCAATCTCGGCTCACTGCAACCTCCACCTCCCGGATTCAAGCGATTCTCCTGCCTCAGCCTCCCGAGTAGTTAGGATGACAGGCACCTGCCACCATGCCCAGCTAATTTTTATATTTTTAGTAGAGATGGGGTTTCACCATGTTGGCCAGGCTTGTCTCAAACTCCTGACCTCAGGTGATCCGTCTGTCTAGGCGTCCCAAACTGCTGGGATTACAGGCATGAGCTTCTGTGCCTGGTCTAGGAACTTATTTCTTACAGTTATGGAGTTATTAAATTTCAACAGGAGTTTTGGAAGAGACAAATATTAAAACCATAGCACACTATTATAACTTTTAAGATTGTAAGAGTGCTGTTTGTATTTTGGGATATTATGATTTGATTGAGTTTATAGGGAGGAATTTAGTGGTAAATTATTTTATAATTACAAAAATATGTACATAGGATTTTAGATTTCATAATGAATAAATTTATTATCAGACAATGATCATAATCATGATTAATTCAATGCCAATTATTAAGAAACTACTTATTGGGCGGGCTGGGTGTGGTGGTTCAAGCCTGTAATCCCAGCACTTTGGGAGCCCAAGGTGAGTGGATCATGAGGTCAGGAGTTCAAGACCAGCATGGCCAAGATGGTGAAACCCTGACTCTACTAAAAATACAAAAATTAGTGGGGCATGGTGGTGGGTGCCTGTAGTCCCAGCTACTCAGGAGGCTGAAGCAGAGAACTGTTTGAACCTGGAAGGTGGAGGTTGCAGAGAGCCGAGATCGTGCCACTGCACTCCAGCCTGGGTGACAGAGTGAGACTCCGCCTCAAAAAAACAAACAAAAACTACCTATGGGTAATTAAAACATCAGCTTATAAATGTTGCAAAGGAATTATAGGAAAAACACATAATCTACATTTAAAATAAAGTATGTAATGAGAGGCTTTGAGTTGTCAGAAGGAAGTGTGATATGGTTTTTCTGTGTCCCCACCCAAATCTCACCTTGAATTGTAATAATCCCCATGTATCAAGGGCAGGGCCAGGTGGAGATAATTGAATCACGGGGGCGGTTTCCCCCATACTGTTCTCATGGTAGCAAATAAGTTTCACGAGATCTAATGGCTGTATAAATGGGAGTTTCCCTGCACAAACTCTCTTTGCCTGCTGCCATTAAGACGTGACTGCTCCTCCTTCACCTTCTGTCATAATTGTAAGCCCCACCCCCCCCCACAGCCATGTGGAACAATGAGTCAGTTAAACCTCTTTCCTTTGCAAATTACCCAGTGTTGAGTATGTCTTTATTAGCAGCGTCAGAATGGACTAATACAATAAATTGGTACTGGGAGTGGGGTGCTGCATAAAGATACCCGAAAATGTGGAAGCAACTTTGGAATTAGGTAACAGGCAGAGGTTGGAACAGTTTGGAGGGCTCAGAAAAAGACAGAAAGGTGTAGAAAAGTTTGCAACCTCCTAGAGACTTGTTGAATAGCTTTGGCCAAAATGCTGATAGTGATATGGACAATAAAGTCCAGGCTGAGGTGGTCTCAGATGGAGATGAGGAACTTGTTGGGAACTGGAGCAAAGGTGACTCTTGTTATGCTTTAGCATAACAAGCAGTGGCACTTTGCCCCTGCCCTAGAGATCTGTGGAACTCTGAACTTGAGAGATGATTTAGGGTTTCTAGTGAAGAAATTTCTAAGCAGCAAAGCATTCAAGAGATTATTTGAATCCTGTTAAAAGCATTCAGTTTTATGTATTCACAAAGATATGGTTTGTAACTGGAACTTATGTTTCGAAAGGAAGCAGAGCATAAAAGTAGAAAATTTGCAGCCTGACAATGTGATGGAAAAGAAAAACCTATTTTCTAAGAAGAAATTCAAGCCAGCTGCAGAAATTTTCATAAGCAATGAGGAGCCAAATGTTAATCACCAAGACAATGGGGAAAATGTTTCCAGGGCATGTCAGAGGTCTTCAGGCAGCCTCTCCCATCACAGGCCTGGAGACCTAGGAGGAAAAAGTGGTTTCGTGGGCTGGACCCTGAGCCTTGTTGCTTTGTCCTTTCTCAGGGCTTAGTGCCCTGCATCCCAGCCATGGCTAAAAGGAGCCAACATACAGCTCAGGCCATTGCTTCAGAGGGTGCAAGCCCCAAGTCTTGGAGGCTTACATGTGGTGTTGGGCCTACGGGTGCACAGAATTGAGGTTTGGGAACCTCTGCCTAGTTTTCAGAGGATGTGTGGAAATGCCTGGATGTCCAGGGAAAGGCATGCTGCAGCAGCACAGCCCTCATGGAGAACCTCTGCTAGGGCAGGATAGAAGGGAAATGTGTGGTGGGAGCCCTGACACAGAGTCCCCACTGGGGCACTGCCTAGTGGACCTGTAAGAAGAGGGTCACCATCCTCCAGACCCCAGAATGGTAGATCCACCAACAGCTTGCACCACATACCTGAAAAAGCTGCAGACACTCAAAAACGCTAGATGGGAAGGCAGCCATGAAGGGGGCTGTGCCCTGCAAAACCACAGGGGCAGAGTTGCCCAAGACCATGGGAACCCACCTTTGCATCAACATGACCTGGATGTGAGATGTGGTCAAAGGAGATCATTTTGGAGTTTTAAGATTTGACCACCCGCTGGGTTTTGGATTTGCATGAGGCCTGTAGCCCTTTTGTTTTGGACAATTTATCCCATGGAATGGGTATATTTACCCATTGCCTGTACCCTCATTGTATCTAGGAAGTAACTAACTTGCTTTGGATTTTACAGGCTCATAGGTGGAAGGAAATTGCCTTGTCTCAGATGAGACTTTGGACTGTGGACTTTTGAGTTAATGCTGAAATCAGTTAAGACTTTGGGTGACTGTTGGGAAGGCATGATTGGCTTTGAAATGTGAGGGCATGAGATTTGGAAGGGGCCAGGGTGGAATGATATGGTTTGGCTGTGTCCCCACCCAAATCTCACCTTGAATTGTAATAATCCCCACGTTAAGGTTGAGGCCAGGGGGAGATAATTTAATCATGGGGGTGGTTTCCCCCATACTGTTCTTGTGGCAGTGAATAAGTCTCATGAGATTTGATGGTTTTAAAAATGGGAGCTCCCCTGCACAAGCTCTCTTTGCCTGCTGCCATATAAGATGTGACTTTGCTCCTTCTTCACCTTCCACCATGATGTGAGGTCTCCCCAGCTATGTGGAGCTGTGAGTCAATTAAACATCTTTTCTTTATAAATTACCCAAACTTGGGTATGTCTTTATTAACAGCATGAGAACAGACCAATACAAAGTGTGAAAGTGTTGGGTGCTTGAAGGATGGAAGAGAATAGGTACAGAAAGAGAGAAATGTCAAGGACACATCTGTCACACTTGGAAATTTTACCAAGGACCTCCAAACCAGATTGCAAACTCTTGGTTTTCCATTTGCCACAACTGTGTCAAGTCACTGTAACTCCAGTGATACCCTTAATAGTCCTGGTTTGACCTTTGGTTGCATGAGTAAGTTACATCTTGTACTGACTTTGTAATGTGGCTCTAACTATTCACAGACCTTGAAAAATAGAATATACTAGTCAATGTTCAGCTAACTTAGAATAATGATAGACATGAAAGATAAACTTAATACTCAATCTGACTATACCAAAGGAAAAAATGTCAGTTTCACTAGTAAATCTTGATACAAGGAAGTGGAAGAACTATATCTGTATTCGTTGCATAAAAGTTATGACACATAAAAGAGATTTGAATTTAGTCTTTTCACTAATCATAAATAAAGCACGAAGATAACTTAGACCATTATAAACACGTTGCTTTTTATTTTACTAAGTTATTTACATATGCTGTCTCACTGAATAAAACAACAATCCTGCTAATTAGATGGTATTATCATCATTCTACAGAGAAGACTAAAGAGAGGTTTAAGTGGTCTGCCCATGTTTACACTAGACACTGTCAGAACAAAGCCTCAAATGCAGATTTTCTAACACCAGGTCCAGTCTTACCCATAATACACCAAACTGCACACCAACCAAGTTTTCTTAAGGTCCATGGAGCAATTGAAAATATGTCTAAAACATCTGGGGGTATGTGCAATGGGGAATAATGGTGTTGGATTATTTTACTAGACTTTCAAAGGAATTCATAATTAAAAAGCAAGCTAAGAACCACTGACCTATACTGTAAGTTACCTGAAATAAGGAACTTATTTTGTTTTATTCTTGTTTATACCCCAGCATTACTATAGTGCCTAGCACTACTATAATGCCTAGTACCAATATAATGAAAGGTGGTAAGGACTTATAAATTTGTGGATGAATCAATAGAATATGCCATATAATTTAAGATATTTTTCTGATGTTATTTGTATAACATGAAATTGTTCTGATAATTTGCTTCCCCCTGAATTATATAATAATCTATATAGATATTTTATACATTATTCCAAATAACCCAAATAAAGTTCTTAAAATTTGGGGGAGATAAACATTTTAATTAAATCATCAGTGTATTTGGCTGCAGGAGCCAAACAGCACCTGAGGTAAGGTTAAAAAAAAAAATTAGAATTCAATTTAATTGATATCCAAGGGACAAAAAGAGTTATTCACACTGATAAAAGGTCCAACCTCTAAAGAAGGCATGGTTTAAATAATAACTCACAATCACATTTTATAAAATAACTATGATTTAAAATATGATACATTGACAGAAACAAAAACATAGCAGGGGACAACAAGATACTATCAGGCACATATATATCAGGTAGACAAAAACCAATGGTTAGTTTTTACTTTCAAAATACAATTAACAACACTGAATACAGCTATAAGTTGAATGTTGTATTTTGAAGCACATACCATGCTTTCTTGTTCAGGAACCATGAAATGGTTTCAAATATTGGTCACAAATAAAACTTCAGTAATATCCAAAATGAAGAAATTGCTCAGGTCACATTCTTTAGTCCAAATTTATAACTAGAAATTAATACTGACAATTAAAACAGGAAAACATTTCAACTACCTAAAATATTAACCTCTTCAATAAGTGAGTTAAGATGAAGTAAAAATAAAATCATAGGTTACTTAGAAGTAATAAAATACACTATAACATTTTAAGAGTTTATATGTGGCTAAAGCTATAAATAAATACACACCCATAAATTATGGTGTTATTTAATTAATTTAATTTTTGAGACAGGGTCTTGCCTTGTCACCCAGGCTAGAGTGCAGTGGCTCACTGCAGCCTTGACCTCCCGGGCTCAAGTCATTATCCTACCTCAGCCTCCCAAGTAGCTGGGACTACAGGCACATGCCACCATGTCCTGCTAGTTTTTGTATTTTTTTGGTAGAGACAGGGTTTCACCATGTTGCCCAAGCTAGTCTCGAACTCCTGGGCTCAAGTGATCCACCCATCTCAAACTCTCAAAATGCTGGGATTTCAGGTGGCGCCACCACGCCAGGCCAATGGTGTTATTTTAAAAACAAAGAATCGAAAATGAACTGAGGAGAAAAGAAGAAATGCAAAAAAACAAAAACAAAAACATAAAAATTAAAAAAGGTTAGAATATAAGAAATAACAATAGAAATTATTAAACATTTCTAAAAGGATAAATTGATAATTTCTTGAAGAAACTAACAGACAAATTTCTGAAAAAATATAATCAGAAGATAAAACAAAATTAGAAATGAGCAAGGTGGGCCGGGCGTGGTGGCTCATGCCTGTATCCCAGCACTCAACAGGTGGGCGGATCACCAGAGGTCAGGAGTTTGAGACCAGCCTGGCCAACATGGCGAAACCTCGTCTCTACTAAAAGTACAAAAATTAGCCGGGCATGGTGGTGGGCGCCTGCCAGCCCAGCTACTCAGGAGGCTGAGGCAGGAGAATAGCTTGAACCCGGGAGGTGGAGGTTGCAGTGAGCCGAGATCGTGCCACTGTACTCCATCCTGGGTGACAATAGGGAAACTCTGTCTCAAAAAATAAAAAAAGGAAATGAGCAAGGTGACAGACATGAGTTTTTTTAAGGAGTTTTTAATATTAGAAAATACCATGTGAGTATAAATTTTCTCTAATAATTTTTTGATAAAATATATGGCTTTAAAGGGAAGTATAAATACCAGATTTAACATAGATAAAAGTTGTAAGTCCAAACAGACAAAAATAAAAATAGTGAAAGAACCTGAAAATATAACCAAACATCATCTCCAGGGCAGGAACAGGTAATTAATATAGCACATAATTTTTAGAAAACAGAAATACATGAAAAGCAACTCAGTTTATTTTATTAAAACGTTACCATAGTATCTAAATATATAAGAATTTTCCCCAAAACTTTATTTTATTTGTTATTTTTGAGATGGCGGTCTCACTATGTTGCCCATGCTGTTCTTGAACTTCTGGGCTCAAGCAATCCTCCCACCTTGGCCTCCCAAAGTGCTGAGATTACAGGCATGAGCTACTGCACCCAGCCAAATTTCCCTAAAACTTTAATGTTTTATTCAAAATTTTAGGTCAGAAGTTCCTTCTTTCAAGGAATTTACAGATAAGTCACGGAAGACATATGAATCAAACTATAGTTAGTGAAATACACTTCCAGCAGTCTGGCAAACACTATCTGAATAACCCTTCCAGGGTTGAGAAATGGGAACAATTACACACTGTTGGTGGGAATGCAAATTAGTTCAGCCTATGTGGAAAGCTGTTTGGAGATTTCTCAAAGAGCTAAAAATGGAATTATTATTTACCCAGCAATCCCATACTGGGTATATACTCAGAGGAAAATAAATCGTTCTACCAAAAAGACACCTGCACTCATGTTTACCACAACACCATTCACAATAGCAAAGGCATGGAATCAACCCAGGTACCCATCAATGGTGGACTAGATAAAGAAAATGTGGTACATATACACCACGGAATACTATACAGCCATTAAAAAGAATGAAATCCTGTCCTTTGCAGCAACATGGATGTAGCTGGAGGCCATTAGCCTAATCAAATTAATGCAGAAATAGAAAAACAAATACTGCATGTCCTCACTTGTAAGTTGGAACTCAACATTGTGTACACATGGACACAAAGATAGGAACAATAGACACTGGTGTAAAAAAAAAAAGTAGACGTTCCTCTTCAAAGACTTTCTTCCCCATCTAATTAGGAATAAACAGTAACTTTCCTTAGAAGCAAAATTTATTCAAAGACCTGTGCCAACATTCTTAAATATCTGCTATCTGTAATAAAGAAATCAATGTACTTTATGTTATCTCCCACAATTTAGCCTAAATATTTGCCCTGGCATGCTTATACTGGTCCAAGCAAGCATTAGGTCATAGCCTGTTCCTCTTCCTTATTTGAAGGTGTTTTTACCTTTCTCAGCATTCCACAAGTTACTTCCTCCTTCCTTTGTTCTCCTCTGCCTTTGCCTCTTTTAAAAGGTTCTAAGTTGCTAGCCAATCAGGACAAATACAGAATGTGAGGTCCCGTTCCAGCCAGTGGAAATCAGACACAGCAGTAGTGTGGACGCATCAGGTTATAAATGACCCTGTCTCCTTTGTTCTGTGTACTCTGGTGACAAAACTGCTAGTGAGTGTACCCTTTCTGCAGAAAGTAAAAATGGCCTTGCTGAAGAAATTAAATTTATGTTCAAGTGCTATTTCTTTACGGCACTGGGGAACAAGCATTTCTAACACTGGGGATTCATGGGAAGGGAGGGAGTGGGGCAAGGGTTGAAAAACTAAAAAACTACCTATCGGGTACTATGTTTGCTACTTGGGTGATGGGGTCATCAGAAGCCTGAACCTCAGCATTATGCAATACTCATGTAACAAACCTGCATGTGTATCCCTTGAATCTTAAAAAAGATAAAAATAATAAAAAATAAATCTAGGGTTACACTGGAGAATAAGCCTTGGGAATAAGCTGTAAGAAGTAAAAGTTGACTCTACTAATAGCCTAGGATACTCAAACAGGGCTAAAGTGGCCCCAGTCCATAGCAGTATGTTACCCGAAAAAAACAAGCAAATGCTAATTCTCTCTGGAGGCAGCATGCTCAATTTAGTTTCTGACTCCCACAGATGACCTTCAACCACATATAAGTTCAGAATAAAAATGCTAAACATATGAAGACACAAGTATTGATGTGTCAGCAGAGAAACAAAACATTCGCTGTAAACCACTGTTAAGTCATATTGGATTTATCTGTTAATTTTGACTGCAAAATATTTCACTGTAATTTATTCATCCACTCTCGTCAATGGGCATTTGGTTTGTTGTTGCTATTGTGAGCAGTTCTACTAAGAACTTTAATGACCATGTCTCCTGGGGCATTCATGCTATCATTTCCTTTAGGTAAATACCCAGAGGTGGAATTGCTGCTTGAGCATATATGTGAATCTATCTTAAACTTCACAAGATAATGCAAACCCTTAGTTTCAAAAATAATTGAAACAATTTATACTCCTACCAGCAATATAAGAGATTCTGTGTAACATTTGTTAATTTTTGTCAGTCTACTGAGTCCAAAGTTGTATTTCATTGTGGTCTTTTTTTTTTTTTTTTGAGAGAGAGAGATCGAGAGTCTTGAGTGCAGTGGCTGATGTCGGCTCACTGCAACCTCTCTCTCCAGAGTTCAAGTGATTCTTGTGCCTCAGCCCCCGAGTAACAGGGATTACAGGTGTGTACCACCATGCCCAGCTAACTTTTTGTATTTTTAGTAGAGACAGGGTTTCACCATGTTGCCCAGGCTGGTCTTGAACTCCTGTCCAAGTGATTTGCCCACTTCAGCCTCCCAAAGTGCTGGGATTACAGGCATGAGCCACCACACCCAGCCTCAGTGTGGTCTTGATTTGTAGTTTCTTGATGACTGATCAAGCTGAACATCTCTTCTTACGCTTATTGGCCATGTTTTTCCAGTCTTTTGCCCATTTTTCAATAGGCTTGTTTGAACTTGGTTTCAATTTTTATTCAACTAGTTGCCTAGTTCATTGCATTATTCTTGGACAAAGGACAAATTAAATATACAACATTAGGAGATTCTCCAAATACAACCTGCCTGGAAAATACTCTGGCATTTGTTTATGCTGCTTTTCCCCCAAATTTGGTGTGGCCTTCTTCAATGGGTCATTAGCTCAGAACAGATGGCACCTGTGCTCTTTGAAGATACCCATACACTTGGCTGACAAAATTTGTCCTTTTGTATACCAATAGCATTTGATTTATACCACTCTATTAGAGCAAACCATATGTGTACAACTACACGTCTTTCCCCTTTCTCTCCTAGAAAAATAGGAGTTTCTTGATGGCAGTAACTTGCTCATTTATCTCTGAATATTCAAAATATGCTTGGAAAAGAGGCATTAAACAAATGTTCAAAATTCAAAAGGGATGACTTTGCTACAGGATCAAATTTCAATGCATTCCATTCACTTTACATTTTATAATTCTTATTTTATGTAGAGATGGGGTCTCACTATGTTGGCCATGCTGGTCTCAAACTCCTGGCCTCCAGCAATCCTACTGCCTCAGCCTTCCCAAAGTGCTGGCATTATAGCCACCCCCACCCCGCCCCCCTCATTCACATTTTAAGTGAGGCATTACAGAGTTTTAAATCAAGTTCTTTAACATTTTTAGTAAGCAATTTTACTATTAATAGTAAACTTCAGAAAATCTTGATCGTTTTCAGTTTGAGATATTCTGTTCAGTTATTGAACCGTGTGACCCAGTTTTGGTTTGGAAGATATGATTACTGTCAGGACTGGGTACTTACTATACCATAGGACTCAGAGTCACAGACAAAAATAAATATTTCTTGGGTTTAGATAATTAGGTTATATTTTATAAAGAACAAAACACAAACAAAAAAATAACTATGCTACAAGGGAAAATATAAGTTCTATTCTAATCAAAGAATTGAGACCACTACAAAAATAAAAAAAAACCCCAAAACCATGAAATATTTAAACAATTCCATATAAGTTAAATACTTAAGGAAGAGTTTTAATTGTCATACAAATATCTACAGTATTTCTATCCTCCATCGGGGCCCTAACTTTCATCCTTAATTTATGTGAAACCCAAAATCACTCATTTGGTCATGCAACAAATATCGAGGGCACGAAAGTATGCCAGACTCTATTTCTTTTAAGTAACTCAATTTTTCACTTGCATTAAAGAAAATTGAACTTCTCCGAGTGTCTCACTGTCTTAGAAATTAAACTAACACCAGTATTGTGTACTCACTTGAAGTCTTTATGGAGTAGGAGAAAGTACTTAGAAATGACACGTCAGCAAAAAGGAACAGGGGAGCCTTCCTGGCAGAAGAAGAGGCAAATGTCAAGATCTAGCGGTGCGGAATCCTTCGCCAGCTGGGTTCCAATCTTGACTCCAGTTCTTTAACCCCTGGGGCTGGGAAACTCCCTTAGAGTGACTTCAGCCCACCGCACCAAGGAAGCTATATGACTTCTTCATGTTTAGAATAGCTAGAGCAAGACCAAGCGTGGTGGCTCACGCCTGAAATGCCAGCACTTTGGGAGGCGGAGGCGGGTGAATCACTTGAGGCCAGGAGTTCAAGACCAGCCTGGCCAACATGGTGAAACCCCGTATCTACCAAAAAAAAAAAAAATACAAAAATTAGCCAGGCGTGGTGGCGCAGGCCTGTAATCCCAGCTACTCCGGAAGCTGAGGCAGGTGAATCGCTTGAACCCGGGAGGCGGAGGCGAGATCGTGCCACTGCACTCCAGCCTCGGTGGCAGAGCTAGACTTGGTCTCGAAAAGAAAGGAAAAAAGAAAAGGTAGAGAAGGGGCAGATTAGTTAACGCGGCATGGATCACACCGCATCCTGGGGTGCCAAGCCTAATGAGAAGTTAGGAAGGACAGAGCCAGGAGTAGAGCGAGGCTGTTATACGGAGCTTTACCGGAGGCCGGGGCGACCCCTACGGCCTGGACGCAGGCTGATCACCAGGTCTTCCGCCCCCTACCCTCGCCTACTGGAAAGTGCGCTTAACTGGTAGCACCAGCCCCACCTTTCTCCAAGACCCTCACTACACCCCGGGAGTACCGGGTAGGACCACGCGCTTGGTAATCCCACAGCTGTCTCTCTTACATTCTCACTGAACTTATTAGAACCTAACCCGCCACCCGTTTCCCTTCTAGACCCCCAGGCTGCTCTGAACAGGGCCTTTACTCGGAAGCCAGGGCTTACCTCCCGGCTGCGATAGGGTTATTTGTGATGGGCATGACACTGCTCGGAGCGGGGGATTCCCGGCAACTTGGCGACCTGCAGGTGATCTGGCCTTTCATGCCGGCGTGACCCCCACTGCCTGCCTGCCAACTCCACGCCCGCCGCCAGGTGGCCGAGCAGGACGCTACCCGCTTGGCGTAGGCAACTTTACGCAGCTGGCTAAGAGGGAATCGCAGGGTGTCGCGAGTTTCGCCCGGCCGCCTTAATCTCAGCATCTGAGCTTGGTCACCTCTCACTCAACGTCAGCGATTAAGTAAAATAGTACCCAGTAAGACTACGCGCCACACTAGAGCTGCATTCAGCTTTCGGGCTTGCAGGTAGCGGCGTGCTGCGACCTCCCATTTCCTGCGACTTAGCAAGCCCTGCACACGCACGAACCGCCCTTGACGCGTGACGCTCACCCCTGAAGGCCAGCAGGAAGTCACCTAAGCCCTGATTTACATGGAAGCCATCCGATACGTGCTTATGGGCCAACGACTCGGCCGCTTAGAAGACCATGACCAGTTCTAACACTAGGGCTTTGTACAAGCACTCTTCTAAACAAAATCCGGTGTCTGGATTTTGGGAGGTCACTACTGCGTTGCGCGGCACCTCCAGGGTCGTACCTAAGCACAGGCGGAACCCCCTCCTTGAGGTCTAGTTCTCCCCGTGCCCGCCAAGTCTAATCCCGAGCAGATGCTCGGGCCGCGAATATCCCATTTCCGGTATCCGGAAGGCGACATCAAAGGGTTGATATTTACCCGTTATCTAGGAAGTGTTAACAGCTCTTTCTGTGACAGTTTGGGGGCCCTGAAAAGGGCCTTTTGGAGTCTGTAGAGAAGCTGTGGGGACAGCTCAACCGCCGAAACCATAAAGGGTGCGACCCTGGCGTTTCAGCGCGTACACCACATCCATGGCCGTGACGGTCTTGCGCTTGGCGTGCTCCGTGTAAGTCACCGCGTCACGGATCACGTTCTCCAGGAAGACTTTGAGGACTCCCCGGGTCTCCTCGTAGATGAGACCAGAAATGCGCTTGACGCCCCCACGTCGGGCGAGACGGCGAATCGCCGGCTTTGTAATGCCTTGGATATTGTCCCGCAGCACCTTCCGGTGGCGCTTGGCGCCTCCCTTACCCAGCCCCTTGCCACCTTTACCTCGCCCAGACATTCTGAAATCACAGCGCCTACTCAGCAGAAAATCGGGCTGCCCACTGTGATTGCCAGTCGCAGACCAGGGCTTATAGTCTCTCGATGCGGACCTGTTTGAAAACATCAAAAAAGTGGGCGGAGCTCTAGGCCCCACCTCTGGAGACATGCTATAGTTGTTAAGTCCAGGAAGCAGTCAGCGAAACCAGCCTGATTTTTTTGTTGTTTGCTCTTTTGGGAAAATTTTTTCTGATGTTTGGAGAAAGGTTCATGGTGATACGTTTTAAAGTTAAAACAGTATGAGCTAAAAGAATTTATATTGCCTTTTCTCAGCGCTTAAATAAAAGTAGGCCAGATCCTATGCACGTTCCTTGTTCTGTCCCTCCCTCCTTCTGTTTTTTCAAACGGAATTCCTGACTTACTATGAAACTCTATAAAAACCTGAAAAGCTTTACATCCGAGATTTCAAAGCAATTACTTAAAATTTAAAATTTTTCACACGTGGGTCTTCTGAAGACATAGTAGGGGGAGAGGACTTTTTTCTCTTTTACGGCCCTGCAGATAATTAAAATTCTTTCAATTGAAAAAAGAAAGTGCAGCTTCCCGTCCCCCACCTACACTCCACCCCCACCTCCCCCCGACCCCCGCCATTCCCCTTTCAGCTGCTTCTGCGCAATTTGCAGGTTTTCCTGCCCTGCAAGAGCCTGTGTGCTTTTCAACCAAGTAACTTCCTGTGGTTATTTAGTTGAAATATTGTCAATGTCTTATGTCATTCAAATCTCAGGTTCTCATCTCACATTTTCCACTTAAAAATTCAAAGTTCTTGTAAAACAATGGATGCCACAATCATGACTTGGAATAATGATTTCTACTGCAAATCCCCTCAGGAGGTTCTGAATCCCTTCCTTTCTCAAGAGAATCCCTGAACAAAAACGAAAGTTTCTGTAAGGTGTCACCGCTCTTCAAAGGTGTCAGGACCCTGTCTTCTCTAAAGGTTTTACTGTGTTAAAAAGCAGCTGTTATTTAGAGGATGAGTCATAAGTCTTTCCCAGGTAGTTAATTAGGATTCTGAGCAATGAATTTTAGTAAGTGGGGCTTCTTTGTCCCTGGTCTTGAAGATAAGCCTTTACAGCAGGAAGACTTTATGGTAAAATTTTGTTATATTTATAAATGCCTATAGTTTACATTTGTTTCAATCCATGCCCATCTTCATAACCCAAAAGGTATTTATTTTTCTTTTACTTTTTGTTAAAGATAAAAGAGTTGGAACACTGTCTTGAATGGCTGGAAAAAGTCCTGAATGGTCGAACTTCACTCATGATTTTAATATTTGACTCAGAGGGAAGAGGAAAAGTCTATCAGATCTTGAAGAGATAAGAATTATTGTAATGGGGCCGGGCGCGGTGGCTCACGCCTGTAATCCCAGCGCTCTGGGAGGCCGAGGAGGGCGGATTACGAGGTCAGGAGATCGAGACCATCCTGACTAACATGGTGAAACCCCATCTCTACTAAAAATACATAAAAATTAGCCGGGCGTGGTGGCGGGCGCCTGTAGTCCCAGCTACTCGGGAGGCTGAGGCAGGAGAATGGCGTGAACCCGGGAGACGGAGCTTGCAGTGAGCCGAGATCGCGCCACTGCACTCCAGCCTGGGCGACAGAGCGAGACTCCGTCTCAAAAAAAAAAAAAAAAAATTATTGTAATGGTAAAATCGGTTGACTTACTTATAGTTAAGCTTTCTAAGAAATCAAGACTAGAACATTTTCAAATTAGAAATCTCTTGCTTATTGGAATAAAAGAAAAAAAATCGTGTCTAAAATAGTAATACTTTTAAAAACTCTTGAAAATTCCCCAAGATACAGGCAAAAATTTAAGCTAGTTTACAGAACTCATTCCAGGAACATCTCGTTAAAAACTGCATCAGAGATTTGTATGCCCATTTATTTGGTATATCTAAGAGTTATTGGATGCTTACTAACGTATTTAATTTTCAAAACACTTTGATACAGGTAGAGGAGTCAAATAACTTATCAAAGGTCACTGCTCAGTGGTAAAGCCAGGATTTAGGCTGAGGCAGACTGGCTCCGGAAAGACCGCCTAAACCATGACAATAGCTCTGAAGACATTTATTGAGTCCCCAGTATGGGTTCATCATTGTTCTAGGCAGTAATGACATATACATAAATATTTGAAAATGTTATTTCAATGAAGTCAAATCTTTATTCGGATAGTGAGAAGGTAAATTTGCTTTACTTTAAATGTAAATGAATCCACATAAAATGTTTATTTTAAAAAGCAAGCGTTCAACATTACATCACGTATCGGTGTTAACTGTGTTACTGAAAATGTTCAGGTAAAAATGAAATGACCTCGATGAATTAGGAGAAAGTAATTTTTAATTAAAACAAAACACTTGAAACACTCTTTTTGTTTCAAAAAGCATGGGTCCACAATTCAGGTATATAAGAATAAGCTGCCATTCTGACTTTAGTCTCTGGACTCATTTACAAAGAGACCCGGGGGACCTCCACGTCTTCGCAGAGGACCCGATCCGCTGATCTGTGGCGCCCTGGCTTGCGGGGAGCAAGCCAAGGCCAAGACTTTGGCCTCTCCAATAAAACCTAGTGGCTCTTTGCAGGCCCATAGCCTCAAAGACAAAAGATATTTTGGCTAGGCGAGCTTGTTCCTCCCGTCAGCACAGGAAGCATTCACGTCTGGTCATCACTCTAGCTTCAGACTCAAAAGTGAACGATTGGCTGGCTGTGAGCCGCAGGACCCTGCGGGGAGACCAGGGTGGTCTCTACACTGTTGGGTAGCTAGCTGGAGGCAAGGCGCTTGTATAAGAAACAGTCCACGGACCCTGTCCTGGGCAGGCAGAATTCCGCGGACAGGCTGTTGTTTCGCCTAAGCAGCACGGGCTGCGGAGACAGAAACCTACCTGAGTAGTACGGTGTATTATATGAGAACATCCACTTAGCATAGCAACGTCTACGGACAACCCCTGTAGCTCTTCTTCTGGATTGTTTTCTGTTTCCAACCATGTTTTCTTATTTCCTACGAGTTTATGTGCTTGGAAGCGAGCGTGGTCGTGGAAAACCCGTAACCGCTAAATTCATCTGGGTCCCCAAAGACTGAGCCGGCTGGCCTCGTTATTTATGTGAGCGGCTATGTAAATGAGGATTCGGAGATTGCTCTATTGATTGGAGAGAGCTGGAGGAGGCGGTCTCTCTTCCAGAGCGCTAGTTGGGAGCGGAGCCTGCCTGTCATTGGTCACCAGAGCCAATGGAAAGGGGCTGCCGCGCGGCCGTAAAGAGTTTGTAGAGGCAGTTCGGGTGCGGTACGTTGCATTCCGGTACCGGACGCCGAGAGCGGTTTGTCTCCGTCTCTGGAGTTGTAGGCGAGAGGTGATCATGTCCGGTCGCGGGAAACAGGGCGGCAAAGTGCGAGCAAAGGCCAAATCCCGCTCCTCCCGCGCGGGCCTGCAGTTCCCGGTGGGCCGAGTGCACAGACTGCTGCGCAAAGGGAACTACGCGGAGCGAGTGGGCGCCGGGGCGCCGGTGTACCTGGCGGCGGTGTTGGAGTACCTTACGGCGGAGATCCTGGAGCTGGCTGGCAACGCCGCGCGTGACAACAAGAAGACCAGGATAATTCCCCGCCACCTGCAGCTCGCCATCCGCAACGACGAGGAGTTAAACAAGCTGCTGGGCAAAGTGACCATCGCTCAGGGCGGCGTCCTGCCCAACATCCAGGCCGTGCTGCTGCCCAAGAAGACGGAGAGTCAGAAGACGAAGAGCAAATGACCCTGACGCCGCCCTCAGGGAGCTGGCTCCCCCAGCAAAGGCCCTTTTCATGGTCGTCCCGCAATGCTTTTGAATGTGCTGGATGTCATGGAGGGCCGGTGACATCTAGCGGGGAGGTGGGCGGCGAGGGTCCCGGCGGGAGCCAATAAAGTTGGTGAAAATCGTTTGGTCGAGAGAGCTGTGTAGTCGCGGGGACATGTCGGATGGCCCCAGGGGAGGGGGGCGACCGGGAAACCCCTGGAGCAGGCACTGGTGGGTGGGCTTGAGCCACTCTGGACGGCTTTAGTCCGCAGGTCACCCTCGAGGCGTCAGGGGAGGGTGGCCTGGAGGTGGGCAGGGTGGAAGCCACCTCGCTGTCAGTAGGGCAAAGGGGAGGCAGAGTCGGTGCGGTGAGGCCTCCTTCGGAATTATTTTTACTTCCCTTTCACAGAGCCTTCGCTCTCCTGCCAGTTTGTGAGCACTCAGGACCAAGTTCTGGGAAGATACCGTCGGATCGAGCTGAGCTCGGGGCAGGAAGTGTCTGCGGCCATATTTTTCAAAAAGTGGAGTAACTTTCCGTCTTGGAAGGGTGGCTCTGATGGCACGATGTCAACTTGAGATTCTTCCTAGCCTAGTAGCTGCTGTGCTTTCATGCTTTGGATATCAGATATCTTTATATAGCACTTTTATGTTCATATTTTTTTTTTAATGAAGGAAACGTTCAATAAGTGAGTCATGAGGTTGGAAATTCGTTCCCCTGACAGTCATATTGCATAACATTGCAGCGCCTTTAGTCGTGGGTTACATATGCTTGAGCTTTTAAAGTGATGTTGTCAAGTTTCTAGCTTCATAATGATCCTGTCTTCATCATATCATATTCACTTTGAGAATCGGTTTGACTTTGCTTTCAAACAAAACAAAAACCTCTTGCTTTTAGGGGTTCTTACCCAACAAATAACCTGTTTGAACTCTCTTATATTCTCCCACTAGCCTGAAGCAATGACCTCATTCCAGTAATGTCTTTGGGAGTTGCATTGCCTAATGGCACAATATTGCTTTAATAAACATGTAAGGAAAGATAGGACCAAATATGTAAGTGCAGGGGGAAACACATTTCAGACCAGGAATCCACATTGAAAAGTTAACACTAGTAATCATCTTCTGCCCTTAATTGACACTCCTATTTATTTCATCCTCAGCAAATTTCATCCTGGCTCACAGACCCCACAAAAAAGATCCCAGTACAGATTTCACATCTTTGGATTCATCTTTCCTGTGAGTCGGAATTGAAGTCTTCCCCAAAAATATATGTATATATTGTATGTCTTCATCCTTGGTAGCGGCTGGCCCATTTTCCCACATGGACTTTATTTTGTCCCCAGTATTTATTGAACAGCTGTCTATGCCAGGCTCTGTACAAAGTGATAGGAGTAGAGCTGTGAATGAGGCCAACCAGATTTCCACTCTCTCGGAGCTCACTTTATTTTTATTGGTTCCTGAAGACGGGACAAGGAACAAATACATACGTTAATATGAGAGATCAGCTTCTGTTAGTACTTGTACCTCTCTGCTGTGTGTGGATGAATGATGGAATTACTTCTCCCATGTTGCCATTTTTGAGGTGTACAAAGGTCAGGCCGTACACACCTCTGTTAGGAGGCAAATTATTGGGCAGGTTCGAGATGTTCTGCTATTTACTCTGTGGTTTTGTCATATGTAAAAGTCATAACACCTGTTTTAAGGATTGAGATTGTTCATTTACTGTGTGCCACATATTAGACAATAAATGGAAAAAAGTACCATGTTCAATGGGGGTATGGGTTTATCCTTATAGGTTAAATTATAGGTAAACATTAATAGGACTTTTTAAAAAATGCCTCATTGTTAGAACTACTACTCACAGTTACCACTTGGGGTCAGTGGAACAAAATGCATATATGGTTTTGACATTTGAGTCTAAATTTCTTAAAGGGATGAGGCATCTGAGGGATTGTTACCAAAATGATGAAGAAATAAGGACAAGGGACATCAAGACATTCATAAGAAAAAGCACCTTTGCCTTCCCCTGGGAAGATTCACAGGAATCTGTCCAGCTCTTGTTACATGATGAGCAACATAGACAAGATACGAGGCATTGTAACTGCCCTGTCGCCACCCGCCTCTCCCACCACTACCCAAAGGATTCTTAGCATCCCCTCACATACTCTGCCTGCCTCAACGTTCAGTCAGCCCCTCACCATTTTTGTTTTTGAGAGTTTTTTTTTTAACCCGAATAGTTTACGGGCTGTTTAAAATGCATACTCCTACAAAATCAGCTCAGCCCATGATCCATGATGAACAAACAGTAGTTCTTGCTGATGTGTGATTATGAATTTAAAAGGCCAGTATTTCTTTAAGCATAAGACCATATGGAAAAAGGCCTAAGACAAAATCTGATGGGAACTGAATTCCAGTTTTTAATAGAGTTATAATCCATAGTTTTATTTACACACAAACACACACACACACACTCTTTCCTGCAGAGATAAGCAAGCCGTTCAGTGTGGCTGTGGCTTGGCCAGGATTTGTTTGATCTTTGTTTTTCCTGCAGGGCCAGTCTTGTCTTTGTGTCCCCGAGGACTGGTCTGTTTAGTTGTGCCTGCCTGGAATCAAAAGGCTTAGTCAGGCCCCATAATTGGTGATGACTGGCATACTATATGCAAACTTCACAATGCCCCTTCCAGTGGTTGAAAGGTCGCATACCATGCTGTGTAAGAACTTTAGCTCTCTGCAATGAGACTTAAATTCAGATTCACTCTACTCCTTATTAGTTATCTGATTTTTGGAAACTTAATCTCTTTAAACCTCAGTTTCATCTCTAAAATGGGCATAATAGTTTACCTCATAGAGTTTGGGGAGAATTGAGTGAATTAATGTGTGTGAGGACACTAAGATTCCCATATAGAAATAGGCTCAATGAATAGTAGCTGTTTTTATTTCTATGTAAAGTGAGTAGCGGTAGTTGATGGGAGCTGTTGAAACAGGTAAACAGCATTCTAGCAATCCTTCGACTTTTGTGATAGCAAACCATAAAAACAATTTTAGTGGCTGTTTTACTAATTAAAGGACATCCACAATTCAATGTATAACAGAAAAAGTAATGATTAAAGCTTGTGAATCTGAATTTGCATTTTCGTTGTTTTTTGTGTGTGTGTTTTGTTTTTTGGTTTTGCCCCTGAAGACAACCTAGTTTAGAATTTATGGCTTGTTAAGTCCACCCACACACATTAAAAATGGACCCTGTTTGTTCAATAATTTATTGAACAATATTATGTGTTACACCTGTGATTGGTAACCAGCTGCCAAGAAACTCTCATAGGACACACACTCAAAAGGAAGATAATAACAGGGTACATGTAGAGAAAAGGAGATGCTCAGGGTGTTAACAGGAACAGGGAATATGGGTACCTGTGTCACTCAGCTGCGTGGGCACACTGGCTGGTGGGAGGTGTAAGCTGGGCTGAGAGGCAGCATGCACGAAGACATGGGGGTCAAAAGGTAACTCCTGCAACTGGATTTGGGTCTGAATCTAGGGGAAAAAATCTGGATTGGAGATAATTATTTGGGAGTCATAACTAAAAATAGCCAGAGTAGATCAAATCATCCAGAAAGAACATATACATGTATAGAGTATAGACCGATATCAAAAATTGCCACAACAGAATTTGAGGATCTGTGAGATTTAATCAATTGGCAGAGGAAGAAGCATCACTAAAGAGAGGAGAGGATGCAGCCGGAAGGGCACCAGGAGAGAAAGTGTCAGTAGAGATTTTTCCACAATTTGGATCGCTGTGCTTCTTCATACCCCCTGCTTGCTTATACTTTGCCATATAACTAGAAACTGGTCTTTAAAAGTTATTACTTTTTTCCACACATATGAAATGGTGACAAGCTGGCTCATGTTACTAATGGAATTGGAATCGAAATGCATTTTTACCCTTTACATTTTTAAACTGCACATATGGAAATTCAAGGTATACATGGTGACAGCAAAAACATTTTTCTAAAAAAAAAACCTAGAAAAATATTGGCAAAGAACCCTTAAAGATATCCTTTATCATCATTCTTTTTAGTTGAATATAATTTTTTACATATAAATTTTAAAGAAGTTTTAAAAACAGCGGTAACTTATTCATAAAGCCAATGTAGGCATTTTAGAATGATTACAACATGAGAAATTGGACTCTGACAAGCCAATTTTCTAAAAAATCAATAAATGTTTAGCTTTCCAAGAGAGAAATGGAGAGTAAGAGGAACAAAGAAGAAGCAGAGGAAGAAATAATGAAACTGGTTTCAGGTAGATATGAAATTATCACTGTAAAGCTTTATTTTGTTTTCTCCGTAAGTGGAGGAAGGAAAGCTTACGTGTTGAAAATTGGATTTCAACATATACATACTTGAAAGAGAATGATGGCTTTTTTGGGCAGTAACTTGGAACCATGATTTTTTTTTTTTTTTTTTTTTTTTTTTTTTTGAGACAGGATCTCTCCCTGTTGCCCAGGCTGGAGTGCAGTGTTGTGATCACAGCTCACTGCAGCCTCCACCTCTAGGCTCAAGCCATCCTCCTACCTCAGCCTCCTGAGTAGTTGGGACTACAGGTGTGTGCCATCACACCTGGCTAATTTTTTTATTAATAATTTTTGTAGAGATGGGGTTTCACCTTGTTGCCCAGGCTGGTCTCTAACTCCTGGGCTTAACTGATCTTTCCGCCTCCGCCTCCTAAAGTGTTGGGATTATAAGCATGAGTTACCACGCTCATAGATCCTTGATAATTTTATCAAGCCATGAAATAAAAAAGCCAGCTTTGCTTAACCCCAAAGTATGGAATCAAAGGAGAGATGAACCCTATATTCAACAAAATTATCTTTCTTTTAGACAAACAAGCCATCTGCTCATGGGAGTTTATTTGCTTTCTGTTTTAAAGTACTTCTCAAATGAACTGTCTTTTTCATGTCAAAAGCCCAAGTGACCACTACAATTCCTAAATATCCCTGATGAAATGGTGCGTTTTAGAGATGGAAGTGTACAGATTAGCCTTGTAGTGAGACATCATGAAGAAAGCATGTGTTTGGCCTGAAAGAAGTGCAGTTTTAAATTGTGAAGACTAGGAGAAATGCAGTGGTATGTAAAGATGTGTAACCTCTAACCCCCAGAGTTTGGCCATGGGCCAGCTATTAGTCTAGGCAGACAAAACAAAATAGTCCAGTTCTCAGGCGCACATAGACAAGACTGAGGAAGACATCTTAATCAGGTTTGGAAATGGTAACCCCAGGCAAAATTTATCCTAAGATGTCTGGTCTGGAGACCTTCTGAACTCATTAGCACTTGGAGGTCACTTGCAAACAGATTTATCAGAACTATGTTTATAACTTTCCCTGTGGACAACACTAAATATTAAGCAAGCAGTAGAAGCAAGGAATAGAAGACTAAAAATGGTTTGATGAAAGAATATAAATCTGATTAGATAATTTAAAAAATTCCAAGAGACCGTCTTCCTAGGGAAACACATAAAGTCAACACTGAAGTGCTTCAACAGAATATAGGAACTCAGTTCAATGTGAACTTACTTCCCAGCCATGAGCAAGTGGCACCTCATAAACATTAAGTCACAAGAGGTCTCAGATGTGTGCACTGCGTTGAGAGTCCTGGTGCAAGCAATGAGAGCTTTGGCCAAACCTGTATTTTTGTCTGTGTCCTCCAGCCCAAGACCATCAGGAACATACTCGTAGTTGAACAAGTTGGATTTATTTCTCTTTGCAGCAAGGGGGAACACATTCCATGGGGAAATGTGGGGTGTCTCAGTAAGAGGCTGTTAGGGTGTATTACAGGATTTGGGTTTGTGTTAGTTGATTTGGGGGCTTTGCTCAGAATTGCATCCTGTCAGGAAGTAGGGTGCAAGGAATGCTGTAATGTGCAGAATGAAGTGAAACTAAAGCTGTCATTGGTAAATATGCTAATGCATATTAGTCAGGATAGTGGGTTTTTGTTCATTTTTGTTGTTTGGACAATGTTCATGTTTTTGTTTCTGTTCAGACATGATTACAGAATGGTCTTTTTTTAATTTGATTTTTCACAGCCTTGTCTTGTGTTAGTGTTCTGTGAATTGTTTATGTTCAACAGATCACCACAGTGTAGCTGTGTCAGGCCAACTCCTAGCAACAGCACAGTCTAGCTGATAGTCCAGGTCATGGGCTGCTTTTCCCTTGCTCATTAGCTTAAAAAATAATGTGACACCCAGAAGAGTGGTTGCTCAGCGGTGGAAGTAGACAAATACATCTCAAGGCAAATGTTGGCAGTGTCCAAGCATCATGCAAAAGAGGGAGCTACTGTCTTCGAGTAGTTTAGTTACACATTTACATATTTTAAGCATCCATATCCGCTAACAAAATCCTCATTTTCATGTTTATCAAGTAACTTTCTATCTTGAATGTATCTTTTTGTCCATGTCTTCACATAGGGTAAGAATGTCCTTGTTTCTTGAACATGGTATTCCAGGTGTTCCTCATAATAAATCATGCTTTAAATTTTTTATATCTGTATATGCATATTACTTATATTTATTTAAACGTATATATTAGGTAAATACCATGACCTCACTTTCCTCCCTTCTTCCAATATCCTGTTTCCCATTGCCCAGCCCAAATGGAAGACAAAAGAAAGCCCATTGATGCCCTATCTACAGTTTAGCCTTCTGGAGGCATACAGCAGGGTAGAAAAGTATAAAGAGGGCGTTAGGAGGGCAGACCTCTTAGTTGTCCAAATATAATATGAGCATGCATCCATTGCTGGGGAAAGAGTGTCACTGGACGTTTTACAACATGATTAAGGTTATCTCCTCACAAAACCCTTGATATACAGAGTGTTCTAGCAAGAGCAAACAGTCCAGATGAAACCTCTGTGTTGCAAAACTGTCATAAGAGTAGTCCTTAAATGAAGTCTATAAAATTTATAGCTTTACAGATTCCAGCCTGTTCTTCTGCCATTCTTTATACCACTCACCAGCCATACAAAACTCTCTCTTGTCTCTTCCAGCAGGGTACAAGGGCCCAGAGAACTCACAACCTCTTTTTTGCTTCAGCCCATCCACTAGAACTAGCTCAGGCTTAATCTAACTGCAAAGAAGCCCAGGAAATATAGAAGAGAAGATGAAATATTTTGGTGAGTACCATTGTCTCTGCCAGTTTCTTGGAGCATTTTTGCTTACTTCCTAGTTCTTAGCTTTGTTCTATTTAACATACTTCTGTTGTGGAGCTTGCCAGTTAATTAAAGTTCCTTTGAGATTTTTCAAGAAAAGTGACACACACAGTTATATTAGCTAGCACACATAAGCTAACAGTACTAGCTAGTAGCCCCTGCCAAAAGGTGCTTGAGAAATATTCCATTTGTTTTTGCCAAAGGAACCTATGCTAAGAATTGTTTTAAAACGTTGTGATAGTAGAAGTAAAGACCACTGAGTTTTCTTTGGATTCATGTGTGCCAGTTATGAATTTATTGGTTCTGAGCTCCAAATTAAAACTTCAAATTCGGCTCTGAGAAGTTTTCTCAGTAGAGGGCCCTGTAGAGAAACCTTGCAGGAAGAAAGGGCGTTATTTCCATTTGGACACCAAGTAAGGTAGGCTACCTGCCTTCAGTACAGGTTTCATGTTAGGAAACCAGAGTAGTGACAGAAACTGTATAGCTCACAAAGCCCAAAATACTCACCATCTGGCCCTTTAGAGAAAGTTTGCTGATCCCTGTTCCAGTCTATGTGTGGAAACAAAAATGAAGAATACAAGGCTCCCCAAACCACAAAGCATCTATTGAAATAACTGATGTTGTTCTGCTAGTTTTTTTCCCATAAAAAAACTAGCAGAACAACATCAGTTATTTCAAACAGATACTTTTTAAGGTTAACCCTTCAGTTTTAAAACAATCTGTCTTAAAATTATTTCTTCAAATACAAGTTTTTTTTTTTTTCCCCATGAACATGTATTTTGTAAATGAACTTTGAGGGTACAAGTGTAAATTTAAAAATACCTCCTCCTTTGGTCTGGGTTATTATGCAGTAAGAACAGTCTTAGGGGGAGATGTTGGATTTGTACTTGGCCTGGGTTTTACTTCCCTTTTCAATCAAGAAAGGCATCAAACATTCTTTGAAGGTATGGTTTTCTTTGCAATAAGTTGCTGAAGCCCTTTTTCACTTTTACAAAGAAGTTCAGCCTTCATAAAAATAATATGGCTTTTTCATTTGTGGGTGGTGTGTTTTATAAAATCAGACAGGATTTCAGAGATATGTTTCCCCCTCTTCCTGCCTAAACTTTGGCTGCCATCTTCCTTTTTTGTCTCACTCCCCATTTTATTGGGATTAAGATTGCTGGGTATAGACAGTAATAATGAACAGTGTAGTTAATTCTGTTCTTCCTTGGACTGTATATTTTTCTAGAGATTCTATGGCTAGAAACTCTGTGGTATTCTTTCTTCACAAAATACTGTTACAAAAGCCATTAAAATATTTTTTACATTTCTTACAGCATTTTTAAAGTGTTAATTCTGCATGTATTTATCTCCTGCAGAAGTGGTGTAATTCTTACTAAAAATGGATTTATCGTGGTATTTTACAATTTTAAAAACACAGCTTATTTTTAAGCTTAATATGCCTGGAAGGGAAATACTCTGTGACTGGAATAACATGTCAAGGAAAAATGTGTTTGGGGACCCATGGTCTTCAAACTTCTTTGCAGACTTCTGATTTATTTGAAATACATACTTTCTCTATTTGGTTGCAGCACCAGTAGACCCACAGTGTATATTTAATATTTCTAAACTTACAGAGAAAATATTCAATTTTTAAAAAAAACTTTTAAAAAGTTAACATGTAAAATTATAAACGTAAAATGAATATGTCTTCACTGGCACATGGCATATATAGCTGATTTTTCCCCCAAATTGCTCATAAAGTTAACGATTCTTTAAAAATGTAGCATTAGTAAGTATTGTACTCAAGATTTGAGACAGATAAAGACAATGAAGTTTATTCCCTGAATTTCCCTAAGGTCCATGAGGGTAGGGACCTTACTTGATTTAGCTCACCACTGTATTCCCAGCACCTAGCTCAGTTGTTGGACAGTAACTGTCTATAGAATAAGTAAACTTCATAAACTCTGACTCTGATGTCCCCAGATCCTCAAGTACGTCATTCCATCAATTACACCATCATTCTCCACCCTCTCCCTATTGGCTATTGCCCCTCAGCAAAAGTCTACCAATTAAAATCCCTCCATTCACCCAGAACATAGCCACCTGCCTTCTGTCCTCTTTCCTTCATAAACTACAAGGCCTTCCTAGAGAAAAAAGCTGGGAGACAGTTCTTTTGGCTTCACAGAAGTTCTGGTTCTGACTTTTGCCAAAAGCTCTTATTTCTAAGAATGTAAAAATATGTTTTCCAGCAACTCATTAATACCTTCCTGGATCTAGGATCTGTATATGAAGAAATTATGTGTAGTTCTGCTTGTTGACAGCTTTGAGCCCCAGTAGTCCTTAAATAAGGCGAGTCTTCCAAACTGGCTGAGGAACATTTTCAGACGTTAGATCCACTGTAGTTTGAGTTAGGGATAAAACCGTTCAGTTCTATATGGGTAGCGATTGTCCCATCTTCTGGGCCTGAAGAATTACTTGAATGCAATAAAAATGATTTAAAAAATACTTATAAATAACCCTTCCCAGCTATATATAAGGAGATATTTTAATCAAGAGCACAAACAAGAATATACAAAATGAGAACTGAAACAGAATCTTGGATAGCATCCAGGGCTTCATGCTGATTCCATGACATGGCAGAGTATTATTGTGGTGATCCTTAATTTAAAGGGGCAACTGCTGTCCCTAAAGTGACACTTTGATAAGGAAATAGTAACAAGTCTATCCATATACATGATTAAAGATTTCTATCATTTACATTTCATAGCTGTGAGCTGACCATTTTCATGAAAATATTATGTAAATTATGATCATAACAAGTGTACCCAGAATCAGAACTGCTAATTAATTCCCCTTTCCTGTGGATGCAGCTGATGTATTGTCACACCACTAATTTTCAGAAAATTATACTAGCAATATAAGGAAATGCCTTTATGATAAACTATCAACAGCTTTCTTATATTAACATAAATCAGAAATCTCCAACTGAAGGCTGAGATGGGAAGATCACTTGAGGCTAGGAGACCAGACTGGGCAACATAGCGAGACCTCATCTCTAAAAAATAAATTAGCTGGTTGTGGTGGCACGTATCTGAAGTTCCAACTACTTGGGAGGCTGAGGCCAGAGATCACTTGAACCCAGGAGTTTCAGGCTGCAGTGAGCTATGATCACATCACTGCACTGCAGCCTGGGCAACAGAGTTAGAACCTGTCTCCATGGAAAAATGATAAAAACATCACTCCCAGAAAGAATATAAGTTTCAAGTAAGACCATTAAAAATATTTCAGATCAAGTATTGGGAAATAATTCTGTTTATGCTGAATAACTAACAATATTGATACCATATGGTTTGATCCTTGATATCCGTAAGTTATCAAGGATGGTGTCAAGGATTGATAACATAAGGTTCAATCCTTACATCTGAACAGACTCAATTCACCTGTGGACCCGTATTAATATTACACTAAAAAACCAACCCAAAACGGTCTATTTAGTGCTTTGGCAGGATTTGCTTTAATATGAAAGAATAAATCAGTATCTTCCAAGCAAAGCCAAACAAACAAAAGATCTTGAATAAAAATCTAAAAATCCATCAACTCAACTCTAAGAAAATAAATGCCTTATTGTATTATTGCACTACATTTTAGGTTATCACCAATTTTTGATAGTATGGGATTCATGTAAAAGGCATTTGAGATACTGTGGAAAGTAACGTATGCCTAAACAATGCACGCACTGTGTGTATGTGTTTATGAAATACACACTTTGGATCACTGGATAAATCACGAGTCCTTTTTAAGTTTCAATACTCTCTAATGTAAAATGGGGAAAATACCCAGAAAAGTTATCTATAGGGTTAATTGGTAGATGAGTTAGTCATTAAATTAACATTAAACTTACTAAGAGTTAGTCTAAATTGGTAGATGAGTTTACATTAAAGCACTTTGTAAAGAAAATGGTATAAATGCAAATTAATGTTAAGCACTCTTATTCATTCATATTTTAATATAAAAGCACACCAAACCCACCAATTCAGAAAGGAAAAAAAGCTAACCTCTTCTGATTCTTTTATAGCTTAAAAATGGTTTAAAATGACTTTTGCCATTCAACTCGTATCAGTTCAAGAAGCTCTGGAATAAGTAACCACTGAAGGTAAGACATCTTTTAAATAATAAAAGCCAAACCATACTATTCTTAACACCTCTCAGTTTCTCTAAAGCCAGTATGACAATCTTAAAAAAGGGAAATAATTACTCCTTTTTATCCCTTAAAATTTAAAATGTAGTTTTTACCATGTTTTCAGTAAGATTCTCATTCTGTACCAGAAAGGCAGTTCCTTAAAGACCCAAGTTTTAAATATTTAACTTTTTCTGTCCATAAAATAGGTATTATGTTTACATATTATCAGTAACACAGAGTATCTTGGTGTAGAACATTTATTTATTTTTCCCACAAATCACTGAAAGTTTAGGTCAGTGGGAAATAATTTTAATCAAATAATTGTACATATTCTTCCCACATATCCTGCCTTGTATTAGGAAATGACATTGTGATCCATTTCATTACAAGTAAAATATTACAAAATATTTACAGGAAAATATTAAAAATAACTCAAACACAAAAGGCAAGATGAAATAAACTGTTTTTTTTTCTCCAGAAATCTCTACTCCAGTGCCCACAGCACACAAGAGTCAAAACAAATAAGCAACTAAGATCCCCCGATCACAAATTTCCAAAGAACTGGAGGAGGGGAAGAAACAGGGTGAAAATGGTGGTATGAAAGGGAATGGATGTTAGCAGCACTGCTTCAATAACTGATCTATTCTGGATGAAATACCCTTTTTTATGTGCAGTAAATTCTGAACAAGGCTAAATTTTAGGATATTCCTTGAACTGAAATTAGAAAATACCCTGACAATGGAAGCAGCTCTTTCATCTAAGTTTAATAAGAGCCTCTTTCTCCATGGGCCACTGTTGTGAACAGAAGCCTTTTCTGGCATCAAAAGCTGTCACAGTAGCCCTTCCATCTCTTTCATGAAAGCCTCATAGACATCATCCTTAGTTTGTACTGAGACAGGAACAGAAGGACCAGATTTGGGTGCTGCTTTGGCAAGAGGCACAGCAGAATCATCCTCTGACTTTCTTTGGGGAGCAGCAGTAGCCCCTTTATTCTCCCGACGTACTCTCAGTGCAGTGGGCACAAATCGAGTAATCTCTGCCTTGGGATTAGTGATCTGTGGCTTGGCACTGATGGTTGCTGTGGCTTTCTTCTCAATGGTGGCTGCACTTGTATCATCCGCCTTGGGTCGCTGAATCAAGTTGGGTGGGGCACTTAAAACCCCAGGGTTTGGCAAGGGAGCTGGTGGGAACAGCCCAGGGGGGGCAGGTCCAAGGGGAGGCACCAAAGGTGGGCGCATCATGCCAGGACGAGGTGGAGGAATACCTAAATGAATAAAATAGGCAAGATGAATACTGTAAGAACTAATAAAATTTAACTACTATTAAGGACATTTAAATATTGGTTGCCAATTTTTAAATAAATGGATAACAACTTACAGAAAATAAGCTGAATTCATATTGGTTGCTATTTGAAACTCAGGAATATTTTATTATAAAACAGTATTTACCTTCAGCCTATATTCCTGTACTTACAGTATTATGTTCTCTTCTTCTCTAAATAACATCCTACTTTAAAATATAAAGGGACATCAACTGGTTTCAAATTACTATCTCAAATCTCACATCCCAAGGTTCTATTCCAGCTGCATAGTGCAGGTATTAGTAAGGACAAGGTCAGGAGACTGATCCCCATGCATTATATTCCATACCATTTCCCCTGCACAAAAAGGTCAATGGGCAGGAAATAAAATTTTAACCCTGGTCATCAAATGCATACGGAGGCCGAGCATGGTGGCTCACACTTGTAATCCCAGCACTTTGGGAGGCTGAGGCGGGTGGATCATTTGAGGTCAGGAGCTCGAGACCAGCCTGATGACCAACATGATGAAACCCTGTCTCTACTAAAAATACAAAATTAGCTGGGCGTGGTGGTGCACGCCTGTAATCCCAGCTACTTGGGAGGCTGAGGCAGGAGAATTGCTTGAACCCAGGAGGCGGAGGTTGCAGTGAGCTCAGATCGCGCCATTGCACTCCAGCCTGGGCAAGAAGAATGAAACTCCGTCTCAAAGAAAAAAACAATGCACATGGAGTAAGAGAATGCAACTAATCACAATCTGTCATCATTACTGGAAAAGAACTCATGTCCTATGGACAGTTCAGACATACACAATATTCATATACCAAGAACTGCAGATTTCAGTTCTTCAAATACCACTTTTAAATGAAATATTAAGTACATTTTATCAAATCTAAGATCCTATTGATTACAAACTCATAATTATTCTGTGTACCACTGAGAGAGAGAGAGGAAAAAAAGCCCCAGCTGGGGCACTGAAAAGCAGATATTCACATGAAACTGGGACATTTCAGTGTTGTAAACTAGAAATATACCTACCACATAAAACAAGCCCACAAGAAAATCTGCATGTCTAACCTTGACATTAGGTAGAGGTAAGGGAAAAAAACACTCTAATTTTAAACTTTAAGTTGGTACTCATGCAGATGCATGAAACGGCTTCGTAACTACAACTAAAACCAAAAAATTATCAAATAGAGAATTTAATCCCATGTTCTCTGGCTACAAGTTCCTCAAGTGAACCAAGTGCAAATACCCACTGGAAGAACTGTACTTCAAGCCAGGTCAACGGCAACTTAAAAACCACCACTGACTGTAAGATGACCTCAGATTTCAGAATACTGAAATGTGACCATATGTCTTAGAGCAAATTAAATAAACAGCAGGCTAAGTTTTTATTATAGAAATTGAAAGCATCACCTGGAGGTGCAGGGGGAGGTAGCCTTGGTGGGGGTCCACGAGGAGGGGGACCAGGAGGCAGACCTGGAGGTGGACCTGGGGGAGGGCCAGGGGGTCGGCCTGGTGGTGGTCCTGGAGGTAAAAGTCGGGGTAAGGGCCCTCGGAGTCCTGGCATTCCAGGTGGTCTCAGGAATGGAGGAGCTCCTGAAAAGAGAAAAATGATAAATTAATGTCACACAAATGTACACTAAGTAATAATTATGGCTTAAAAGTAACTCAAATATGGTTTGACTTTAACCTGAAATCAGATTAACTTCAAGAAGTTAATGAAACATACATGGAAACAGAATTCATTCAATAAATATCTGAGTACAGCCGGGCATGGTGGCTCATGCCTGTAATCCCAGCACTTTGGGAGGCTGAAGTGGGTGGATCACAAGGTCAGGAGTTCAAGACCATCCTGGCCAAGATGGTGAAACCCCATCTCTACTAAAAATACATAAAAATTAGCCGGGCATGGTGGCAGACACCTGTAATCCCCGCTACTTGGGAGGCTGAGGCAGGAGAATGGTGTGAACCCGGGAGGCGGAGCTTGTAGTGAGCTGAGATTGCGCCATTGCACTCCAGCCTGGGTGACAGAACAAGACTCCGTCTTAAAAAAAAAAATATATCTGAGCACCAGAAAAATGGTACTGGATTTGTTGTGGATCTTTTCACTTTATTTCCCAACACTGACAAAAAGCATATTCAATCACAGCTCCGCAATGTTGGAAATATACAAAGGTGATAAGAATTCTTAAATGGTTCCAGTATAAGCTGAAAATGGAATATAAAACACAATGCTTTAAGGACCCCTTGAAACTCATGAATATATAGACAAAGACCACTAAGAATGACATAAAATAGGTAACTTTGCTTTGCACCAATCGGAAAATGATTAGCTCAACTGAAGAAAACTTAGTAGGCTGACAATAGGATGAAGGACTAAAATCACAAATAGCTGAAAAGTTCTCTGTTGCTTCATTTCATAAATAATCTTTTTATACTTTCAAACTGAACACTTAATAAACAGACTAATCACCTTTGCCTCTAAAAAAGAACTACAACTAAAAAACTATGGAGATTACACTGACATTCAACATTCCTAACCTAAGAACACAAGACATTATTAACTGTGTCTTACTCCCACCTGCTGCCAATTTAGAGCTAGGTCAACCTATCATACTAAAAAGCAATACTAAAGAAAACCTCCATTACATGTTCAAGTTTCTGTCTGCTGTAATAAGAAAAACTGTGAAAACAAGAGTGCTCTGGAGAAAAACAGGTGGCTGTCAGTAGAACTATGAGTTGCAAACAATGGTTTGGGAATGAACAACCTTTACTTGTCCTTTGAGAATCCTTCACATCTTAAGAGAATCCAATTAGGAGGAAACAAGAAAACATGAACACTAACAACACATAGTATTTTTTGGAATGACTTCATTCTAACCTCATTTAAACTTTATTCACATTATGTAAGTGTTTACCTGGAGGTGGACCAGGAGGAAGGCCTGTAGGTGGCCCAGGAGGCCGTAATGGTGGAGCAGGTGGTGGTCCAAGAGGTGGTGGTCCTGGCATGGGAGGTGCTTGTATCTGAGAAGGAGGAACAGACTGCGGCGGAGCCTGCTGCTGTGAAGAAGCAGTGGATGTGCCATCAGAATGGGATTCCTCTTTATGCTGCTTTTGTGATTGCTTTTCTGCTTCAGAGTCATCAGAATCATCTTCATCATCGTCCTCTGAAAATTCCTCTACTTCCCGTCCCTCCTCAGGGATTTCTTGACCTGAAAGAAATTTTAAACCCAGTAAATGGAGTTGATTCATTTTCTTACAGTTTGGAGAACAGCAATGACTGAATACACATGGTTAATAAATGTGTTCTCAAAATTAAAAACCAAATAGTCTTCTTCAATAAAATACTTAGATGTGAAAGAAATAACATTCTACTTATCTATGTTAATGCAGCATAGTGGAATGAACTCAGGCTTTAAAACCAGACAGACCAATATTTAAATGCCAGCCCCACCATTTACTTGCTGTGTAACTTTAGGCAGCCTATATAATGGTTCCAAACCTTATTTTTGTAAAACAAGGACTTATTACTTACTTGAAGGTTGCTGAGATACTAAATGGAAAAACGTATGTAAAGTAATTAGCGTGAGGATACACCAAAAGGTGATTCACTATTTTTTCCCTGCCTCACCTGCCATACGAAGCATCATGGCTTGAAGAGGAGTCAGTTCCTTCATGTTCTTCTTTTTCTTCCTTGATTTTCCAGGCATATCTGCAAACCGTACACTCAGACCTAAGGGGACAAAGGAGGGAGTGGAGTAGATTGGCATCAACAAAATTCAGTAAATGTTTACTACGTAGCACTATAAAGTACTAGATATGATTGCTACCCACTACTTGGCAGAGGTGCAGGATGAGATAGCTATACTAATGATACGAACACCCAGATAAAAACAATTTTCAAGAAAAGATAAATTACTAAAGTTGGCCAAAGAAGTGATAAGCCCAGAATATACAAAACTTAAATGGTAGTTGAAGATCTACTCCTTAAAGGCTACAAATAATATTAGGAGGAAATTCAGCCAAACATTAAGTTACAGAAATCTGATAAAGAGCATAGGAAAAGATGAAATGTTACCCAACTCATGAAACTAGCCTAACCATGATACCAAAATTCATCTACTGGCCAACATAAAATATAAGCAAGTTACACATGTTTATAGCAGCACAATTTGCTATTGCAAAAATATGAAACTAATTTAAATGTCATCAACCAACCAGTGGTTAAAGAAAATGTGGTATATATCCACCATGGAATACTACTCAGCCATAAAATGGAACAAAATAATGGCCTTTACAGCAACTTGGATGAAGTTGGAGGCAATTAAGTGAAGTAATTCAGGAATGAAAAATCAAATATTGTATGCTCTCACTTATAAGTGGGAGCTAAGATATGAGGATGCAAAAGCCTAAGAATGATACAATGGACTTTGGGGACTCAGTGGGGAAGGGTGGGAGGGGAGTGAAGGAAAGGAGACTACAAACTGGGTACAGTATATACACTACTTGGGTGAGGGATGCATCAAAATCTCAGAAATCACCATTAAAGAACTCATCCATGTAACCAAACACAACCTGTTCTCCAAAAACTATCAAAATTAAAATTTACAAAAAGGAAAAAAAATACAAGCAAGTTGAATCCAAGTGTTCTAAAAGCCAGCAATCTAATTCACTAAAGAACTTAAAAAAAACAAAAAAAGTTACATCCCAACAGATACCTAAAAAATATTTATGATTAAAAAAAACCTATTAGCAAGCTAAGAATAAAAAGAACTTAACTGACAAAGGCTATCCATTAGACACTGGATAGGAGTATTTTTAGTTGGTAAACATTTTAGGAGAATAGTTCCATGTGAACAGAACTTTAGTTTTGTTTACCCTGTATCCTTAGTGCCTAGAAAAAATGCCGTATATAGTAAAAACTCAATAAATATTAGCTGAGTGAGTATCAACTCAGAGTTGGGACGGCCATTTTCAGAACATGTGTGTTGATGAGAATATATAAGAAAAATCTGGCTGGGTTGGTGGCTCATGCCTGTATTCCCAGCACTTTGGGAGGCCGAGGGGGGCAGATCACCTGTGGTCAGGAGTTCGAAACCAGCCTGGCCAACACGGTGAAACCCTGTCTCTACTAAAAATACAAAAATTAGCTGGGTGTGGTGGCGGGTGCCTGTAATCCCAGCTACTTGGGAGACTGAGGCAGGAGAATCGCTTGAACCTAGGAGATGGAGGTTGCAGTGAGCTGAGATTGTGCCATTGCACTCCAACCTGGGCGACAAGAGTGAGATTGTCTCAAAAAAAAAAAAAGGAAAAAAAGAAAAAAAATCTGTAGGCAGAATAAAAGGAAAAGAAGGCAAGAGACCACACAGACCCAGAAAAAAATGGAGCTGCCATGGCTCTAATGGCTTTCTACTTTCCAGTCCTAGTTCCTACCTAATAGTCCTCTATAATTATCTTTCATTACCAGCTCTATCATTTTTAACCAGCTTTTTTGTTCTTGCAACCATGATTCTTAAGACACAGCAGGAGAAAAATTTGTCATTATCAATATTAATATTACATAGTATTATATATTCTGTTGTAGGCCACATAAACAATCCCAAAAGAAGCTCCAAAATTGCTGAGGTTTGACAGAATTGGTGTGCATTTTCCACTGTCAGTACCCATTATGATGCTTAAAATTTTCTTGACAAATGTCCTATTTGAATTTTTTAATAATCAAACACACACATTATAGATATAATATGTTTCATGATTCCACTCATGAGTGTACCTGGGTTATAATTATGATCCTGGTTCATGTAAGATACCATAAAAGGGCTTCAAAGGTAGATATTTAAACAGATTTATAAAATACAACATCAATGTTTTTCTTAATATGGCTACTCTCCTTTCTTTCCTGTAACATACCCATAATACGTTTATGCTGTTGAATAGTTATACCTTTTACCCCAAAGTGAACTTTATTACATAGACATTTTTATTACATACAGTTTAATGCTTTTCCTCATAAACATCCACTGAGTACTTACTGTGTCAAAAACTTTCAAAATTTTAATATATAAGATGAACACAGCTATGATCCCGACTTCCAAAGATTTCAGAGTACTCTCACAGATTCATTAATAAATTAGGACCTTCAGCTTGTTTTCTCTTTATTGATCAATACCATGAATCCTTCATCTGCACATACCTGACTTCTTTTCTTCATTGTTGTCTCTCTCACCATTATCACGGTGCACAAATTCATCCCCGTCACTTTCTCCATCTGATTTGTCGGTGTCACTGTCATCAGTACTGTCATCATGCTTATCTTGATCCATGTCCTCAGGATAGCCATCATCTTCACTGGTGCTAGAAACATCATCATCATGACCTCGCTGGGCTGAAAAGTGGGAAGGGAACATGGAGAAGTAGTATGATTGGACCCTCCACTACATGGTACCCAGAAATACAGAAAATTATGCTATTCAACTCAGACTGTAACAACTTAATTCTTACCAAAAAAAAAAAAAAAAAATTCTTGTATATATAGCTACTCATACAGTCTAACAAAATTTTCCTCTGCCAATAATTTTAAACACTTCTTTTTGGTAATTTAAGATTTTTTTAAAAAGAGTTCTAATTTGAAAACCCATTTCCTCCTTTAGCAACAATCATGTTTGTATACACATACACAGTCAGTGAATGTATACAATGACGCTCTAGTCTGATGACAATAAAGCTAAAAGGGAACCAGATATACAAGTCTTAAAGGATTAGCAGCAAGAGTGACATCTCCAGGAAAAGCCTAATTTAAAACACGATAAACATTTCTATACTTATGTATGATGCTTTTACTTGAGAAGATCCTATGATTTATCCAACTGTATGTATATTAGTTATGTACATGATACCCTCTCATTTACTTTCTAAGTTCTGAGGGTGGTGAACAATATGTTAAACAGGGCCAACATAAAAAATGATAGTTATAAAAGCAAAAGAACAGTCACTTCTCACCAAGTTCAGGACTATATAACATGTCTTCATCTCGCCTACGAGGGGGAAGATCTAGGGCAAAACCCACTTTACGGCCATACATCTGCACGACTTGAGGAGGAGGTGGACCAGGGGGAGGGCCAGGAGGTTTTCTGCCAGGGGGCAAACGTGGAACACCATGTCCAAGAAGAGGAAGGATAGAAACTGCCCGAGTTGGAGGTCTGTTAAAAAAAAAAACAAAAACAAAAAAACCCCCACAGTAATCACTTAACAGTAATGAGATATTTATTTTCTCTTCTAAACAATTTTCAAGGGATTTCTTATTTTACATTTAATCAAATGTCACACTGTTTACATCCATATTGTCTTTTATTTCCCTCTGCATTAATTTTGGCACTGGACAGTCAACTTGTGCCTTTACTAAATGCTCTCTGATTGTGACACTGCTTCCTTACCCATAGGCTGAGGTTTTCTTTAGGATAGAGGGTGGCTGGGCACCAGGAAGTGGAATGTCCTGGATCAAAATGTTGGAAGGAGCATGTGGCATATCTGGCAAAGGAATACTCTCCACTTCCACATGCTGAGCATTCTGAAACAGAGAACCATTCAGTAGTATGATAAAAAAGTCATCTACTAACTAAACACTAAAAATGACAAGTCAGCTGTTTCGTAACTTGGACATGCTTTCCAACTAACATAAATATCACCAAAAACCCCCAGAAAAATAACCTTACGTCAATACTTCCACATTGTCAAAGAACTGAAAGAAATCTTTACTTCTAAAAACGTCAGAACCCAGCTGTTTTTTTTCTCCTCTTATCAGGTAATTCTTTTTGGATGATTCGAAACAGCTGTTGTCTAGAGAAAGCCAACTGTTACAAGTATCTAGCACCAGAACTACCCTATTTAACATGTGATAGAAAAATACATGTCAGGCTGGGCGTGGTAGCTCACACCTGTAATCCGAGCATTTTGGGAGGCTGACGCAGGTCGATCACAAGCTCAGGAGTTTGAGACCAGCCTGGCCAATATGGTGAAACTCCATCTCTAATAAAACTACAAAAATTAGCCAGTTGTGGTGGCGTGTGCCTGTAGTCCCAGCTACTCAGGAGGCTGAGGGAGGAGAATTGCTTGAACCTGGGAGGCAGAGGTTGCAGTGAGCCAAGATGGTGCCACTGCACTCCAGCTTGGGCAACAGAGTGAGACTCGGTCTCAAAAACAAAAAATAAACAAAAAAAAGAAAAATAATATATGTCAACTAACAAATAGTATATATCCAGTGGTGGAGGTTGGGCTCATTAGCTTGCCTATGTTGAATTTCTGTTGTGTATTAGCTTAGTTTGACTAAGCAAGGTAACCTGTGCCTTCATCTGTAAAATGGGAGACATATTACCTCCTTTACAGAAATTATAGCATTTGATTTTTTCCCATCTTTATTTTGAGGTAAAATTTACGAAATTTACAAATTCAGTAAGTTTTGACAAATGCATATACCTCATACTCCTTCCCAATCCATCTCTAATATCATCCCCCAAGGCAACCACGGCTACATTTTTTTTTCCTGCACAGATTATCTGTGACTATTCTAGAATTTCATAAAAATGAAATCATAACAATGAGATAAACTTAGCATGTTTTTGAGATTTACTCACAATTTTTCTTTTTTTATTCCATGCTGTTTTGAGTATTAGATTATTCCTTTTATTGCTGAATAGTATTCTATTGTATAAATATGCTACAGTTTAATTATCCATTATCCTATTAGTGAACACTTAGGCTGATCCAAGTTTTTGAATTAATTTCTTCTGTTTAAATAAAGAGGATTAGATTTGCAGGTTCACACAGTAGGTATATGTTTAGTTTTAGAAGAAACTGCTATAAGGAAGAGGTTCAACATGACATTCTCCCATTAACTTTTTAAATCTAAGTATAGGCTGAGCATCCCTAATCTGAATATCTAAAATGCTCCAAAATCCTAAACTTTTTGACTCCCATATGATGCCATGGTGGAAAAATCCACACCTGACCTAATGTGATGGGTCGTAGTTTTGTTTCATGCACAAAATTTATAAAATTATCTTCAGGCTATGTGTATATGAAACATAAATTTCATGCTTAGACTAGGGTTCCATCCCCAAAATATATGCAAATATACACAAAAACAAAACAAAATATAAAAAAAACCCAACAACCCTAAATCCAAAACACTTCTGGTCCCAAGCACTTTGCATAAGGGATACTCAATCTGTATAATATTTTAGTTTATCTCTCAAAAAAAAAACCTTGATTACCTTGACAGCATCAAAATATTGGCTAAGTTGAGCCCTCTTCTGTTCATATTCTACTTCTAGCTTTCTCAATTCTTTGTAAATATCTGGATTCTCTTTTTCATAGAGTCGTAGAATACGTTCAAAGGTTTCACGCAGCTTTTTACGCTTGTCTTTCAGTACTTTCTCATTTAATTGTGGCTGTTGCACTGGGTTAAACTCTAAGAGAAAAAGTAGATTATGGAATTAAATATAAGAGGCCACTTCAATTAGGTATCAATAGGTTACATGATAAAAACCTCCATATATGCTAAAAAATTTTTAAGAGATCTAGACACCAGACATACTCTTTTCAATTTTATTCGAAGAACTACAATATTTATTAAAATCCCCACCCTTTTTAGATGGCCACTAATTTTACCTTTCTCAGAAATGCCACCTAATTGACTTTCATCTTCATTGTAATAAAAATCAATTTTCACTGCTCTGTGCTGAAAACCTCGTGAAGATTCTGTCAGATTTGTGTTTACCTACTACGTTAGTCCTGTCAAATTTTGAGATCTTAAGCATTTTACTTGAATTCTCTGATTTTTTGCTTCCTCATCTAAAAAATGGAGACGTTAATCACTTTGTAATAAAGCTATGATGATACAATGGGATTACAAATAAAATATCCAGTGGTGTTTGACTCACCACTTAACTATAATCTTTATAACAGATCCGTATTCCTGGCCTAGCTACTATACAATCCTTTCTCTCCCTAACTAATCATGTGTCAATATGGGGCTTAACTGCAGGTCCTCTATCCCAAGAATAAGACCTCCAGGCCTGCCTGGTCAATCATATCCCCCCATCTTCCTTTTCAGTGAATGACTCAGAGATCAATTAGCACATGATCCAAACTGGGACCAGAACATTCCCTGAGATTTTAAATGTAGATGTGAGAGAGATAAGCTCTCAGATTTTCTTTCTGAATGTGTTATGTAGAGAGAAAACAAACCTAGAGCTGCCTGTGGCCTTGTCTCTCAATCATCACTAATTACACACATATATTCCACCTTCTATCCCAAGGAGTTCATTAGTAGTAAGCTGAATGAGGCTAACAGACATCAGACTAGACAGATGGACAGTACTGATGATGAGACTGGATTTTGAGGCTAGTTTCTCTCAGGGATTTCTCATCTTTTTTTTATGTTAAGACTTCTTAATTAAGACAGCCAATGCATGCTTTTTTCTGCCTTAACTAGTCTGTATTGAGTTTTATAAATTGTAACTAGACCCCTGATGAATAGTATTCTCTTCACCCCTTTCCTTTTTCTTAAAAGAATAACAAATTTATCTTCTTCCTTAAATCCTATTAACTATTATTAATCTTGGCAATTTATTCAAATCCAGAGGGCGTATTCTTACACCATACTAATCCTAGTGTGATTAGTAAAAGCGCTGAATGCCTGAGTTTTAATCTCAGCTTTGCCACTACATAGCAGTGTGACCTTGAGGAAAGCTATGTAATCTCTCCATGCCTGAGTTTTCTTACCTGTATAATAGGGACAGTGCACCTACCCTAAAAAATTGTGACGATTAGAAAACTGGTGGAAAAAAACTGGTGCGTAGGTGTATAGCAAGACAACTACTCAAGAAACCTCAGTTATTCCTATTATCTCCTTTTAAAACAACACATAACATTTGGGGTCATTTAAAGAAGGATTCCCTGATTCCCCAAGGAAAGTAATTATCCCTGCTGATATTTAGACCAGAGGCAGGAAGTGGAATCAGTTACAACTGAACTGGGAAATATCTGGGATCCTGAAGCCTGACCCAGAACTCTTAGCCAGGCTAGCTGCACAGATTCTCCCACATTATTTCAGAAACCTTGTAATAGCCTAATGCCATGACTGAATTTTTTTTTTGTACCCCATTTAATGTATCATTGAGGAGTTTCATTCCATCTCTTTTACTTACTACTCTGTTTTTGGGCAAAACATGGAACTTGTAACGATCACTTTAAAATGCTATTTTACAAAAGTGGCAAAGGGTAGAAGACAAAGTGGCAGAAACTTGACAGGTGAAAAGCACATGGAAGTTAACTAGACTATTTTATTTTCTTGCATGTTTGAAAATTTCTATTAAAAAAACAAAATATTCTACATGTTCTAATATTAAACAGAATGGATATTTGTGGGTTAGGATAAAATTTCCAGTGGCAACATCAATGATTTTCAAACTTAGATGCAAAAAAAGATAACATGCAGCTATTTCATGTGATTCCAGTTATAACAAAGCAGCGATACTTAAAATGCATATGAAGAGTGAATAAAACTATTCTATAAAATGTGAAAAAGGCAGAGAATCCTGGTATAGTATTTTATTATTTGGTTTTTAGGTATTTGATGATTTTTTTCTATATCCTTACTAAATGGATAAGTATCTTTTTGGATCTTCTGATTGGAAAAATTGGAAATTGCCTTATATTCACAGGGGCCTAATACTTAGATTTACATGGTAGTTGCCAACATTAAATAAAAGACGACAAACAAAAAACCCAAGGTTATTTCATAAATCAGATTAAGTCTTCTCCCAAAAAGCAAGCTGGCCAAACTGTGCTTCTGTTATCTCACAATAACAATTAACTGAAAGCCAAATAATCGCTTCCCTCTTATTCTGGTATCTGGGGTCTCCAGTTTGCAACAGCCCTCTAGCACTCCATTTTGTCTCCCTGAAACTAACATTAAATCCAAGCATCAAATGCCATCATGCTGTTCTGTTTTACTTACGCCTATGCTGCTTCACTCGTTACCTGCCTGCCTCTGTACGTGTCAGACTGTTATAGCTGCCTGTTTGTAAATTCTTACCCATTTCATCCAATTTCTCCATGTCTCGGATTATCTGTTTTGGATCCTTCATCTTTAAAACTGCAGCTCGAACCATCATGCGCTGTTTTTTGTTCTTAGAAAAATAAAAGGGCAGATGTCAAGAAGTCAGGCACTCAGGAGTTTTACTTCAACTTGCTTTAAGAATCTAAACAGAATAACTCCTTGGCTTCTGATCACTTGTTTCAACCACCAGAAACAGCTATGTAATTTTTTGCCTTAAAAATGTTTACACTTGTCAAAAAGATAAAGAAATGCTATTTTTAAGATGTGCTTTCTTAGTAAAGTATTTCTTTGAACTCTGAGATCTTTAGCAGTTACTTAAACACACATACACTTTAAATTTCTTTTTTTTAACCCCTTATGTTCTTGAAGACCTTGGGTGATTGTTCCTGCCCCCTGTTGTAAAACCTCTGCTAGTTGAAGTCCAAAGCAAAGGTTGAAGCTAAATTCTAAAATTATATAAAGAATATTTAAAAATTTTGCAGGAGTTAATGCTAAACATGAAAACACAATCGAACATTATTTAAAATCTGTGTTGCTTCAATGTATTATACTATAATACTATAAAGCACAATACTATAAGGCAAATCCTTTCTAATTCTTTTGAAGTACTTTGCCACAAATTCAACAGCTAAGAGGAGAATGCTAATTGGGAAAATGGATATATAAATCTAATATATCTATAAATATTATAAACCTACATATATATATTTAAGCTAATGTAATATATGTAATAGACAGCTAATCAGGAAAATGGATAAAGCTATCTAGCATCATGTTTATTTCCATCCTCATCAGTAGACTTTAAAACAGTTATGTTTTAATGAGTAAAAAAAAGAATTATTTTCAAAAGTATTTTTTAACTCACTGGGAAAAGTAATCAAACAATGGCATTATAACCTGTAGTGAGCTTCTCTGCAAAGTTACTTCAGTTCCTAAATAAAGTTTGGCTTAGTATATCTTACAGTTTTTATAAAAAGCATAAAGTACCTTTTCTAGAAAATATTAGAAATGTTATTCTGAAACCCACTAATCCCAAATCACAAGATGTACCAAACAATACTTAAAGTTTTATAAGATGCCTCTAAAATCATACCTTCTTTAATTCTCTCTTCCGGGCTTCCTTTCCTTTAAAAGGAGAGAGGGAGATATAATAAAATCTTTGAATCTTGAACATTAGCATTTCCTCCAATTTAATACAGGTAATTCTTTATTGTGGAAAGTTACAGTATGCACTGTAAAAGAGCAGCATCTTTGGATTCTCTCCACTACATGCCAAGAGCATCCCTCTAATTATGACAACCAAAAATGTCAAGACATTTTTGTTTAATGTTTCATAAAAAACAACTATGAATCTGAAGGAAAAACATAACATAAAACGCGAAACAAGGGCTCGCAAAACTAATTTGCTCAAAATTTCCAATATAAAAAGAAAGATTTCAGCCAATTCTACTTTGCAAGTCAATCAAATTTGAAAAATAAAATACGGGTACTAATTTCTTTGCATATTTAAAGTCTTAATGTGCCCATACAAACCCTGAATATATAATTTATTCCTCCTATCACTGCTGGTCTTGTAATTAAGCCACAGAGAAAGAAATTCCCTAATATTTGCAATTTTTAACACTCTCCTACTTCATCATTCCACACTAATGGACACTTACGGGCTTGGTCTGTGGGGTTCATAAATTTTCCACTCTTGGTGGATGATGTAGATCTCCGTCCCATGTTGACAATTTGTATGGTTTACTTGTTCATTAAAAAAAGAAAAACCTGTGAAGGTGAAGACAAAGAAATAGCTTATATCTCCTAAATGTATTTCTTCCTTTTTCTAGTCCCTACCAATCTCTGAAAAAAAATTCCTTTAATTAGAAATTCTGTGAGACTGTTCTTTCCTTAGTTTTGACTTTAATGTCCAAGAAAGATGGCATCACCTTTCTTGACCATGAAAATTTAGATCTCTATCATTCTTCAGAAATGTGATGAGTGTGAAGACCACTTTGAATATCCTCAAGTCATCAGTTTAGCTTTTTTCTTATGGATCACAGCACTGACTTTGTCAACTGATAAAAACAACTAGAAAATGCTTTAACGATATGGCACAAACCATGAACATCAGAATTCATTAGTCCTTCTTCTATAACCTCCCTTTATTAACATGTAATTGTAAAAGAAGAATAAGAAGGGAATGGGGGTAATGGATCTAGGCTCAAAACACATACCTCACCTTTGCCTCTCTCCATGGTTTTTCTTGGCATGTATGCTGTACATTCTCAATACTTCTAAGACACTAAAAACTCATTAATTTAAGCATATTTAATTCAGATTCAGTTCTAGTTCAGATATAATGCTTGACTCTCAAGAGTTCAAAACACAACTAAAAATGCAAATATTTGAAATTAGTGCTATACTGAGAGCTCCCCAAAACTTAAATATTAAGACACATATTTTTCTTACTAAGACCTGACTCCCAATATATATTTCTTAAGGTAATTAAAGGGAATACTTATTTTTGTTTGAGGAAAAAATATTTTGTAAGCTAAAACTTTTATTAACACAGTACCCTATTACATGACTTCTTCCTCTTATTCCAAAATAATGGGGCTTAATTTTTTGAAGCGCAGTCTTTCCAGTAATAAAGGCGGACAAATTTGCTTCCTTTTGCAAGTAGACACTTTTTAAAGGTAAGAAAGGGAAGATTTTGTCAGCCCAGTTTATTACAGTTAATGTCTCTTTCACCAAGTGTCCAACTGCCCCGAAAGCCAGATGTTTCAGAAAGCCAGATGTTTCACAGCTGTTCTGGTGGCAATTACTTCAAGACAGCGGTATCAAAGGCTCTGATTTTTAGCTTCCTCATCTAAAAAATGGGGACATCAATTACTTTATAACAAAGCTCTGATGATACAATGAGATTACAAATAAAATATCCTGTGATGTTTGACTCACTACTTAACTAAAATCTTTATAATGGATCCATATTCCTGGCCTAGCTACCATACACCCTGTCAAGTGGTTTCCTTCTAAGAAAAACTGGGGATGGGGGGGTTAGGGGGGTGGGAGAGCAGCAGGGAGTAGGAGGTAGGGAAGGAGGAAAACAAGCAAAATCAGTACATATACAAGCTCTCCCATCTTTGATTGCCTGCGTTTTTTGTGCTTTCCTTTCTCAAGTTTCCTCAGGCTCATGTTCTGAATCTCCTCCCCCACAAATGAAACACAACGGATACGAATTACAGAGAATTTTACGGAAGACACTGGAGCTTAAGTCTGCAGATTAGTTTTTTGTCTACAAGCGGAGGCGACTGGAAAATCAAGCCAAATAAGCGTTGGATAACTCTAAACAGCCAAAGAAGCTTCAATGGGATAGGGTCCAGGTTCACCAAAGGAGGCAACACCAGCAACTGACGAAACCATAGCGACGGCTGACCGACCATGACTCGAGGTACAAGACGTCAAACCTAAGGCTACTAATCAACGTGCGTAAGAAGCGGCCCCAACCGACCCGGGCGATGCCAACCGCGCAACCACTGGTCGCCGCGCCACCCCAGGCCCAGGAATAGCCCAGTCCGCAACAGGGAGACCTCAACCAGGGAGAGGAGGAGCGGGGCAAAGGGGCTGGGTGTCCCCCAAGCCGCTGCGCGGGACGTGGAAGGGACGAAAGAGGTGAGGAAGAGTAGTAAATCAATTCAATACACTCACACTTCTGCTGTGCTCCCAGGACTACGAGAAGCGGGTAGGGGGCGACTCCCGGCCTCTTTCACTTCGTAAAGGCCTTCAACTGGGTCTCTCGGTCAACCCCTCAGCTACCGCCATCTTGAAACCTCGCGCCCCTCCGCACTCCTCACGTCATTTCCCATTCCTCTGTCCCGCCTTCTCTTAGCGCCGCTTGACCCTGGAACCATAGAGAATACCCAAGAATTCCAGGACCAGAGTCTCTTCCGGTTCCATACAATACTCAATTGGTTGGTTGTCGGCTAAGAGCCCGCCTCATTGCGCTCATCTAGTACAATAGGAATTAGAAGAAGATAGCTGCTAACTGAGTGGCTGACGGTCCTGTCTCTCGAGTTGGAGGCATCTTGACTTAGTTGCTGGGAGCCTGGTACGTTGAGCCGTCCGAGAACGGTACATTCTGCAGATAAAGAAGCGTTCTGCGTTTTCTGTCTTTTGGAATTACCTTAGTTTTTGCATTTTTCTGTTTCTTATGACCCAAGCAGGTGCGATCCTTTAGGGGTGTCTCCGTGTGTAAACGAATACCCAGATAACATTTGCCACTGAGTTTAATCCGCTTTGTAAGCATCAGGTTATCCCATGTGAGCGCCTAGTACGTGTGGAAATTTAATAGACAGGCAGAACAGAACGTTTGTAGACCACCTGAACAAATAAATTAGCACCCGTATTAGAGTCGCAGATTGCTTATATGGGCGGTGATTTATTATTTGTTAGTAGTGTTTTGAAGAAGAAATACGGGGATACATATGCAGTCGGTTTTAAGTTATATGAGTGGCAAGGTTGATATATATTGGCTATATTCCCGACTGGTCTTTTCACCAGCCAAAAGTCCTCTATGATGTCACTCTACGTACGGGATTCTTCACTTAACTCTAGCCTTCGCCCTTTCCCTACCTTCTATCCCCTCTTTCCGTGAGTCAGCCCCCACTTATTTCCCTTAAAGGTAAGTTTAAACATTTAAAAAACTATCTTAGAGGATACGCTTGGTTATTTCTAATCTTAACCTGACTATCCCATGTAGGAAGGCTATTCTTACCACCAGTTATAAATATTTCAAAATATTGATGGAGATACATACTAATTTTTAGCAGAATCTTTAAACTGCCCTTGAAGGTATAAGATCGGTCCTATACCTAAACTTACCTTTGTGTTAGGAAATTCTTGATTTGATTTTAGACTGAATTTGAGTGTCAGAAAGCAATGACGAGATATTGTAGGTTAAAGCTGATAAACCAGGTAGTACATAAAAAAGAAAATAATCTTGAACTGCGAAGGTGAGCTAAGTTGTAATGTTTTGCAACTAGTTTTTTTTCTTTCCTAACACATTAGTGATCATAGTTTTGCAACTCGTTTTGAAAAACAATGCAAGAAGAGAAAGAGAAAACAGTGTATGTTGGAAATATTAAAGTCTTTCATGTAGCTAAAATTTTATATGTAGCTACTATTTTTAAGATATGCTGAGCAGTTTTTATTTCAATACATTTCTTGTACTTGGATGGGAGAATCAACTATAACAAACACAGTCTGGCATCAACAGCATATTAATAATTTTGTCAGTATAGACTAAAAGAGTCCTCATGGGAATTATTGGTTGGCAAAGGATTTAGAAAACAAACACATCTGCAGAGATTCAGCGGAACCATTAATAGGCTTCCATAGCCTTTGGCGTTTTCTAAAATCAGGTAATTAGTGAAATGGCCCACCTAATGCGTCATGTAGCAAAGGCAGCTGCCTCCTTTTTGCTAGTGTTGAAAATGAAATTATATTCTTTTTTCTGAAAGCTTATAATAAATTATGACTTTCTTTTAAATGACAAATGCTTTGAGTAGTGACCTTCTATTCTGCATCCTAAATGCAATATGTGTAGCTGTGTTTTGCTTTCTTGTCTTCTAAATGTTTCAGTGTTTGAACATTCACTTGAGCGATATTTAATTATCACAGTTGGTCAGGGTTGATTGCAGTGACTGAAACAGGACCTTGATGTTTTTAGTTTTGATTTTTACCATTTTCAAATCCATCCGGTTTACATTGTGTAATCAGTAGACGTTTACAGATCAGCTTCCTGTCCTAATTGAAGCACATTGTTACAAACCATTTTTCAGTCTCTTCTAGTTTACAGAAAACCAGATTTACTCTGATGGTCAAAAATATGGTAGTATTTCTGTCTCATTCGAAGGCCTAGAGTTTGTGTCTAGGCAGAAGTTACTGAGTATGTCCCCTTATAACTAAATGATGTTTGAAGCTGGTGGTAGAAATGAAAGTCTCTGCATTCAATGTGAAATTTAAGAATTTTACTGAAATTAGAAAAGAGAAAAGTAACCCCTATACTTGCTACTCTACGATAGCATTTACCCCAATGTTGATCTGGTAGAGCAGGGTGTGAAAACATCCAGGGAGAAAATTTTTTTACCTCACAGGGTCTAGCATCAGCTGATCCAGGCATTGTTGACTCAAAACTCATCTAGTCATCTAGTCTTGGCATCTCCAGTTTCCCTCTCCAAATTGTTTATCTTATTTAAGTCCATATTGGAAGCCTATAGAAAATGAACCTAATCAAAGAAGCAAACACTGTTACTGAAAAGGAAGCAGAAAAACACTTCAGTGGCAAATAAAACGGCTGTTCATTTCATTTGGTGTTTCACTGTATTGATGACCTCAGTAATGGCATGATTATATTTTTCTGAGGCTGATTTGAACTCCACCAGATGCTTCTCATAACTTTTGATGGCTGCTTGAAGCTGTGTTTTTTCCACTGCTCCCAGGATGGCACGGACAATCATATCTATGCCAAGGCCAAGAACAGCAACTCCAATACTACCAAGGAGAGAAGCACCAATTTGAGCTAACACAGTGACCAACTTGTTAATTATGCCAGTTGTGACATTTGAGCCCACAAGTTTAACAGCGACTGCACTGGCTGCAGATGTAGCTTCTCCCAGGATGACCGAAATAACCTTTTGCACTATTGCAATTTTGTCTGTTTCCTTTTCCTTAATATCCTGAAGTTTTCTATAGAGGGTTGGCTCTAGCTTATCTTTTAGTGCTTCATCAACCTTCTGCAATTCCTTTTGGATTTTCATAATGGCTTGGATGATGAGGTCACAGTTTTCTTTGATGGTCCCATCTCTTTTCATCTCAATGGAGGCCAGCCTGCACCCCAAGTGCATATTTAGAACCTCAGTCAGCTTATTGGTGACATCGAAGCTGTCAGATAAGCAATCAAGAAGCTGCTGGTGAAGACGATTTACTTCTTCCCGCCTTTTTGGGTTCTCTGGGTAAAGGAAGTCACTTTGGGCCATATTTCCAATATGATCGCTGAAAAATAAAATGGTAAATTTTTACTGAAAGTCTTAAAAAATGTCTGCTAACTGTGTAGAAGGGACTAGGAAATCTTTTTCTTCATGCATAGCAAAGAAGCAAGATGCTGTCTAAGGATAATTCCTCAGAACACTCAACAAGTTTTTTTAAAAGAGGGAGTATCGCTGTGTCACCCAGGCTGGAGTGCAGTGGTGCGATCTCAGCTCACTGCAACCTCTGCCTCCCAGGCTCTAGCAATTCTCCTGCCTCAGCCTCCCGAGTAGCTGGGATTACAGGCATACACTGCCATGCCCAGCTAGATTTTTGTATTTTAGTAGAGACAGGGTTTCATCATGTTGCCCAGGCTGGTCTCCAACTCCTGACCTCAGGTAATCCACCTGCCTTGGCCTCCCAAAGTGCTAGGATTACAGGCGTGAGCCACTGTGCCCGCCCTCAGCAGGTTCTTTAAAACAGTTATTTTTATGAAATTTGGAGTCAGTGTATGGAAAGTGTAGGCAACAGAATACAACCCTTTGATGGATAAATTAAGTTATTAGATTTTGTGGTGGTGAGAAATATTCATCGTTTGTCAAGCATCTGTTTATTAATAAGCGTGATTATTTCTAGGTAATATTTAATAACTTTTATTTGAAACAGACCCCAATTTGAAATGCTTAGCTCTTGATTACTAGTGCTCCTTAGTTTCCCGAACCCCTAGTCACCACATTGACCACACCTACCAGACTGATTTCTCTAGCATTTGGAGTTAAACTCTAGTCAGGGCCAGATAAATATTAACATCTCTAAATTTACAGGGCTGTTTTTTGTATTTCAATACTTGGTTATTTTAACTTAAAATATTCAAGTCACTTTATATATCTCTACAGGCAAGTTATTTGTTTTCTAAACCTAAAGGATATCCAAAGGCAACATGTATATCATGCTAGAATCTTTAACAAATTTTTTCTTGTGATAAGAGTATATATTCAAGACTCTTTGGATTAAAATTTCATGTGGGGAGAAGGTAGGCACTATACAGGGCACAGTGTTAATCAGATAATCATGTGATTATTCTCCATTTGCAAAGCTTATAAATTAAATTATTTAGAATAGTCTAAATAGTATCGCACTTGGGCATTATTTAGATAAACTAGAGTGAACGTCAGAAAAAAAATGCCATTTTACAAAAGTATTAAAGAATAAGGGGCCGGGCATGGTGGCTCAGGCCTGTAATCCCAGCACTTTGGGAGGCCCAGGCAGGTGAATAACTTGAGGCCAGGAGTTCAAGACCAGCCTGGCCAACACAGCGAAACCCCATCTCTACTAAAAATACAAAAATTAGTTGGGTGTGGTGGTGCATGCCTGTAATCCCAGCTACTCTGGAGACTGAGGCAGGAGAATCACTTGAACACGGAGGTGGAGGTTGCAGTGAGCCAAGATGGTGCCACTGCACTCCAGCCTGGGCAACAGAGCGAGACTTTGTCTCAAAAAAAAAAAAAGTACTGAGAGTACATCATAGAATGAATAAAATAAACTTGACAAGAGACTTCAGTGTTTGTCCTTTTGGCCTACAGTACCTAACAGTCATGCTCTTCTGTGTTTATTTGGGTGAAAAATCTAAATTTGAGCCAGTAAGAGCACGATGCTACTCAATATGCATACTTTGAGTAGCCTTCCTATGTGGCTGGTACTTTTTTTTTTTAAATTACACTCTTGAGAGAAAAGAGAGAAAAAATGGAGTTCTTTATCCATATCCATGTGGAATCTGGCACAGCCTCTTTTTGAGTAAATAATATCGTAATTAATTTGGACCGTATGTCTTCTAGCACTACGGTTCTTATTCTGCTTAAGGGGAACCTCAGAAGTATGGAATGTAGGAATGAAGATTTTTTTCTTTCAAGAAAGTAAACCTGAAAATAACCTATCCTCCAAATCGTATGGATATAAGTTGGCAACGGAAAAGAGAAAATTTTTCTGAAATGGTTTAGGAACATAAATAACCATGTATGTTGTTAGATTTAGAAAAATGCACTGGAACCTCCTGGTAAAATAAACTACCATGGTCAGAAATTAATTTTTATCCTTGATTCAAATCCAGCACACATACACATATATACAGGCATGCACACATGTAACAGACACACATTTCCACAAAACAATACTTAGAAAATTTCCTAATCCAATTCCCTTTAAAGAAATTGCTTGTTGATGATCCAGTAAATATTCTCTAAACTTACAATGGGTTGGAAACTGTAATTTGCTAAGCACAGATTTGGACTTTGAATTTTCTTTTTTCTTCTAGTAATTTTCCATTAAACGTTTGTCTTTTTTGACTCCCGGTTTTCAGATCTTATTATGAAGTGAAAACTCTAGTTTCTGACTGACAGGAGAAAATTAGCTATATTCCTTTTCAGACAGTTAGGTGAGAGGAGTTTTCTTATCCTGAAAAAGTTCAAAATATCTCTAGCAGCTATCATATGCCATTATATGAAGGCATAGTTTCCAGAAAAGGTGGGTGGTTCTGTCTACCTCAAGATAAACAAATGGAGAAATGAACCTTCCTCCTGGATGGGAGGCAGAATGCTTCCAAGTGGTCGGCTCCTTTTCAATTAACTCATTGTTTTAGCACAACTTCACGAATTAATCGTAAAATGTATCTGAAAGACTGAACAGGTGAGCCTTATTTTTTTTCAGAAAATAAAATAGAACTCTTCTCCCCCCAGTATTAAAACACCATAAAAACAAAATAGTAAACAGTATGGTACAGGTACAAGAGTCAGTGAATTAATGGAACAAATTAGTCCCCAAAGCAGACCCTTCTATCTGTTTAATAATAATAAATTGTAGAATCTCAAATCAATAATAATCGAAATTATTACTCCATAAATGGTCTTGAGTCATGGGCTAGACTTTGGAGTTAAAAATTAATAACAAAATTGTTAGTGTAATATATGTAGAAAATTAAATAATAGCTAGAAGAAAATGGATAATTTTCAAATATCGGTATGGAGTGGGACTTTATAAGCCTAAAACCAATAAAAAAAAAGCACATGCAAAAATTTGACTAACAAAGATGGCCAATGTAAAAAGAACTGAAAACAAGCTGGAGAGAATGCAAAAAAAGTATTGTTATTATTTTCAAAAAGCAGTGACAATCTAATATATAAATGAGCAAACCACCCTGAACAGAGTACAAAAAATAGTATCTAATAAAATGGTGGGAAAAGTTCAGTCTTACTAGAAATCAAAGTGTAAGACATTGTACGTTTTCAACTACTAAAGTAATGTTTTTCCTCCTTTTAAGTAGTCTTGCTCTTGCACTTGCGCTTAGACTCTTTTTCGTGGGATCTAGACATCAGTTCATGACTTCGTTCCAATAACGAGTTTGGCTAAAGAAATGTTATGATGTGCTAAGAATTATGTTTCCCTTATAATGAAAAAGGACTTTTATTCTGAGTCAGACTTACCTTCCTAGCTTTTTTCCTTGGGTGGGGAGTGGGGAGGGTTTTCTTGTGCTAACATATCTTCAGCAGGCCTGCCACCATACCTGCTTAGGTATGTCTGAGCTCCAGTTCTGAATACAGCTCAAGGTTATTTCTACACCCCAAATGAGATAAGAAGCACTGGGGAATTAGGAAGAGGAGAGGTGGGGATTGAAAGTGAAACCATTGAATTGTGTTTTGGACAGGTGAAGTTTGAAGAGCTTAGCGAAGAAGGCAATTATTGATTCATTAACAATTCATCTAATAGGTTAGTACTTACCACGTGTAAGGTCATATGCCAGCACCACTCTGCAAAGCATACAAAGATGAAAAAGACATGGTCCTTGCTTTTTTGGAATTTCTAATCTAGTTAGGAAGTTAAGACAGATTTATAACTGTAATATCAAGTTGAAAGTAATATGTCGTACAAAATTAAAGGTACACTTGGTATTTGACTTGTGCAAATTTGTTTTAAACAACCCACACTTTAATATATAATATATTGGCACTGTGGCCATGTGGAGACATTTAGTCATCTAGTAAGGTTAACAATTTGTAACCTTTCAAGTATTCTTAGATATGTGCTTGACAGTTGAGGAGAGGCTGGGCACCACATGGAGAACCATAGTTGGCAGTGTGCAGTATTTTCGCTATTGCCCTTAACAATTTAGTTCTGACTCCCAAAGTGATTACTCCACTCAGCAAAACAAAAGCCCTGCAATTATTTGGAGTCACCCTTCTTAAAGATCGTAGTTGTTACTCAGGCAAGCTTCAAGTGATATTTTACAAACAACCCATAATATTGTGCCCGAGAGGAGTTCTGAGCCATATACTTTCTCCATCTTATTCCATTTTCATTGATGACCTGTCACTTTCAAAGATTGTAGCACCAACAGCAAGTGGTATATTTAATCCAGCTCTAATTAACTACACCTATTGTATGGTAAGTTTGAACTTTTACATAATTTGAATTGTCACATGATGGTGCTTCCTGTTGGTGAAAAGTTCCACTTGGGGAATTACCATCCACTTTTGTACAGAGTTTGTGCTATTATTTGAATATTTTCTTGTAGTTATCCATGAAATGGGTTCTGTAGTGCCCTGGAGCAGCCCATTGGGAATTGCTAGACAGCAGGTGGAGCTCTTGGTCTCTGGGTCTCCCATTTTTCACCTGGGCCTTTGCTGGACTGGAGCAGCTGTGCTTTCTCTTGCTCTACACATTTGGGCTCTGGGTAGGTAAAATTTTATTTGATGAGAGAGTTCTGTTGCTAAAACAAAGTTTGGAAATTTTTGACTTGTTATTTTATTAAAAAATGACAAAAAACATCTGAAAGTGCTGATGTCATTGGTCAGCACACCTTAAGAAATGAAAATGGAGACAAAGGTTAGCTTGAGATGGATGCTTACTGCACCTAACCTTGTTAATTTTTTTGAATTGAGAAGTCAACATTTAAGATTAAAGGGCATCTAAGATATGGTAGAAATATGCTGATAATTGTGTCTAAAAGTTAAGTTTTATTTAATGACATCATACAGTTGTTTTAGTTTTTCAGAAAAGGAACTACCTTACAAAATGAAAATGTACTGATCATCATATGTTCAAATACAACTCTTCAGGGTACTTTCGTGAATAACAGTAGTGCGTTGACTGTCAAGTGCTGTTGAACTTAGAAATTAATATCAAGGTGATTAGAGAAAGCTTCATGGAGAATGCAATATATGATTTATACTTTGATAGATGGTACATTATGGAGAAATTAAAAGTGAACGGTTTGGTAAAACGATTTTTAAATATATACTTATTACCAGTAACATATACACTTTTTTAAATAGAGGAGGAAAAACACCCATAAACCTACCATTTCACTTTTGATTTTTGTTATTCTTTTTCAAAATTTGTTTATATGCATAAGTATCTTCACAAAGTTATCATAATAGTATAAATAAAATTCATCTTTTATTCACTTAACACTTTCCCCTATTTATAGCTTTAAAAATATTTGGCCGGGCGTGGTGGCTCACGCCTGTAATCCGAGCACTTTGGGAGGCCGAGGCGGGCGGATCACGAGGTCAGGAGATCGAAACCATCCTGGCTAACACGGTGAAACCCCGTCTCTACTAAAAATACAAAAAATTAGCCGGGCGCGGTGGCGGGCGCCTGTAGTCCCAGCTACTTGGGAGGCTGAGGCAGGAGAATGGCATGAGCCTGGGAGGCAGAGCTTGCAGTGAGCCGAGATTGTGCCACTGCACGCCGGCCTGGGTGACAGAGGGAGACTCCGTCTCAAAAAAAAAAAAAATTTTATTGGTTACGTATACTATTCCCTGTCTTTACCCTGGTTCAATAAATCTAAAATTGTTTCACTATCACTAATATTCTAATGAGCATTTTGATACCCACAGATTTTTTTTCCTCCATTATCTGGATTATTTCCTCAGCATAAGTACCTAGAAGAATTACATAATTAGTGGCATAAGTAATGGGAATTAAATTTTTATTACTTTTGATATGTATCGTAAATTGCATTCCAAAAGCTTTTACTGTGCTACCCCAAATAAATTTTTATAGCAGGATACTGGGTATCCTGCTATAAAATTTTTACAATTTTTATTTTAGATTCAGGAGGTACATACACAGGTTTGTTCCCTGACTATACTGTGTGTTGCTGAGGTTTACTGTGAATGATCCTGTCACCCAGATACTGAGCATAGTGCTGGTATATTTCCCAGTCAAAGATGGTCCTGTTTAAATATTGTTGATTTGGGAAGAGTAAGGTTAAATTTCAAAAAGAGAAGTTCTTGCCTATTTGGAAATACATACTGAAAACATTTAAGATGAAATGAAATGGTCTCAGAGATTTGTTCACAAATAATCTGGAAAGAATAGTGGGGTAGGGTTATAGAGGAAAAAAGATTGGCCTTGTTTTGATAATTTTTAAAGCTGAGTTATGGGTACATGGGAGTTTATTATATTATTGTCTCTACTTCTGTGTATGTTTGAACTTTTCTTATAACAAATAAAAAAGAAAGAAAAAGAAAAACGTGACCCTGTCTAAACCTCTGATGTTTAGTCGTTAGTGCTCTCTGAGGTTTTACATTTCTTCTTGCTGTCACTTTTCTTCACTGTCCAAACAGGGTTTTGCCATCATGCACAGTTTCCTTATCTGGGAGTGTGGAAATAGGGTATAGGTAAAATCAGGAGCTTTTCAGAAGAAAATAACAGCTTCTAACTAGTTCTGAGTCTCCTTTAATTCAAATAAAAATCTGTGGCCTTTAATTAAAACAAAAATTGATCATGATGTGATGATATACTTTCTGATATAAATTCATTTAAAAAATGTTTCTGACCAGAAAGAAGAATATTAAAGTCATTCATCAGCATTTATCAAGTGCTCACTGGTGAAGCCTCTACTGTGTCCCTTGAGGCATTTGAAAACGACAATGTTCCTTGCCCTCAAGACGATAACAGCCTGTTTGGAGACACACAGCAAATGCTCAGAGATATTTAGATACAACATAATTTATGAAGGAGTATAAGTACTATACATTAACCAGTATTAGATTCCACATTCATTCTTTCATAGATAGGTACTGAGTGCCTATATTAATATTAATGACATAGAAGGAAATGTTACTATCCATGTAAACTTCACACATTCACACAGGTATCATTTCATCCTTAATCCTTCTTAGAATTGATGTCTTTACTGCTTCTCTTCCACTCTGACTTAATCAGTCCTAGAAATTGTTAATTTTCTTCCTTCTCTGCTGTCTTCAGAGAAGGCACCAGGAAAGGTTCCTTCCAAATCACAAGGAACATGTCATGGGATCCTCTTATAACAAAGCTGTTTTTTTACTTTATTTTATTTATGGTTAGGATTCAAGACTGACGGGCTAATTCAAATTCCTCCTACTACTGAGAAACAGAGTATTATATCAATACTAATAGAAATATCCACGTTGCTTACCTTGCTGTGTTTCTGAGTTCCGTGGTCCTAGCAGTTGTTTAGGAGTATTGTTAAAGTGCTTTTTCATCTGGTTTCATCTGGATATTTCTGATGGAATGTGATGACTTACAGACTTTGCTAGTCTCTGCTGGGTCCCTCTGCCTGTCTGGTTTATAGGCTATTTCTACATGGCTTGGCCCTCAGAATTCCTTCATTTCCTATTAATAAAAACTTAGTATACAGTATTAAGTTATATAAACTGGAAGACTAATAGTGTGTAAAACTTATTTTTAAATTTCTGTTCTTTAATGGACTTTTTATTGTTGAGAAGCGCTATATAACTGAGCTAATTCAATTTAGTAGAGAAGATGGCTCTTTGATTGCAGCTCTCAGATTTTGGGGTTTTATCTTGTCAACTATTCCAGATACTAAGTTTCTTTTAGCTTCTGTTGCATTTGCACCTCTAACTGTTGCTGATTATTTAAATTCTCAAGATATATAAATGCAGTTACTTGCATCCAATTTTTTTTTCTCTTCTTTCCAGCTAGGAGTTCTCCTCTTTGTCATTCTTTCTCTTCCTGTGTTTGTAAATTGTCTTGACAATATAAAAACCTTAAAGTCCAACTTCACTCTTTTCCCTGAAAGCTCAGATCAGTCTTCCCTGCTGCTTCTTCCCAGCTTCAGTCTTCAGACCCGTTAATTCCTCCACAGCAAAGACACCTGAGTGGCAGGGAAATCACTCAGCCCCAGTGTAACTTAGTGAAAGACAGCAGGCTTTACACTCAGACAGTCCTGGTTTTGTGTACTCCAAGTACCACTTACTAGTCATGTAATCCTAAGAAAGTCACTTAGCCTGAGTTTTCCCATTGGTGTAATATGAGTATTAGTTAATAATTTATGGATTAAATGGGATAGTGTTTATAAAGTAATTGGCATAGTGGCTGATATGTGGCAAAATCTTATGAAACGGTAGCTATTCATATATTAACAACAGTATCTCCTGGTGGAGGGGAGAGGAGAATGGGTGGGTACAGGATACAGAATCAAAATGCCAGACAGGCAGACAGGAAACTTTAAAATCTAAAGATGCTGCCCTGTGATTCTAAAGAAGGGCTAAGTGGGGTCACTTTTCTACTTTTGTCCCAGTGGATCATCTTGCCCTTGATGTATCCAGGGCCCCACCACGTACGGATGTGTGGCCAGTGTATCTGAACTAGGTATGGATGTTAAGTAGGATTTTAATAGATGTTTGGGGAGGATGGTGGTATAGAGGAAATAATACAGATAGAGGGAACACTGAGAGCAAAGGAGCTGAACCAAAAATTGTAGAACATTTTCAGGGAACAAAAACCAACCTGCTGGTGATACAGGGTGTAAGTGGGAGCAGTTAAGGGAAGGTAAGTCATGGAAAATTGAAAATAGTTTGTAGATAGCCTTAGATGTCATGCTAGGAAATTGTATTTCATTCTGTAGATAATAATGAACCATTAAAAAATCCTTTTAATTATGGTGTAATATTTGGAGATTTGGATTTCAGGAAGGGTACATTATGTAAACTTGATTAGTAGGTATGGACAATAAAGCATAAGTTACCAACCCCATTGCCTACAGTATGTGGACAAAATATGTCTGTCTTTTACCCTGTCTTAAAACAGTTGCATTTTGTTTCCGAAGAGGCTATTGTTGAAGAGTACCATTTAACCCACTTGTTCCTAAGGTGTTTGTTTCTCTCCTATTTCTACCCTTCTTAACATTTATTGCCTACTCATCCACTCCTTTCTCTCCTACCACATAGCAGCCTAAGTGGAGTTGCCAAAATTAAGGATAAACAGTAACAATGCAAAATAATTATCAGAGAAAAACTAGAAGCAATATTGACTTCATACTGAGCCCCCTAATCAACTTGAACTTCTTTTTTCTGCAATCAGTTTCTCAGGTTGAAAACTTGAACTTCTTAAATCTTTCTTGACTACTAAAGCCAGTATTAACGTCAAGTCAATAGTCAGAACTGAACCTTAGGAAGGAGGCACATTTTCTTAGTGTAGATCTTGGAGTCAGGGTGGTTTTAGGGAATCAGGAAGGCTGATTTGACAAGTTTCACTGCTGGATTGACAGTGGTGGGAAATGAGAGTGAAAGCAATAATATCTCCAAACTTATCTGCATGTAGCTCTCACTTGATCGTCTTTTATTTAGAATGCTTTATTTTCCCTTTTATCCTAAAGCTCATCCCCTTCTTTTCCTAAAATCTCTGCTCAAAAACCATATATTACATGACCCTGAATAAACTGCCCGATTCAATTACGATTGTTTCAACAATTTGCCAGCACTTATGAATGCTGCACTTAAAAAAAAATCAAGCAAACCTAAAAATAATCACCTTTTTGACCCAATAGCCTCCTTTATCTTTCTTCTTCACAGTTAGACTTCCCAGTTTGGTAGTGTACATGCATTGCCTCTACTTCATTTTCTCCATTAATTTTCCAGTATTTATAATCTAGCTTCTGTACATATTCCTGCCTCTTGCAAAATTGCTTTTCTAGCATTGTCAATGACATTGTAATGACTAAACATAAGAAATAATTTACAGTGTTTATCATACTTGCAGCATTTGAAATTGCTGATCAGGTCTTTATATTTTCTCTTTTTTTTTTTTTTTTGAGACAGAGTCTCACTCTGTCACCCAGGCTGGAGTGCAGTGGTGCCATCTTGGCTCACTGCATCCTCCGCCTCCCAGGTTCAAGCAATTCTCCTCCCTCAGCCTCCCGAGTAGCTGGGATTACAGGCGTGTGCCACACCCAGCTAATTTTTGTATTTTTTAGTAGAGACGGGGTTTTGCCATGTTGGGCAGGCTGGTCTCCAACTCCTGGCCTTAAGTGATCTGCCTACCTCAGTCTCCCAAAGTGTTGGGATTACACTAAAATAAAATACTTAAATATAAATCTAAGAATATATGAGCCACCATGCCCGGCCAATTTATCGTTTTTTCTTTAATGGATATGCTTTTGGTGTCATACATATCAAAGGACTAATCAGCTAACCAAAAGTTACAAGATTTTCTTCTGTATTTTCTTCTGTTTTATGGTTTTATATTTTTCATGTCCCATTTTGAGTTAATTTATGTATGTGTATGGTATGACATAAAATCAAGGTTTATGTTTTTGCATATGGGTATCAGGCTTTTCCAGCACCATTCATTGAAAAACCCTAAACTTTCTTTTTTTGTTGTTGTTCTTTCTTTGTTTTTTGTTTTTATTTATTTCTTCCAAAACAAAAGGGAGGATACATGTGCAGAATGTGCAGGTTTGTTACACAGGTATACATGTGCCATGGTGGTTTGCTGCACCTATTGACCCATCCTTTAAGTTCCCTCCCCTCGCCCCCCACTCCTCAACTGGCCCTGGTGTGTGTTGTTCCCTTCTCTGTGTTCATGTGTTCTTATTGTTCAACTCCCACTTATGAGTGAGAACACGTGGTGTTTGGTTTTCTGTTCCTGTGTTAGTTTGCTGAGGATGATGGCTTCTGGCTTCATCCATGTCCCTGCAAAGGACATGATCTCATTCCTTTTTATGGCTGCATGGTATTCCATGGTGTATATGTAACACATTTTCTTTATGCAGTCTATCATTGATGGGCATTTGGGTTGGTTCCATGTCTTTGCTGTTGTAAATAGTGCTGCAATAAACATACATGTGCATGTGTCTTCATAGTAGCATGATTTATAATCCTTTGGGTATATACCCAATAATGGGATTGATGGGTCAAATAGTATTTCTGGTTCTATATCCTTGAGGAATTGCCATACTATCTTCCACAATGATTGAACTAATTTACATTCCCACTAACAGGGTAAAAGCATTCCTATTTCTCCACACCCTTGCAAGCATCTGTTGTTTCCTGACTTTTTAATAATCTCCATTCTGACTGGCATGAGATGGTATCTCACTGTGGTTTTGATTTGCATTTCTCTGATGATCTGTGTTGTTGAGCTTTCTTTTTTATACATTTGTTGGTCGTGTAAAGATCTTCTTTTGAGAACTGTCTGTTCATATCCTTTGCCCATTTTTTGATAGGGTTGTAAATTTGTTTAAGTTCCTTGTAAATTCTAGATATTAGACCTTTATCATGTAGGTAGATTGCAAAAAATTTCTTTCATTCTGTAAGTTGCCTGTTCACTCTGATGATAATTTCTGTTGCTGCGCAGAAGCTCTTTAGTTTAATTAGATTCCATTTGTCAATTTTGGCTTTTGTTGCAATTGCTTTTGGCATTTTTGTCATGAAGTCTTTGCCCATGCCTATGTCCTGAATGGTATTGCCTAGGTTTTCTTCTAGGGTGAAAACACCTAAACTTTCTATGTTAAATTGCCTTTGCATCTTTGTTAAAAATCAGTTGACCGGCCAGGCACAGTGGCTTATGCCTGTAATCCCAGCACTTTGGGAGGCTGAGGCAGGCAGATCATGAGGTCAGGAGATGGAGACCATCCTGGCCAACTTGGTGAAACCTCTTCTCTACTAAAATACAAAAAATTTAGCTGGACATGGTGGTGTGTGCCTGTACTCCCAGCTACTTGGGAGGCTGAGGCAGGGGAATGGCTTGAATCTGGTTGGGGGCGGAGGTTGCAGTGAGCTGAGATTGCGTCACTGCACGCCAGCCTGGTGACAGAGCAAGACTCTGTCTCAAAACAACAACAACAAAAACAATCAATTGACCACATTTGTGGGTCTTTTTCTAGACTTCCTGTTCTGTTAGGTTGGTCTACATATCACCAATACTACACTGTCTCAATTACTGTGGTATATCTTAATATTAGATTGTGTGAGTCCTCTAACTCTGTTCCTTTAGAAAAATCTTTGTTTATTCTTGTTCCTTTACATTTACATATATATTCTAGAATTCACTGTTCTGTATCTATAAAGAATCTTGGTGGCATTTTTATTGTGATTGCATTAATTCTGTGGAGTAATTTGGGAAAAATTGACATCTTAACTACATAAGTCTTCCAATCCATGGACAGAGTTTGAGTTGACATCTTTGCTATATAGAGTCTTTCAGTTCATGGACAGAGTTTATCTCTCCATTTATTTACATTTTCTTTGATTTTTTTTACTTCAGAATTTTATTTTTTTAAAATCTTAGTGCACAGATTATGCACATATATTCTTAGATTTATATTTAAGTATTTTATTGAGAGAGTATTATAAATGATACTTATACAAATGATTGGTTCCCTATTGTTCATTCCTAGTGAATAGAAAACAATCGATATTTGAATGCTGACCTTGCATCTGCTAAAATTACTAATAGCTCTAAGAACTTTTGTGTAGATTCCTTGGGATTTTGTATGTAGACATCATGTTGTCTAGAGAGGTAGTTTTATCTCTTCCTTCTCAATTTGAATATTTTCTTTTTCTTGTCCCACATCACTTTCTAGGATTTCCAGTATGATATTAAATAGAACTAGTGAACGTGAACATACCTGACTAATTCCCAATCCTGGGGGGTAGCAACTAGTCTTTTATTATGTTAGCTGTGGTTCTTTGTAAGAGCCCTCTATGATTAAGGAAGTTTTCTTATATTCCTAGTTTGCTAAGAATTTTTATTATTAATGGATATTGAATATTTAAAAATGCCTTTTCTGCATCTACTGATATGATCATATGGTTTTTCTTGTTTAGTTTGATTTTTTAATGTTGAACTAACCTTACATTTTTGGGATACACCTTAAATTGTTCTTAAGGAATATTGGTCTAGAGTTTTCTTATTTTTCTGCAATGGTAGCCTTATAAAATGAGTTGAGAGGTATTCTCCCTTCTGTTTTCTGGAGGATATTGTATAGAATTGTTATTCTTTTTTAAATGTTTGTTTGAATTCACAAGTGAAACCATCTGTGCCTTGATTTTCTCTTCTAGAAGGTGTTTAACTACAGGCGCAATTTCTTTAAGAAATATAGGTTTATTTAAGTTTTTTGTTTCTACTTGGAAGAGTTTCCATAGCTTATGTCTTTTAAGGGAATAGGCCTATTATATTTAGACTGTTGAATTTATGCACTCAGAGTTGTTTATAGTGTTCTCTCGTTATCCTTTTTATATCTGTAGGGTCATAGTGACATCTCATTATTTACATTGGTAATTTGTGTTCTCTCTCCTTTTTTCTCTGGTCAATCTGGCTTAAAGTTTATTGGTTTTTCTTTAAACACTTTGTAGTTTTGTTGGATTTTATCTATTTTTTCTGTTTTCAATTTCACTGATTTCTACTCTTTATTATTTTTTCCTTTTGCTTACTTTGAATGTTTGCTCTTTCTTTTCTAACTTCTTAAGATAGAAGTTAAAATTATTCATTTTATATCTTCCTTTCTAATATAAACACTTAATCTACAGATTTCTCTCTAAACACTGCTTTGGTTTCATCCCACAGATTTTGATATATTTTCATTTTCATTCAGTTCAAAATAATTTCTATATTTTTGTGACTTCTTTTTTGAGCCACAGATTATTTAAGGGTGTGTTGTTTAATTTACAATATTTTGTAATTTTTCATGTATCTTCTTTGTTGACTTCTATTTTAATTCTATTAAGAGAAGATTTATTGTCTTTTACATATATGAAAAAAACTGCTGGAATTTTTAATTGGAATTGTGTTGTATTTATAAATTAGTTTGAGGAGTACTGACATCTTAGCAATATTGAGTGTTTTGGCCCATTAACAATATATATCTTTCTATTTATTTAGGTCTTCCCTAATTTTTCTCAGCAGTATTTTACAGTTGTAAGTGTAGAGATATTTGATCTCTCGTCAGATTTATCTATAAATATTTCATATTTTTAATGATATTGTAAAGGTCATTGTTTTAATTTTAATTTCTGATTTTTATTTTGTTGCTAGTATATAGAAATACAATTGATTTTGTACATTTGATCTTGTATTTTTCAACCTTGTGAAACTTAGTTATTACTTCTAGAAATGCATATTTAATGTAATTATTGATATGCTTAAATTAAGTGTAACATTTAATCTTAGTTTTCTGTTTTTCTGTTCTGTTTTTCAAATTTCTCTGTTTTCCTTTTCAAGCCATCTTTTGAGTAATATAAGTAGTTACTTAAATAATTTTGAAATTTCATTTTAATTTGCCTATTGACGAAAATCTGAATTAGTATCCTAGGGCTGCTGTCACAAATTACCTCACACTTAGTGATTTTAAACAACAGAAATGTACCCTCTCAGAGTTCTCAAGGCTGGAAGGCTGAAGTCAAGCAGGACCTCTCTCCCTCTGGGGGCTCTGAGGGAGAGTCTATTCTTTGCCTCTTCCAGCTCTGGTGGCCATGACCATCCCTTAAGTTGGGGCCACATCACCTCCATTTCTGCTTCCATGGCCCCATTGTTTCCTGCTCTGTTTTTAATGGTTACTCTAGAGATTATAATATACTTCCACATTTCACACAATCTACTTAGAATTAATATTTTATCACTTCAAGTAAAATCAAGAAGTCTTTCAGCTACGTAAGTCTCCTTACCCTCTCTCCTTTATGATGTAATTGTCATATACATTAAGTCTACATGCATTGAAAATCCCAACAGTGCTATTTTTTGGTTATAATTTTTGCTTCTTTCTGTGGTCTGCCACCTGCTGTTTGATTCCCGGGGGTCCCCTTTCCTGGTGTTCTGGCTAGAAAACAATTTCAGCTCTTCCCATTGCAACTGGTTCTCACCTGGGGGCAAAGCAGTGAGAGAAAGAAGCCTGCAAGGTCACTACCACCATCCCTGCACCACAGTTGCTTCTGCCTAGGGTAGAGTGGGAAGAGTGAAAAGGGGTCCACCCCATAAGGACAGCGTTTTCACTGCCAGTTGACAGGGGCAGGGGCAAAGGACTGGCTGACCTCTGCTGTACTTGTGAGGTGTGTGTGGGGGTGGGGTGGGGAGTAGGGGATGGGGGTGGGTGGCACTGCTGTTACTTGTTAACGCTCGAAGTCAAAAGTGTTTGGAGCTGCCTCTGGTCACGACTAGTTGGGGGCAGACAGAGGGTGGGGTGGGGGGGCTACCATTTTGTTGTTGGCAACTAGATCAAAAGGGATCTGCCCGGCAGAGCCCCTGCACCTGATTTGCTGTGTAGAGTGGGTTTATTTTGGAGCTTTCCCTGTTTGGGCTTGTTCACAGTTCTAATTCCAGGCTGCCCTAGAGCCCAAGATGGGATATATAGGAAGCAGGAGAAGACAAACGACAACAACAACAACAACAACAACAACAAACACAGAAAAACACACCCTCAAACAAAAAGTCAGAGCTTCATTGCTTTATTGTCCTTTAAATGCTGTACTCCCTACTTCCTTGGCCTTCTGTCATCCACCTTTCAGAATTATCTGATAGTGATTTTATATATTCAGTCCAGGATTTTTAGTTGTAATCAGTAGGAAAGATCAGATGGAGTGTGCTTAGTCTACCTTAACTGGAACCAGAGCCCCTCTATGTAATTTGTAATGCTTTATCCAGTATTTTTCACTACATTGAATAGTTAAGGGTAGTATCCTTGAGTGTAGTGTAATTCAGTATATCAATCTATCCATATATTCGGGATCCAGCACCCAGTATTTGATATGTGGTATAAATTTGGCGATACAACCCTATTCTACCCTGTTTTAATTATTTTTGTTATTATTTTTATTGAAGCATAGTACCATTTTTGTTTCAACGTATGTATAGCTTTCCTGCCCTTGGCAGGGGGAGTTATCTTCATATTTAGACTATACTTTCAGTTTCTTTATGGTTGCCAAATCGACTTTTATTTTTCATTTGGATTACTGCTTTGCTTTGCAGTGTTGGAACTTATTTGTTGGAGAAATGTCTTCAGAGTCAGAAAAGGATAAAGAGAGACTGATTCAAGCTGCCAAAATGTTCTTCTTTCATGTACAAGATCTTGCTTCTGTCATAAACACACTGACTGAATTGTTTAGCCGCAGTATGAATACTCAAATCCTTTTGATGGCTGTGAAAAACAATAGTTACATTAAGGATTTTTTTGAGCAAATGCTCAAAATTTTTAAGGAGATGCAATCTGTAGTGGATGCAAGACATGACAAAATTCAAAAGGAGTCTTTATGTTCCAAGGTTGCAATGGCCATGTGCTCTGTGGTTCAGAAGAGTACCAATGTAGAGGAGTTGCATCAGTCAGCTAAAGAAGTATTCAAAAGTGCCCATACGCCAGTCATCATCTCTGTGCTAAACAGCAGTAACATCCTTGGGAGTCTGGAATCTTCTCTTTCACACTTGATGAAATTCCCCATCATGAATCTTCAATTAAGTGACTTCTATACAGAAGACACCAAAGAGCAATCAGATGTCACCACATCTGAGAGAACCAGAAGTCCTCCAGGTTCTTCCAAAACCACTATGATAGACACCTTGAAAAAACTGCAGGATGTACTAAAAACTGAGGATTCCAAAAATCCCACAAAGTCAGCAGCAGATTTGTTGGAACAAATTGTCAAGGCTATGGGACCAATCTTAGAGATCCTCCAAAAAGCGATAAAGACTATGGAAATGAATATTTCTGTGTTTAAGAAAGCCAGTGACAAGTAGGGATGCAACAGAAATGTTCATTTCTGTCAGAAAACTACTTAAAATCTTATGGTTTTTCATAGTAGTTTCTAAGATCTTTTGGTGCCAAACATGTGCTATGTTAGAACATAAGTACACAAAAGTCATCTGGCAAAACATTTACCTGTAGTTTTGCTTTATTAAAATAAAAAGAAATAATTAAGAAAGCCTGTTTGAAATGTCAGTCACTAAGAAGAATATATTGTTGAAAAAAACAAAGTGGTATTACATTTGAGGATGTTTCTAAATATTGTGTTTCATCTTAAAGCATAATTAAAACAACCCTAAAGTAGTTCCCACTCTTAACTATTCTATTTCCAGTGAGAAATCCAGGTAAACTGTAAATATTATCATTAGATAGAAAATCTAGGCCTGGGAAACAAAATAAACTCCATTTTTGTCACTCATATACCAATTTCTATATACTTCAGTACCTTGACGATCAGAAGCCATCACTAAATATTTTAAATATGATTCATAAGTAAGTGAGAACAGTGAATGAGCAATAATAGACTTTTCTTGCTTATGTGAGTAAGACCAGAACAGATAGTTCATTCTCACTTGTCTCCTGAGGTCTTATGATTAGAAAATACTAGAGGTGGAAAAATGGAAGTACTCTAGCCTTTCACAAAGAAAAGACTTTCACAAGGAAAACACTTGCAGAAGTAGGATATCTGAGATGTGCTTTATTTAAAGAAATGAGATAGGGCAGTCTCTTTGTCTACCATAAGTCTTTGGTTCTCATGCATTGTAAATGAGTATGTACTCCTAAGATTGGTGTTGAAGTTAACTATTTCACATGATACCTGATAGAACTCTGTTGAGAATAGGAAAAGCAATAATAACTCCAAGCCAAAGCCATCATTGTAATTCCCATTGTCATTTAAAATAAGGAGTCCCTTCTCCATCCTCATATAATTTCAAAATGTTTGGTAGGGAGGGTCAAGTGGATTTTGACCATTACCAGAGCTTGGAGGTTCTGGAAAAAACGATGAGTTTCAATACATTAACTCTCATTTTCTCTCCACAGCAAAGCTGAAACCTTGCTTATTTGTAATAGGTTTCTATTAAGAACTCTATTATTTTGAAGAGGATGTTAAATTGATTCATTTGCTACCATACACATACACACACACACACACACACACACACAGAGGGTGAGAGAGAGGAGAAGGGAGACAGGACTCTCACTTTGCTACTTTTTCTGGACCTATATGTGTCTAGGGTTTCAATCTCCTTTTAGTTTTAGGATTATGTTTCAGAATGTTGGATGCAACAGCTAGGGGGATTCATATGGAAATGAATGAGACAAGGACCAAGAAAAGTCTTGGTGCATAGTCTTTCTGTGAGGTGACTGGAAGAATAGCTGGTGGCAGTTCACAGGAAGTCCTTGCCAGATGCCAATGGGAATGACAACCAGGGTGTTAGAGATGGGAAGTGCCCACTTCAATAAAGATGAGTGGTCTTCCAGTGCTGGTGGCTGTTGTTAGGCTGGTGATCACTTACAGTGTTTCACATTTTCCCACCACTGGGTACCACCAGTCTGACCACTCTAATGACATCATGTCTGCTGCTGCCTCCTGGCTTCTGGAAATACTGAGGAAAAGCTGTATTTTTTTCTCAAACCTATTACTCACATTTAATGTTTCTCTCAAATACTTTGGTTTTGGGTTCCTCTCATTTTCTCTAATATCCTTCAGTTTTTGAAGAACAAAGTGGGGTGTGTTTCTATACTATGCCTGGTCTCATTCCTCCTCTAGGCTGTGAGCATGGGATGGCCTAGCTGTTTGAATGAATCATCAGTAGGGAGGAAAAAGTGAACTGCCACACAACACAACACATGATCATTTACTATTAAAAAAAATGAAATACTATTATACTTGTAATTTTTTTTATTAGTTGCCAGTGTTTGCTGCATCTTGGTATTTCTGAAAGCACCTAATAAATGCTTGTTGAATTTTACCAAATCAAGAGCTAGTTCATTCAGTGTAAATCAATTTGATTCATATTATTAGACAACTCAGTACAAGAATCCTGATTCTTCTAGCAAAACAAACTTTACTGAAATTTTCTTTCATTGGATTTTTTTTAAAGTAAGAGTAAATAGAGAACTTCAGGATAATCTAATAGGCGTATTAAAGAGAACACCTTGTTATAAAAATAAAGTATTACATGGGTTGAGTGTTTTTACTTTTTAAATTTTTCCTGTTTCAATCAGCTTCTTCAGATTAAACAGTATATTTCTGTACACATCAAAAGGAGACATACATGTATTTGTTTAATAAAATTACTATAGGACATAAGTACTCCTTACAGCACAGTCTCTGTTAACAGTTGCATGAATTTACACATATTTGAGCATCCGCCTTATCTTTGGAAGATATCCCAGGCTAACAAATTTATCCCAGCAGAAATTACAGTGAAATTTCTAAAACTAGTCTCTTAGAGTTTCATAAACATGTAACTTAATCAATTTAAATCAATACTCTACAGATTCCTTGCTCAACAACTTTGGACTATAGGGAGAGACTGAGGGGATGTGAGCTATGTACATTTATCCTTAACCAAACTCATGAATCTACATAATTTTAAGAGAATAGTTTCTGTCTCCAGAGATTTGATCTGTAAAACAGCAGCAGGAGTTAGAACTAAGTTATCTTTTTTAGAAACTTGGCTATTCCCTTAAGGATCATAATTGTGTAAGTCACAGTGTTCTCAAATGTTGGTGTATAGCAGAATCATCTAGAGGACTTATTAAAACAGACTGTTCAATTTCTGTAGTCTGTAGTCTGGGATCAGGCCCTAAAATTCACATTTCTAATGAGTTCTTAAAGGATGCTATTGCTGCTTGTGCCTAGAGAGTCAACGCTTTAGGAGAATTGTCTTACTCAGAAAATTATGACTTCTCATGGAAATCAAATGCTTTTGGCTGACTTTTTAGCTTCACTGAGTGGCTTCCAATTTCCTCTCCAGCCCACATTACCCCTCACTCTCTGCCAGACCTATCTGCTCCCTGACCTTATGCTGTACATACATCGATCATTCCGTATTCGCTTCTATTTTCTGCTTTCCTCTAAGTAAAACATCATCTCTGATAGAAAGCTTTATCTAACCATAGGCCAGAGGAATCACATTTTTCTCTCAGCTCCAAGCATTTAATATTTGGCCTTGTTTTGGGCACTACGCACTTGGCACATACTCTTTCTTGTTTTTTTCTCCTTCTGCTCACCCCTTCTCCCAGCCTAGAGCCCTAACGGCTGGTTCAAATGCAGCCTCTTACTTAAAGCCTTCCGGGTGTCTCTTCTTGCCTCAGTTGGAAGAAATCTTTCTTTTGAATTGTTATGAACAGAAAACTTGATTTTTGCCTTTTTTTTTTTTGGCATTTCACTTGTGGCTTGCTTTATGTTCTTAATTTCTCCTAAGAGATTGTAAACTCATGAGAGATCTGGCCTAGTGTTCTTAACTTTTAATCCCCAAAGTGCTTTGTACACAGTATGGCTCAATACATGCATTTATATGGCACAGGAAAAATGTACTTAAGATGTTGGGTGGCTTTTACCAACATAGCATGTCATTACTGACTCATCGATGCTCACTGGAAAAGCTTGCTCCCAGAGCCATGTCCCCAGGACTCTCTACTAGGTAGCCACCAAACTGCCAAAGACCCTATCCTATGCAAGTCACATAAATTGTCTGTTTGTAGAAATTCTTTCTTTTTTTCTTTTTTTGAGATCGAGTCTCACTCTGTTGCCCAGGCTGGAGTGCAGTGGTGTGAACTTGGCTCACTGCACTACCTCCGCCTCCTGGGTTTAGGCAATTTTCCTGCCTCAGCCTCCCAAGTAGCTGGGATTACAGGTGCGTGCCACCATGCCTGGCTAATTTTTGTATTTGTAGTAGAGACGGGGTTTCACCATGCTGGCCAGGCTGGTCTTGAACTCCTGACCTCGTGATCCGTCCTCCTCGGCCTCCCAAAGTGCTGGGATTACAGGGGTGAGCCACCATGCCTGGCAGAAATTCTTTCCTTTATTGACTGTAGAGGCTACTGCAACTAGGTGACAGAGGTGATTTGGCCCTGTTAGTTTCAAATCCCAATTTAAAGAATGATAGTACAGAGATGCCTGAACTCCCTGCCAGGTAATTTTATGTAGCTTATTCCCCATTCCATTTCTTTGATCATGACACAGGCCATTCAGGAAGTCCTATGGAGAGTAAATAGATGGACCGATTTTCAGTTTTGCTGTTTCTTATCCAAATCTTAAAAGGGATAAGGAGCATGGACTTTCAAAATCCAAAATTATAGAGCTAGCCCTCATCTTTACTCCATTTAGCCTGATACCAGGGTCTTCAGTGATCGTGATCGGGTTAAATAATCCCTTATGTCGCTACCTAAATTACTACCTGAGGGAAGCGTTAGAGGACATTTCCAGCTATACAATTCAACAATTTATACTTCTTTGCATGTACTAGTTTACATGTAATGAGACCTCGCTATATTGCTGATATTTGTTTGTAATCAGTGTTTTTTTCTCTCATACTCTCTGTTAACCTTCACACATACCCTCATGTTTTCCTAATATTTAAATTTGCTATGAAGACTTAAATTTGCCATCAAGTTCTCTATGAATTAACATATGAGTTTAAATTTTAACTTTTGTAATGTCTTAGGAACATGCATGAACACCCATTACTGCTGGTGAATGAAATTTCACTAACATCTTTCATTAACTTTCCCTTTTATTTCTCAAGTTTCCATGTGTCTTCTCATCTGAGGCCATACTAGCTTAATCTTGAATGCTCATAAAAAATCTCTGAAGAAAATTCACACCTTGGTTAATCTCTGGGGTTCAAAGCTTTTCTGTTTGGTGAAGAATTTGTCCTTTGCTTTCTAATTTAATCTTCTTTGATTTGTTCCTATTTAGAATAACTAAATTAAAAAAAATAAGGAAGAGTGCTTGTATTCGTTGGAACTTCAACTGCTTGATGCTTGACATAGAAAATCTAATTCAAATTATGCAAGCAAAAACATAAATTATTGATTTATGTAATGAAAAATCTTGTAGTATTCAGCTTTAGGCAAAGTTGGATCCAGAGGCTTATACATTCTCATCAGGTCTCAGTTTCTTTTCACTTATCAGCTCTTCCTTTGTTGTGTTAGATCCTTTCTCAAGGAGATGGGGTCTCCTCTCCTGGTGGCGGGATCTTTGCTGGCAGCTATAAGCTCCTACCCTGCTTTCATTAATATCCATTCAGAAAAGAAGCTCCCATTCTATTTCCAATTGCAATTCCACAAAAGTACCCTGATTGTATCTCACAGGCTCTGATTGGATCATTTTCTATTCCAGCATGAATCTTTGTGTCCATGAAGAAGAAATATACTGATTGGCTAAGGCCTGAGTTACAGGCCAATCACAGTCAGTGGGCTGAGCCAGCTCTGCATCAGTTGCTAGCTGGGCAGAGTGATTTCCCCAAGAGTACTTAGGGTGCCCAGATTGAAATAAGGCAAAGGGGTACAAGGAAAGGCATAAGAGAATTAGCAAAGAGGAGGCCATGCACTGGTTTCAGCAGAAGTATGATGGGATCATCCTTCCTGGAAAATAAATGTCCATTTCTAGCCAAAAGGCCAATAAAAAAGATTTTATTTAAATATTTTTTTTAAATAAAAGGAGCCACAAGATTTCTTTATACTCTGCTTTTGGAAAAGATGATGACACTGGTCAAAAAGGAGAGAGATGCAATAGCTATAGGATCAGGGATGCATTTCTTGCTGGAAGCTGTAAAAAACAAAACAAAGGAAATATTTTAGGTAGCAGAGTTTTTTTTAAAACTACCTCATCTATCCATTGATCCACTTACTTAACTTAGAAAATTCCTAATAAAAACATTTGAAGTTAGCTACTTAAAACACATTATTTTAGATTTTTCTAACATAACTTGCTTATTTTGCAGATGATGAAACAGACACCAAGAGGTTAAAAGATGTACTCCCAGGTAACCCAGCCAGCTGGTGGTAGAGATCTAATTTTCCATCTTTATCATCACCAGCAGCATAATCACTGTTAGCATTATCCCCATCTTAATTATCATCATCTTCATCACCATTATGAAAGTTAACACAGACTGAATGCTGATTTTGTGCTAGGATCTATTTCGAGCCCTTGCTATATATTAACTTAAGCCTCACAACAAACCTATGAGATTTTTATTCTCAATATCCTTGGTTTTTACTTGATGAGATTGTGACACAGAGATGAGAAAAAACTTGCCAGTGTCACACATCTTGTAAATAGTATAGGCACCATTCAAACTTGGCCAGTTTGTCTCAATTCTGCATTCTTAACCACTAACCTGTTTGTCTGTGTATTACATGTCCATCCATAGAATTTTTCATTACAAGGTGAGCAAGAAATATTCACACAATCCTGTTTGGAGTGTGTGTGTGTGTGTGTGTGTGTGTGTGTGTGTGTTCTAACTACACATATACACCTTTCACAGGAAATGTGGGACAGGTTAGCAGCCAGTTAGGTGTGGAAGCAAAACTGGAAAATAAAAAAAAATATTGTCAGATATAACTAATAATTGGCCATATAATGGGGTGGGGACTGAAATGAGATGGGAGATGGAAACCCTGTAAAAAATAGTCTAAATAAAGACTGGAATCTCTTTGCAGCCAGTTTTCACTATTGTTTAAGGTAGAAAAGATGTTTCTGGGAGGAAGAGATTCAACTCTAATTGCCTCAATATTTGCTCATATTGTTTGATAGGATAACCAGATGAGGGAGAAATACATTTCTACTATTTTCACACAATATATACATTTTTTAGTTTTTTGGAATTTCTATATAGGAGTGTGTGTGTGTGTGTGTGTGTGTGTGTGTGTGTGTGTGTGTATACAAGTAGAAATTCCAAGACAGAAAAGACAGAAATTACTCTGTGTGTGTATGTGTGTACTGTATGTATGTATATATATATATATATATATATATATATATATATATATATATATATATACAGTAATTTCTGTCTTATTTTTTTGAGTTGGAGTTCTCACTCTGTCACCAAGCTGGAGTAGATACAGTAATTTTCAAGACCTCAATTTTCACCAATAAGAGTTGGCAAGGAAAATTAAGAGCATATGTCTTTCTAAACTTTTGTCAAAGTTTGTGTTAAAATCAAATTATATGAATCCCTACAGAGACTTAGGAAGCCTTAATACCACTTTAGCAGGTCAATCATTAGAATGGTTCTCAAACGATTTTTGTTTTTTTTTCCTCTTCACTGAGGCTAAAGATCACAAGGATTTCCAGTCCCACCCTTTCCCAGTATTTAGAGAGCTTAAGGGTCTCTGTTAGGCCACACAGTAAGTGACAGAGCCAGTATTTAACCTAGAGAGTCTGATTTAAGAGATTATATGTTGAGCTTCCTGGAATGTAATGTCAATTCTCAGTCCTCACTGTATTTGACCTATCAACCATATTTATGGTAGTGAATCACTCCATCCTCCTTGATACTTACTCTTCATTTTGCTCTTAGGACACCAACTCTATCAATTTTCTCCTCCCTCACTGGCCATTCCTTCTCCATTTTTTTTTTTTTTTTTGAGATGGGTCTTGCTCTGTCACCCAGGCTAGAGTACAGCAGTGTGATCTCTGCTCACTGCAACATCAGCTCAAGTGATTCTTCCACCTCAGCCTCCCAAGTAGCTGGGTCTACAGGTGCACACCACCATGCCTGGCTATTTTTTTTTTGTATTTTTGGTAGAGACGGGGTTTTACCACATTGCCCAGGCTGGTCTCGAACTCCTGAGCTCAAGCAGTCCACCTACCTCGGCCTCCCAGAGTGCTGGGATTATAGGTGTGAGCCATCACACCTGGCCTCTCCATCTTCTTTGTACTTGACCTTTTAAAATGGGAGTGTCCTGAGGTTTGATCCTTGGACATTTTCTCTCCTTTATTTATACACCTTTGTGGGGAGCTCATCCAGTCTCTTGGCTTTAAATACCACCCATAACCCACTGACCTCAAATTTATCTTTCCATCCTGGGTCACTCGGAATTCTACACTTGTGCATCAACTGTCCACTCAACATCTCTGCTTGGGTTACTATTGCACAGCTCAGATATAACATGTCAAATACCAAACTCCTGCTCTTAAATCTACTCCATCCCCAGGCTTCTCCATCTCAGTGAGTGCCACCTCCATCCTTTCAGTTACTCTAGCCAAACCTTGGAGTCATTCTTCACTCTTCTTTTTCCCTCACTTTTCACTTCCAGTGTGTCAGGACCTCCTTTTGGCTCTGAATCTGGTCAAACCTTACTGCCTCCACTCTACCACCTTCATCTCTCAACTGAATGATTGAAATAGCCCCCTACTTGGTTTCTCTGCTTACCTCATTACAGTTTATCCTCTACTGGGCTGCTAGGTCAGTTTTGACACAATCTTCTATGTTTTCTGCCCAAAACCTCTCAGTGGTATCCTATCTAAGAGGAAAAGCCAAAGTCCTTACAACTGCCTTCAAGGTCCTATGTGATCGAATCTACATCATCTTCTGTCTTCGCTTTCTATTATTTTTCTCTCATTCCCGTACACTGGCATCCTTGCTGTTGCTTCTTACTTGAGACATTTGCACTTGCTGTGCTTTCTTCCTGGAATGCTCTTTCCTCAGATATACATGGGACTGGCTCTCTCATCTCCTTTCAACCTTGGCTCAAATGTCACCCTCTCAGTGAAGTTTCCCCTGATCACCCAGTTTAATATTGCCACTCCTTCCCATAGTGTTCACTGTCTCCTTACTCTGCTTTATTTTTCATCTTAGTATGTACCACCTACTAACTACGACATAATTTACTTATTTATTTTGTTTATTTCTGCCTCACATCAATAGAATGTAAATCCCCAAGGGCAGGGATTTTCACCTATTTCCTTCCCTGCACCTAGGATAGTGCCTAGCAAATAACAAGTGACCAATAAATACTGATTTGTTGAATGAATGAATAATAGCTGCTATTATGATGATACCCAAATAAGAGACAAACACATAGACACTACTGTCTTGCAATCATAGTCATTCTTCAAAAAAATTCATAAGTCCTCTTTATAATAATTAGGATGTTAAAAATAGCTTCCTTTTGATTTTATTATGTCAGGTTAAAGTAACTAACTCTGTTGATACTTTTTCTCTACCTCTTTTATGGCCATTATCATTTCTACCTGGCATTATTATTATTATTGTTGTTACATGGACCATATATTTAGGAAAATAAATGAAAGACAGCTGTGCATTAATTACAAACTAAAGTTTTATTTGAGGATACCTCACATTTTTTTTACTTTTGTAGTTGTCTTTAGTTTTCTATTCAACTATCTCTTCAAAGTTTTTAATTTTCTCTTTACCTTTTTACAGGATTTTTAAAATTGGAGAATGTGATCAATTGATGGGTTGTGACATCAGCTTAGGAGGTCATAGCCATCATTGTTTAATAATGTAATAAAATAAGTTAGAATAGAAACACTAGCATTAACACTGCCTATGAAAAGGGTAACTGTTGTATTTTATGAATATGTGTGTATTTGCATATTTATGTGTGTGTGAACTGATTTATAATGTAAACAGTCATAGTCAAGAAGCTTAAAACTAACGGTAGTTTCTCAGCTATATTTGTTGAAGAATGGATGAATCCCCTGAAACCAGTCTATGGAGAATATTGTCCTGGAATTCTTATTAGAAAACATGGGGAAGGATCCTATTTTTGTCATTTGTAAACTATGAATAATTTTACGCAAATCCCTTAAGCTCTCTGAATCTCAGCATTCACATCAGTACAGCGGAGTCAATAACCTGACTTACAGGGTGATTGTGAAAACTAAACAGATAATGGGTGTCCAAGCGTTTTGTAAACTAAACTGCCAAACAAATATCATTTTATCAGTGTATTATAACCTGATTTTGGTCATCTCTGCCTTAGGGTATAAAGTCTGGAAGAAATACATAATGATTATAACTTTTATTTCATGAAGTCTGAATCTGAATTTTATCAGACTGTTCAGAAGTAAATAGTCCTTAAACAGAAAAAGGTAAAGCTGACGTGCAGTATACCAAGTCTAGTGTTTGAGGCAAATGCTATCTATAGCCTCTTTCTGTCAAAATGCAAGGAGCAAGAGTGTTAATATTGTAGAATATTACCTAGCAAAAACTTAGCACCCGAAAATGAAAAGCGTTATTCCTTCTGCCTCTTCCTTTGTTTCTCTTCTTACTATCAATTTCACTGAAGCACATGCTTGTGCCATTAAACCATTATCCCACTTCCATGTGCAAAGTACTTTCCCAGAGTTTCTCAGTTGTGTTTGAAAGGAGGCAGAGACACCAATGCTATCACAACATTCCCACAAGATGAGTATCACTTCCATTTTATAAATGAAGAAACAGGCTCAGAGGTTAAGTCATTTGCACAAGGTCACCTAGCTACTAACATATACCCAAATCTTTCTGGCTCCAAAGTTTATTCACTTTCCACCATGCCGTGTGGTCTCCCAGATTTATTCAATGACTCATTCTTTCATCCATTTATCTGAGACAGACACTCTACTTCAAGGTCATTGTGATGCCACAAATAGGGTAAACTAATTTTAGATAATTGAAGCCCAGAGTAAAAGAAAACAGGCAAAATAGAAAGCTAATAAAATAAATAATAATAATGATAATAGTATCTTAAAAGTTTTGAGTACTTAACATTTGTCAGATACTATTCTAAGAGATTTTACATGCATTCATTCATTTTCTCCCCACTAGAATCGTACAGGTTTTTAAAAAGTGAAGTTTACATGTAAAACCAGGCTGACTACAAACAATTGCCTATATTTCTCTAGAAACATGTTAAGAATTTTGATTATGTGAAACATTTTAACAAATAAATCCCTGTTCTTTGTGAATCCAATGATATAGAACAGAGCATGTATTTGTGTGTCTACAGATTTTTGGCATAGGTTATTTTGCTGAAAGAAGCAAGATTTAAGGGCAAATAACTAACATTCTGTTAACATATTTTGAGTCTTCCAATGGGCATGAAGACACCTGTTTCTATGGCAACCAGTACAGGTCATGTGAGGGGTGATGGAATAATTAGAGAGGAAAGCTGTTAGTTTAGAATGACAATTTTTCCTTTTGCAAATTTACTTCCTTAAATAGTATAATTCTATTAATTTGATCTCTTGTCTCTCTAAAAGCAACAGATTCCTGGAAACTCTTTAAACTTGAGTTACATGCTAACAGGACTGATTTTAGCATAAATTGAAGGACTGGAGAAGCTATGCTCTTAAATATACTGTCTCTTCTTTGGGAGAATTACAGTATGCTGCTGGGTAATTTTAAAGGTCTTCAAGTGGTCTTTCCAGTATCACGTCTGTCAGATTGAGAGGGAACAGGAGAGAAAACATAATTCACTTGGCTTATAGGGACTTCTGGGGACACAGAATAGCTTGTGGCTCCTGCTCATGAAACAAAACGAAGCTGAAAGAATGAGAAATAGTGTCCAGAGAAGATTACAGTTTCGTGAGGAGTTAGATATCAGTGTTCCAGAACACCATCTGTGAATTCCCTAGGCTGGGGTTAGTGGAGCAGTGAAGTGGGAAATGGTAGCTATCTAGAAAGTTGGGTCTGGGGAGAGTCCACTGATCTTACTTCCTCCCTGTTAAGGATCCCAGATAAGAAAGACACACTACCTCCTTCCTCTTATTGTTCATGTATGGCTCAGTCCAATACTGCTCCAGAATGTTGGGGTAAGTACTACTTATCAGTTAAAATAAATCACTTTAAGGACCTTTCTGATGTTCCTTCGCTTACTGATTGAGAGAAAAACAAAGAAACAAAGAAACAAACAAACAACACTGTAGCGAATAACTGAAAACATTCTGAAGGCAATCAAACTTTTTTTTTTTTTTTGACGGAGTCTCATTCTGTTGCCCAGGCTGGAGTGCAGTGGCGCGATCTTGGCTCACTGCCACCTCTGCCTCCTGGGTTCAAGTGATTCTACTGCCTCAGCCTCCTGAGTAGCTGGGATTACAGGCTCGTGCCACCACTCCTGGCTAATTTTTGTATTTTTAGTAGAGACGGCTTTCACCATGTTGGTCAGGCTGGTCTCGATCTCCTGACCTTGTGATCCACCTGCCTCGACCTCCCAAAGTGCTGAGATTATAGGTGTGAGCCACTGCACCTGGCTGGCAATCAAACATTTTTTAAATCATAAGAGATAGATATTGTGTCCTGTCCAAGACTGTATTCAGTAGTGTCCCTTTATCCTTAGTGGATACATTCCAAGACATTCAGTGGATTCCTGAAACTACAGGTAGTAGTGAACCCTATGTTATTTTCATATGTGTATGTATGTATATACATATATATATATATCATCAATGATAAAGTTTGAAGTGTGGCAGCAAAACTAGCATGAATTTCTTTTTCCTTCTTCACAATTCCACAGGTAGAAGATTCATTTTTACAGTAGATCTTAGCAACCTCAGCATACAATTTTTTCTTTCTTTCTATTAAGTTGAGAACTTTAAACTTTTCATTCAAAGGAGGCGCTTTCTCTTGGGCATATCTGAATCTCCAAGATCACTATTCTTTCACTTTGGGGCCATTATGAAATAAAATGAGGGTCACTTGAAAACAAACACTGCAGTACCGAGACAGCAGATCTGATAACCGAGAGGGCTACTAAGTGACTCACAGTGTAGACTGTGGATGATTCACATCCCAAGAGGGAAGGCACAAGATTTCATCACACCACTCAGAATGGCATACCATTTAAAACTTAGGAATTCTTTATCTCTGGAATTGTCCATTTAATATATTCTGCGGGTAACTGAAACCAGAGAAAGCAAAACCATAGGTAAGGGGGCATTACTGCAATTTTTTGCCCTCAACTAAATGACTGTGATGCTAACTAGCCAATGGCAGATGAGGCTTAGGTAGGTCAGGTAGAACCAGAGGATGGACCAGCCTTCTCTGCAACCCTTAGTCAGAGTCTGGGATCAAAGGAAGAAAGGCATCCCTGCAATGTGAGCTTATTCCTCTCCTTCTTTTACCTTCCCAGATAGTTTCGTAGCTGTGGAGGGTGAGAAAATGCTCCAATTCCAGCTCTTGGCTGATTATATGATGCCTCTGACCTATCTCTTCCCTCTTCACTTCAATTTATAAAGAAAATATTAAGTTGAGAACTTTAAACTTTTCATTCAAAGGAGGCACTTTCTCTTGGGCATATCTGAATCACCAAGATCACTATTCTTGCACTTTGGGGCCATTATGAAATAAAATGAGGGTCACTTGAAAACAAACACTGCAATACCGAGACAGCAGATCTGATCACTGAGAGGGCTACTAAGTGACTCACAGTGTAGACTGTGGATCCCCCAAACAACGGGATGATTCACATCATGACCAGTGGTATTTTTATTCTGCCGTTTACAAGCTTTTCTGCATGGCCACACAAGCTTCTAATTGATAAATTTCTGGGAAAAATTTAGTTACGGTAACTCACATTGCAAGTGACCATGTTGATCATTTACATTGTGACAACAGCTTACTTTTGACTAGGGGTTGAAGCTTCTAGAATATCTTCCCTTCTTCAAATATTGGAACTGTTTTTAATTAATTGTGTTAGATGGTCATGTAGTCTAAGGCTCAGATTGCTTAGAGGTATATTCACCATCATTCATTCACTCATTCAACAAAATAGGCTGGGCACTTCTATGTGCCAGAGGACTGAAGTTAGTAATAGCTAACACTAATTTACCATTATTATATGCTATAGAATATATAAATAATTTTATTTATTTATTTTTCTTTTAAGATGGAGTCTCACTCTATCGCCCAGGCTGGAGTGCAGTGGCATGATTTCAGCTTACTGAAACCTCCGCCTCCTGGATTCAAGCGATTCTCCTACCTCAGCCTCCTCAGTAGCTGGGACTGCATGTATGTGCCATGATACCTGGCTACTTTTTGTATCTTTTTGTAGAGACGAGGTTTCACCATGTTGGCCAGGCTGGTCTCAAACTCCTGGCCTCAATTGATCCACCCACCTCGGCCTCCCAAAATGCTGGGATTACGGGTGTGAGCCACCGCACTTGGCCAATAATTTTACATTTTATTTCATTTTCACAAAAGTCTTCTGAGGTTCTGTTACGATAATTATTAGGTAGATGAAAAAAGAGTTTAAGCAACTTGACCAAGAACACATAGCTATTAAGTGGTACAGTGGGATATAAATTCAAACAGAGTGGGTCTGGGCTCAAACTGCCTGCCTGCCTAGTTCTCAAATACTAGTTCCTCAAATACTAGTCGAGTTCCTGCCCCCAGGGAGCTTATAGAGCGACACAAGATTATTGATTCCCTTAAGTGTGATTGGTGATTCCAAATATTTCATTAAGACCAACCGAACTGTCAGAATTTAGTGATCTATGTGGCTACCCCAGCTAAACCTTAACTCAAAACTAAGTTAAAGTTGCATTTGGGTAGTTTCGCCATAGGAAAGCAAAGATCATTAATTTGGGTGGGGGTGTCCTGAAATATTTTTCTTTGAGGTTTATAGAGTGGCAGAATGTGAGTAATGGTTTATATTATATACTCCTTTCCCTCAGTTTCCCACTCAATGCTTAATATAAATCTTCTGTAATTTTTCATTGAATATATTTTACTGTGCTTACTATCCTAGTGAAGAATTATATGTTCCAAATTCATGATGAGAATGAAGTAATCATATCCTAGTCAGGTGTAGTTCCAAAGAATCCTGGAACCTGGCTATGAATGTTTTCATTTATTATCAAAATCTCACTGTTTTCTTCATATTCTACTATAGTTTTTCATCCTCTACAAACACTAATCTCCTGTGTCTGTGGGGCAGATACTCATTTCACTCGTTTTGCTGCCATGTTTCCAAGGTGACATGTGAGGAGATGAAAGTATTGATAGGTCTCCTCTCCCTGGTCTGTATTTATGGCTAGGACAGAGTGAGCAGATTCTAGACCTCAGTGTGGATGCCAGTTTGAACACTTTTGCAACACTACTGCCCTGAAATGTTGAGAAATGCTGAGAGCCTGAATTATAAATCATAGCAATAATGATAAAGCGAAGACAAATTTGGGGATATATTGAAGGTAGACCCTGCAACTGGGTTCCAGCTGACTGTGAGTGTGAATAAATTTACATATGAACAGTCTTTTTTTTTTTTTTTCTGAATCAAAAAGGGCACAGGATTTGCTACACAACTACCCCTCCATGAAATGGCTAGGTGGCAACATAAAATTCAATCAGCCATGTTTTTCTTAAAAAAAGTTTAACTTTTTTTTGTATTTTGATATCTCTAAATTTTCCTGCTTCAGTTCATTTTTCACAGTGTCATCAGAGCCCTTTCTAAGATGTTGACCAAATTGATTTCTACTCCTTAAAAACTTCTAATTACTTCTTATTACCTACAGCATAAAATTAAAAGGTCCTTAGCATGAAATACAAGACCTTTTATAATGAAGCCCCATCAGAATTCTCCTACCTGGATAAATCCCCTCCTCCCTTCCTACTCCTATTCTTTTCCCATATCCTACACATCCTACACACCAGCCATCCAGAATTTCAGAGTCCCTGAAGACACCAGGCTGTTTGAAATCCTTGTGATTAACATATGCTGTGTCTTAGTCTGTTTTCTGTTGCAATAACAGAGTATCACAGACTGCGTAATCTGTAAAGAAAATAAATTTATTTCTCACAATTCTGGAGGATGGGAAGTCCAAGAGCATGGCTCCAGCATCTGGTGAGGGCCTTTATGCTATACCATAGCATGGTGGAAGAGAAGTTGGTACACAAGACAGAGAGAGGCTCCAGTGATCAGATTCTCTTTACAATGACACACTCTCACAATAACTAACCTGCTCACATGACAACAACATTAATCCATTTATCCAATCATCTCTTATTAGGAAAGGTCCAATCAACTCTTATTAGAGCCCATTTCATACCACTGTTGCATTGGAGATTAAGCTTCCAACACAGGAACTTATTGGAAGACACATTCAAACCACAGCAAGGTATTCTTTGCTTAAAATGACTTTTCTTTCATTGAAAACCCCCATTCTCACGACAAGTTCCATATGGCTATTATGAAGCCTTCCTCACTTTTCCTGGAGAGAATGAGTAGCTCCCTGCACTGAGCAGCCACAGCTGTTTGCTTAAATATTTGGTATATCACTTAGTACTTTTGAGTGTATACATTTGTTCATATTTCCATTTCTCGTTAGACTAAAAATCCTCCTAGGTTATAATTTTGCTTTATTCATTCTGTATTTCCAGGGCCCCCATCACAATAGAAGATGATTAATGAACAGAAAATTAATGAATAAATATCTTGCCTCTTGCTTTACTTTTAGAACTCCTTATCCATGTAATGACAATGAGAAAAGCAATGAGTTTGAGGGAGAAGGTAAAAGTGCTATCTTTATGCTCCACCTTCCAGTCAAGCTTTACTCTGTCTGTCTGCAATTTTTTACATAATAATTTCACTGCAGAACTTATTGTCCTGGAGGTAATGGAGTAGGAAGAAAAGAGAAGTCAATAAATAAAGTGGATTTTCTCTAATCTATCAGTTCCATCATTACCGAAGGCTAGTTTTCATGTTTTTGATCTTTCCCCAAAAACCCACTGAGAAAAAATAACTTTTATAAAAGAGCAGTGGTCTGTGATCCTGAGTGGCCTCAATTTAGATAAAGAATACCTTTTAGCAGCTGACAGTTATATGTGCTCAGGTTCCCAGTTGACCTCAACTGCAACCAGTCTCCTCTTGGGTGGTAGCTCATATTTATAACTTTAAACAGCTCATAGGGAGGGATCAAGACTTCCTTCTTGAGGGAGAAGTACTGTACAGGTGCACCCAGGCAGGTGAATATGGTAAATAGTGTCTGGTTCCCAAACTCCTGTGCCTCTTCTTTCAGGAGGGATGTGGAGAGGAATTGGCCAAATCGAATGGTGGCCCCTGTGTAGGCATTAAAGTGGACATCCTTCGTCCTATAATGCACCTCATAGCACAGAGTGCCATTCTCCATGATGCTGTCTTTCCTCAGCAGCTGGATTGCTGAGGTGAGGTAGTAGTGTAAATATTTGAAGTGGAATGAACGTTCATACTGCTGTGGAGTCCTGGCAACAGAGGCCATGGCTCTAGTAAAGTCAGAATGAACATTGCTGTTCAATGTATAAAACAAAATAGCCACAGCGTGTGTGGTAGTCATGTTCTGGGGTAGAACTTTTCCTTGGTTAAGCCAGGCTAAGTGGGCTTTTTGCCACATCCTAAAATAATTCTTCTGGGCTTCTATGTCTTTTGTGAAATAATCCCCTTGAGTTAGTTTCTCCATAACCTGTTTGCTACAGCCTTGGTACTGATCATCAAAAGAACCTGGTGCGAAGTCGAAGTCGATTTTAATTGCAACCTGTAAAAAAAGAAAAATCTTGAGTTTAATTTTTCAAATCAGATGGTGAATGTGGTTGCAGATTTGCTGTACTCTATAAGGGTAAGTCTTCTCCTGGAAACCAATATTTACTGAAGTAAGTTACACTGAAAATCATTACACTGTTCCAATCCTTACTGCATCAATGACCTGTGCTAGAGATTGAATTTGGTTTGATAAATAAATTACTGAAAGCTTGAAAAACTCATCTCCCCAGAGAGGAAGTAACTCTTTTAATATCACTAAAATCACAGCATGTTTGCATAGTAAGTACTTTGAAGAAAAAATTCAAAATCTTGTAGTTTAATTACACTTTCTGTTTCCTCTACTTTCCCCCCTCTTTCTAGTCTCTCACTGGTGTTTTCAAAAATATCACTTTTATGAATGCCCAAAACCAAATTAAATCCTTGAACTTTATCCTTAAGCTATGAATAGTACTAAGGGGGCTCTCATAAGTAACAACCTTCTTGTCTACCTGGGTTCTGAAAACATTGATAATAAAAATAGCAAAATATGAAAGCCAAAATATCTGTTTTCTTACTGAAAAAGGGCACGCTACAGCAGTCACATTGTTAGGTCTGATAGCAAGTGGCTTGTTAAGAGCAAATTCCAGAATGGGACCGACTCGTTTGCAGGCAGTACTGAACTGGGGCCTGCCCAGGTAAGATTCTTGTCATGGGGAAACAGAGAACTGATGCCCTTTGCCATCAGGCTAACTCCCAGGAGGATGAAGAGCAGAGCCAAACTCAGCACACCCAGTTGTTTTTTCCCATGTTACCAGTCAAGTACATTTGTCCCCCTCAGGGACAGCAGAGTGAGTCAAGGGTTGGACAGTGGTCAGGAATGTGCCTAGGAAAGTCCCTCCCCTCCTGGAAAAGGACATTCCTTTCTAATGGGTAGCCAACAGAATGTTGTTTATTCACGTCTAGTGCATGCTAAACTGAAATGACAGATTTGAATAGAAGTCCACAAAATATCATCAGACTATCATTTAGAGCCATATATAAATTATATAAATTCTAAAACATTCCTTTCTTGGCAAAGAAATGATGTTTTCGTAATAAACAGTACTCATTGAGGGACATGTTAAAGGATCACATTCCATCCAGTCAATGTTAAGGATGTTGGAACTGGAACTTAAAGAACATCCCATTTGGTATTTTTACTATGTTATTTATGATGAGACGTCAGCTAGTTGTTTGTGAACTAGAACACATTTTTAAGACTGATTAAATGATTTTAACCAATAACTCTTCACATCAGGTATTAAAATAGGTCTACGGTATCTATTTAAGCCAAGCCGAGCCAAACCAAACCAATAATACAATGTTCTGTCAACTGTCATGATGAACTCTGAAACTTTGTTAATATGTTACTAGATCTCAAATATGTACTCTGTCATCTCTTAACATTAGGTTGTTTTTTGTTACACAGATCTTTATTAAAATATTCACTTAAAACTTAAGTCAATCTGTATGCTAGAGTTTAAAGCCAAATAGACTTGGTTTATTTTGCATTGTTTGTACTATGGAAGCAATATTTTACTTAATTTTTACAGTGGATCAGGAAAATAACTTTATGCCACTAGCATCCATAATGTCAAGTGTACTAACAGTGAAGGATTCTACAATTTTTCATAACTGTTTTCAACACTCTTTACTAACATGATTTGTTAAAATGTCTGAATGAAACTAGATTCTGAATGCCTAAGTTTTCGGCCATTTAAAGGCTGTGGCCGGGTGAATGCTCTGTTGGAGCACTGATCATAAAGAGATCACCCCCTCAATTGTCCCCCTACCTCAGAACCCTCTGTGGGTCTCTGCAGGCCAGAGAGGAGCAGCAGGAATGGCAGCAGGCCTCCAAGGAGCCAGATTCTCATCGTTGCAGGAGGTACAGTAGTTGGGAGAAGAATCTTCTTGCATCTGTTGATCAATGGACCCATTTGCTTGTGTCACAAGTACTTCTCCTTTGCCCTTGCAGCTTCATCCTGAGATGAATTCTCAGAGTTCTCCTTTGAGGTTTTCTTTCAGTCTCATCCGTAACCGTTTTTTCCCCTGTCTATGCTGAGCAACTTCTGTTGCCCACCAACAACCAATAGCTTGTCTGAGGGAAGAAATCAACTCCGACTTCTTTGCAAAACTGAAATCTCTGTGAAATAGCCAGATGCGCACACCAAATAAGGGTTTCTAAAGAGAACCCAAGTTACTTTTCAATTAAAAAAATAAAATCTCTGATCTAGTCTGTATTCAGGGGAATGCCGAAGTCCTGTTAAGTGTCAGACTCAGCAGTTCAGCCTTCCCTTTCCCAGCCAAACAGGAAAAAGCATGCTCTGTCCAGCGTTTGGGGCCAAGTAGCATTATCTGGAGCCCCAGGCTTCCATCAAAACTGATAAGATTGGCATGCGCAGGGCGGCTGGGAACGCGCCACCCTGGGTGTCTATAGGCTCATCTGGCCCTGCTGATAGGCCCTGCCCAGGACGGGCGTTCACAGAGCAAAGTGTGTTTTAGAGTTATTGTCAAAAAGAAGGCTCTTTGTACTGCTTTTCCCTGGCACCTTTGAAACTCTCCAATCCAGAGATTGTACCTCTGGGTTCAAAGCTCTTCCCCCATTTTCTCTTCTGAAGACAGGCCCTCTGTCCGCACAGTTCCAGTCTCCAGTGAATCCTAATGACGACTGTCAGGAGACTGCTTATGTAGAGCTGACATAAGTTAAAATAGGGTCCACTGTGCAAACTTAATCCAGCACAGTTCTATTAAGCACTCTCTTTTAGGTAGGTACTACCCTTTCTAGTCTAAACATCCTTCTTCTCCTCCCAACCCTTGATATAATTATATTTTCTTGCAAATATTTTGTATTTATACTTCTGGATTCATTATTTAAGAAACTAAAAGTTAGCAATCCTTGATAATTGTTTTTCTTGCAAATATTTACTTCTGGATTCAATTTTTAACTTTTAAGGTAAACTAAGTGCTGTTCTTAAGTATTCTAGAATTTTTTGGCACCCTGAATTTTTTTAATCTAAATTTTCTGATGATCACAGCAGTTCTGTCTCATTAACAAATATTCAGAATATTTAGAAAGCACAAAGGAGAAAAAAATGACACATAACCCGTCACTTGGAGACAGCCACTAATTAGGTCTGGATTTTGATTTATACACCCTTAGACATACACACACACAGGTTTCTAGAACTGAAATAATATAGTATGCAGTTTTGCATACTGTTTATTCCCCTTAATATTTTAATGTAAGCATGTCCCTATATAATTTAATACCTATTGAAACATTTTTTAAACAAAGGTTCACTATATTCCATTACATAGGTGCTGCCACACAATGGGACAGCATGGGTGGATCCATGGACAGTCTCAGAAGAAGATTGATAAGTGACTAGAACATGGACTCTTGAATAAGACATCTCAGTTCAATTCCTGGTGCTCCTTCTTCCTAAATGTGTGATCTTGGACAAGCTACTTAACCTCTCTGTCTCTCTGTTTCCTCATGTGTTGAATGGAGATAATAATAGTACCAACTTCATTTTAGTGTTGATACATTCATACTCCTTAGAATAGCATCTGGCACCTAGAAATTTTCCAACAAATAAAACCAATTATTATTATTTGCACCAAAGTTTATTTAATAAATATCTTATATTTAGCTTGTTTTCAACTACATAAATTTTTGTGTGTTTCTCACAATTTTTAAGATGCAGTTCTAGAGATGTGACTACTGATCCATGGAATGCATATTTTTCAGATTTAATGGCAACCACTAGCAGTGTGTGAAAATATCCCTTTAAGACTTTAACAATTCTTAAGGTTCCTTATTAGCAACTGTTACTTTGGAATATTGAGATGTCATGAAGAGAACTAGACTTAGAATATGAAAATTTGAATTATAGTTTGAGTTCTACCCACAATGCTGGCTGAGGTAACTTTAAAAAATAAGTAATTTGTGCTTAGCCTCAGTTTCCTTAACCTTATAGAAAGTTGTCAGGCTTAAATAAGGTGAAACTTTTCTTTTATTGAGCAAGTACTGTACTTCAAGACCTTTTTGCATGTTATCTCAACCCATGGGACGACCATGAAGAGATATTTTAACCTTTCCTTTATAAATGTGGTTGTTGAGGCCCTGTGAAGTTTAATAACTTTTTAGTAATCACAGGTGCTTTTCTGTCTCCTGAAGCCCACGATCTTAAAACACTCTAAAAGAGTGTGTCATTTTATTATTATCTTCTATAAAGGTTTTGCTATTTTTCCTATCGTGACTGCCACTTCCAGGATAAGACCACTGGAGGGCAGCAGAAAACTTTGTAACATTTTATACCACTCAGTCTAAAAGAGGGAGAACAGAAAAGGGAATGGGGCAGGGAGCAGGAAGGGGGATAGAAAGAGAGAGAGAGAGGGAGAAAGATAGAGGGAGAGAGGGAGAGAGAGTGAGGGGGAGAGCAAAAGAGAAGGGGAGCGAGAGAGTGGGGAGGGGAGGGGAGAGAGAGAAGGTAGGGAGAGAGAGAGAAGGTGGGGAGAGAGAGAGAAAGAGAGAGACAGAGAGAGAGAACCATCAGTGAAAACAACTGGGGTAGGGAAAAGCTCAAGTTCTGGTGTATATGTGAACATATTTGAATTAAAATGAAAAGTTAAGTTTTCTGATTGTTTGGAGTCAATAAAAAGTCATCTTTTGCCTTAAGGGCTATCTTATTAAGATTCTCATGTAATAATTTAATATTAGTTAATTTAGAGTTTGGGGTGCATTCAGTTATCATTTAATGATACCCAGTTCTTCAAAATGCAGCCTATTTGTGCTGTCTTGATGGGTTGGGATATAAGTTTTGAAGTAGCACAGACCTTGTGTTGGAATTTTACTTCCATCACTTCCTACCTTTGTGAGTTGGAACAAATTACACTAATTCTCAGTTGCATTTTCTTCATATGTAAAAGTAGACATGGTAACACCAGTCTTGCAGGGTTCTGTTGACAATGAAATGAAAGACCAACAACTCATAGGGTGTCCAACACAGTGAAAGTTAACTTTATTTTTTTTTTTAAGCAGCTGTTTAAGAAGAGGTTTCGCTAATTTTCCAGATCTATTTTCTGGAATAAATTCTAGATATTCTAGACTATTCTAAACCTTCTTTCAGAGAATGGGTTGCAGTACTCACTAGAGGGCCTTTCCCAGGGAGGAAACTTATCTTCTGTTACCGTCCTTGAGGTTTGGCAATGACCTTTAGTAGTTCCTGTTTGGATCTTGTTGAACTCCTTCAGATCTGTGTCTAAATTTAATAGGAGTGTTTTATTGCCAGAAGTACTTGTTAGTCACAGGAAAGTTGTTTGATAGTGACCCCATAATTTGGTAGGCAGAATGGGTTTGAGTTATCTACGTTTTAACTTATCAGTTCCTTCTTAACTCTTAACACTCTTACAGAAGTGAGCAAAGCTCCCTCAGTTATTTCACATTTTTATAACTTTTTATTTAGATAACATTTCATGCTTACACAAAAGGTGCAAGAGTAGAAGGAATTTCGATACACTCTCCAAATTAATCAGTTGTTAATATTTTACCCCAATTGCTCTATCATTCTCTCTTTTTTTAAACAACTTGAGAATAAATTGCAAATATCATGCTCTTTTACCCTTAAATACCTCAGCATTTATTTCATAAAACAGGGACATTCTCTTATATAACCACAGTTAATTACAAATATCATTTATATAATATCGTTATCTAATCCATAGTTCATAGTCAAATTTATTAACTGTTCCTATAATGTCCTTTATGTCTCGTCCCAGGATCACAATTTGCACTTAGTTGTCAAGTCTCTGTAGTCTCTTTAAGCTGCAATACTTCCTCAGTGTTTATTGTGCCTTTTGACCTTGGCAGGTTTGAGAAGCATTGGCCAGTTATTTTGTGGAATGTCTGTCAACTGGGGCTTGCACATTATTTCCTGGTAATTAGATTCAGATTATGCAGTTCTGGCAGGGAAATCACAGGGAGAAGTTTTACCATTCTCAGGAGACATTTGCATCTATTGTTTCAATACCTTTTGCAATAATAGTTATTAAAGCAATTGCTTTATTATAGTATCTGGTTGCTTGGTTATATGTTGATCATCAGATTATGTTATTTACCCTTTCTTTTTCTCACCTTTTTCTTTAAAAGCATAGGATCTTAGTGTCAGGAAAGAGCTTTGTTTTCCTTATCGTCATCCCCAACACTCCTCTGTGAATTTCCTCAACATTGTTGACAGAGCAACTTCTGCTGCATGTGCTCTCACAACGGCTAACATTCTGTAAGTGTTTGTTGAATGAATGAGTGAATGAATAAATGCTTCCAAATTTCAGTAGCTTGGGTACCATCCCCAAGAAGGCCATTTATTCTGGGAGAGATAGAGCAGAATTCCTAGTGGTGCATAGGAGGTTCTGAGGCCCAGGCTCACAGAAAAGACATTTGCCCAAGGACTATGCCTGAGTCTATCCAAATCCTGGGGACACAATGGGCAGCAGAAGATCTGACATAACTCAGGGACCGTCTCAACCCTTGGGTAGAGCAGAGTGATTGGGAATACAGGGTAAGGGAGTAGCCATCCTTTCACACATTTGAAAATGATATATTTGCTGAACATGAGCTGTGCATGATGCTCTGGGGATTCAGCCATAACCAACCAGATATGGTCCCAGCTCTCTAGGAACTTAGATCTGTTCAATTTTGAAAGTCAGCTCATGGTAACGGGGCCTAGCAGTCAGGAGGAGATTCTGAAAAAAAGCTCCATTTCCCAAAGGGAATTTAAAAAAAGAGAGTACTAGTCACATTAATTCACTAGAGAATGGGGATTAGAAATGGGTTCTTAATTTCCAAATCATCAATTTTTAGTGGAGAGTAGAAGCTCTAAAATTTTCGAGGCATCGTCAGGACTAAGAGAACTGGAAGTTACTTACATATCTAGGGAGGAGCTGTGATCCCAGATAAGTCTGGGATCACGTTCCTCGATGAAAAGAGCAGTGACTGAGAGGACCCAGCATCCAATGCCCAGGCACCAGGCCCGGCTCCCACTGAGGCATGAGGGCTTGTGAGGCTGCACGTGAGGCCGTCTGCACACAGGGCAGGACTGAGCTTTTAGAGGTGGAATGAGTGGGCGCATCTATGGGAAACAGGATGGCAGAAACGAGAGATTAAGCAAGGAAGAGCAGCACAAAAAAATTTGTGTGTGTGTGTGTGCACATGTATGTGTGACAATATATCTTTTTTTTGGGGGGGCAAGTATTGCTTCAAAATCTGGAGTTTTCTATTGCATTGTGTTCCTCTATTTTCAGCATCTCCCCCACTTTGGCATTCATTTTGGTGGAATCCTTGGTTGTTTCTCATGTACGTTGAGCTTGCTAAGCAGACCAAGGTTTCCCACCACTGGCAGCAGCAATTCTCTGTGTTCCATGGATTAGTGGTTGTAAATTTACTTCTACACTTAAGTTAGCGCCCAGGCTTAATTTGAAGTTAAGCTACTTCTCTTTGGTTATAATGGCTTTATATTAAATAATCCTTTGTTTATACATTTCTATTTTGTTCACTAAGAGACAACAAACTGAAGGCCTTTTTACCAGGTTTTTTATCTGCACCCTGTAGTCAAACCCCTTCTTTCATTTCCATGTGTCTCTACTATACTGGACAGAGGGGCACAATTCAGGGAAGATGGACCTTGCTTTTCTCTGGATAGATCATGGTGAGTAAATGCTTCGTGTGGCTCAGAAGTCTGCCTTTTGAAGGTTTTCTAACTTATTATCCTGCCAAACATAATAGCTCTTGCCCCACTCCCTATTTTCCCTGGATCACAAGCTACTCCCTAGAAATAAAGTTAACTTTTAGCATCTTCTGTCTGACTGTATCTTGAACAATTTGTAGCTTCTATTCATTACTAGAAATTGATGGCTTTTCTCCTCCACTCAGCTGTAGCTTCTTTGTGAAGGAAAACATAGCCTGGCTTCACTGTCTGTTACTGTTCCTGGGGAGGTGGGAAGAGTGAGCTACCTTTTTATGGATACGGTGGGTTCTAAATTTGTACTATAGCTGTTCTCCTCTTAGCTTCCATGAGTATCTGGAGTTAAATCCATTCTACCAGTTTAATGATTGATTTTCTTTAAAAAACTCTCATCTACTTGAGAAATTAATATTACATTCATAAACATAAAATTGATCATATTCTTATAAAATTCATAACGCTGGCTTCCTGCTAACAGAGATTTTGCTCCTCCCTTGCTACGAGACATGTTACAATCTTCTTGCATTGACTAATAATGAATGGTACAAACATAAATCACACTTCTCTAATCACTACTTTTTTGTTTTTACTGACTGGAGGGGAAAATGTTTCAGTCCACCTTACCCCAAAGGTAATAACATATCAAATAACACTTACTACATCAGTTTCATTGAATCCAAATTCATTCACTATTATTTAGAATGTTTCTGGTCTGCGGGGGCCAAGTCTCTCTCACTGCTCTTTTCTAATGTTTGAAGATGCTATTCTGTTCTTCCAAGTTTTCCCTTTCCAGACTCAACATTCTGACTCAACTTTTCCTCAGAGAGCACAGTTTCCAGACTATCATCCTGGCCATCTTTCTCTTTCTGAATTCCAGTAAGCCCATGACCCTTGTAAAATACAGCAACGAGACACTCCACATGTGTCTAATCTGTGGGACTAAAGGCTTCCTTTGTTCTGAACACTTTGCTTCCACTGATGTTATTATAACCTAAGGCAAAGCAGCTTTTTTGGGGGCAATTATGTCATACTTTGACTCACTGAATTTGCACGTGATAGAAATCATAAGTCATTACCATATGAACTTCTATTAGTAAGTCAACTCTCACCAATTCTATGCACCTGTAAAGTTGAAGTAGATTTATCAAGCCCAATTTTAGAACCTTACATTTATGCATATTAAGTCTCTTTATTTTAACCTGTCAAGCACTTCATGAATCTTAATATGAAGTATATTAGCAATAACTCTTGGTTTAGTTTCATGAAAGAAAACCAGAATACTCTTCTTTTCATATCTTCATTCCAAACCTTAAAATATTAAAATTAGCACAGGACTCAGTAGCGACTGCTGGCCGTGACAATAAGAATTTCCTTTTAGATTGAAAATGATGCATTTTAAAGCTCTTTTTAGTTATCGATCAACCAGTTCTGCTTAACCAGGTTTGAACACATAATTCTGCTAATATCTTAATTAGGAAATTCAACTTGTCAGTTGAATTCTAAAGACATTTTTGGTTTAGCATGCATAATTTAAAAAATATTTGTATGCCCTCAGGTAGTCAAGCATTCTTCATGTACTCATAATTCACACCTTTCACCCTTAGACTCGTTTGATCATGTATATTCTCCGCCTGGACTTTGTAGGCATTTGAGTTTGCCAGCCGTATCCGAATCATTCCACTTAGGATATAGAAACCTTTAAAGCATGTCACCCCTAGCCTAAAAATGAGAGGAAAAGCTATATAACTTATAAAATCACAAATTTTCTTGAATCTATGAAAAAGCCGAGGTCACAAGACAACCAGGTTAACTGAATTTCAGAGGGCAACAGGCCCTCTGAGGAGAGATGGGGCACATGAATTGCTACATCTTTGTGGGAGTAGAGGAGAAAGGGGCAGCTGTCTTAAGAGTGGGTAAAAAATAAGCAGCCAAAATTTTAACAAATTCTTAAAGGTCCAGTGTAGGCTAGTGCGACAGTTCAGAATCTTCTAGAGATCTAGACTCAAGAAGAATAGACACTCATTCTCAAATCCTTTTCCATAAGCCTCCATGGGGAATTCACAAGAAAGACTGGAGACAGGACAGGAGACCTGAGAGATTCCTTCTCTGAGATGAAAGCAGGTACAAAGCCTTCGCTGTTCTGTCTCTGCTGTTATTTGAAGCAAAAGCCATGTGCCCTGGGGGGAGGGTGAAGGGCACTTGTCTGGTTCAGGAACCTGCAATCAAACAAAGCACAGAGGTCAGCCATCACCAGGGCAGAGTAGAAACTCTCCATGCAAGACCTTTCTTAGACACAAGGCAGAATTTGCTGCAGGGATGAGAAGGGAAGATGGAGGAAGGGGAGGAGTACTGAGAAAGCCCCAGGCCATGGCCCAGGCACAAGAGTCCTTCCTTAGTTTGAGGCTATACCAGGGAAACCCCTTGCCCTGCCTTACAACAAGCCTGGCAGCAAGTAACAAGCAAGAAACACTAGACTACTGCAGAGGGAGGTGCATGTCTGTGGAGGGGCATGCTGGGCCTGCTGCAAGCTGAACACAGAACAGAAACAGAGAAAAGCCCTCAGGTGTCTCAGACTCCACAATAGACACAAGGTAAAAGCAACCCACAGCTGGAGGAATTTGAAGTTGTGGTGCACTGAAGGCAACTAGAGCCAAACAAAACCCAAACCCAGCTCAACTACTGACTAGCTTGACTCAACTCCCATACTAATTGCCTGAAAGAAGAAGATATGTGTCTGTTTCAGGGTATAGATACCACTTACCTCAGTCTTTATTGTTTTTCTATGCACAGCATGCAACATTCAATAACGAATTATGGGCTGGGAGTTATAGCTCATGCCTGTAATCCCAGCACTTTGGGAGGCCAAGACAGGAGGATGGCTTTAGGTCAGGAATTTGAGATCAGCTTGGATAACATAGTAAGACTCCATCTTTGCAATAAAATTAAAAATTAGCCAGGCTTGGTGGCATACACCTGTGGTCCCAGCTACTTGAGAGGCCAAGGCAGGAGGATCCGTTGAGCTCAAGAAGTCAAGGCTTCAGTGAGCTATGATCACACCACTGCACTTCAACCTGAGTGACAGAGTAAGACCCTATCTCAAAAAAAAAAAAAAAAAATTACACTCACACAAAAATGAGACAAACAATCCATTGTCAAGAGATAAAGCAATCCACAGAACCATACTGGAGACATTAGACAGGGACTTTAAAATGACTATGATTGATGGGTTAAAGTCAGTATGAAAGTTTGTCAAATGCTTTCCTAAAATCTAGACTTAACATATCCTAATTTTCCTAAAGCAGTTGACATTTTAAGAATCGGTATCCATAGTTGTGGCCATTTTTTTTTTTTTTAACTTCTTGGAGTCTACTTCATTAGAAACTGGTCTATAATATCTATTAACTTAAATTTCTTCATGATAATCATCATGTTTGCTTAATTCTCCAGGTAACACAAAACAAACAAAAGATTCACACCAGGTCTCCCCTTCTCCTTCTCCTTCTCCCACTCCCACTCCCCCTCCCAGTCCCACAACCCCTCCCCCTCCCCCTCCTCCTCCTCCTTCTTCTTTTTGAGATAGGGTCTTGCTTTGTCACCCAGGCTGGAGTGCAGAGATGTGATCACAGCTCACTGCAGCCTCGACTGGGCCTCAAGTAATTCCCTCACCTCAGCCTCCCAAGTAGCTAGGACTACAGGCACATGCCACTATTCCCAGCTGATTTTTAAATTTTTTGTAGAGATGGAGTCTCACTCTGCTGTCCAGCCTGGTCTTGAGCTCCTGGGCTCAAGTGATCCTCCCACCTCAGCCTCCCAAACTACTGGGATTACAGGGGTGAGCCACTGCATTGGGCCCAGACCAGGTCTTCTGACTCCAGTCAATGATGATTTGCATGAAACTACACTATAGTTAGCTGTAGGTGATTCTCCAGAACAATACTAACCGCAGCTAATATTTACTGCTATTAATATTTACATCAGATATTGTGCTAAATATTGTACATGTTTTATCTCATTCAATTCCCCAACTACCCTTTTTTTTAATAGTATAATCAATACTCTAAGTGCTGATGAACTGAGGATTAAAGCAACTAAAATAACTTTCAGCCTTCTTACCCTGTCTCTGTTGTCTCTTGTTTTCCATATCCTTTGTTGGGATGAGGTGAGTGGGAAGCTGTTTGTCCCTTTTGTCCTCACTACCCTGACCTGGTTGATGAGCCCACATGCTCTGAAATTTATTTTCTGGAAGTGGTGGTACTGGCTTGTTTCTTTTCTAGCTGGCCAACTTTTCTATGTTTGGTTCTTGTTCACATAAACTGCAGGACCTAGTGGCTCTTTTCTGATTAAGTTTACTTTTCTGAATTTGACAGCTCAAGTTATAGACCCTCATGTGCAGGGTTTATGATTCTCTGCTCCAGTCTAGATGAATTCCAGACATGGTTTTAGCACCTCTCGGTCAGCCCTATAGTCTTGATCCTCAATAAAATTATCTTTTTCAAGTCCCTGCATGATCAAAGGATGCAGTTGTTTAGGAGATGGGCAGATTTAGGCTTCAATCCTGATTCTACTTTTTCTAGTCCAACGACTTTGAGCATATTATTTAACATCTCTAAGTCTAGCTTACACTTTGGAAAATGGAGATAACATTATCCGTCTCAAATGGTCATTAGAACTGAATGATTAAAGTTTGTAAAGTGTTTAGGACAGTGTCTATTACTACCTAGAGAGTGCTCACTAAATGGCAATTATTATTGTTGTTTTTAATATTATGATTATTATTCTTTAGAAGGAAGTTGGCTAGACCCAAATTGATACATTCAGTGTTCTTGGCCTTATAGGCCAATTAGTCAATCAAATCAGTCACAATCATCTAAATGCACAACAGTTTCTTGACAAATGTACCTCACTTTTCATATATCCATGTTTTCAGTTGAATTTAATAGTTGAGTGGCTGCCTAGCAAAGACTTTGGGGAGTGGGTAGATGGGAAAGAGATTTAAGTATCAGATGAGAGGCCTTTAGGATTTTTTTTCAAATTTAAATAAAGGTCCTTTTTTAAAAAAAAGATTTAAATTATGTAATTCTTTTTAGTTGCAACTGCTTGTGTTTTGGATTTTTTTGTTTGTTTATTTATTTTTAGAGACACGGTCTCTGTTGCCAAGCTCTAGTGTAGCAGTGTGATTGTAGCTAACTGCAGCCTTGAATTCTCAAGCCATCTTCCCTCCTCAGCTGCCAAAGTAGCTGGAACAACAGGCACGCACCACGCCCAGCTAATTTTTCTATTATCTTGTAAAGATCTGGTCTTGCTGTGTTGCCTCAGCCTCCCAAAGTGCTGTGCTTATGGGCATGAGCCCTGCACTGGGCTGCTTACCAGTTTTTATTGTTCATTTTTCCTTTTTTAAGCAAGCATGGATATTATTAAGAATTATTTTTTTAATAGAAGAAAATACCTATAAAATTTTTTGTACATTTCTCAAGTTGATGGTTTGTAAATTCAATGGATGTTTAACATATTTAATTATAAAAATGTTACTTGAAAGACAGCATGTTATTGTCCAAATGTAGAGAACAGTTAGAATGATATTTTAGCTGAAATATAATGTAAGTTTTCTGGACTTGGTGTGGGGTTTTATTGCATCATTTATATCTCTTTTTTTCCTTAATTAAAAAAATATGCCTTTAGATGTTGTTTCAGACTGGGAGATCTTTGGGTAAAACTTTAATTGCTGTCAAGGAAAACATAGTTTTCTGGCCAACTTAATATAGCCACACGGTTCTACATTCATGTGAGTTTGTGTACAAAAGCAGAACTGTACTGTAGTATTGAGAAAGGAAAATTTTGGTCAAGCTGCTCCTTCTGGATCTTGACCGCAGTTACACAAACATTGAAATTTTGTGACTAATGGCCAGGAAAACAGCATCGTTTACATATTGGCCCAGCGGAACAGTTTACTATAATTCTGTCAATAATTTGAATTGCAAGTTTCCAGAGCCAGTAGGGGCAGAAGAGCTGGGCAGCTAAGCACATGATCTTCTCTACTTGCTCACTCATGCCTGACGTCCCCTAAACCAAACAGGGGCTAGGCTTTCAGGGTATAGCTAGAGAGGAATCTTACATGGCAATTATCTACGGAAAAAGTCATACATGGACTTTCATGTATCAGGGTACACATGACTGATTGCAGATTACTCCCAAAGGAGATTTTTTTACTGGGGTATAAATCAAAGGGGCTGGCACAAGGTTACTTTATACCTGCAAGTAATGGATGGTGGTGAAAGGAAGAGCAAAGAAAAGGGAAATGAGAGACACTAGAAAAACAAACTTATTTTAGTATTTTACCTTCAATTACTTCTTTGTATAATGAAGAGTTTCCCATTCTCACATTTAGTTTAAAAGTGTTGGATTTTTAGAAAATATGGAGATACAGAAATTAATACATTTTTCACATTTCTGTGTATTACATGTAAGAAACTTCTATTTTAAAGACTGGTGTTAGAAGTTAAAACAACAAAAAAGGAAATGATTTATGTTCTGCTAACAAGTGGTTGATGTGTATATTTTTATAAGTTCTATACCAAGAAGTATGTAGTAGTGTAGATAAAAATATCTAACCTAGCTCCAGAACTCTTTTTATACATATTTTCTTCTTTCATATACTAAATATACACTTAGCAGTTTAAAAATTCTCATCATTATTCAATTTAATCTTCATAGTAACCTAAAAGGTAGTTAGAATAGACACTATTTGCCCTATTTTCCAGGTAAGGAAATTGAGGGCAAATAGGCTAAGTGACCTTGTTTTGTTTTTGTTTTTGTTTTGAGGCAGGGTCTCTCTCTGTTACCCAGGATGGAGAGCAATGGCATGATCATAGCTCACTGCACCCTCCTCCCAGTCTCAAGCAATCCCTCCATCTCAGCCTCCTGAGTAGCTGGGACTACAGGCGTGTGCCACCATGTCCAGCTAATTTTTGTATTTTTTGTAGAGATGGGGTTTCACCATGTTGCCCAGACTGGTCTCAAACTCCTGGGCTCAAGCAATCCTCCTGCCTTGGCCTCCCAAGTCCTGGGATTACAGGCGTGAGCTGCGCCTGGCCAGCTAAGTGACTGTTAAGAAACACATAACTAGTATGTGTTAGGACTATGTGTAAGACTCACATCTACTCTCTAGTGTCTTTAAGCCCAGTTTCTTTCTTTCTTTTTTTTTATTTCCAACTTTTATTTTAAGTTCAGGGTACCTGTGCAGTATTGTTACATAGGTAAACATGTGCCATGGTGGTCTGCGGCACAGATCATCCCATCTTAATACCTGGGCTTAACACCCAGCTATTAAGTCCAGCATCCATTAGCTATTCTTCCTGATCCTCTCCCTTCTTCCATCCCTGCCCTTTGACAGGCTTCACTGTGTGTTGTTCCTTCCATGTGTCCATGTGTTCTCATTATTTGGCTCCCACTTATAAGTGAGAACATGCAGTGTTTGGTTTTCTGTTCCTGTATTAGTTTGCTAAGGATAAAGGCCTCTAGCACCATCCATGACATCCAAAAGACACGATCTCATTCCTTTTTATGGCTGCATAGTATTCCATGGTGTATATGTACCACATTTTCTTTATCCAGTCTATCATTGATGGGCATTTAGGTTGATTCCATGTTTTTGCTATTGTGAATAGTGCTGCAATGAACATATGCATGTAAGGTCTTTATAGGAGAATGGTTTATATTCCTTTGGAACTATACCTGGCAAGAGGATTGCTGGGTGGAATGGTGTTTCTGCCTCTAGATCTTTAAGGAATCACCACACTGTGTTCCACAATGGTTGAACTAATTTTTTTTTTTCTTTTTTTTGAGACAGAGTCTTGCTTTGTCACTCAGGCTGGAGTGCAGTGGTGCAATTTGGGCTCACTGCAGTCTTCACCTCCCAGGTTCAAGTAATTCTTGTGCCTCAGCTGGTCACCACCATGCCCGGCTAATTTTCATATTTTTAGTAGAGATGCAGTTTCGCCATGTTGGCCAGGCTGGTCTCCAACTCCTGATCTCAGGTGATCCACCCGCCTTGGCCTCCCAAAGTGCTGGGATTACAGGCGTAAGCCACTGTGCCCAGCCTGGTTGAACTAATTTACACTCCCATCAACAGTGAGTGTTCATTTTTCTCCACAAACTTGCCAGCATCTGTTGCTTTTTGACTTTTCAATAACAGCCATTCTGACTGGTGTGAGATGATGTCTCATTGTGATTTTGATTTGCATTTCTCTAGTGATCAGTGATGTTGAGGTTTTTTCATATATTTGTTGGCCGCATGTATGTCTTCCTTTGAGATGTGTCTGTTCATGTCCTTCTCCCACTTTTTATGGGGTTGTCTTTTTAATGTAAGTTTAAGTTCCTTATAGATCCTGGATATTAGACCTTTGTTAGATGGATAGATTGCAAAATTTTTCCCCATTCTGTAGGTTGTCTGTTTACTCTGTTGATAGTTTGTCAATTTTTGTTTTTGTTGCAATTGCTTTTTGCATCTTCATCATGAAATCTTTGCCCATGCCTATGTCCTGAATGGTATTACCTAGGTTTTCTTCTAGGGTTTTTATAGTTTTGGGTTTTACATTTAAGTCTAATCCATCTTGAGTTGATTTTTGTATATGATGTAAGGAAGGGGTCCAGTTTCAATTTTCTGCTTATAGCTAGCCAGTTCTCCCAGCATCATTTATTAAATAGGGAATCCTTTCCCCACTACTTGCTTTTGTCGGGTTTGTCAAAGATTAGATCATTGTAGGTGTGTGGTCCTATTTCTGGGTTCTCTATTCTGTTCCATTGGTCCCTGTGTCTGTTCTTGTACCAGAACCATGCTATTTTGGTTACTGTAGCTCTGTAGTATAGTTTGAAGTCATGTCGTGTGATGCTTCCAGGTTTGTTCTTTTTGTTCTCTTTTGCTTAGGATTGTCTTGGCTATCGGGCTTTTTTTGGGGTTCCATATGAATTTTAAAATAGTTTTTTTCTAATTCTGAGAAGAATGTCAATGGTAGTTTAATGGGAATAGTATTGAATCTATAAATGCCTTTGAGCAGTATGGCCATTTTCACACTATTGATTCTTCCTGTCTGTGAGCATGGAATATGTTTTCATTTGTATCATCTCAGATTTCTCTGAGCAGTGGTTTGTAGTTCTCTTTGAAGAAGTCCTTCACTTCCCTTTTTCACTGTATTCCTAGGTATTTTATTCTTTTTGTGGCAATTGTGAATGGGAGTTCATTCGTGATTTGGGTCTCAGCATACCTGTTGTTGATGTCTAGAAATGCTGTCAATTTTTGCACATGGATTTTGTATCCTGAGACTTTGCTGAAGTTGCTTATTAGCTTTAAAAGCTTTTGGGCTGAGATAATAGGGTTTTCTAGATATAGAATCATGCCATCTACACACAAAGATAGTTTGACTTCCTCTCTTGCTATTTAAATACTGTTATTTCTTTCTCTTGCCTGATTGCCCTGGCCAGAACTTCCAATACTATGTTGAATAGGAGTTGTGAGAGAGGGCAAACTTATCTTATGCCAGTTTTCAAGGGGAATGTTTCTGGCTTTTGCCCATTCCCGTATATTATTGGCTGTGGATTTGTTATATATGGCTCTTATTTTTTTGAGGTATGTTCCTTCAATACCTACTTTATTGAGAGTTTTTGACATGAAGGCATGTTGAACTTTATTGAAGGCCTTTTTTTTTCATCTATTGCAATAATCATGTGATTTTTGTCTTTAGTTCTGCTTATGTGATGAATCACATTTATTGATTTGCATATGTTGAACCAGCCTTGCATATCAGGGATAAAGCCTACTTGATTGTGTTGGGTAAGCTTTTTGATGTTCTGCTGAATTTGGTTTGCAATTATTTTGTTGAGGATTTGACGTTCATCAAGGATATTGTTCTGTATTTTTTTTTTTTTATCTCTGCCATGTTTTGGTATCATGTTTTGGATGATACTGGCCTCAAAGAATGAGTTAGGAGGGAGTTCCTTTTTTTCAAGTTTTTGTAATAGTTTCAATAGGAATAGTATCAGCTCGTCTTTGTACCTTTGGTCAAATTCAGCTGTGAATCTTTCTGGTCCTGGGCTTTTTTTGATTGGTAGGCTATTTATTACTGCCTCAATTTCAGGACTCATTATTGGTCTATTCAGGGATTCAATTTCTTCCTGGTTCAGTCTTGGGAGGGTGTATGTGTCCAGGAATTTACTATTTCTTCTAGATTTTCTAGTTTATGTGCATAGATGTGTTTATAATATTCTCTGATAGTTTGTATTTCTGTGGGGTCAGTGGTAGTATCCCCCTCATAATTTCTAATTGTGTTTATTTGAATCTTCTCTATTTTTGTCTTCCATTAGTCTAGCAAACAGTCTTTTGCTTTTATTAATTTTTTCAAAAAACTACCTCTTGGATTCATTATTTTTTTGAAGGGTTTTTCATGTCTCTTTCTCCTTCAGTTCCACTCTGATCTTGGTTATTTCTTATTTCTTGTCTTCTGCTAGCTTTGGTGTTTGTTTGCTCTTGGTTCTCTAATTACTTTAGTTGTGATGTTAGTTTGTTAACGATATCTTTCTAGCTTTTGGATGTGGGCATTTAGTGCTATAAGTTTCCCTCTTAACACTGCTTTAGCTGCATCGAAGATGTTCTGGTATGTTGTATCTTTGTTATCATTAATTTCACAGAACTTTCTTGATTTCTGCCTGAATTTCATTATTTACCCAAAAGTCATTCAGGAGCAGGTTGTTCAATTTCCACATAGTTGTATGGTTTCGAGTGAATTTCTTAATTTTGAGTTCTAATTTTATTGCACTGTGGTTCAAGAGACTGTTTGTTATTATTTCAGTTATTTTGCATTTGCTGAGGAGTGTTTTACTTCTGATTATGTGATCAATTTCAGAGTAAGTGCCCTATGACACTGAGAAGAGTGTATATTCTGTTGTTTTTAGGTGGCGAGTTCTGTAGATATCTATCAGGTCCACTTGATCCAGAGCTGAGTTCTGGTCCTGAATGTCTGTGATAATTTTCTGTCTCGATGATCTGTCTAATATTGTCAGTGGGGTGTTAAAGTCTCCCATTATTATTGAGCGGGAGTCTATGTCTCTTTGAAGGTCTCTAAGAACTTGCTTTATAAATCTGCATACTCCTGTATTGAGTGCATATATATTTAGGAAAGTTAGCTCTTCTTGTTGAATTGAACCCTTTACCACTATATAAAGCCCTTCTTTGTTGTCTTTTTGATCTTTTTTTTTTTTTTTTTTGGTTGTTGTATGTTCGTTTTGTTTTGAGACAGAGTCTCGCTCTGTTGCCCAGGCTGGAGTGCAGTGGCATGATCTTGGCTCACTGTAATCTCTGCCTCCTGGGTTCTAGCGATTCTCCTGCCTCAGCCTTCTGAGTAGTTGGGACTACAAGCACATATGAGCACACCTGGCTAATTTTTATATTTTTAGTAGAAACAGGGTTTAACCATGTTGGCCAGGCTGGTCTCGACCTCCTGGCCTCAAGTGATCCACCTACCATGGCCTCTCAAAGTGCAGGGATTACAGGCATGAGCCACTGTGTTCAGCCCTGATCTTTGGTTGTTTAAAGTCTGCTTTGTCAGAAACTAGGTTTGCAACCCTTGTTTTTTTCTGTTTTCCATTTTCTTGGTAAATTTTTCTCTATCCCTTTATTTTGAGCCTATGTGTGTCTTTGTGTGTGAGATGGGTCTCTTGAAGACAGCATACCAATGGGTCCTGCTTTTTTATCCAGCTTGCCATTCTGTGTCTTTTAATTGGGGATTTAGCCTGTTTACATTTAGTATTGTCATGGGTGGATTTGATCCACACATAACATGATGCTAGCTGGTTATTTTGCAAACTTGTTTATGTGGTTGCTTTATATTGTCACTGGTCTGTGTATTTCAATGTTTTTGTAGTGGCTGATAACAGCTTTTGCTTTCCATATTTAGTGCTTCCTTTAGGAGCTCTTTTAAAGTAGGTCTGGTGGTAATGGATTTCCTCAGCATTTGCTTGCCTGAAAAGGATCTTATTTCTCCTTTGCTTATGAAGCTTAGTTTCACCTGATATGAAATTCTGGGTTGGAAATTCTTTTCTTTTTTGAAAAAATTTATTTTCTTTATTTTGTTTTCTTTTTTTTTTAAAATTATACTTTAAGTTCTAGGGTACATGTGCGCAATGTGCAGGTTTGTTATGTAGGTGTACGTGTGCCATGTTGGTTTGCTGCACCACCCATTAACTCATCAATTACATTAGGTATTTCTCCTAATGCTATCCCTCCTCCTGCCTCCCACCCCATGACAGGCCCCAGGGTGTGATATTCCTTGCCCTGTGTCCAAGTGTTCTCATTTTTCCATTCCCACCTATGAGTGAGAACATGCAGTGTTTGGTTTTCTGTCCTTGTGATAGTTTGTTCAGAATGATGGTTTCCAGAATGATGCATCCATGTCCCTGAAAAGGACGTGAACTCATCCTTTTTTTTTTTTTTTTTTTTGAGACAGCGTCTTGCTCTGTCACCCAGGCTGGAGTGCAGTGGTGTGATCTCGGCTCACTGAAAGCTCTGCCTCCTGGGTTCATGCCATTCTCTTGCCTCAGCCTCCTGAGTAGCTGGGACCACAGGCGCCCACCACCATGCCCAGTGAATTTTTTGTATTTTTAGTAGAGATGGGGTTTCAGCGTGTTAGCCAGGATGGTCTCGATCTCCTGACCTTGTGATCCACCTGCCTTGGCCTCCCAAAGTGCTGGGATTATAGGCGTGAGGCACCACGCCCAGCCAAACTCATGCTTTTTTATGGCTGCATAGTATTCCATGGTGTATATGTACCACATTTTCTTAATCCAATCTATCATTGATGGACATTTGGGTTGGTTCCAAGTCTTTGCTATTGTGAATAGTGCCACAATAAACATACGTGTGCATGTGTCTTTATAGTAGCATGATTTATAATCCTTTGGGTATATACCCAGTAATGGGATCACTGGGCCAAATGGTATTTCTAGTTCTAGATCTTTGAGGAATTGCCACACTGTCTTCCACAATGGTTGAACTAGTTTAAACTCCCACCAACAGTGTAAAAGTGTTCCTATTTCTCCACATCCTCTCCAGCGTCTGTTGTTTCCTGACTTTTTAATGACTGCTATTCTAAGTGGTGTGAGATTATATCTCATTGTGGTTTTGACTGGCATTTCTCTGATGATCAGTGATGATGAGCATTTTTTCATGTGTCTATTGGCTACATAAATGTCTTCTTTTTGAGAAGTGTCTATTCATATCCATTTCCCACTTTTTGATGGGGTTGCTTGTTTTTTTGTTCTAAATTTGTTTAAATTCTTTGTAGAGTCTGGATATTAGCCCTTTGCCAGGTGGGTAGATTGCAAAAATTTTCTCCCATTCTGTAGGTTGCCTGTTCACTCTGATGGTAGTTTCTTTTGCTGTGCAGAAGCTCTTTAGTTTAATTAGATCCCATTTGTCTATTTTGGCTTTTGTTACCATTGCTTTTGGTGTTTTAGTCATGAAGTCCTTGCCCATGCCTATGTCCTGAATGGTATTGCCTAGGTTTTCTTCTAGGGTTTTCATGGTTTTAGGCCTAACATTTAAGTCTTTAATCCATCTTGAATTCATTTTTGTATAAGGTGTAAGGAAGGGATCCAGTTTCAGCTTTCTACATATGGCTAGCCAGTTTCCCCAGCACCATTTATTAAATAGGGAATCCTTTCCCCATTTCTTGTTTTTGTCAGGTTTGTTAAAGATCAGATGGTTGTAGATGTATGGTATTACTTCTGAGGCCTCTGTTCTGTTCCATTGGTCTGTAGATCTGTTTTGACACAAGTACCATGCTGTTTTGGTTACTGTAGCCTTGCGGTATAGTTTGAAGTCAGGTAGCATGATGCCCTCAGCTTTGTTCTTTTGGCTTAGGATTGTCTTGGCAATACAGGCTCTTTTTTGGTCCCATATGAACTTTAAAGTAGTTTTTTCCAATTCTATGAAGAAAGTCATTGGTAGCTTGATGCAGATAGCATTGAATCTATAAATTACCTTGGGCAGTATGGCCATTTTCATGATGTTAATTCTTCCTATCCATGTTCTTCCATTTGTTTGTGTCATCTTTTATTTCGTTGAGCAGTGGTTTGTAGTTCTCCTTGAAGAGGTCCTTCACATCCCTTGTAAGTTGGATTCCTAGGTATTTTATTCTCTTTGAAGCAATTGTGAATGGAAGTTCGCTCATCATTTGGCTCTCTGTCTGTTATTGGTGTATAGGAATGCTTGTGATTTTTGCACATTGATTTTGTATCCCAAGATTTTGCTGAAGTTCCTTATCAGCTTAAGGAGATTTTGGGCTGAGACGATGGGGTTTTCTAAATATATAGTCATGTCATCTGCAAACAGGGACAATTTGACTTCCTCTTTTCCTAATTGAATACGTTTTATTTCTTTCTCTTGCCTGATTGCCCTGGCCAGAACTTCCAACACTGTGTTGATTAGGAATGGTGAGAGAGGGCATCCCTGTCTTGTGCCAGTTTTCAAAGGGAATGCTTCCAGTTCTTTCCCATTCAGCATGTTATTGGCTGTGGGTTTGTCATAAATAGCTCTTATTGTTTTGAGAGACGTTCCATCAATTCGTAGTTTATTGAGAGTTTTTAACATGAAAGGCTGTTGAATTTTGTCAAAGGCCTTTTCTGCATCTATTGAGATAATCATGTGGTTTTTGTCGTTGGTTCTGTTTATGTGATGGATTACGTTTATTGATTTGCGTATGTTGAACCAGCCTTGCATCCCAGGGATGAAGCTGACTTGATCGTGGTGGATAAGCTTTTTGATGTGCTGCTGGATTTGGTTTGCCAGTATTTTATTGAGGACTTTCGCATCAATGTTCATCAGGGATATTGGTCTAAAATTCTCTTTTTTGTTGTGTCTCTGCCAGGCTTTGGTATTGGGATGATGCTGGCTTCTTAAAGTGAGTTAGGGAGGATTCTCTCTTTTTCTATTGATTGGAATAGTTTCAGAAGGAATGGTACCAGCTCCTCTTTGTACCTCTGGTAGAATTCAGTTGTGAATCCATCTGGTCTTGGACTTTTTTTGGTTGGTAGGCTATTAATTATTGGAACCTGTTATTGGTCTATTCAGAGATTCACTTTCTTCCTGGTTTAGTCTTGGGAGGGTGTATGTGTCCAGGAATTTATCCATTACTTCTAGATTTTCTAGTTTATTTGTATAGAGGTGTTTATAGTATTCTCTGATGGTAGTTTGTATTTCTGTGGGATTTGTGGTGATATCCCCTTTATCATTTTTTATTGTGTCTATTTGTTTCTTCTCTCTTTTCTTCTTTATTAGTCTTGCTAGTGGTCTGTCCATTTTGTTGATCTATTCAAAAAACCAGCCCCTGGATTCATTGATTTTTTTGAAGTGTTTTTTGTGTCTCTGTCTCCTTCAGTTCTGCTCTGATCTTAGTAATTTCTTGCCTTCTGCTAGCTTTTGAATGTGTTTGCTCTTGCTTCTCTAGTTCTTTTAATTGTGATGTTAGGGTGTCGATTTTAGATCTTTCCTGCTTTCTCTTGTGGGCATTTAGTGCTATAAATTTCCCTCTACACACTGCTTTCATTGTATCCCAGAGATTCTGGTATGTTGTGTCTTTGTTCTCATTGGTTTCAATGAACATCTTTATTTCTGCCTTCATTTCATTATTTCCCCAGTAGTCATTCAGGAGCACGTTGTTCAGTTTCCATGTAGTTATGCAGTTTTGAGTGATTTTCTTAATCCCGAGTTCTAATTTGATTGCTCTGTGGTCTGAGAGACAGTTTGTTGTGATTTCTGTTCTTTTACATTTGCTGAAGAGGGCTTTACTGCCAACTGTGTGGTCAATTTTGGAATAAGTGCGATGTGGTGCTGAGAAGAATGTATATTCTATTGATTTGGGGTGGAAAGTTCTGTAGATGTCTACTAGGTATGCTTGTTGCAGAGCTGAGTTCAAGTCCTGGATATCTTTGTTAACCTTCTGTCTCGTAGATCTGTCTAATATTGACAGTGGGGTGTTAAACTCTCCCATTATTATTGTGTGGGAATCTAAGTCTCTTTGTAGGTCTCTAAAGATTTGCTTTATGAATCTGGCTGCTCCTGTATTGGGTGCATATACATTTAGGATAGTTAGCTCTTCTTGTTGAATTGATCCCTTTACCATTATGTAATGGCCTTGTCTCTTTTGATCTTTGTTGGTTTAAAGTCTGCTTTATCAGAGACTAGGATTGCAACCCCTGCTATTTTTGCTTTCCATTTGCTTGGTAGATCTTCCTCCATCCCTTTATTTTGAGCCTATGTGTGTCTCTGCACAGGAGATGGATTTCCTGAATACAGCACACTGATGGGTCTTAACTCTTTATCCAATTTGCCAGTCTCTGTCTTTTAATTGGGGCATTTAGTCCATTTACATATAAGGTTAATATTGTTATGTGTGAATTTGATCCTGTCATTATGATGTTAGCTGGTTATTTTGCCCATTAGTTGATGCAGTTTTGTCCTATCATTGATGGTCTTTACAATTTGGCATGTTTTTGCAGTGGCTGGTACCAGTTGTTCCTTTCCATTTTTAGTGCCTCCTTCAGGGGCTCTTGTAAGGCAGGCCTGGTGGTGACAAAATCTCTCAGCATTTGCTTGTCTGTAAAGGATTTTATTTCTCCTTCACTTATGAAGCTTAGTTTGGCTGGATATGAAATTCTGGGTTGAAAATTCTTTCTTTAAGAATGTTGAATATTGGCCCCTCCTCTCTTCTGGCTTGTAGAGTTTCTGCCGAGATATCCGCTGTTAGTCTGATGGGCTTCCCTTTGTGGGTAACCTGACCTTTCTCTCTGGCTGCCCTTAACATTTTTTCCTTCATTTCAACCTCGGTGAATCTGACAATTACGTGTCTTGGGGTTGCTCTTCTTGAGGAGTATCTTTGTAGTGTTCTCTGTATTTCCTGAATTTGAATGTTGGCCTTCCTTGCTAGGTTGGGGAAGTTCTGGATAATAACCTGAAGAGTGTTTTTCAACTTGGTTCCATTTTCCCCGTCACTTTCAGGTACACCAGTCAGACATAGATTTGGTCTTTTCACTTTGTCCCATATTTCTTGGAGGCTTTGTTCGTTTCTTTTTACTCTTTTTCTCTAAACTTCTCTTCTCACTTTATTTCATTAATTTGATCTTCAATCACTGATACCCTTTCTTCCACTTGATCGAATCAGCTATTGAAGCTTGTGCATGTGTCACGTAGATCTCGTGCCATGGTTTTCAGCTCCATCTTGTCATTTAAGGTCTTCTCTGCACTGTTTATTCTAGCTAGCCATTCATCTAATCTTTTTTCAAGGTTTTTAGCTTCCATGTGATGGGTTCAAACATCCTCCTTTAGCTTGGAGAAGTTTGTTATTACCAACCTTCTGAAGCTTACTTCTGTCAGCTCGTCAAATTCATTCTCCGTCCTGCTTTGTTCCATTGCTGGTGAGGAGCTGTGATCCTTTGGAGGAGAAGAGGCACTCCAGTTTTTAGAATTTTCAGCTTTTCTGCTCTGGTTTCTCCCCATCTTTGTGGTTTTATCTACCTTTGGTCTTTGATGGTGGTGACCTACAGATGGGGTTTTGGTGTGGATGTCCTTTTTGTTGATGTTGATGCTAGTCCTTTCTGTTTGTTAGTTTTTCTTCTAACAGTTAGGCCCCTCAGCTGCAGGTCTGTCGGAGTGTGCTGGGGTTCCACTCCAGACCGTGTTTGCCTGGGTATCACCAGTGGAGGCTGCAGAACAGCAAATATTGCAGAACAGCAAATATTGCTGCCTGATCCTTCCTCTGGAAGCTTTGTCCCAGAGGGGCACCTGCCTGTATTAGGTGTCAGTCGGCCCCTACTGGGAGGTGTCTCCCAGATAGGCTACACGAGGGTCAGGGACCCACTTGAGGAGGCAGTCTGTCCATTCTCCAAGCTCAAACACTGTGCTGAGAGAACCACTGCTCTCTTCAGAGCTGTCAGACAGGGATGTTTAAGTCTGCAGAAGTTTCTGCTGTCTTTTATTCAGCTATGCCCTGCCCCCAGAGGTGGCGTCTACCTTGCTGAGCTGCAGAGGGCTCCACCCAGTTCCAGCTTCCCCTGGCCGCCTTGTTTACCTACTCAAGCCTCAGCAATGGCGGATGCCCCTCCCCCTGCCAGGCTGCTGCCTTGCAGGTCGATCTCAGATTGCTGCACTAGCAGTGAGCAAGGCTCCATGGGCGTGGGAGCCTCTGAGCCAGGCATGGGATATAATCTCCTGGTGTGCCATTTGCTAAGACCATTGGAAAAGCGCAGTATTTGGGCAGGAGTATCCCGTTTTTCCAGATACTATTTGTTGTGGCTTCCCTTGGCTAGGAAAGGGAAATCCCCTGACCCCTTGCACTTCCTGGGTGAGGCGATAACCGGCCCTGCTTCATCTCACCCTCCATGGGCTGCACCCACTGTCCAACCAGTCCCAATGAGATGAACCAGGTACCTCAGTTGGAAATGCAGAAATCACCCATCTTCTGCATCAATCACGCTGGGAGTTGCAGACTGGAGCTGTTCCTACTTGGCCATCTTGGAACAGAATCTGGAAATTCTTTTCTTTAAGAATGTGGAATATTGGCCCCTAATCTCTTCTGGCTTGTAGGGTTTCTACTGAGAGGTCTGCTGTTAGTCTGATGGGCTTCCTTTCGTTAGGTGACCAAGCCTTTCTGTCTGGCTGCCCTTAACATTTTTTTCTTTCATTTTGACCTTGGAGAATCTGATGATTATGTGTCTTGGGGATTATCTTGTAAAGTATCTTACCAGGGTTATCTGCATTTCCTGAATTTGAATGTTGGCCTGTGTAGCTAGATTGCAGAAGTTCTCTGGGATGATACCCTGAAGTATGTTTTCCAAATTGATTCCAGCCTCTGCATCTCTTTTTGGTACCCAAATCTGTCATAGATTTAGTCTCTTTACGTAATCCCATATTGGAGGTTTCGTTCATTCCTTTTTCACTATTCTTGTCTGTCTGTAATTTCAGAAAGACAGTCTTCAAGCTCTGAGATTCTTTCCTCTGCTTGGTCTATTCTGCTATTAATACTTTGAATTGCATTGTGAAGTTCTTGTAGTGTGTTTTTTGGCTTTATAAGGTCGATTATGTTTCTCTCTATACTGGTTATTTTGGCTGTCTACTCCTGCATTGTTTTATCATGTTTCTTAGCTTCTTTGCATTGGGTTACAACATGCTCCTTTAGTTCAGCGAAGTTTGTTTGCTTGTTTTCATCCACATTCTGAAGACTACTTTTGTCATTTCAGCCATCTCAGCCTCAGCCCAGTTCTGAACCCTTGCTGGAGAGGTGTTGTGGTCATTTGGAGGAAAGGGGGCACTCTGGTTTTTTGAGTTTTCATTGTTTTTGCATTGATACTTTCTCATCTTTGTGGGCTTATCTACTTTTGATCTTTAAGGTTGCTCACCTTTGGATGGGTTCTTTTGTGTTTTCTTTTGTTGTTGTTATTGTTGTTTTTTCTTTGTTTGTTTTTCTTTTAACAGCCTGGCCATTCTTCTGTAGGGCTGCTGTGTTTGGCTGGGGGTCCAATCCAGACCCTAGTCACCTCGGTTTTTCTAGTACCTGAAGGTATCATCAGTGAATGCTGCAAAACAGCAAAGATGGCAGCCTGCCCCTCTCTCTGGGAGCTCTGCCCTGAGGGCTACTGACCTGTTGCTGGCCTAAACATGCCTGTACAAGGTGGCTGGAGACCCTGGTTGGGGTCACTAGGAACGAGATCAGGGACCTGCTTAAAGTATCAGTCTGGCTGCTTTTTGGTAGAGCAGCTGTGCTATGTTGAGGATCCCTTCAGCCCCCAATCCAAGGTCTGCAGGGTGGACTAGCTGAGATGCCCAAACAGCAAAGGTGGTGGCCTGCCCCATCTCGTGGGCTCCCCCATTCCAGGGAGAAATTAGAACTCTGTTGGTCATAGAACATGGGCAGGGGTGGCCTGGGGCCCCAGCTGGGAGGACCTGCCCAGCAAGGAGGAATGGATCCTGCCCCCTTTTATAGAAGCAGTCTGGCCACACCTTAACAAGACAGTCATGGAGTCCTGGGGACCCATCCCCGGCCATGTCAGCTTGGACTCACCAAAGCCCACAGGCTGGAATGGCTGAGTCACCCAAACAGCAAAGATGGTGACCTGCTCCTCCCCCTGGGCACCCATCCCAGGGAGAAATCAGACCTCTGTCCTTAGAGCAGGGTAGCCAGAGGCCCTGACTGGGAGGACCTGCCCTGCAAGGAGGAGTGGATTGGGTTCCTGTTTGAAGAAACAGTCTGACTACACCTTGACAAAAGAGCTCTGCCATGCTGGGGAGCTGCCTCTGTGCTGGTCAACTTGCACTCTCCACACCCTGCAGGCTGGAGTGGCTTAGTTGTCCAAACAACCAAGGCGGTGGCCCACACCTCTCCCTCAGGGAGAGATCAGAACTCTGTCCATAGAAAATGGGCAGGAGTGGCCGAAGGTTCCAGATGGGAGGTCCTGCCCAGTGAGGAGGAATGTTTTGGGATACTGCTTAAAGAGGCAATCTGGGCACATTCTGGCAAAGCAGCTCTGCTGTGTTGGGGGGAATCTTTCCTTGTCCAGACCATTTGGATTTTCCAAAGCTCACAGGCTGGAATGGCTGAGTTGACCAAACAGCAGAGATGGTGGCCTGCCTCTGTCCTCCGGGTCTCTGACCCATCTCAGGCAGGCTCCACCCTGTTGCTAGTAGCTGGCTGGAATCCAAGCCAGTAGATCTTATCTTGTGAGGTACCGTGGAAGTGAGGCCCACAGACTGACACTGGCCCCCTGGATTCAGCTCCCTTCCTAGGGGTATATACAGGTCTCCTGCCTTGCTGAGGATCCCAAAGCCAGAGTAGGTAAAGCTCCTGGGTCTCTGTGTGTGCCTGAGCAGCTGCTGTGCTGAGACTCTACACAGCTCTGTGTGTCGGACCCAAGGCCCTGTGGTGTGGGCTCACAAGGGAATCTCTTGATTTGACAGTTGCAAAGATCTGTGGGAGAAGTCTGGTTTCTTGGGGTCACACAGTCACTCACTGCTTCCTGTGGCTGGGGATGGGGGTTCCCTTGGCTCTGTGTTGCTCTCAGGTGGGCTATCGCCCCACCCTGCTTTTCTATGTTCTCCATGGGTCAAGCTGTTTTCCTGATCAGCCTCACTGCGAGTACCTGGATATTTCAGTTGGAGGTGTGGTATTCACTTGCTCCTTTCTTTCCTCTTTGTGAGAGCCAGGTACCACAGCTGCTTCTAATTGGCCATCTCTGCCCTCTCCCCATCAGCTTCATTTCCGGTACATCACACAAACCATAGCAAAATAAAATGTGTAATACATGCTTGTATTAGTTTAATTACACTTAAGATTATGAGTCACAGAGACGCTTAGAAAATAATAGAAACTCCTTTCTTTCCTTTATTGTCAAACTCTTAGTTACCTATCTGCTTCTGACCACATTTAATTCACAGCTATGGTTTCGATAAGACCTAAAGAATTAAATCAGTTGTCCAAAAAAGAAATTCCAAGCCCTAAATATGCCTACCTCAAATATATGTTATCTGTGCATATTAAGGAAGAGTCAAGATGGAGGCTTAAAATGCTAGATAGTTGCTCCTTACTTAAAGTTTTTTATGTGACTACTCACCTATCTAATAACACAGTTATAATCATCTTATTTGCCTACTCTCACATGCCCATTCTGTCTTTCCTGGAGTGCCTAAATTCCTTCAGCCTGTTTCTGTATCTTAACCTACTGTCTAACCCTCTCCCTGTCCTGAGTGGAAGGGGCTAACAACTGTTTTTATGAACAGAAGTATTGGATCTGTGTATTTCTCTCATTTAGGCATAGGTAACAATTATAGGATTTTAAGGTTTGAAGTTTCATTTGGCCTGACCATCCTTTCCAGGAATTCCCTTTTCTTTGTCCCTGTCAAGTGGCGTTTCCCCTTGTTTAAATGTGTCCTGTGATGATAAGCTTACTCCAGCAGACATTTTCAAATGGAACTTCTGTCTTAGATTTTTCATTCGTTGAACCAAAATCTTTCTCCTTGTAATTTTTATCCTTTGTTCATAGTTCTACTCTTAGGGTAGTATACCTTTTTCCTTTCCACATGTTAGACCTCTGTAGGTTTGTACCTTGAGGCACACATGCCTTGTCTGCTTCAGATCAAATAGTTCATTTCTTTCACCATTTGTCATGGAGCTTAATTTTAAGCCCCTTTCCTTTTTGTATTTATTCTCTTCTAGATACAGTGCCCCTGGTCTCCAGAGTCCATCTCTGGGCTGTAAAATGGAGCCATGAAATGAGCAGGATATATATATGACCATACTAACTTAAGAGACACATGCACCTAAGCTTTCTAAAGGGAGAAGTGGGGTTACATGAGATTATGGTGTGAGAAAATGTTAAACAAATGAAAGGGTCTACTCTTCCAATTTTGGCCCTCTTTGGTTCCAGTGACTGGGGCACAAAGAGAAGACATGAAAAGAGATACTGAAAATCAGTCCCAATTAGGTTTAGAGAAGTACAAGTGGAGATGAAGGTGATTTACATTTCATGCCCTTTCAGGAAGGAGTAACCATTCTAATACATCCTTCTCAAAGAGTGCATGTTTAGTGGAACATCAGCCAATGATGACTTGTGGAAAAAAAGCAGAGTGTCACCATCAAATGGGGAACATCGAGAAGCCTTCATTTTAGTGCATCCACCCATCCTAACTTATTCTGCAGGTCGTTTTGCAGTTGAAGCCGTAAGGAAGGCAGTTTGTCATTTCTTTTTGAAAGCCCAGGTTTGTGTGTACCAGCATTAGCAAAGCCAGGAAAGCATCTTTGGTAGATACACTAACTGTGCTACAGGGTGGCCTCTCATGAAAGATCCTGGAAACCTAGAGGCTTATGAATATGGATACTAGAAAAACATTGTAGACTTTGTAGGGCCAATTCTAGAGTTTGAATATCTAAAAACTCACTTTATCATATCAAGGTCTTTTTTAGCCTCTACAAGTAATATCTGTTTTTAACATGAAGGAAATAAATCATGCAATGTTTAAAATTGCAAGGTATGTGTATACCAGGCAGCACAGACCTAAATTATGACTTTGAAGTTTTCTCACTGCAACATTTACAAACCCAGTCCAGCTTGTGGAAAACCATGGACAGATTTTGGTTTGGCTCAGGGCCTTCTTTTCATCTTCCAGGTCACTGAGTGCAAAGGAAAAAAAAAAAACCCTGTAAATATTTTTGAAGCACAGGTTTATTTTTCCCTCTTGCAAAATTAAAATTGAATTATTTAATTTTATCCAAGGGAACTAATTTGTTCTAGACAAGAGGCCGACTCTCTACCACTCAAAAATGCTTTTTAGACTGATTTCATGTTACTTCTGTGACTTTTGACTTTGTGATTTCCATGGAAGTCTTATTAGAAAATGAAAGATGATTGCAAAGGAGGTTTTCATTCTCAACATGTTTTCTAGCATTAGGGTTGGGTCTTCTCTTTTCTATATGGTTTCAAGTCTGATCAGTTTGCACACATTGCTCTGTGTCCCTAGTCTTCCCTTTGCAAAAAGACTTTCCAAGCGTTTTACCTTTAGTAGCAAAGAGTGTGTTTAGATATTGACATTTGAGTTCCAGTGCTTGTTTTGCTTTTAGTGACTTTAACTTACCTGACTTTGTTCCCACACCTCTTGACTGCAGACAATACTGTTCCTACTCCCCATAGATGCAGTCAGAACCAGTGGAAATAAAGTGTCTATGTGACAGCACTAGAAGTACATACGTTTTTAAAAATGAGACGTTAACACTATACACCTGGGGCTGCTAGAGCAGAATCATGAGTAGAGTCTGTGTGAAGAATTGGGTGTTTACTGAGCTGGGTCAGAGGAGGGTTATACTTCACTGAGATTGTGTCTCCTCTTTCTCTCATTGCAAACACACATGTACACCCACACACCTCATCTCTATTCTAGGTCCAAGTCTGCAACTGACATTCTAGTGGTTAGGCCTAGTGTGCTTCTCCTTCAATCCAGTCCTGGACAAATGCAGGTTCTCCAGGAACTGGTAATTCTGAGGGGTCCAGATAAACTACACGTTTCTTTTCATTTGAGGAATCTCTCAGAAACCATGTCAGTCTGGGTCTATTTTTCCCTTACATTTGGTTGACAGCTTGAGAAACCTGGATTGCTGTTCAGCCAGCAAAGAACGTCTTTACGAGTTGGTAGCCTAGGTTGCTACTTTATAATATGATTTGAAAGGTACTTGAAGGCCCATGCTCCAAAGAATCTTGTTCCAGAGCTTGTTGGGCTAGCTTTAGGGTCACTATTTGATGCCAGTTTCTTTGGGTCAACATGGTTCTCTCCAAATTCCATTTTTACAAAGCAGACATTTCCTTGGGAAGACTAAGGCAGCTTGTTTTGGTCTGTAGGTGGGAAGGGAGTAGATAGAAAAAGAGACACTAGTGTTAAATTAAATGAAATTTGGCCTAAAGCTGCCTCCATATGTAGCAAACTGTAACCTAATATGTAACCATATGTAGCAAACTGTAACTTAATATGTAAATACACTGCAATGTAACTTGCAGTGAGTATATTCTTGTCATGACTGATTGAGTTTTGGCCAATCATAGCAGCTGAGCTTTCAGCCAATCAGGGCCTGTAAACTGCTTAGACATGTCCAAATGAGGCAAATGCAGAGCTGTCACCAATCAGGCTATTTCTGCACGTCACTTCCTTTTTCTGTCTATAAATACTGCCTGCTCATATTGCTGAATGGAGCTTTCTTAACCTTTACTGCTTCAGAATGCTGCCTGATTCATGAACTGTTTCTTTGCTCAAATAAACTCTGCTAAATTTAATTTGTCTAACTTTTTTTTTTCTAGAATGAGAAAGTCTGGATGATTAGACAAGATTTTTTTTTTTTTTTTTGGTTGTCATAGTTCTATACCAGACTGACCTGATGTCAGGCCCTCTATGCCAAAGCTCATGATACAACCTCCCTAACATGGACTCAAAGCTCTAGGGTGGGGAAGAGTGAGGAAGCCTGGCCTGGGAAGTCCTATAAATAGCATTGCATACAGGACACTGCATCTGATTCACTGTAAGCTTTTGATGAGCTTTCCTCTACCTTCTGTCCTTCTGGTCCAGTTAGCTGGTTTTATACTGGATAATATATTAGCTAATCATTTTGCATCACCTGGCAACTTGTTAGGCATTTTGAATAAGGGAACAGAGCTAGCAGGGCCAATTGACTGACCATACATAGTGCATGTGACAAATTTACTGGCTTCCTAAATCTGCATTGGGATTTCTGATATAGCAGACTAGACTAATGAGGACGCCTGTGAAACAGCAGTGAATACAATTAATTTTGAAGTGAATTTTAGTGCCGAGCACTTCTCCCTGGCACTGCCTTCCCAGGCCTTCCCTCACCTGGCCCTTTTGGCCTTTGCTGTTGATATATCTGTTTCTAATCCCTATTGGTTAACATATTTTATTCAAAGGCATACACAAAGGCATTGCCATCAAATTTTCAGGAGATTCATATCTCCAACAGATAGCTAATAAAATGAATGATGAAATTATCTCAACTATTGAATTCAACAAGATGACATTTAGATAGTGATAAAATACACTTTGCATTTAGATGATAAAATGTGCTCACAAGTACAGCATGGGGAAAGATGTGACTTGCTAGTGCTTTATGTTAAAAATACCTGAAGATTTTAACAAAGGCATTGGTGAGAAGCAACTATGAGAAAAGCAAATACAGTCTTAGATTCCTCATAGGTGCAACAAGACTTGGATCATGAACAGTCATAATTAGTTGCACTCTGAGACTATCAGAAAATGTGTTGTGCTTCACATTGGGTCCTGCAAGACAGACACTGATAAATTAGGATATAATCAGAAAAAGTTGCATGGGAGTGTGAAGGTATCTGAGCAACATATCCAATGTGGAAGACTGAAAAGAAGAGCAGAGAAATGAGTGAGTAGAATAGACTCATTCTGTTTCGTTTGAGAGAGAAGAATTAAGGCCAAAATGTTTAAATTTATTCAATATACAAAAACTAGGGCATCATGTGGCCTAGAGCGCTTCATAACACATGTTTGCAAGTACAAACTGAATGACCATCTGCTACATTGGCCACATCATATGGCATAGAGTAGGCATATGATAAATATTTGTTAAATGTTACATACACGTAGGTGGAATGCTAGGAATGCTGTAGAAAGAAATAGTGGGAGGCTGGGCTTGATTAATGGTTCTAAATAGTGTTCTGCAAGATTTTGGTCAATGCCCCTTGATAAAAACATTGTATTGTCAAAGTATCTTGCAAACCCCTGTGCTAAACAGACTCAAACAAATTCCTTTACTTATGGACCACACAGAAGATTTGATATATTACATTTAGTATATTAAACATATATATATATATATATATATATATATATATATATATATATATATATATCTACGAGGAGATATATAAAGACAATAGAACTTGTCTGGGCATAGAACAATTTTGGCAGCACACTGGACTGGAGTATTATTACTGGAATACTTGTTTGGGGAACATTGAACTAAATTTGCGTTATATTTTTTCCAATTCTCTTTTATGTTTTCAAAGAGATGGGTGCAGATTGCCCATATGCTTCTAGTAAACTTTGTAGTTCTAGACCTATCTTTCTGGATCCTGTGGCTGTTCTATAGAAATTTATTAACCAGGATAGTGAAAAAGTTATCTCCTCTTTTTCAGCTCTATAATTTCTTCTTTGGTATATTCTTGTGTTTGAAGTCTAATTCACTCCTAGGAGTAAGTACTAACATTTATGATTTTCTTGGAATACTTTTATAATACAAAATTATTATCTTTTAGGCCTTTCCAAGACTCCTCATAAGGAGGAAAATTCTCTCTCAAAATGTTTAGAAAACATCAATGTACACAAATTATTTTCCTACTTTATTTATTATAGGTTTGTGGTCACAAGAAGTAGTCATTATCCTTAGATGAAATGGGTAGGGACAAATTTCGTGTATTGCTCTACCCAAAGTAAAGGAGTCAGAGGGTTTCTAGGCAAACACCATGAAAGCCTACTGTATTAACCAAATGAGCAAAGAGCACATTTCTTGAACAGTATTTTTCAAAGCTTAACCTCCTGTTTGAACAACCCCAGATGACTTATGTTTCTGGCTTTCTTAATTGTTGGTTAGCTTTCAATGCCTGAATTCAGAAAAATTAGAGATGGAAAAATCTCCCAACAGGTCACCCAGCTCATTTCTTTAAAGGAATTAACAGATGAATCTCATAATGTAGTCCCTGGTTTTAACGTTCTTGAGGATGGGCCGGGGTTTCATTTTAAATTCAGAAATATTGGGGCCAATTTCAGTCCTAGGATGAATTCAGAGACCACCAAGAGAGGTTCGTATATCCTACTTCTGCTTTCCCATTACTCAGAATGTGTAAAGTCATAAACTGAGTAGTTAAGTCATGATAGATCTTGGCTTTTCAACATGGAGCTGACAAGGGAAGGGTAGATAAGAAAGATGCAACCACAAGACTGAAAAATGTCAGTGTCAGGGGAAGAGGGCTAGGTGTTTATATCCCTGCATTGACCAGTTTTTGGATACAGACTGCTTCTGGAGAGAGATGAAAATTGGGGCAAGATGACTTTCTTCAGTTAAGAGCGGTTTCAGGAAAGAGACTCAGGCAACTGAGAAAATGAATGCCTCAGTCCTGAAGGATCTGGACAATGCACCACATCATTCATTACACCTACCCATCATGCTTGAGCTTGCTTCATACAAACTGTTCCAGAAACAGCTTCTTCAAGATTCTGATTGGTCTAATAGGAGGTTCTAATCCTACTTTCCTGGATACTGTGGTTGTTTTATGCAAATGTATTTCCCAGTTTTAGTGTGATAACTATCTCATCTTTCCCAGCTCTATAATTTCTCCTTTGGTATATTCTCATATTTAAAGTCTAATTCACTTGTAGGGTCAAGCCAGAACACGTATGAAGGTTAGTGGGACTAACTATAGCCTGTCTTGGTACAGATGGTTGCAAGGCCACTGCTAATACTCATTGTTTCCCTCTTAAAAACTACCCATTCTAGATTTTGCTCACTCATAGCGTAACTGGTGGTCTTGGTGTCTAACTGGTAAGGGAGTTAGAGCTCCTTTCTTGAGAGTTGGGAGCTTCTGCACTATGCTCTTCTAGACCATGGCTGATATATCTGTCCATTTACTATCATGATTGGGCACAGACATATCAAGAGATGTTTCAGTGGTATCAGATTCACTCTCCCTCCTTAGATTGTGTAACAGAAGCTCTACCTTCTCCTGATGAAATTACCTTCTCCTGATGTCAATTACCCCTGTTAGGAAGCCCTACCTTCTCCTGATGGCAATTACCCTGTTAGGAAGATGACTCCTTCATTTGCTGCCTGGCATGAAGGGCCTGAAGTTACTGTGAAGCTTTAGAACATAAATGAGACTCTTCCTATGTTCCATGGTGAAAATATTTCCTCTTTCTAAACCACAATTTCCAGGCCTATAGATTGGAATTGTAGGGATTTAAAGTATAAATTCCTCATGTGGCTTACAAATGATGACAAGTAAGGCCACTCCTGCTTCCACACCTTATTGTCGGACACATATAGTCTACCTACTGGGGACACAGCCCTATGCAATGCTTGGTAGTTTAGGGTATGTAACACATCCTGGATTAAGGTGTCTCATTCTTGCCAGTGAAGCAGAGTAGATTAAAGTGTTTTGTTCTGAACTGACATTAATGGCCAGGGATACTTACTGGTGTAAGGGACATGGCAGAAGGTATATCTAGGAATAATCAGACGGGTAGCAATGTCTGGGTTCCAGAGGAGGGCCAACTAGGATAAAATAGAACCCTAGTTCATAAATAGAGGCAAATATAGGCAAAGCAGAGGCAATAGAGGCAAAGTTTCAGGGTTCCAAATCAGCATGAGTTTAGGATAGAATTCACTCTCATTAGAGCTCTGTATTATAACAAGGAAGCATTAAAATTGAAGAACTGATGGAAAGGCTACTAATGATAGATAATTAAGGACATCAAGAACTTAAGGTACATATAACAACAGATTATTTACAGATTCCCTCCATTCAAAGGATAAGGGTACATGGTGCTTGCATATATTTTACTACTACTACTACTACTAGTACTACTATATAAGAATGTAAGTTTAGTTCCATTCTAGTATGAATTACTTTGGCTGCAAAAATTTCAAACCCAGTTGAGTACAAAAATGAAGATCACTAATTTTCTAGACTTTTTTGAAACTGCATGCTGCTCAGCATAGGTAGCCATGGCCTGGTGGAGGAGAGGAAGAGTGAAGTGAGTACAAACTAGCCAGTGCTGTTTATAGTGTTTGGCTATGAATCCTGCAGACCGCTCTTCATAGGCAATTGTAGATGCTTGAGGTGTAGGTGTGACTCTCCAAAGAGTCATTGTCTTGCCATTTTTAATATCCAGACCATAGTAATAGTATAATACAATACAATAGAAATAGCTAACAGCTATTGAGCACTTACTACATGCCAGGCAGTGTTTTGTGCACTTTACATATATTAATTTGTTTAATGTTGACAGCAACTCTAAGATAGGTACTAGAATAATCTTATTTTGCAGATAAGGGAGTTGAGGCCCAGTGAGATTACTTAACTTGCCCAAGATTGACACATTCTCAGAGGCAGAGCTGGCATTAAAAACTAGGAGGCCTATCTACAAAGTGCTTATTCTTAGACACTCTTCTAAGATGCAAATTGCTTTTATGGGTGGTGGCAGAGTAATCTGCTTATGTTGAAACACGCTTTGGTTCTCAGGCTAAATTAATCTACAGAAACACCTTACCAAGATGAGCAAAGGGGAAGAGAATAAGACCTGTAATATGTTACTTTATGTGTCTTAGTTCTGAAAAACAAGGATATATCAAAAAAAGAAATTATAGAGCTGAGACGGTAGGTAGATAAAATTTTGACTGAGGTAGAAACTACATTAAAAATAGCTTCATCAGTTTGGAAAGTGTAACTGTACACAATGGGAGGCTGGTAAAAATATATGGGCTATTTGTACACAACTCTTTAAGAAACTGGCTTAAAGAATTAGATTTTATGAGGTCAGTATAACTGAATTTCTCAAGAAAATAGAATTACCTGCCCTTGGGACAGTCACTTAAGTCACTTAGATTTTAAGCTCTCAAATTCTTCAACTGAAAAATGAGGGGATTGAAATAGATTATTGCTGAACCTCTTGACAACTCCAAAACTATAAAACTAGTGTTATGTAACGAATAAAACAAGCTGGAGCGAGAGGATTCTGGAGCTAGAAAATGCTGGTTGACTATTCACTGTTTACCACCCGAATGATTGTCACAGATTTGGTTCCCTAGGAAGCAGACTCTAAGATTTAGAGATTTGTGTGTGAGTGGTTTATTGGGGAACAACACATGAGAGGGGTGAGGCAAGTAGGGCTAGCCAGAGTGAGCATTTGAATTGTGATGTAACTGCAGTATATGTCTGAGCCAATTTTACTGGGGAACTCTGAGGCTGGGATCACCGTTTAAATAGCCCTGCCTGTTTTAATGGACTTTTAGCTAAGATGGAGTCTAAGGAACTAAGGCTCCATCTAAGAAAGGGGGATTTACCTTCCCTTCGGAAACAACTAAAGAAACAGGCAATACATGTGAAAAAATGTCTTTCAAGACCCTGGACATTAGGCAATTAAAGATGGCGATTGCTATGAGATGGAAAACAGAGTAAGTCCTATGACTTCTCCAGCCTATTGCCTTAAGGGAGTTTCTAGGCCATAGCTTAGGGAGAGGGAACCAAGATGGAGTCCAGTGGACATTTTGAGTTGAGGTGGAGTTGAGAGTTCTGGAAAAACACAGCGACTATATTTCACATGGCAAAATACTGCAAAGGAAAGAGTGAGAGGGATCCCTGGATATCAGTGGAGGGCACTCTCGTGCACACACTGGACTGATCGGCATATGTGTGTGGGGAGATTACCATCCAAGAGGAATAGAGGAAACAGTGGCTGCTGTTAACTCAGGGCTACGATTATTGTCATGGGACATTGGGCGCAGTGCTCAGAAAGGTCTTGCCTCAGTGTGGGGAAATAATTAGCCTTAGATTAAATACTGATCAATTTTATCCACATCATTTAACGGAATCCCAGAGCAGAGCTCAGGAACACATACAGAAATAGAAGAATATCCAGTACACAAAAAGTCTGGCATCAAATAAAATTAAGCAAGAATGCAGAAAATAAAATTTTCTGCATTTTGGCATCAAATAAATGTCTGGCATCAAATGATGTCTGGCGTCAAATAAAATTAAGCAAGAATGCAGAAAAGTAGAAAATTGTGGTTCATAAGTAGAATAATCAACCAATCAAACCAACCCATAACTGACATTATGTTAAAATAGTTATTGGAACAATTTAAATGTATCAAAGACATTTAAAAAGATAAGTAGAGGCGTGGAAGATATGAAAACATCCAAATCAAACTTCTGGTGATTAAAACCACAATGTCTGGCATGAAAAATACACTAGATGAAATTAATAGTAGATTAGATATTGCCAAAGAAAAGGTTAATGAACCTGATGACACATTAATAGAAAGTGTCAAAAATAAAACACACAGAGAAAAGCAATTTGTAAAAATTAAAATAACATCAGAGAGTTGGATTACTTCAAGTGGTCAAATGTGCATGTCATTGGACCCTCTAAAGGAGAGGAGGAGTGAGGGATCAAAGTATCTGAAAAAATAATGGCTGAAAATTTTTCTAATTTTATGCAATCCAAGAAGGTCAATAAGCCTCAAGAACAAGAAAAATAAGAAAAATCAAATCAAGATAGGTCTGAATCAATTTGGTCAAAAGCACTAATAAAGATAAAAATGTTAGAAGCAGCCAGAGATAAAAGATGCAGTATACACAGTGGAACAAAGGTAAGAATTACAACAAATTTTATATCGAAAAATTGTGCAAGCTAGAATTCAGTGGAATACCTTAAAATAATTAAAAGAAACGTGGCAACTTGGGATTCAATATACAGTGAAAATATCTTTCAAGAATAAAAACAAGCATACAAAACTTAAAGAATCCTGCAGACCTGAACTATAAAAAACGTTAAAGGAAGTCGTCAGGCAGAAAGGAAGTGACACCAGATGGAAAGAAGAATGAAGAAAACAGGAAATGAAAATTACATGGGTAAATATATGAGATCTTTTCTTTCTTTTCTTTTTTATTTTTCTGTAGAGACAGAGTCTCACTCTGTTTCACAGGCTGGAGTGCATTGGTATGGTCATGGCTACTGAGATTACAGGTGTGGCCACTGTGCCTGGCCCGGGATATTTTCTTATTATCTAAACTTTAAAAGAAATTATTAAAATTATTTAAAGCAAGAATAGTAAAAATGTAGCGTGGAACCTTTAACAAATGTAGAAGTAAAAATATAACATAAGTAGAAGTAAAAAATAATTGGATTGTTTAGACTATTTACATATAATGTGATTATTGATATAGTTAAGTGTATAAACTATTATTGACAGTTTTTGCCAATTGCTTTTATTTGTCCCTTCTGCTTTCTCTTTTCCTTTTCCTCCTTTTTTCTCTTCTAGATTATCTTGATTCAGAAATGTTTTTGACTTTGATGCATAAGAGATGAAAAGCAAATGAAGGGAGCCCTGTATTTGCCACAATTTACAATAGGAAAATCCTGCAAAAAACATACCAGATTCCATTCACGGATTCCAAGGTAGAGAGGGTTTAGAGAATTTATGGCTGAGTGAGTGCCTTCTTAGCTTCCTTCTTTTTATGTAGTTATTTTTCTAATTAATACTAGATATGAGATGAACAGAATCTCCTATTTTGGGTAAGGTGGGCCATGATTTAAATATCTCAATATCTTCCCAAAAGAAAGCAGATTTACAAGATGAAAGTATCACACCAGAAGTTTATTATGGAACAATCACATATGTTGACTCTCCTTTGACCCTCACTGCAGTGCACTTTCATTACTTATCAATCTGGGGGCGGGAAAAAGGGGTGCAGCCAGACAAGAGAATATACAGGAAAGAAGCATTGTATATAAGCCTATGTATTTCTGTAATGCTGCTACAGGGGGATACAAAATCAGGTGCCAGCCTCCAGAAAAAAAGAGATTTTTTTTCTTCCCTCAGTCTCATTTGGTCCCTCGGCGCTTCCTGAAGTAGCGATTATAGGCAGCATTGTATCCATAAACCATGGCGTAGCGTTCGCAAAGTCTGTAGTCATCACAGGCTTCCCTATTGAGCTCGTGGACAGGCTTAGAGCGTTCTCGGATCCTAGAAAGTGGAAGAAGAGGCCAAAATTGAGAAGGATAAAGTGGAAAAATACAAAAATGGAAAAGAAGAAGAAAATATTGGAGAGACTTTCTCTCCATGCCCCCCTATATTAAGAGATATTTAAAGAACAGGGAGAGGCTGGGTGCGGTGGCTCAGGCCTGTAATCCCAGCACTTTGGGAGGCTGAGGTGGGTGGATCACTTGAGGTCAGGAGTTCAAGACTAGCCTGGCCAACATGACAAAACCCCGTCTCTACAAAAAATGCAAAAATAGCTGGACATGGTAGCACGTGCCTGTAATCCCAGCTACTTGGGAGGCTGAGGCACGAGATAGTGCCACTATAATCCAGTCTGGGCAACAGAGTGAGACTCTGTCTCAGAAAAACCAACCAACCAACCAAAAAAAAAACCAGGGAGGGAAGGCAGAACAGGAGATTTTTTTTTTTTTTTTAATGAAAATAGAAGTTTTCTTTCTGTCCTCCTTTCTCTCCTCCTTCCTTCTCCTTTCCGGATCTTTCCCCAAATAATTTTCTAATAATTCAGTTGTTTTCTGAATATTGCTTTTAAGTTTTTTGATTTTAAAGATACAATTAGAAATAATGTATATGATGAAAAAGCTGTTTCCCACTCCAATTCAGATCTGTGATCTACACTGGGAAAAATGACCACTCCTCATGAAGTTTTGTTACTGACCTCTCTTGGACTTTAGCTCTCCATCTCTGCTGAGGGGATATGAAGGTATTTGCATTTCTCCTGTTAATGAAGGGATCTTAGAACAGAAAATAAATAAATGCAGTTTTAGCGACACATAGCTGGAAATATTTCCGTGAATATTCCTTGACACAAATATATTTGAAAGTGCCTTAACTTATGCAACTCATATAAACGGAGATTGGCAAAAATTAAAGGAGAGTATAAAGTAGATTTCATTAACTTCCTGATCAAATGAAATCAGTAATCAATCCATGTGTCTTAGAGACTTGTCATATAGGCTTTGTTGGTTTTGAGTTTGGACGATCACTTTGCCTTTCTTAATTTCTGTATTTCTACTTGGTAGATTTTAAATTCCTTTTGAGGAGAAATTCTCTGTCCTGAGGATTTATGAAGCATAACTAGATTGCCGATACATGAACAGTTTAAACACTATAAAAATAATGAATAAATTAAAAATGAGAGTGATGTGCCATTTCCTCCTATGCTCAGTCTTTATAAATCCAGCTATTCAACAGCAATCAGCTGGCTGGGTGTGGTGGCTCATGCCTGTAATCCCGGCACTTTGGGAGGCTGTGGTGGGTGGATCACTTGAGGCCAGGAGTTCGAGACCAGCCTGGACAACATGGTGAAACCCCATCTCTACTAAAAATACAAAAATTAGCCAGGCATGATGTCATGGGCCTGTAATCCCAGCTACTCAGGAGGCTGAGGCATGAGAATTGCCTGAACCTGGGAGGTGGAGGTTGCGGCGAGCCGAGATCACACCACTGCACTCTAGCCTGGGCGACAGAGTGAGACACTGTCTCAAAAAAAAAAACAAGAAAGAAAAACACAAAAAAACCAAAACAGCACTCAGCTTAACGTGGCGCCTGTGGTCTCCCAGCTGACTTGGCGTCCAGCTCTGTGCTTTACCATTTGTCATTACTCCTCGTTTTCCATCTGTGCAGTTGACGTGGTGCCAATTTAAAATTTCCAAATGAGATTTTATGGCTTCTAAATATGTCGCCTGTAGCTTAAATCCCATATTGCACTACTTCAAACTTAAAAAATTGCTCCTTTGGCAATTTTTATAGTCATTAGATTTAAAAATTTACTTTAGTTTTCCAAAAGAGGCCCCCTTTTCCCTCCCTGTTATATATCTTTCCATCTTGTTTATTTAAAAATAAGAAGAGGTTCTTTAATGCAAGGGATTTGAATAAAGAAGTTAAATATTCACTTACTAAGTTCATAAGATTCCATGCTTTCATGTGATTCTGAAATTAAAAAAAAAAGATTCATTATATCAATATTTATCCATGATTCATTATGTTATTATTTATCAATTTAGACACTGTGATAGTTTAAATACAGGGATGGAAGAAGAGGAAAGAGTCTAAAAACATGAAGAATATATTTAGCAGTGTGGTTATTAGAAATTTCAGGAATTTAGGATTTATGAGGTTTTTCTCTAGCTCTGGCCTTGCTGTGGATATCTCTATATTTTAGTTTCTCTGATGTTGAAGGAGGGAGTGGCCATTTTCAGCTAAAATTTCCCAAGGGCTATGACGTCTTCAGACAAGCAAAATAAGACACTTTAAGTGCTGTACAGAAGTCTCCAGAGAACCTTCTTCTCTGATTTATTCAGAGCCTGTTTGAGAACAGGGTCAAAGAGGATTAAGAAGGATCCAGAAGACAGCCAGGTTTCTCCAGGCAAGAGAACTACAGGGCAGTTGCTCTGCTGGGCTTACTAGGGCAGGTTTCTAAGAGGGTTCCGAAAGCCTCTTAAGAACCTGTGTTAAATTGGCAGCCACAGAAACCACTAGCTCCAGCTGACAGCTCACCCTGGGCACGATGCCAGTTCAGAGAGAGAACTGAAACGATATCAAAGCCGAAGTTTTCTTCTTTCTGCCACTCTCCTGAGCACAGCAGATAAATTTTGGAATAAGAAGCTTCTATTAATATTTGCCAGCAAGTGAATTTTCTTCAAAACTTAAAAAGGAGGTGAAGAAATCAAATCCTCTAATACAGAAAATTTGTGAATACAAGAGTGAGAAGCATAATCTTTATGGTTGTTAATGTAATTTAAATTTTAAAACAATGAAAATATCTAGGTAATTGAAACAAAAGACTGAAATAAGTAAATAACTTTGCTTCAGATTTCCTTTTATAAGCTTTGAACAAATGCAGGTATATTTAATGACATATAGAAAACAGGCAAAATTTATTTTCTGACAACAGGAGTTATGAAAATGATTCTTTTCTAAAATTCTTTTGATGTAAAACTTTATTTTAAAATTAATTAACTGAACAAACATAGTAAGTTCATGAGATTGTCCAGTCCCTAGAAAGGGCTATACTTAATACTTCACATAAAAATGGATTTTCTCAAAGGCAAGTGGTTTAAACAATACCCTTAACCCATTGATACCAAAGTCTAAATAAATATCCTTAAAAATGAGGATGCAGGGGGCTGGGAATTTGGTATCTTCTTTCTGAAATATGAGTTTCTAGATATACAGAGACTTACCACTGAACGGGTTTGCCTGTTAAGTTGCATAAGACTCTGGATATTTAGGATATAAAAAAGACTTAATAGAACAGATCAGTTTCTGCGGAGACTGGGAAATGTGAAAGTAATGGTACTTTAAGATTATAACAGAGAAAGGGGGAAGAAGAGGAGGAGGGAGAGGAAAAATAGAAGTAAGCCAAAGTCAGAGGCAGAAAAGTAAACACAGAGAAATGGGAGAAAAGTTTCTCACCATAACACAAAGTTACTACCGCTAAGGCGGCCAGGATGGCAAGAAGGATCAGGCTCTTCATGGTTTCGTCCTGCAGGTCAGTCTCAGGGTCTTGTGTAGCAGCAGTAGGGAGAGAGGCTCCTACGGGATGTTAGTGGAAGGCTGTGAGGTTTTTATAAGAACCAGAGCAGTTGAGAGGGGAGGAACCAGTGGGAGAGAGCTGGAGAAGGTGGGGAAGGGTTGGCACTGAACTAGCATTGGAACTTTTCCCAAACAGTCATTCCTTCCAGATATTATCTACTCTGAGTGGGCAGTTTTCCCTAACTGCTGGACCTGACTGTGTTACACAGGATGCTGCTCTGGTGCAGAAGTTTTGGCCATCGTATGCTTGGGGACAGACCTGGGCAAAAGCCCACAGAGGAAGTTGCCACAAACACATGATCTACCCTCCTGGCCCTGACCGCAGGGCTTTTGGGTTTGGTCCACAGACAGAGCCCTAGTGTTCTGTTTGTTACCCTGATTGATTGATGAGAGGTTTTGGGGGAGAAAGGACTTCACTTTCTTTTCTTTTCTTCTTTTTAACCTTTGCCTCTTCTTCTAGGAGAACTTCGCTTTCTACACTGATTATAATTTAGACATCTTCCCAGTAGGGCTGAATCCTAGACCAATCTATCAATCCCAGACTAATCAGGCATTTGCCTGGGGATATGCATCTTTGGCATTTTTCCAAGGGTTCATCAGGATGGAGATATCCGGTGCACCATGAGTTCTGTTTCCTTAATCAACACCGTTGTAACTTGCCCATCCAGTTTTGTGACATTAATTCAAACCTGTGCCCTAGTCCTCTTTTAGGCAGCGTATCAGTGCTGGAAAGTGCAGCAAGGATAAGAGGGTACTGTTCTCTCATTTCTGAGGGCGTTGTCTCGATAATTAACTAACTTGATAGACTTTTTAGTGAGTGGCAGGTGAGATGCAAGGTACTGTGCTAGGTGCTGTGGGGGATGTACAGACAAACAACACACCTCCCTAAGGAGGTAAGTAATAGCTACTTACTATTCACTTTGCTCTTTCACTGTAATGTATCCTCAAGCACAGGTTTTCACTACACCATCAGGCCCAGAAGTACTAGCTTATTTTCCACAGGAGGATTTCAGTTTGATGCCTCTGGTTATCTTGTATAGAGAGGTCTTTTCTTTCTTTCTTTTTTTCCCCCTTCTTTTGCAATCACAAAATCTGTCCTACCAGATGTGCCTCTCTTGCTTGGGAACCCAATAGTTTTCTTTGCAGACAACAGACTTGAAGTCACAGAGCAGCAGATTGTAGAAGAGCTACAGCTTCGGGACCTCTGACTCTTGAGCTGGAACAGCAATAGGGCTGGGTTGGGGGTGGGGTGGATGTGTCTTTCAATACTGATGTATTTCAAGGAGCAGTGATGAACTAGGTGGAGCCTCATGCTTCATTCTTTTTGTCTTGTTGGGATGGAGTTTCCCTCCCACCCTCCATCCTGTGAAGAGCTTTTATAAATATTAACAGAGTCCCCATTAAAAGAAATAGCTCCTTTGAAATCTGAAAGATTGAGTTCTGAGGGATCAATAAAATTCAAGTTTTCTCTCCAAAACCTAAGAAATAGATTATCTGTGCGAAAATCTTAAAGAAAATCTCAGAAAGAAGACCGTGTATGTTCATCCTTGATAAATTCAACCATCACAATTTCCACTAATGAGACTGGCGGTTGTTCCACTCTTTAAACCACAACCTACTATGAGTGTTAGTTTCAGTGTCCATCTTGGAAGATGAATCATCTGAATCATTACATGATCAATGAATAATTTAAAGTGCGAAAGCCAGTTCACTATATTGCATGACTTTGGGGGGACAAGCTAGCCATAGATAAAAGTTTTATACGTACTTAGCTTAGTAATTAACCACCAATTAATATAACATCAAACAAGTTGAATTCCAATGTTTCACCCTTAAAATGAGTAGTCTACTCTCCCCATCCCCACTCCATCTCCAGAATTAAAGAGAAATCTTCCCATTTTCCTGCTATAAATATGTGCTTTGCAATGTACATTAGCTCTGTCTTTTCCAGCCAAGTCATAGATGTCTCCTTTATCCCCAAGTTCAAATGACAACTATAATCTTTCAACCTCTGACATCACAATTGTTTTTTTATTTTTACACTCCCAGAAACTAAACTTGAAAATCCTACACTTCTCATTTCAACTTAAGGTTCACCTTTTGTTCACCTTAAATCACTGCTTCCACTGGATTCCCTAAACTTAAGCATTTCTCTTTATCGTCTTGGTTTTTGTAAGGCTAACTTTCTTTTGGGAGCTGTGTCTCTTCGGTCCCTCATCTGCCTTTCCTGTCCATTGCTCTCCCATCTATTTCTGGTTCTTCTCTGCAAAATCCCATTTATATATGATATGTAAAAATTATTAACATGTCTGAGAATCCAGAGCTCTTCTTTTTCTCCTCTGTCACCTTACTCCCCATTTCAAAGACAACTTTGTGAATGCCAACTCCAGTCATATGTTTTTATGATGAGGACTTGGACTAACGCATGAAGCAGGGATGGGAGCTTTGCATTAGAAAGGACCAAGATTGACTCATCTGAGAGAAGACAGAAGAAAAGAATGGAAGTAGGAAAAAAAAAAAAACGGAGAAGGGGAAATGAGAAGAGCCTTACCAATTTGGTTTGCTGGGTGAGTTTTAGGTAGAGACTGAGTGACAGAGAAAAACGGAGGCAGTTGTAGAAGGTGAGACATATTAAAAGCGAGACATGGGAACAGAGAAATAAAAGTTGCTTTGGTTAGGAATAGCATTGTTTGAGATTGCAGAATACTGTCTGAAAATTTTCAGAAAATATTGAAATTTGAACAAATTAATTTTGCCAGCTAGTTTGCATTTTCTTAATTGGGATATCTTGTCAAGACGAGACCACATGAAACTCTAAATTCTAATTAGATTTTAGATAATTATGAAAGACACTTATATAGACATTTTCCCTTAACAAAAAAGAAGTGTTATTCAGAGGAGAGAATATTTGAAGAAACTCCCAGAAGTGATAACAGAAATATGAGACAGTGATATGATTGCCAGTTTTTAAACATGTGTAGGATTCTCCTCATGTGAGGTTGGCAACGTAGGAACTGAAGCAAGAGAAGCCATGGAGTAATACAGATCTCCTATTCCACCTACTCTCAGGCAGAAAAGAGAAGAATGACCATGCCTGTCAGGGCCAGAAGGAGCTTCATGATTTCATAATTCTCCCATCCATCCATCCATCCATCCAGCCAGCCAGCCAGCCAGCCATCCATCAAGTTATCTATCTAGCCAACAAATGTACTGAGCATCTACTGTTTGTCAACTCTAGGCTGGAAATACAGTAGAGAAAAATACAGATATGGGCCCTGTCCTCATGCATCAAGTGTGCTCTTTGAACAAAAATTTAATAGTGGCTCCTCTTATTTAAAAAATTGTTAGGCAGCCAACTGGCCTTAAAGGAGACCAAGTGATGAGCTTTCTCACTGGGCTGACCATTCTTATGGGCACTCAGGAGCATCTCTGTTTCCAAAGCATCAAGAAAGGTGCTAGTGACCAGCTCAGATAATTCTGAATTTAGGGAGGGAATGCAGGAGAGGAACATTGGCAGAGCTTCTGAGAATTACTGTGGGGAGAAGCTTCTCAGAAAAGTATATTTGCCAGAGAATATACCAAAAGAGTTATCCCTTTCACATGGTATTTCTGTGACTAAAATAATGGCATAGAGGTAGAAAGTGTAATATATTTCCCTATCAATTCTACCTCCTTCTCTTTCTGTCCTTGCTTATCCTTTAACTAACTCTTTTTCAGATGGCTAGGCATTTTGTCTCTTTGAGGAATTTTCCTGGCTCCAGTCAGATTTCTTTTTCTTTTTTGCTGTTCCATGAAATTCAGCTTTATTTACTGAATTTTGATTTTATAATTTTTTTTAAACTGGCAGCACTAAAGTCCTTACCCTTGCCATTAAAGGAAAAACGCAAATGAAAGAAGAGTTAGGAAGAAGCAGCCCTGAAGACAAAAACAGAAATCACTCTCTAGGACATCAAAGAACAATGAACTAGGAGACAGAAGCCCAGCCAATGTCGTGGGACAGTGCCATGCTCTTAGTTCTTTTCTTTTAAGGGAAGCCCCTTGAGAGGATTCTGTGTGTCAGATTCTTTAACTGACATAACTTCCTAGGCACAGATAGAATCCTTCTTTCCTTTCCTTAATTTGTCTTAGTTGAACTAAGTAAGAATAAATGTTTGTCAAACTCAGGCATGGGAGGAGCATCTGGGGACTCATGGGCTGAAACTTCCAGGGAAAGTTGGAGGTGCCTGATTATTAAACAAAATAAAGGTGGAGAAGTCTGAGAGGTGGAGAGCTTTTGGCTGGGAATGGCTGGGATTTTTCTTTTCCTCCCCTATCGATTATTTCCTCCACCCTTCTTAAGAAAAGCTTCAATTTTTAAATAAGATAGCAAATATCAAATAAAAATTATACATCTATCCAAGCGCTATTATCATATGTCAAATGCTTGCTATATATTAGATGCTCTGATAGTCACTCTTTATTTTTTATTTACTTCTCTTAATAATCCTATAAGCTAAGTATAATGACCCACATCTCATATATAAGAAAATGGAAGCTCAAAGAGGTAAAATAGTTTATCCAAGATCACACAACAACTAAATGGCAAAGACAGGATTAAAACGCAGGACTGTTTGATGTCAAATCGTGTGTTTTTAATAATGATACAACCATGTGAGATCCCTCCAGGTTCTGACACCTGCTTAAATAATTTTGTGATTGCGTCTTACAGGGTTCCTTGAATTTCAAATTTCATAGCTAGAGACAAAATTACACAAAATTAAGATATACACATTTAAAATGATAATTGTCTCAAAATCCTTTAAAATAGTGCAATACAAATTAAAGGTCTACATACACTTAAGCCCAGTGAGTTAAATGACTTATAAAAATGGAGAGAGGGATAGTTTTAATATTGGATCCTAAGTCCCCTGTTTCTCTCTCCAGTACACTGCACACTAAACATCTGCCCAAACAAGCTCCAACTCAAATATGGTACTTTCCAAAACCTTTCAGCTTCCTTCAGGAATCACCAAGTCTCATCCAGTCTGTGAACGCCGATGTTTGCTGTCATCTGACACTTGCTCTGGTTTGGTGTATCTGACATATTAAGAATGTCGTCTCCCAGTGCACAAGGCCAATTTCTATAGTTACTTAGACCACCGCCCCCGTCCCCACCCCCAGAAAACTGGAAATCTCAGCTTAATTTATAGAATGCTCTGTCAACTCAAAGCAAAATAGAGAGCAGGTTCTATGTCTCCTGTCTTGACTAAAGATGAAGATGTCTTGACTAAAGGCTGGCTATTTACTCATTAGACTCTGGCTGCCTTTTCTGGATGAGGTGCAATCAAGACAAAGTCCGAGGAATTTCTCCTGCAGTACCATGGTCTCAGCTGGAAAAGAAGGCACCCTTTTATATCTATTCTGCTGTCATCCCACACTTTGGGATATCCTCGTAATCTCCTTTCATTATTCCAAATCACCAAAGTAAAAACACTCCTTTTTATATTCAAGACATTTACAACCCCAAGAAATGGAGCCAAGTAACTTGCAAGAATTGCAGGGGTTATTGGTGACTGGCAGAAACAGGATCCTAAAGGTAGGATTGGTGAGGAGAGGGGATACAAGAACAATGACATGATGTCTCTAGGAGTGAGATGGAAGCAGAGTGGGATTATATTTACCACTTGTGAAGACATGAAGGGAGTAGGGAGAAAGATAGCTTAATTCACCAAATCACAGTACCCAAGAACTTGATAGCACTGGTATGAGTTAAAAGAAGTAGTTTTAGGGAAGATAGAAGTAAAGCTTTAAACAACAGAGAATAATTTTTAAAAGTTAAGTAAACATAACATTCGTTACCAAATGAAGTTAAAACTAGTCGATGATAACTTTTAAAGTTGACATGAGAAATGAAAATATGCTGTCTTTGCAATCCTTCAGTCAGAGGTATGCATCTGAATGGACCCCATGTCTAACCTAAGGGTGCTTCCTTGAAATGGAAATTTAAATCTTTTTTAGGGTGATTTTAAGTTTAGGTAATAAATTAACTAGAAGAATATCTGGTAGTTGCATGAGTCAAATCTACCATGTTCCTTCCATATTCCAGCCCGTACCCATTTCATCTGTTCTGTCGCTCTCTCAAAACAATAACAACAACAAAAAAGCAGATGGTGGAGGGGAGTGAGCATTCCCGAGCTGCACTTCATCTAGATATTCTCTCCATACTTTTGGTAGCTACTCTAACAAACAATCGTTACAAAACCTTGATAGGACTCTAAAGACAGGCTCTGTAGAAGCTGGCCAAAGGATGTAGTTTTTAGGATAAGAAAGCCTGGATTTGACTTCTAGCTCTGCTGCTTTTCCTTTTCTTTTTTTTTTTTTAAATTTTGAGATCGAGTCTTGCTCTGTCGCCAAGGCTGGAGTGCAGTGGCACAATCTCAGCTCCTTGCAACCTCTACCTCCCAGGTTCAAGTGATTCTCCTGCTTCAGCCTGCTGAGTAGCTGGGACTACAGGCTCATGCCACCATGCCCAGCTAATTTTTTTTTATTTTTAGTAGAGACGGGGTTTCACCACGTTGGCCAGGCTGGTCTCAAACTCCTGGCCTCAAGTGATCTGCCTGCCTCGGCCTCCCAAAATGCTGGGATTACAGATGTGAGCCACTGTGCATGGCCTCTACTGCTTACTCTGTGTGTGGCATTTGATACGCTGTTTAAGCTCCTGAGCCTCAGTGACACAGGTAGGGATTATAAGTGTCTGCAACATACTAGATGCTCACTAAGTGTTAGAGGACTCTAACTCAGAGGACCATTAGATGAATTAAATAAGGCAATACCTGCCGAGCTCCTAGCTTAATGGCCTACATACTTTTAATGCTGTGGAGTACATGCACACACAATATTATTTCAAAAAATAGGTTCAACTCCACTGGTCTAGTGTTACTTCCACTTCTTCCCAATAACGAGGGAATAGATTGTTGAAAACCAAAGCAGAGGAGAGAATGCAAAACATGGAAGGGATTGACTCAGCAAGGCCTTGTCCAGTGGGAACTGTGGAACTGGCTGATGCTCAGTGTAGTTCTGACACTGCCACCCAATGGCTGCGTTACTGTTGAGCAAGCCATTTGCCTTTTTAAACAGAAGAGCTGGAATAGACCTGTACAATTTTGTGCTTCTAAATTATTTCATCCTTGAAATGAATAAACACGATAGAGAAATTATATAATTCAGTGTTTGAAGGAACACTTTGTTCTTAATGCAATTTTGCAAGAGTTTCTAGGGCTGATTGGTGTTTGGATGTCCATCCCTCAGCCAACAAACCACTAGCAAGATGCCTTTTAAAAGCTTCATTCAAATAACTGCCTGCCAATAGGCCATGTCTGCTGTTGTTTCCCAGTTGTAGTCAAATAACTTGATTCATTCGAGTTGGATGCTGATACACTTTGAAATCCTTAGGAGAAGAAAGTCAATCTTTTCAGCCAGGATTTGGTCAGTGAGAGAAAGCCCTCCTCCTCGTGGAAGGGATCAGCAACTGAGCAACTCCTCTTTGTCCCATCGCCTAGTCATTACAAACCATGGAAATGGGATGAAATTCAGAAAAGGAAGTTTAGACAGGACGCAGAGGAAAAATGTCCAGGTTAACATGAGAGAGAGAACATCACAGGGAATGCCTTTGCTGATCAATCTAAGAAGAGAACAGGCTGTCAAATAAGTGATTGTTTCCACATCTGATTTCTCCCTGATGGAAAAAAATGCAGTGAAATGTTGGCTGGGCTGACTGTGGAAATCTATTTCAACCCCGCCTGCTGGTGTTTGTTTAAGCGGTCCTGTAACCAGAGTTTGTCTGAATCTCAGGGGCCTTGCTCTGACTCCAATTCTTCTAATTTATCACTCTCTGTGTTTCCTGTTTTCTCATAATCCCATGCTAATTTTTTTCATGCCTTTTATGGAATTTTGAAAGAGACTTTTATTTTGTTGAGAGGATAAAAGGGGTTTTCACTGGGGTTCTTTGTCTTTTGGTAAACCATAAACCAGTGGGAAAAAGAATAGAATCAAAAGGAAGAGACAATAAGCTGAAGGGAACAAGATGTAATTTTTGGTCTTACTCTGTTTTGGGATAGCAATAGGAGGGCAGGGGAATGGATATGGGCTGGGGTGAGGGACTAGGAAGGATGAGAGTCTGATACGAACGCTCGTTTGTCTTGCTCCTCTACCAGACAGCAAGTTCTTTGAGCTTAGCCTCTGGCTCTTAGTCATCTTTTATTAATACACACAACAGCTTCTCATTGCTTACAGAATTAAGCTGACATCCTTCTCAAATTCACATGCATCCTAAATTCTCTGGTGCCATAATGAGAGAGTGGAAAAGAACATGTGAATCCCACTCCATTTGTCACTGAATGATCCCTACTGTCTCTCAAATCCTCATTTTCGTCATCTAATAAAATATGGGCAATAATGGAAAGTAGCTTATAGAGTTGTAGTGAGGATTAAATGAGATAATTCATGTGAGGGCCTGGCTGGCCCAGTGGTGGCATATAGTAAATATTCCATGAAAGTAGCTATTATTATTATTATCACAGTGTCTAACTAATTACGTGACCCTCAATAAGTCATTTTTTCACTGTAACGTGAGTGATAATTCTTTTGTAAATTGTTGTAAAGATTTAATGAGGAAATCTTTGCAAAATACCCAGCAGGTGTCTGTGATGTAGTAGGTGCTTATTAATTGTTACTTCCCAGTTGTCTTTCCCATTCATTTCTTTCACTGTTTCCCTTCATGTAACCAATTCTAAAGCCAAACTGAGCAACTTGTTCCTGACGCACCCTTCAGTGTTTGCTATCACACATTTGCTCATTTTATAGTATCCTCTTTTTCTGCCTCTCTGTCTCTGTCTATACCAACTTTCCGTTGGGTATCTTTTAAGGCTTAGCTCAAATACCACCTGTTACATGATGTCTTACTTAAGCTTCTCAACCAGGTGTAATTTCTCCTCCCTTCAAAAACTCCCTTAGCACTGTTTTTTGGTTTGTTTGTTTGTTTGTTTGTTTGTTTTGAGACGGAGTTTTGCTCTGTCTCCCAGGCTGGAGTGCAATGGCGCAATCTTGGCTCATTGCAATCTCCACCTCCCAGGTTCAAGTGATTCTCTTGCCTCAGCCTCCTGAGTAGCTGGAATTACAGACATGTGCCACCACGCCCAGCTAATTTTGTATTTTTAGTAGAGATGATCACCATCTTGATCAGGCTGGTCTCGAACTCCTGACCTCAGATGATCCGCCCGCCTTGGCCTCCCAAAGTACTGGGATTACAGGCGTGAGCCACCATGCCCAGCCTCCCTTAGCACTTTTATTTCTTTACTGGTACATACTTTCTTTTTTGAATTACAGGCATTTCTGTGCCCCATCTTGTGCACACACTCCTCCTAGCTATTCATGGTACAATCACCTGTCTCCTCTTCTTCCTCACCCCGTACTCATTTACCCAAAAGATTCCAACTCATTATCTAGGAAACTGTCGTCTCTAGAAAGACTTCTTTCTTGCTGAAAGAAGAAAGAATTCTCTTGCTGAATTGCATTTCCAGTTAGATGCCTCAGTTTTCTCATAGTAGTCATGATACTTTTTCATTGATCTTACTGGATTTCAATACAGAACGTTAAGCTCCACAAGGGATATCAGGGATTGTGTCTTTTTCATCTTTGTATTCTCTATTTCTTACACATCATCTGGAACACAGTAAGTGCTTATTTATTTTTCTGGAACTGAGCTGATCCTGCAAACCCAGTGCAATGTTTAAACACCACAAAAGCTCAGTGAAGTTACCCTTAACAATCCACTACAGCGGTCTACGAACCTTAACAGAAACATCTCTGCCTTTTGTGAAGATAGGAAATTGCTGTAATTTGAAATGCTAAATAACTACACTGTATGTCAAATAAAAGAAAAATGCTATTTCACTGTTATTTTTTGCCCTTGCCTTATGCAGCAATCCAACTACTAAATTAAATGGTTATCTTTTTTATGAAATAGCAATATTCCTGAGAAGTTTCCAGATAATGTTATAAAATTAAATTATGACATAAATACATGTAAAAATTCACTCTTTTTAAAGAAAAATCTTAGTGAAACTACTTGAATAGCAAGAATTCCTCTGGAAGGGTAAAGTAAGAAACAGTCCCTTACTGTGTTTGGATATAAACATGTGTTTTTCTTTGCATCTGTATTTTCACATATTGATTAACAGGAGTGGACTTGTGCATGCCATATAAAATTGTGTAAAGAAGGTGACCCCGGGTAGAGCACCAAACAAGTTATGAATGTTAGAAGTTCAATGAAAAGAAAACAAGAATATTTGAAAGAATGCCAAGGGATAGAATTAATTGATTTAATACATTTTGCATTACAGTAATAGGAATAGCTAATATTTATTAAGTAGTGTTTTATTTCTTTGTTTTCTCCACTTTTTTTCTGGTCCATCAAAACAAGCCTCTTATCTACGCCAGACTGCTTAAAACAAAGCACAATTTTTAGTTTGAAAAAGAAAAGTATGAATGTATTATCTATAAGTAATAAACAAAAAGTTAATTTGTGAAAAAGAATATAGCTATCCCAAGACTTCTCTCTGCAAATTTTTTATGTTTGCAGAACATTTACCAAATAGCTGAAAGAAAGACAATTTTGTATCATCTTTCCTTTTCCGAGAAGTTGTGCTGTATTTGTTGGAATACATTTCAGTACTTTCATCTGATCCTCAGATGACGATGCCATATGATGTTTCTCACAGGGTCAGCAGCGAAAGAGGATTTCTGGGGATATGTGTTTCAAAGCCAGTGATTCTTGGGAAGGAGTACGAACTCCGATACAAATACTGGCTCATCTCTATACCATGGACTCTCGAGAACAGCAGTGTTTCACCAGTTAGCATTTTGTTGCCAGAAATAAATCAAATGGACAATGGTGCAAAAATAAAAATGTTCCTGGAACAACTGGAGGTCAGTTTTGACCTTAGGTAATCTGGCAATTTTGCTTGGATTTCTCAGTGCCTACATTTGATCTCTAAATTATGCTTTGTGGCTGAACTCACCCTTTCTAGGGCCAGACACAGTTTATCTGGCTAGGATTTTTGCTGTGTAGGTTTAAAGATAAGTAAAATATCTGACTCACTGCTCATCTTGCCAGCGTGTCTTTCTGTTGCACAAAAAGATAGCAACAACATAAGCTGCCATGAATAGGTTTGGCAAGGCTGACTAGTAGGAATGGTTTCCATATGGTGTAAGATTAGAATTAATTGCTCAAACACATGGCAGTTAAAGAACCCTAAGGTGTTTCAAGAGTCCTGAAAGAAAAGACCAAGAAAGGAAAAGAAATTAAAACACTTCAGTGAGTCTCTAAATAAATTTATACAGGCCATAGCATATTATTTAAACTATCTGGGGCCTAAATGATGTTTTAAGGAAAAACATTTTACTTATAGCATGCACGGATATTTAAAAAATAAAATACATGCATAAAAGAAGGCAATTTCTATTACTCATGTAGGCATCTTTGAAGAGGACCAGGAATAAAATGTATGCAAACAACTGAGCAAATCCATAATAAAAATTCACACATGCACGTGATTATAAAACATAGTTTAAAATATTATCTTGATATAAATAATATAATTTATTTTTATAAAGTTCTTATGGGAAAATGGAGGCTCAGAGGTGTCAACTGATTTTGTCCAGAGGGACACTAGGGGCTTTCATGCCTTGGACTTTACCTGACTTAGAATAGTTCTCTGTGTGCATATTTATGTGTTTGTGTATATATTGTTTATATTAGATTATAGATATCTAAAGAGTGAAGATTATGTTCAACTCGTAGTTGTATTCCAATATAACACATGCTACATTGCCTGGCAAATAGTAAGCACTTAATAATTATTTGCTAAACTGAATTTATAAAAACAAGTTAACATATCCATGATGGGAATTTCTCAGCATAATCATAATATTTCATTCATTTGCTCATTTATTCTACAAACACAAACTATTGTATGCCAAATACTGTTAGAGTTGATATCTTTCCTCAAAAAAATTACACTTGATAGAGGGATAAAAAGTCTTGTAAACAAATGATTATAAGCACATGGGAAAATCTTTAATCAATTATGTAAAAAGTATTTTACTGCAGAAAGTAGTCCTAATATAGTGGCAATTCTAATTAATGTAAATGGGCCAAACTCGCCATTTAGGTGGGGAGGTCTAATGTGTGGTCTCTAAGAGAAACATTTAAGATACAGCAAGGTTTGAAATACATTTATTATACTATTCTTGTCCTATTTTGATAAAAAATTATGCTAGCCTTATAATATGAGTTGCAAAGACTTTCTTCTTTTTTCTATTCTCTGGTACAGTTTATGTAAAAGAGAAATCTTTAAATTTTAAAAATATATTAAATATTGTTTCCTTTATGACTTACAAATTATTTAGTAGTGTTTACAACTTGCTAAATGCATGGGTTTTAAAATATTTTGATATTGATTCCTAGAATTATTGCATATTAGATAATGTGATGATTATTAAATTTATTCTTTGGTATTTTTCAAGGCTTTTTATGGCCTAATAAATGGTCAACTTTTATAAAGTTTTCATATTTGCATAAAGGTTTATTCTTTAATTATTGGATGCAAAGCTGTATAAATGCTTATTTTAGCAAGCTTATTAATTAATTGTATTACTCAAAACTTCCTTGGCTTTATTAAATTATTTTTGTGTGCTTGATTAGTTCATTAATGATTAAAATATGTAGTTCTAATTATAGATTTTTCAAATCTTGCAATTTTTCCAATTTTGCTTTATATGTTTTGAGGATATAGTTTTAGGTACTACATATAAGTTGAGAATTTTTATGGACTCCCAGTTAATTTTTCCTTCAGTTGTCATTCAATATCTCTTGTCTATAACAGTGCTTTCTACCTTAAAGTTTATAGTAACTTATATTAACTAAATTTCACTATAACACTTTTCTTTAGCTAAGTATTTGGTTGCTATCATTATTTTCTAACTCTTTTATTTATATTTTTATAGATCCTTATATCTTATTTAGCTGTCTTGTTAATGCATATCAATAGAATTTTAAAATTAAGGTAATTTACATTTATTCTCATTATAATATTTAGGTTTATTTCTAAGATATTATTTTGTGCTTTTATTTGCTAAGCCTTTAATGCTTATTTTTTAAAAAAGTAATTTCATTCTTCTATTGGTTTATGTGACACTTCTTTATTTAATTGTATCCCTTTATTAATTTGTAAATTTTACATATAATATCTAAATTTTTGTTTCTTTGTTTGTTTTGGAGACAAGGTCTTGCTCAGTTTTCTAGGCTAGAGTACAATGATGTGATCATAGCCCACTGCAGCTTTGCACTCCTGGCCTCAGGGGATCCTCCCACCTTAGCCTCCTGAGTATCTGCGATAACAGGTGAATGTCACCACATCCAGCTTATCTAATTTTTTAAGAGAGTTTCTTTGAATTATTAACATCTATATTTTCTTAACACAATAACAAATTAATCAATACTTCTGTATACCTCTTGAGCAATGCAAGGAAGTTTAAATGTTTTAATGACAATTAAAGCACTGCCATAATTACTCACTATTATCCTTAATTCTTTATACAGTCATCGTGTGCATTGATTTACATGCATGCTTACAATCTCTTTGCATTCAATTTTTTCTATGGTTGTACAATTTTTCTGAAGTAAAGCTTCTATCAGCGGGGTTTGTGAGTGGTAAGCAATCACAATAATTGTCTAAAAACAGACTTATTTTGTCTTTCCTCTGAAATGATAGTTTACTTAGAAATACAATTTTAGTTTGAAACTTGGTTTCCCTCATACTTTGAAGATTCTTTTTTATGATTTTCTGGTTTCTTCTAATGCTGTTTCAAAAATCTGAGGTCAGCTTCATAGAGGAGACAAACACTAAAGTAGTAAAATAAGTAAGTAATTTTATGTGAGGTAGTGGCAGATGCTAAAAGGAAACAGAAGCATCAGAGGAATTACTTTGAGGGTCTGCACTGATTCCACATAATCTTCAGTTCACTTGTTATCATTAGGATGTTTGTCTGGATTAGCTTACCCTACCCACCCCCAGTAGATGTTCATCTGTGTGTTGTGCTGTGTTAACGAACAAGATGAGTAGATTGCGACCCTGGTGGGACACACAGTTTTGTGGAATGCGATCATCATAAAAACGTGCGATTATGAAATTTGATAAAGTTAATGAAGGAAAAGTATAGACAGTTAGGAAAGTACATGACAGAGGATCCAGACTTAGTTTAGGGGGTTAGAAAAAAATTCTTAAAAAGAATGTTTGATCTGCAATTTGAAGTATAAATGAGAGTTAAATGGATAAAGGGGGAAGTAATACCAGAAAGAGAGAGTCTTACAGGCTGAAGGAACAGTAATTATGTAAGTTGTAAGGTGGAACAAGGCTTGAAGTATTGAAAGACACATGATGAGGCCGGGGATTTAGGCAGGTCCATGTAAAAATGCAAAAGAACTGATTTTTTAAAAAGATCTTGAAGTGATTGGAAATGATTAAGAACTTTAAGAAGGACAAGAGAGACATAAACAGATTGTGTTTTTTATAAATGAATCTGGAAGCACTGTGGAGAATAGATTAGAGACTGGTAAGAGTTAATGCAGGGAAATCAGCTAGGGGTCGGGCACTGCAGCAGCTCAGGTAAGAGGTGATCATGACTTAAACCAAGATGAAGTGTAAGAGGAAGAAAGAAGAAGAGGGATATGGAAATTCTTTAGAAGGTGGTGGTGAACCAACGAATGCAGGAGTAAAGGTCTGGTGTCAAGCATGGGTCCTTTGTTCTGGATTGCACAATTGATGCTAATCTAGAGCAGTTCACAGTTTGAAGGGAGAAATATAAGCCAGTATAAAGAGTTGAGATGTTTTTGTGATATCTAGATGGAAAGATAGAGTAAGCAGTAGGAGTTCCGTGTTTAATCTTAGCTGGAAATGCAAACTTGAGAGTCATCATCCCATGCAAATAAAACACTGCGATTTATTTTTTCAAAATTAATGGCAATACCCTTTTCCCTAAATGGGTCCCACCTATCTTCCACCATAGAACCAACCATTTGGTACTCAGGGATAGATGAAAGAAATGAGCCTTTAGGAGCAAATGACCATAATTTCCCTTTGCTTATTATTTTTTGACTCTTTCATGAGTAACAGTAATAAGACCAAACAATATGTTGCACAATATCAATAAAACTGAGTTATATAGACAGAGTTTAAACCACATAAGCCCATTGGGTTGATTTGCACAGAGTAGGCGATCAATACATATTTGTTGTTTGACCAAGTCACACTAAAAGTGTTGCTAAATCACTTCCTTAATGTTGGCTTATAATTGGGTTTGTTGTCAGAAACATGACTGTAGCCATAAATACTTTTGTACTCCTCTTTAAGCAGACAACAGAAAGCCCTTCTCCCCCTGGAGGCTGACTTTGGCTACAAAGGCAGTTCAGTGACCTGGCATAACCTCAGATCCACAGCTTCAGGCTGTCACTGAGCCTTTGGTGGGCCATGGGCCTTCTCAGCTAATATAATTTGGCAAACACAAAGTATTTTATGAGAGAGGCAATGTGGAAAGAACTCTGTAATTTTGCAAAAAATTTTGCCAATGTTTTTAACCACTCAACTTCCCAAATACTCTGCTTCGGGCAAATTAATTTACAAATGTCTTGTATTTTCCATGTCTTTTTCCATTCTCTCTTTAGGGATCAAGGATTCAACATGAACTCTAGTCTTAATAGTCTCAAAGGATCAGGCTGAGTCCTCTGGAGGGACTAGAAACAGATACAATGTAAGAGGCAAGTTAAAATTGTTATCAAGGAAGGGGACCAAGGAATAGAACCAGGGAAACGATATTATATGTTGGATCTTAGAGTGTGAGACTGTAGATGGGAAATGTGGCAGGAAGTCGAGAGTTGAGATCAGCAGTAGGCCTCTAGGCCTAGTGCAAGGTTATAAGAAAATGGAAAAAGTCCAAAAGGTAGCTCCGAATAAACAAGGGTGTCAGGAGTTTCTTCCAGTGGGGCTGGGTAGCTGTAGGGGACGTGATTAAAAGCTCAGGATCATTTCAGACACCTGGGTCCCTTTGTGTTACACCACTCCATTCTTTTGGAATGCCTTTTCCCGTCTTTGCCTGCCAATTCAATTCTGTTTTCTGTGGACATGTGACCACTGATAGAGGATTTAATTAGCCTGAGAAATATTTGGGTAAAAATCTATTTTCTAACAAAATGCCAAATCATTATAGCATGTTTGTTTTAGGAGGCAAATTTTGCCACCTTTTACATGCCTTAAGCATTTTGCCCCTTTCCCCCAGAAAGTCTAAAGAATCTTTCTCTTCTTTTACTTTTGAAAAATTTCTAATGGATTTTCAGGAAACAGTTACCTAAGGTGTTTTAGTCCTATTTTTAAATGTAATGCATCACATATTTATTGCCTGTGAACCTGCTTGAAGTTAGGAACCATGTTTTATTTGCATTGCTTTATATACTTGGTTAGGCTAATAAAATGAGAATATCTATTATTTATCAAATGCTTAATTACGTTACCTATACTATTTCTAGTATTCACAGAAACCTTTCCAGGTATGGGTGTTACTTCCGTTTTAGGCTTAGAAAGGCTAACCTGCTCAGAGATAGAACCAATACATGCTGGAGTTGTAATCAGAACTTAGATCTCAGCTCTCTTCATGACTCCACACTGCCTTAAATATTTGTTGATTTGATTAATCTAAATTGTTGGTTACACAGTTTATGTCCTTTACCTCTTAGGGTTTCTGCGATCATCCCCAGAGCCAGACTGGCTAGGAGCCAGTAAGAAGAGAGGAAAGAGAGAGAGAGGGAGATATTGAAACCACATTTTGTGCCTTGTCATTTCACAAGGAAAGAAAGCTTTAGTTTCTCTCTTTATTTTTGTTTTTATCTGTCTTCCCTTTTTAATTCTTGGCCCTATTCCTTATTCATTTCTTATTTATTATTATATTCTTTTTCGTTATTAAAACATCCATTTATAAAAAAAATTTTCTTTTATTGTTTACTTATATGAGTAAATGCCTTGGTCTAATCTAAGCTTACAATTTCCCAAAGGTTCTTTAGTTAACTAGCTAAATTCCAAAAAGTTAATTTGCCCATAGGGGGCTAATTTATATGGTCTTCCTAGGGAAACACACACACACACACACACACACACACACACACTTTCTTAGGGGAGAAAACCAATAGGTTATGACAAATTCATTCGTGAAGGTAAGTAAACTAAGTTTGGAAACTGAAAAGTTAAACTCTGTGGAGTCTCTTGAATTGCTCAGTTCTGGTCCTGAGGCTCAAGTCCCCACTTGCTGTCCCCCCAGCTCTGTGCTCAAAGACCTTCTTCATGCCTCAGACAGCTCTGTGCTTTCTGGCTGGTCACTGTCATGTGTTCACACATTTTCAGATCAACATGAACAGGGTGGCAGAAAGAAGCTATTGGGAACTAGTGTTTGGATGTATCCCAGAGATATTTAAACTATATATTGAGTTCCCAATATGTGTTATATGTTTTTTTTTAAATAAGCAAACATAGAAATTAATGGTGGTAATAAGATGTGATTAATTCTATATTAGTCAGGTGTATCACCATGTGTTAGGGGAGCCCAGGAGCATGAGGGAGTTTCCAGAGACACCCATTTCATGACTGATGAGAGGCTGCCAGCGAGGGAAGGTGGGGAGTGTATTCTAGGTGGAATGAACAGCTAGTGCCTTAGCACAGACCAGAAACAAAGAAAAAACACAGAAAGCTTGAGACGTATGTGACTTCTGAGTGCTTTGGGATATTCCTCAATTGTAATAACTGAGGCTTGCTCTGTGCCAAGTCACCTTCCAAGTGCTTAACTTGTGCTGCTTATTTAAATCTTCACAATAAGGCTATAAGGTTAGTTCTGTTACTATTCGCACTTCACATTGCAGAAACTGAAGCACAGAGAAATGAGACTTGTGAAGGTTCACACGGTAGGTAAATACTCAGGTTCTCTACCCCAGAGCCTTTGCGCCTAACTGCCACACTATGCTCTTCCAAGTGTTTGCTGGAGAACAATAAATATTTACTAATGTATTTCTTCTTGCAGGCCACTTGTGTCCTTCACTAATCAGAAACTTTTATATTTTAATGGTACTTCACAAAATCCCCTGAGAAGAAAAGAAAGAGGCAGACCCACCAAAAAAAGGAAAACCCCAAAGGTGAAAAGACAAGGACTGAAAACAAACTCGACCCTGGATTGAGTTACAGCATCAAATACCCTATTGCTGATATGGAAGCGCTGGGTAGAGGAGGGCGTGGTCCCTCCCTAGGGCTCCACTCCCACAGACCTAGGTGAGGACAGGCATTTCCTGCCCAACTGTTGCATTTCCCAAGACCACCCTGGCCTGCCATGCCCCCATCTTGTGCCTATAAAAACTCCCAAGACCCTAGCAGGCAGACTAGAGGCAGCTGAGCTGGACGTCGAGAGGAACACACTGACACTGGCACACCTGCAGGCCACCGACCGGCAGAAGCAGAACGACACAAATTTGGTAGGGACAGTTAGAGGAGAGTCCAGGCTGCTGATCAGCCAGACTTCAGGGGAAAACCATCTCCCTTCTGGCTCCCCCATCTGCTGAGAGCTACTCCCATTCAGTAAAACCTTGCACTCATTCTCCAAGCCTCGGTGTGATCTGATTCTTCTGGTACATCAAGGCAAGAACCCAGGGTACAGAAAGCCCTCCGTCTTTGCAGAAGATAAAGGGTCTAACTGAGCTTACGCAAGCCGACTACGGATGGCTAAACTAAAAGAGCACCCTGTAACACACACCCACTGGGGCTTCAGGAGCTGTAAACATTCACCCCTAGACACTGTCATGGGGTCGGAGCCCAACAACCTGCCCATCTGCATGCTCCCCTAGAGGTCTGAGCAGCGGGACAATGAAGAAGCGAGCCACATCTGCATCGCACACCCTGCGAGGGGGACAAGGGAACTTTTCCTGTTTCGACGGGACAGGAAGTGTTACAGGCCACCATCTTTAATTAGAAAGGCAGTGAGTGCCAAAAAACAAGGAATGCAAGATTCAGACTAAAAATGTGTCTCATTCGCTAGGATAATTGTGCCAACTTTCGTTATAGGAAGCCAAAAGATCCTATCAGGGTAGTTATCAGATCATTAATTTTGTGTCACATACAACCTGTATTGTTACCTTTAAGAACTTCCTGTATCCTCGGCTTCAAATATTTCAGAAAGTGGTCAGGTGTAGTACAGAGATCTGGGGCAATCATTGCATGTTGGAGTCCCGGATTCCAAGGGCTTTTGGGAACAGATTTGTGAGAAAAGAGTGAAAAGGAAGCAAGCAGGAGGATGTTTATTTTTAATAAAGGGACCCTGCCCTAACTTCCTGAACTAAAACCAGTCTAGACTTGTTTTTTCCATTTTACACAATGTCCGTAACAACAGAATACATTTATTAAAACCAAACAAACTGGGGGTTGAGTTTTGGCACAGAAAGTCATACAGAAATAGAATCGGCTGCTCTTGAGTTGGGGTGAGTGATTGATTTACAAACCAGCAGTAGATTAAGGCTGCACTGGCCTTAACTGAACTGAAGTTATTTTCATTATGAAGAGACAATAGAGAGGCAAAATGTCTGGCCTGGTGCCTGGGACATGAACTAGTTAGTCTATCAATTCTGACCTCCTTTTCCTTCAGTTTTCAAAACTCAAGAGATTAGAGCTAGGAAGGACCCTTATGGCATTTTCTTCATAACTGTGTGGAGAAAACTGAGTCTCAGAGAAGTTAGATGTTTTTGCCTCTGCATTCACAGCCATAGATTAAAGCAATGTATCACTAAATTACCAGACAGTACCTACAAATGGGGAGATTTAATTTTGGCTTCTGTCGGTTGGGAACATAAATGTGGCAACAATTCAATTTGCACACAGTTGAGCATAGATTCACAGCCAACTCTTTTTTTTTTTTTTTTTTGAAAAGGAGTCTCGCTCTGTCACTCAGGCTAGAGTGCAGTGGCACGATCTTGGCTCACTGCAAACTCCACCTCCTGGGTTCAAGTGATTCTCCTGCCTCAGTCTCCCAAGTAGCTGGGACTACAGGCACCCACCACCACACCCAGCTAATTTTTATACTTTTAGTAGAGACAGGGTTTCACCATATTGGCCAGGCTGGTCTCGAACTCCTGACCTTGTGATCCCCCCGCCTCGGCCTCCTAGAGTGCTGGGATTACAGGCATGAGCCATGGTGCCCGGCCCACAGTAAACTCTTTAGTAATTGGTAGACTCTGTGTTTGGAGATTATCTGGCTTCTTCCCTCTCCTTCTCAGCCATTTTAGGGTGCCTTCAGTAGTGCTTCAGCATTTAGATGCAGGTAGGTGTGTACTTAATCAACGTTTAAGGAATGTCTGAGTCCAGGCCAAAGTCAATGTGTATTTTTACATTTCAGAATGCTTTCCATTCCTCATCTCGCTTAATCCCTACAGTATACTTATAAGGAGACAGAAAGTTAATTTGAGCTGGATGTGATGGCAAGTGCCTATTGTCCCAGCTACTCAGGAGGCTGAAGCAGGAGGATTGCTTGAGCCCAGGAGTTCAAGGTTACAGCTATGATCATACCACTGCACTCCACCTTGGGTGACAGAGTGAGACCCTATCTCACGAAAAAAACTGTAAAAAAAAAAAAAAAAAAAAAGAAAAGAAAATTAATTTGAACTCTATTTCACCTGTGGAGAAAACGAGATACAGTGATATTCCCAAAATGGCATACTGAGTTTCACAGGGAGGTCAGGATTAGAACCCAAATATCCCTCCTCTAATTTTCTTTACAGTGGGCCATGATCTCCCCCCAATCCCCTCCATTAATAGGAATTAGAGAAGTTGTAACAGTAAATGAATCCCGAAATGTACAATGGAAAGTTGTACAGTAAATGAATACTGAGATGTAGTGAAGTTGTACAGTAAATTAATACTAAATACTATGTTCATTTTCACAAAAAGTGCTTCTAGTTAATTTACTTCAACATGTTGGGCTAATTTTGGAGATGTACAACATTTGGAACCAGAACAGTCATTTCATTTCTAAGACTCATTGTTTTAAAATTTAACTCTTCATGCCCAAAGAGACATCTTCTTTCACAGGCCCCTTCATGATGAATGATACTCCTTCCTTGACTCTTCCAATGTACAGTCATTTTCCAATGGCAGACTGCAAAAGACTAGATGTTTCAACTAAACCAAACACTAACAGTCCTTTGAGTGCTGAGCACCATAACTGGTGAAGACAATGGCTGCTTGGAAAAGTGACTTTATCCTTAGGAGATTTCTCCATTCCCTTGAGATTTCTTCCCTTTCATACAACTGTGACCACTTTGTTCAGATCTTAGAGGCTCAATCTCTCTATAGTAAAAATAAAATAAAACCTTCTATCTCAAAGGATTTTTTAGTATCTTTATTTAAGGGGTGTGTCTTTTACAGAAACGTAGAAATTTGTAGAGGAGGATGAGAAATTAATATTAGTTCTATGAACAAAATAGCCTTTGCTGTGGTTTGGGTTCTATTCTGTTTTTGATGACTAAGAATCATAACTAATAATGGCCTCTTCAAAATACATTTCTTTTAAGAGCCTGATTGATGGTTATCACAGCTTTCCTCATTCATTCGTTAGTTATCAAGTGACGAAGTCCTTTTAAGTTCATTCCTAAAATTTCCATCTCTGCTTAGAATTTGATAACATTGAACTTAAAATCAGACATTTTGAGAGGCATGTAGAAATTGTGTTTTGTGACCTGTGCTTTCCAGAAATGGCTATGTTAAGATACAAAGTTGTAATTAGAATCACACAGACAGAAATGGTGAATCTTCTTGAGGAAACCTTGAGAAACTTGAATATTTTGCAACTTAGAAAATTGGAAAATGAGAAAATGGAGGAACCAGAGGGTCATAAGACAGTTCTCAAACTGTAGATAGCCTTTAGTAAATTGCCATTTTAACACTTTGTCTGGCTTGCATAATTATCTCCAGCCTTAACTATATTGGCTACCATTCTTTCCTAAACATCAGCTGGCTTCAACAGAGCAGTGATTCTCTGACCCATTAGCACTCACCTTACAAGTCAACATCACATTATCACCCACCACCATTCTTGTATTTCACAATCATGTAAATATCCTACCACAAACCACCCTGCCCTCCCATGAACACCTAACATTACCACTTGTTGGCTGACTTAGCCTCTTCCCTTCCTCAGCCTTGGTATATTATTAGTGGTGTTATGGGAAAAAACAGCATGGAGTCAAGAGAATGAGTCAATCCAAGAGAGGCTGCAGGTCTGAGGAGTTAGGTCACAAGTAGTCATTCTTCCCCATTTTCATTCTGTGACGTGTTTGCCAAAGTGTGGTGGAGTAAAGGGTATGTAGGTCTCAAAAGAGTGCCCTTTGGAACCAATAAGATTCTGATGGTCATGGTGTACCAGGTAGAGATTGCAGGACAGGGCCAGAACTTTCAACGTACTGTTCAATATGTATCCACCTCCTTTCAGAGACTTCCTTCCCTGATCATTCCCCTTTGTGCTCAGCCCTCATATTATCACTCAACCTGCCTGAACTTTTGTCCCATGTAGTGACCTAGAGCAACATTATTTGAAGAGATGGAGATGGAGGGAGAAGTAGAGATAGAGGCCATGAACTGGTAGGAAAGTAGTAAAGGATGGACCACAGGGTGGGCAATTATTAGCAAAAAGGAGGATGTGGCAGGAGTGAGGAGCAGGAAATGAAGACAGGAAGGTAAGGTACTACCAACTCTGGACATAAAGACAAGAGATATTTAACAACAGATAAGATCACCTCCATGAAATTTAGCTGGCATAAATAAGCATTAAGGTCAGAATTTGGAGTTAAATCTAACATCGTTTTTTGCTCACTCCCAAGTTACTATACAAGTCTTTGCCTTATTCTTATTGCGTATACATCATCATCATTATTATTATCATTAAAATATTTGACTATCTACTAAGTACATTAGAAATTCAGGCCATTCCTCAAGTTCCCAGTGAACTTCATGTTTATCTTACACTAGGGAACTAGATGGCTGGAGAGGAGAAGATGTGAAGTCAACATTAGGCTTCGTGAGTCTGATCTATTTCCTCGACCTCCTGGGCTCAAGGAACCCTCCCACCTTAGCCTTCTGAGTAGCTGGGACTACAGGTGCATGCCACGACACCCTGGTTATTTTTTATTTTTTGTAGAGACAGGGTCTCACTATATTGTTCAGGCTAGTCTTGAACTCTTGGCCTCAAGTGATCCTTCCACCTAAGCCTCCCAAAATGTTAGGATTACTGTTGTGAACCACTGCACCTGGCCAGATCTATTTCCTGATACATCTTTATCTCTTAGTAGGCACTCAAGAAATGCTTGGTGAGGGAATGAATGAGTGAGTGATTGTAAAGTGAATACTTCTACTGCCCCGGCAGGATTACCTTTTAGTGAAGACAACATAGACGTGTTCTCCCCCAGCACAAACTTAATGAGGGTGCTACATCTTTTATTTGATAAAATGAATCCATCCTTTCCTTATTCTTTTGCATAGCATTGGTGCAATAACTATGATGGTATAAAAGGAGATACAGTTCTAGACATGTGTAGTGGATGCTGTGGTGAGCCGCACAGATCACCCCAAAGTCATTAGCTTCTCCCAGCTCTGAGTATGTTGACAGCTAAGAGCTCTTAGATGAATCCCACCCACCAACCAGCCCAGAAATCTCCCTCTGCTCAAATGAGCCATCTTGCCCACGAGCATGCACCTTTCCTATGTGCAGCTTGCAACATCAGATGTTCAATGTTGGGGTATAGAGGCCTGGGTCTCATTCTCCAATTTGGGGTACTCTACAAGGAAACCTCAGCACCAAATATCCACATGGGATAATCTAAGCCTTTGTTGTGACTGCATCGCAGCCTAACTTATATTTCTGTGGAACCCTACTTTCTTTATTTCTTCACAGATCCCCAGACGCTCCCCAATAAACTCCTTGCAATGGAATTTAGTTGCAGAGTCTTCTTGGAAAACATGACCCGTAATACAATGTTAATTTTAAAATTAACAATTTTAAAATTGTTACTTCACCACAGCTTGAATTATGTCAAACGTGCTCTATTTTTTCTTCCTTAAGTGTATGCTAACACCATATTACCATTTTAAGACCAGTGGGCTAATGTAGAAATTAAATCCTGCTATTAAGATTTAGTGAAATTGTTTGGATAATTAAACATTAAAGCCTGGATTCCACACAACTTTTCATAAACTATAGAAGTGGCTTAACACCCTCATCCTTTACTCACACATATCCTTCCACCCCTAGTATGACTCAGATATTTCATTGTCAAGGCCACAAAAACAATGACTTCTTGTTCCAGAACAGAAAGAAAAGAGAGACCTATCTTAGAAGTGATTCGAAGGAGGGTGAATCACCTTCAAATTTACAGAGGTATGATTTTAAAATTCACTTGCTTCTTTGATTTCCAGAGTACCTTTTTTCCAAAAGTTCAACACTCAAAAGGTGTTCGTGTTTAACTTTCTCCTTTTCCAATTCTCTAGGTCTCGCCATGTAAGGTTTCTGCAATTAGGAGCCATGAGTCAGATCCATCCCACTTCCAGTCTTACTTTTCTCTGTTTAGAAAACCAGATATTTTCAGAAAGGTGAAATAAATAGGACTGGTTCCAAATTCAATTGTGAAATAAAGTTAGCTTATGATGGTTGTGGACTGTTTCCTTTGTGGCTCCTCCTCCCCCAGCTCTGGGGCCCCCTCAGCCCACGGCCAGCCTCCTGCCCAGTCCCCTCCACAACATACCTCTTTCTTTGTGTATTGCTTTCCCTGTTTGGCTGCTTTCTGTCCGTGACTCAGAACCATTCTGGTGGCTTCCATGTTGCCTGTTGTCACTACAACTGAAAAGTCTCTGTTCTATAGCTCATCATCCAATCATCACCAATTGCTCTCTCTCTCTCAGAGGGCAGCTTTGCCTGCCACACTCATAGTTGTTTAATGAATATTTAAATGAGTGAATGAGTATATAAATAAACTACTCTCTCTCAATACGCTACATAGCCCTCATCCTACCCCTGACTGCTCAAGGTATATGTGTATTAAGATGGGCCTGATGAATGCAGCCTTCCCTTCTGGCATGACCCAATAGGCGAGGAAGGACAGGAATCCCCTGACAAGTGGACGTTGGGGCTGTTTTACTATGTATTTCTAATGCTTTGACATCTGGGACTTTGCTTACCTTGGAGAGATTGCCCCTCCCTCCTAGAGATAGCCAATTCCTGGAGATAGTAATAAACTCACCTGCTAGTATAGCTTTTATATGCAAACCAACCAGTCCAGAGTCCATACCCCAACTATCTCCTTACTGGACTCTCATGGGGCTCTCACATGCTGGGCTACCACCCAGCCACTCCACCCAGGGCCAGGTTCCAGGCAACAAGGGAAAGCTCCTATGCCCCAGAGCCTGCTGAAATTATCGAAACCAGCCAATCCTAAGCCTCCTTACCCTCCTAACCCTTTCCCATTTCTTCCCATGGAGACCATAATAAAGGCCCTTGTCATTTCACCTTTACTCCTTCTGCCTTCTGACTGACCCTGATACTTCCCTATGTGGCCCTGCACAGCATGGCATGCTGCCTCCTCTTGGGAACTGTGAGTAATAAACTATCTTTCAAATGGCTATCTTTTTTGATCTGTTGGCCACCCCATACCTAGAAAACAATAAAAGCTACATTTAAAATCTGTTATCTCAAATACTTTTTCAGCCTCAAAGAAACAGCCTGAATGAAGTCTCTGCCTTCCCGTAAGTTCTAACAATTAGAGAAATGATTATTTCCCAGAGAAGGCAATGTAGTATTAACTTAAGAGAAAAGTAATAGCCAAACTTTACTTAATAGGGATTATCACCCTGGGATCTCAAGCAATCCTAATAATTATTACATTAACCTTAATAAACTAAAGTTCAAAGATAAAAGTAATTTTTCCAGTGTCATAGAGGCACATACATAGAATAGGTGAGACTCAAACCCAAACTTTCCAGTCATTCCTTTGAATCCTGCTTCAGTCCCGCTCCTTCCATCATAGTCTTCCAAATATGTTAACATCTTTTTCAAATTTATATTGTATAATATTATCACTTCCTTCGTACTCTAAAGAAAAAGTATGGCAGTCTTGTCAGTGAGGGCCATTGAATGATTCCACAATGAAAAATAGCTGAGATGTATCCAGACATCTCAACAATAACATAGCCCTGGGGAAATGGATGTAGACCTGGCAAAAGATTCTCAAGACAGAGAAAAAATTGCAGATGTTTATAAGATCTGATTTTTTTTTTTTTTTTTGAGACAGAGTCTCTCTCTGTTGCCCAGGCTGGAGTGCAATGGCAGGATCCAGGATCTCGGCTCACTGCAACCTCCACCTCCCAGGTTTAATCGATTCTCCTGCCTCAGCCTGCTGAGTAGCTGGGATTACAAGCCTGCACCACCATGCCCGGCCAATTTTTTTTTTTTTTTTTGTATTTCTTGTTTTTTTTTTTTAAGGAGAGACAGGGTTTCGCCATGTGGGTCAGGCTGGTCTTGAACTCCTGACCTTGTGATCTGCCCGCCTTGGCCTCCCAAAGTGCTGGGATTATAGGCATGAGTCACTGTGCCCTTCTAAAGATCTGATCTTTAATAAATGGGTGAATCTTTACAAATTTCTTCTTTCTGAAGTCCCATTCTTTGGTTATGAGACCCCCGGAGCTACAAAGAACAGGACTGCCTATGAAGAAGACCGGCAAAAGTAACTGGCAGTTATGAAGAACTACAAGATGAGAAGGAAGGATTCACTTCAATATTATACACATACAAATAAGTATATAAAATAATATAATAAAATTGTTATTGAATGTCAGCAAGTAGAAAAATGCATTGTAAAGATGTTAAGACCCATGTGGTCCATTTTGATTATTGTTTTTGAGGGGAACACTTCAAGAAAAATAATTGAAAAATTAGCACAATATCAAACAAAATGTAGCTCATGGGTCCTACTATAGTTTGGGTTCCAACTATTTTAAGCAAGAAAGAGGAAAAGTTGGGAAAGAATGAGGCGAGAAAAACAATGAAGTAAATCAAATGATAAAAACCAAATGATGAGAGTTAGATTGTGAGTATGGGGGAAAGATGGCTAGATAAAGGGGCTTCAGTGCAGCCAGCAAGTGGTTAAAGGCATGGTTTGAGGAGGGCATCTGGAAGCTGTTAAGAATTTCCACAAAGGGTGGGCAAGAAGAAATAGCTTCCATGGCCAGAGGACCTCAGCTGGATATCAGGAAGAATTTCCTGACCGTAAATGTCAAGAGCTCTCGTTTACAGGATCCAAAGGAGCCTTCTGGGATGTGCCTATCTTAGGAATATTTTTCAGCCTCAAGCGAGAAGCTGTTTGGGTGGTTTTCTGCAGCCCTGGGTTGGACTGTGTGACCTCCACAGAATACCTTGGTCTCGTTGCTGAAGGGCACGCCTTACACTGGGGCTTTCACAGTGTGGTTGCCAGCAGCTGACTCCCGCCCAGGGGCTGTGGAGTTTTCCCCACAGAAAGAACAACTGAGCCTTTCACTCCCTGTTCCTCACTTGGACCAGTCCTTAGGTACATCTGTGGTTTTTCAGCTCTTCAGCACTTAGGCACTTTCCTCCTGAGCCAAGGGCCTCCTGGGAACAATGCAGCATCTGTGTGTTGATAGTAACAGCCTATGGGCCAGAGTCACTCAGCCAAGCTCTCCTTTCACCACACAGGAGCTGGATCACACACCTTACCTGCAATAATCCAAGGCTTAGTCAGCCTCAGCCCGTCCCACTGCCAGTGCCCTGCTTCTCCTATCTGCTCCCCAACCTTTCACCTAATTTGCTTCCTAGCTCAGTTGCCACATTTGTTCCAATCCTCATGCAGGATGGTCTCTATTTTCCACCCATCCCACCCACAGAGTGAACAATAACATGTTAGTGGCTTATGGTCTGACACTAAACAGTGGGCACTGCAGAGGGAGGAACATGCTGCTTAGTTGGGCAGCTGGGTATTTACAAAAGGTTTGGCCTGCAAAGAGATGCCAGCCTTTCTCCTATAACATGATTGCCTTTTATTTATTATGCAGGTTGTTGATTTACATAGGGAGTTGGAGATGCTAACCAAGCATGGAGTTTTCACATGGTCTATTTCTGCTGAGTTCAGGGACTTGGAGACAGCCTTTAACTTCTGGCAAAAAGACAATTTCACAAAGGTGTTTAAAACCATCCTTTGGTTTTTGATCCTGAGTCAGAGACGGACATGTGCTTATGAAAGAAGGTAGAGTTTCAACCCTTAGGTAACCTTAAAAGAGCAGGAACTATGTTGTGTGTAAGTCATGTGCAGTATACAAACTTGATATTAAATGACAAATTGGAACAATCTTTCTCTAGGAATGCCTCTCTTTCATAGAGGCATCACAGTGAGTCTCTTAAAGCCTTGATCTAGGTGTGTTACAGATGGGCTTACAGAGTATGAATGCACGATAAGAAGGAAATTGGATAGGGAGTGAGGATATGAAATTTAAAAGAAGGAAGAAGAGAAAACGAGATTTTAAGACAGGAAATGAAGCTCTGTGTGTGTGTGTGTGTGTGCGTGTGTGTGTGCACGCGTGCGTGCGTGTGTGCACGTGCGTGTGTGTGTGGTTGGCAGGCCTAGTGATCCTGTTGTTTAGTGTCTCTGAGATTTGAGTTGTGCCTTTTTACTTTGCATAAAGTAGATACTTGGCCATATGTAGTTCCAAGGAGAAGTCAGAGTTCCACCTTTGGAGTCTTTCCTTCTGATTCACGATTTTCTTTCTGGAAAACATTATAACAATGATATTTAGATTAGTAAACTGAGCTGTTTACTCCTGGAAGTCCTAAATCCTTCTTTAATTTTTATCTCATGAACCCTGTTATATGAAGTTTGATTTGTTGCCCATTAATGCTTTACACTAAATGCTGAAATCCAAAATTCAGCCTCTGAATATGCAAGGCCTTTCCAAACATGCTTTTCTAGTTTGAGTCTCACGATATATCCTAACAAGCATCCTGACTCCGGCCACCATATCCTCATAGACTTTTGCTTTTAATCAAATCTAGTAGAGCCCAAATAATTTTTTTAACTTTAATTTTTTTGCTTTTATCTTTGTTTTTAATTGACACATAATAGTTACGTTTTTATGGGGTACAGAGTGATATTCTATACATGTATACAGCTTGTAATGATCAAATCAGGACAATTAGCATATCCATTGCTTCAAACATTTATCATTTCTTTGTGTTGGAAACATTCAAAATCTACTCTTCTAGCTATTTGAAAATATATAATACATTGTTCTTAATGACAGCCACCCTGTAGTGCTACAGAACACTAGACATTCCTCCTATCTATCTGCACTTGGTATCCATTAACCAACATTTTGCTCTCCTCCCTCTCTGAGCCCAAAGAATTCTTATTCAACTGGAAATAAAAGGGACATAGAAAGAAAACAATTTGCTTTACCTGCAGTCTCACACTTACCAACAATTTTCCACTTAGGAATCCATCACAAAAGTTTTGCACATGCTCTACGGAAACTTCTGCTGTGGGCAGTGTATCCCACTCGTCATCTAGAGTCTGGTAAATTGCCAAAGCTGGCAGTTGAGACTCCTTTAGTTTGAAAAATGATATCACCTTCCCATTTTCTTTCATACCACTGTCCACCAGAATAAAGAGAATCTGCAGTTGGGGAAGTTTGAAAGAAAAAGTTCTATCTGAGGTGACGTCCAGGGATAAAGAGATACCTTGTAATTGTTGCAGCTCACACTGATTGAATTTATGGTCTGCACCATGAAATTGAAATCTTGAGTTAAAATAAATTATTGCAGCTGTAACAAAGAACAAAATCATGTCTTTTGTGGGAACGTGGATGGGGCTGGAGGCTATTATCCTTAGCAAACTAACACAGGAAGAGAAAACCAAATATCACATGTTCCCACTTCTAAGTGGGAGCTAAATGATGAGAACTCCTGAACACAAAGAAGGGAACAACAGACACTGTGGTCTACTTGGGGGGTGGAGGGTGGGAGGAGGGGGAGGAGCAGAAAAGATCACAATTTGGTGCTGGGCTTAATGTGTGGGTGATGAAATCATCTGTACAACGAAGTCCCATAACACAAGTTCAACTACGTAATAAGCCTTCACATGTACCCCTGAACTTAAAAGTTAAAAAAAATGAATTTCCTATTATTTTGTGTTGCTTTGATGTTTTATCCCTTTGACGAGATTGATTTAATTTTAAGAACATAGAATTGGAAATTACTTTAGTGATTACCTAAGAAAGGAAGTATAGCCTAATGGTTAGGAGCAGAGAGCACGTTTTAAATTCTGCCTCTGGTACTCTCTAGTTACGTGAGTTTGGGCACATTACTCAGCCTCTCCGAGACTCAGTTTTCTCATTGGCAAAATGGGCTTTTGGTGGGGGAAATTAAATGAGGTAACGCATTAATATTTTTATTCAGCTTTTGGCCTATAGTAAGTGCTTGATAAATGTAGATTATTTTATATTATTAAATCAAACCTTCAACCCAAAGTAGAAATCTTCTTTATAATATTCTGATCAGATGATTGTCTACTTTCAGTAACACTAAATACTTTCAGTGTTAGAGAACCAACCATCAGAAAGGCGCTTATTTTATTACCAGACAGTTCTCATCATTAGAACAGTCACTAGTTAGGCACAGTAGCCTTGAAGTAGTTGAAGTTTTACTATTTCAGTAATATCAAGCAGAACTCCACAAAGGAGGGGAGGGAAAGAAAGAAATATTCATTGTATATTGAGCAGGCACCAGGTACTTGATAGGTGTTTTATATGAGAAATGAGCCCTGAGGTCTAAATCTCTATGAAATTATGGGAAGGATTAAACAAATGGTGACTTAGAGGTGATTTTGCTTTCAGTCTCTTTGGATCTCTATTTTCTCTCTACTAATCAATGCAGGAAAAAACCCACACTTAATCACTACAGGAAGATATAATTACATATGCCTTTAATATGATAAAATACAACATCTCTAATTTCAAATAATGTGATTTATTATGTCCTACTTCTTGCTTTGCTATCTCCTAACCATAGTTGTTTTCCTTATTTATCTCTGCTTCCTAGCCCCATCTCCCTTTTCCTAGTGTCCTGGAGGTGTGTATGCAATAGGATATTCCCATTCTTGCCTTACCTTCCCCTGGAAGAGCTTGGCTGCCTTCTGGTATCTGTGCATGTTCTCTTCATACTCTGGGGAGGCCTTGTTCATTATCAGGAGGAGATGAATCTGAATTACGCTGTTGAATAACCCAATCACAGTCTGGCAAGTCGAAATGTGTTACAGTAGAGTGAAAGCGAGAAAGAATGCATTAGTACCTGGGAAGGAGTGAATAGGTAGATTGAAACTTAAATGAGAGCTGGCCACTGGTAACACAAATGGAACTAGCTTCCAAGATGGCTCTCAGTTAAGTCTTACCATCTCGTTTTCATGCAACTGTGTAGATCCTTCCTTCCCACCCTGAATGGGGCAGAACTGAGTAACCAAGACAATGTTGCAGAAATGATGGAGTGTGACTTCCAAGGTGAAGTCTTAAAAGACATTATGGTTTCTGCTCTTCTCTCTATCTCTCACTCTGAGGAATACCAGCCCCAGTGTAGGGCACTCAAGCAGTCCTCTGAGGAGAAACGCATGGCCAGGAACTAAGTCCTTCTACTAACAGCCAGCATTGACTTGCTATTCATGTGAGGGAGCCATCTTGGAAGCAGATCCCCAGCTCCAGTTGAGCCTTCAGATGACTGCAGCCCTGACCAATGACTGCAACCTCCCAAGAGACCTCAAACCAGAAGCACCTAGCCCTAGCCACCCCAAATTGGATGACCTGCAGAAACTGCATGAGATTATCAATGTTTTTTATTTGAAACTCCTAAGATTTGGAGTAATCTGTTTTGCAGCAATAGACAACTAATACACTATGTAACATATTAGTCACTTTATTTCAGCCCCCTCTCTTGTTGCAAGACTAGTCAGAGACACTTAAAATGTAGTCTTTGTTTGAGTACATATTAGTAGTTCGTACTTATTGAGTGTTCATTACGTGGAAGGCACTGTCTCCAACTCTTAACAAAGAATAAGTAATTTAATCTTCAAGGTCCCAGTTTTTCAAATGAGGAAATTGAGGCATAGATAGACTAATTCTCCAAGAGTCAAATAAATGGCAGACAGGGATTCACACCAGGTGGTCTAGCTCCAGAGTCCATGCTCTTGATCATCAGGATGGACTGCCTCATGCACAGTGGATAGCAAAACCCCATATAAACAAACTCGATCTCAAATGTGGTTGAACCAATGTACCAAAGGTCAGCAGAAGGTGAGCTCTTCAGGAGACCAGAAGCATTGACCTTGTTTTGCTGATTAGAGATGGTGATTTTTCCATGAAGTTGTCAATGACTTAGAGGAGTGGAACAGCCACCAGTCAGACAGAGGAGAAGAAAAAGAGGGGAATCCATGGCACTGGTTCCCTTCATTTCACTGTCCTGAAATAATGCTGCGAGTCTACTTCAAACCAATCTCATCTCTTTTCACCTCTCCTAAATTCAGAAAGCATTGCTACAAAACTAGTGTGTACACAGGAAGAGAGAGAACATGGTGGGTTAACAAATCTTTGGTCAGAGTCTTAGGAGGATGGGGAAGGGCACAGCTAGGTAGAATTCTTCCTGATTTTTTACACAAGTTTGTAAAGATTCTCCAGCTCTTTTGGCTGCCTACAATATGTAGGCAAGGAGGGCCCAGTAGGTCCTTTCCTAAAGATTTCTCCGTGGAGTTTAAAATCAAGTTTTAGATTTTTCATTTGGGAGATTGGATGACACATGATTTACTCTTGTTTTACTAAATCCTGCTACTTAAATTTAGAGCATTCATTCACTATTCTAACACTGAGATGGAGGATAATTCCTGGGAAGAGTAAAGAAATAAAAGCTAAGATGTCAAAAGGTACAGTTATCTTGGCAGAAGGGATTGACCATAGCCGAATGGATTCATTTAATCCTAACAGACACCTTGACGCCAAGTACTGAGTGTGTGCATTAAAAGTGCGTGGCAGGTCAGGTGCATGGCTGGGATTTTCTGCCCAGTTGCTACTGGTGCAAACCTTTGCACCAGAAGCAGATGAGAAACAGCTATAGTAGAATGGGCAGTTCTCCAAATGAGAAAAATATTACTTTCAGGAAATAAAAAAAGTAACAATACAGATTGAACTTGCTTCTTTAAAGAAATTCTTACTGAATTTTCTCTTGATATAATCTGCCTTCACTAATAATATGGAACTTAAAAAAGATACGTCATTGCTCTGCGAAATGAGAGACAGATCAGGCATAAGAAACCAGGAAGGTTAGTGCATGCCCCTGCCTTAGCTAGCTTGCAAAATGCCACAACACGGAGGCCATAGCCCAGGGACCATAAGATCATCTTTTCTGGCCCCACATGCAGAAGAACACCTTTTTGATTATTACTGCCAATACCCCAGGGGCATATGTGTTTGGAGCCTTAGCAGAAGTGGAAATAGAGTCACCAACTCCACAGAGATAAAGATGGTGTGAGAGGTAGGCCAGATTTTAGTCCACAAGAAAAGGGGTGTTTCCTGTTGAAGGCAGTGTAGGGCAATAGACAACCACAGGATTCAGTCACAGGCACCAGTCATAAAAAAGCAAGGGCAACTACATAGGCTGTCTCTGAAGCTTGAATTACTAGCCATAGGGCTTTGAAGAAGTTACTTAAATTTTCTGAACTCCCATTTACTCTACTGTAAAATGGAAGTTGGCAAAATGTGCTAATGCATCAGTTACATTTTGTCCCTTAAATTATGCCTTTTCTATTTACTCATGATGTGACTTTGAATAATGTTATCAGTTGGATCTTGAATGTTCTCCTCTATAAAATGGACACAATAATTTCCTCTCTTCTACCTCAAAAAAAATCAATATGAGGATTGAATGAAAAAATGAGGATGAAAGGGCTCTGTAAGTTCTCAAAAATCATACCATGCATGTAAAGAACTGGTATTGGAGAATAGAAGGTACAGCATTTTGAGCTGATGTAGATCACTAGAAATTAATACCCTGTAAGGTTCTGTAATCTATGTCAGGGAAAATAAAGGATGGGACACATAAGATAATTCTGTAGACTGTTATAGTCTATAGAAAGTGTTAGAAGTCCATTTGGTGATCAGGACAGGTGGAGCACCACCTTTACTCAGATTGCATGCAGCATGCAACACCAGAGGAAGACACACCAGGAGAGAAGGCTGAGGCATGGTGAGGGTGTAGGCACTTGCTAGTCAAAGCATGGTTTGCAGCTGCTGCCAGACCAGGAACTGTTTGTTACTGGTCTGCAAGGAGGTACATACAGAAAATGAAATGGTTGTTTAGAAACAATTACAGAAACTTTACATTCCTGTGACATCCAAATATGTGATCAGTGAGCTTCATTTAAAATTTTTTTGTTTGTCTTTCATTTATTCTTATTTTATTTTAGGCACACACCATCATACCTGGCTAATTTTAAAAGTTTTTGGTAGAGACAAGGTCTCGCTATGTTGCCCAGGCTGGTCTCAAACTCCTGGACACGAGTGATCCTCATGCTTTGGCCTCCCACAGTGCTGGGATTACATTTGTGAGCCACTGCACCTGGCCTTGAGTTAGTCACCTTAACTGTGCATTCTGGTTCTCTTTCTTACTAGCAGTGTGATAGTTCATTTAACTTTTCTCTGTTTTTTTGTCTAACAGGAACAAGTTAAATCTTAAAAAGGTGTAGGAAGGATAGTAACATAAACAATACAGTATTGTATTGGTCGAAGAATTGGAACTCTGGGAGGAAGAGACCTCTGTTATGAAGACCAGTACCTTCCCCGACTCAGGGTCTGAAGGGACTAAGAACAGGAAGTATTGTTTACCACAGGGTTGTACTCTGTCACCATGTGGAGGCTGTTGATCTCAATGAAACGGCTCAATTTGGTGGCATCAATGCTTTCAATGTCTTCGTCCTCTAAATTCAGTTGTTCATTGTCTACCTGGATAACACAAAAAAGAATGAAGTCACTATTCCATCTTTTTTTCATGTATTGATAAACGTCTTTAGACCCCCATGTGACAGGCACTGATTAAAGCTCTGAAGACCAAAAGATAAGTAAGAGAGTTTCTCTGCCCTAGGGGGACAAACTGTCCTGTAGACTCCAAAAAAGTGAAGAGAAATTTCCCACATGATGTGGCAGGTGTCATCACAGGAGAATCACAGGCCCGCATGTCACCTATGGAAGAGCAGAAAAGCTTCAAGGAAGAAGTTACTCCTGAAAAGTGGCTAAGACTTGATCAGATAAATGAGGATGAGGAAGGAGCTTTAAATAGAGAACAGCATATGAAAATACTGTGAGATGTGAGAGGTTGCGTTCTGGAAGCTGCTGTTAGTTCACTGTGACCCTACCAGATGTGATGTGAGGGTTGCAGAGAGATCAGCTTAGAGGGATAAGGAAGAGCAAATTTGGAAGTGTTCTGAAGCCAAGGCATGTAGATTAAATTCTATCTGAGGGCAAGGGGGGTCATTGGCAAGGTCAGATTTGTATTATATTTATGTACCCTTTTACTGTGAAATAAAACACATGTAGAGAAAAATATAACACAGTATAAACATTTGCTGTAAAGCTCAGCAAATTATCACAGAGAAAACTATTGTAGAACCACCACCCAAGTCAAGAAATAGAATATTGCTAGAACCCCTGAAGTCCTGGTGCTTCCTTCTAGTTTATAATTCATCCTTTTTTTTTTGCCAAAGGTATGCTGACTTTTATGTTGACCATTTTCATCCTTTCCTTTATACCTTTATAACTTAAAGATGCTTCTTTTAATGCTATAGTTTAGTTTTACCTCATTTTTCACATTAAATACATGTAAACAAACTTCTTTGGCTTAACATTTTGATTATAAGTCATTTATGTTATTGCATGTAGCTGTAGTTTGTTCATCTTCCTTGCTGTATAATATTCAATTGTCTGAATAAACACAATTTATTTATTCATTTTACTACTGATGAACATTGGTTGTTTCTAGTCATTAAGACAATGCCATAATGAACACTTCTTGACTTTTAGTACATATATGCCTCTGTATCCACTGAGCATATACCTCAGATTGGGATTTTTGATTATAGGATATGTATATAGTTAACTAGTAGAAAATGCCAAGCTATCTTCCAAAGTGGATAATTTACACATACCAGTACTGTGTATGACAGGTCCCATTGCTCCACATCCTTGTCAACACTTGCTATTGTCAGTTTTTCTAATTTTACTGATTTTGGTGGATATGGTTATGTCTCAGTGGTTTTAATTGCATTTCTCTCATTAACCACTTAATAATAATTTAAGGATATGAGGACAATTAAAGATAATTATCCTCTTTATGAAGTGTTTATTCATGTTGCTTGCCTATTTTTCTTTTGTCTATCTTTTTCTCTGATTTGAACGTGTTTTTATACATTCTGGATATGAGTCCTTTGTTGGTTCTATAATATATATATTTTCTTACTAGGGCTTCTCCTTTAATGGTGACTGCACATGAAAGAAGGTAATTTAAACATAGTTAAAGTTATCATCTTTATCGCTAATGTGTACTTTTTTGTTTTGTTTTAAGAAATCTTTGACTACACCAAGGTCATGAAGATATTCTCCTATATTTTCTCCTAGAAACATTGTCTTTCACAATAGATCTAAAATCCACTTGGAACTCATTTTTCTTACTTCTTAAAATGGACGCTAAGGTAGGCCAGGTGCGGTGGCTCACGCCTGTAATCCCAGCACTTTGAGAGGCCGAGGCCAGCGGATCACCTGAGGTCAGGAGTTCAAGACTAGCCGGCCAACATGGTGAAACCCTGTCTCTACTAAAAGTACAAAAATTAGCTGGTGGTGCACGCCTGTAATGCCAGCTACTCTGGAGGCTAAGGCAGGAGAATCACTTGAACCCAGAAGGTGGAGGGGAGGTTGCAGTGAGCCGAGAACGTGCCATTGCACTCCGGCCTGGGTGGCAGAGTGGAACTCTGTCTCAAAAAAAAAAAAAAAAAAATGCTAAGATCCTTGATTTTTGTATTACTCTTCTCTAAAGTGAATATTAAAGTCTCCTTCTTTCTGATTGCTTGCATTAATTGGGGCATTGGTCTTCTACTGTCCTGGGTGTTTCTGGTTCTCAGGCCTTCAGACTCAGACTGGAATCTACACCATTGGTGCTTCGGCCCTCAGGCCTTCAAACTAAAACGCTGGCTCATCTAGGTCTCCAGCTCACAGGCAGTAGATGGTGAGACTTTTCAGCCTTCATATTTGTATGAGCCATTATCTTATTAAAAAAATCTCTTAATATGTATATTCATATATATAATATTTACCACTATATATATAATTTGTGTTATAAAAATAATACAATGTAAAAATGTAATTTTTACTATATAATATCTATCTATCTATAATCAATCTATCTATCTATCTATCTATCTATCTATCTATCTATCTATCTATATTACCTATCTCCTGTTGGTTCTCTTTTTCTGGTGAACAGAGAAACAGAAAAACAGAACCAACTATATTGCAAATAATACTGCCATGCCATTAGTTTTACTGCTATTATTGTTATTGACAAATTGATTGGTGAAAACTTTTCTTAGTGTTTGAAGTCTTTTTCCTATTTTATTATATTTTACTTTTAACCTACTATTCAGTTTTGTACATATTTATGGGGTATAGTGTGATGTTTCAATACATGTATACATTGTGTAAATAATCAAATCATAGTATTTAGCATATCCGTTGCTTCAAATATTCTTTGTGATGAGAACATTAAAAAATCCTTTCTTGTAGCTATTATTAAATTACAATACAATATTGTTGACTATACTCACCCTACTGTGCAATAGAATACCTAAACTTATTCCTTTCATCTAACTGTAACTTTGAACTTATTAACCAATTTCTCCCTGTCCCCACTTCCCTCTTCCCTCTTCCATCACCACTTCCCCCTCCGCTCCCCAGCTTTCCATAACCAGTATTGTGCTCTCTACTTCTATAGATCCATTTTTTAGATTGCTTGTATGAATGAGATCATGTGGTATTTGTCTTTCTGTACAAGGCTTATTTCACTTAACATAATGTCCTCTGGGTCTATCTGTGCTCCTACACATGACAGAACTTCACTCTTTTTTATGGCTGAATAGTGTCCATTGTATATATGTACTGCAATTTCTTTCTCCATTCATCTGCTCATGGACACGTAAGTTGATTCCATTTCTTGGTTATTGTGAATAGTGCTGCAATGAACATGGGAGTGCAGATATCTCCTCGACATACTATTGATTTCATTTCCTTTGGATGTATATCCAATAGTGAAAGTGCTGGTTCATATGGTAGTTCTATTTTTAAATTTTTGAGGAATGTTCATACTGTTTTCCATAATGGCTATACTAATTTACATACCCATTAACAGTGTATAAAAATACTTTCTCCACATCCACACCAGCGTTTGTTATTTTTTGTCTTTTTGATGATAGCCATTCTAATTGGGGTGAGGTGATATCTTATTGTGGTTTTCCAGTTTTTAATTAAAAAAATGTAGAAAGCAACCCCTGACTTGACCTATGTGCTCCTTTTCTCCCCAGAATGAGCCTATCGCTGTCAGAGATGTTTGAGCCAGAGCAACTCCATCTTGAATAGGGGATAGGAAAAATGAGCTGAGACCTACTGGGCTGCATTCCAAGATGGTTAAGGCAGTCTAAGTCACAGGATGAAATAGCAGGTTGGCACAAGATACAGGTCATAAAGACCTTGCTGATAAAACAGGTTGCAGTGAAGAAGCTGGCCAAAACCCACCAAAATCAAGATGGTGAGGAGCATGACCTCTGGTCGTCGTCCCTGTTACCTTCCCACCAGCCCCATGACAGTTTACAACTGCCATGGCAATGTCAGGAAGTTACCCTATATGGTCTGAAAAGGTGAGGCATGGATAATCCACCGCTTAGTGCATATAATCAAGAAATAACCAAAAAAATGGACAACCAGCAGCCCTTGGGGCTGTTCTGCCTGTGGTGTAGCCATTCTTTCATTCCTTTACTTTCTTAATAAACTTGCTTTCACTTTACTCTGTGGACTCACCCTGAATTCTTTCTTTCGCAAGATCCAATAACCCTCTCTTGAGGTCTGGATCAGGACCCCTTTTCACTAACATCTTTCTGGAAACCATGGAAGGAACTATAGTGAGGAAACCCCCTGACCCAAAGGCTAACTTTGGGTAAGTGATGGGGTTCAGTTATATCATAAATTAAGGGTCATTCCATGTTTTTATGTTTCCAAGATATAAAATCCTATTATCTGGCCAATTTTAAATTTGTAAGTAGCAAAAAATACATAGAAATCTATACATTTCCTCCTTAGAAGGCTCTAAATGCACTCATAAATTTGATATGTAGAATTTTTATCATTCAGTTCAAAATGTTTCCTAATTTTTTGTTCTTAATTCTTCTCTAAACTATTAGTTATTTAGAAGTGTATTTCTTAATTTTAAAATGTAAGATTTTCTGGTTATATTCTTATTGATTTCTAGCTTTATTTTTATATTTTATTTGTATTATTTGTGTCTTTAAAATTAAGTATATTTTACAGCTTTTGAATACAGTATTCTATAAATGTTTATCAGGTCACTTGGTGAATTTTATAGTTGAAATTTTCTATATCTTTCTTTTTTTAAAACCAGCTTATTTTATTTAAAAGAGTGTTGGGGCCTGGCGCAGTGGCTCACGTCTGTAATCCCAGCACTTTGGGAGGCTGAGGTGGGTAGACCACAAGGTCAGGAGATCGAGACCATCCTGGCCAACATGATGAAAGCCCATCTCTACTGAAAATACAAAAAATTAGCCGGGCATGGTGGCATGCACCTGTTGTCCCAGGTACTCAGGAGGCTGAGGCAGGAGAATCGCTTGAACCTGGGAGGCAGAGGCTGCAGTGAGCAAAGATTGCACCACTGCACTCCAGCCTGGGCAACAGAGCAAGACTCTGTCTCCAAAAAAAAAAAAGGTGTTAAATTTTTCTATTATGTTGTGGCTTTAGCCATCTTTTTATTCAATTTTGTCAGTTTCTGCTTATATAGTATCAGTACATGTATTTGATAAATGCAAATTTAGAATTATTAAATCTGTCTGGCAAATTGAAACTGTCATTATGAACTGTTATTCTTTCTCTCTAGGAATCCTTGTTGCCTAAAAGTCTACTTTGTTTGGTATTAATATATTCATATCAGCTTTCTTTTGGAAGTGTTTGCATGGTATAGCTCCATCCTGTGTTTTACTTTTGTCACTTGTAGAAGGCACATAGTTGCAATTTTCAATCCAGCCTGATAATCTTTGTCTTTTAATTGGATTATTTCCACGAAATGAAATTACTGGTGTATTTAATTATGCATTTTCCATTGGTTCTATGTATTCCAAATGCTATTTTTCTTTATTTCTGTCCTACTTTTGAATTGACTGAGTATTTTATATTATTTTCTTCTTTCCCTTTATTGGCTTAGAAGTTACATAGGCTTTAATTATTCTCTCAGGGATTGCCAGAATACATTATACAACATGCATTTTTTTTCACTTCTCAGAACCTAATATTAATTGGCAATTTCAGCTTCTTCTTGGACAATGCAAACATTAGAATATTCAAATACAGTTTACCTCTTTTAAATTCAATTTTCTGGCTCTAATTCAAGACTTACACATGATTAGTTCCAGATCTCACAGGATATTATTATTTTTGTTATATCTTCAATATACACTGACATTTATGCACATATTTGCATTTTAGCTTCTCTTTATTTATTCCTGTATTTTTTAGCTTCTGTGTGGGTTTTCTTTCCTCTGCTTAGAGAAGACCTTTTACTATTTTCCTTAGTATGAGATGGAGGTGTTCAGTGACAAATTCTCCCCGTTTGGCTGTTTAATATATATTTATTCACCTTTTATTTTTGAAGGCTGTTTTTGCTGGGGGTAGAATTCTAACGTTGGCAGTGATTTTCTTTCAGTATTTGAAAGATATAATGCTTTGTATTCTGCATTCCACTGTTGCTATTGAGAAGTCAGCTGTGAACCTTATGGTTGTCCCTTTGAGAGTATTTTGATGATAGTCTCTCTTTTCTCTGACTTCTTTTAACATTTTATCTTTTGTTAAGTTTTAGATGTACTATGGCATGGCTAAGAGTGGATTATGCATATTCCACATGTATATATATTTGCATATGTGTAGGCGTATGTGTGTATATTTGTGTGTGTGTGCGTGTGTGCATGTGTGTGTGTGTGTATATATATATATATATCTAAAATCACTCTAATTCAATTTCAGGGGCTGAAATGATTTGCATCTGTGCTGCAGCCCTTGAGAGGGCTTATCTACTATGATTCATTCCTGTTTTTAGGTACAGCTCTGTAGGATTCAAAGGGGATGTGAAAGGTGTTGTACTAGATTCACCTCCTATTTCCCCTTGTGAGGCCTGGACTCCAACATTTAATTTTCAACTCCTGAGGATCTCAAAATGCAAATTTATTTCTTAGCTTCTTGGCTGCTTCTAGAACTGACCAAAGCCGTCTAGACAAAAAGCAGTCCTCAATGCAGGGTTCATCTTTTTTGGTTTTCATCTTCTTCCAGATCTTGACCTAGATATTTTCCCTCTTTTACTGGCTCTCTAATGCCTTCAGGCACACACACACACACACACACACACACACACACTTACACACACATTCATGCACACACATTTTAACTTTTAAAAATAGTCTTTGGTGGAAAGGATTGTCTAGCTACATGATCCATTATCCCAGATTTGTATTTCAGAACAAGCTTTCCACCACACTCAGATATATTGAAAGATAGGACTTCATTCTTCCAATCATTGTTCTCAGTTTTCTATTTCCTCACCCCAATCTACTCATACCCATAAAGACACAAAGATAGTGCCTCCACCATCCATAGATAGATCCACGCCTATAGATAAAATTATTAGTATCAGCTCCTGAACAATTTTGTCCATTTCCTACAATAGTTTGCATCACTTTTGAGATCCTTAGGCCATCTGCTCTTGGACATCTCCTTAACCCTTTCCCCTCCATGTGCTATCTGTATAGGTCCTGCCCAATCAGATCTTGCCTTGGATCAGAACCACCCTTTTTTCCCCAAGGTACTTTCTCCTAGTCTACCCAGTAAGATCAGAAGCAAATCTCATGTTAGTTAAGGTAGGAGGGAATTCAGGCAAAGGGAAATTAAAGTCACTAAACAGCAAGAATCTAAGATTGCTCTTTATTGTCATCCCGGTGATGATTCCTATTTCACCTCTTTTCTTCAAGAGGGTCTCCCATTGGGGTAACTAAAAGCAATAAGAACTCTGGAGATGCACAATGCACCCCTTATGGTTAATTTTAATTCTGGATAGATCTAGTCATTCTCTTCCAATCCATTTGTTTCATAATTATTTGCCGAGTGCCTGCTATATGCACTGAGGCATAAAATTGCAGCCATTCATTCAGATGACAATTTAAGCACTCTTTATTTTGGGACTGCTTTATACAATTTAAATTTATGAAATAAATAAATGTTGAGGTACAGAAAAGTTTGTATTTCTAAAAAAGAATTTTGAAACAAATCAAAACCACAGGGTAAAAATGAACTCCTTGTGTATATTTAATTGTTTAAAAATTCACAAAGTTTTGAGTAGAAAGCTTGGGAAAAAACAAAACAAAACATGAAAGCAAGAGAAAAGGTCTTAGGTAGATCCTTGCCCACCCTCCTACCACCTCCTTCCCCTTCCCTTGCCCATATCAAGACGAATGAGTAAAGAAATAAAATGAGCACACAAAAAAATAATATTTGCAGCTCCTCTAGATACTTAATGCTGCTACCGACCTGTATTTCCAGCTGGCAAGTCTCCTTCATACTTAAGGCTTTGCTATTGCAACCACCAAAATCATCATCATTATCATCATAATCAGGACTCGTTTAACATTTGATGTGTCTAAATGCTTCCTGACTATTTTTCTAGGAATTCCTAGGTCTGGTGCCTGCACCTCAGCTCACATCGCTGTGCATGGATCAAGAATCCCCCCCTCCCTGTACTCTTTTCCGGGCAGTCCTTCATACTTCCCAGAACAGGGAGAACAAGAAAAGCCAGTTACTCTGGGTGTTTCTGGACTTAAAGAATGCACTAAATTGGAGGCAGAGGATGTTAAGTGGTGATAACATTCTCTAAGAAGCAAAAGAGCTTTAATAAAAGCCACTCTCCTGCAGTCTCTCCAGTTTGTTGTACTTCTTTTAAGAAAACATGCCCGATCTTTCATTATTTCTTAAACTAATAAACTCTGGAACATTCATGTTTAGGGTTTCTGGAAGCAACATTTGAACAGGAAATCTCCCTCTGTAAAGGGAATTATTTGCATAATGCACTGGAAAGAAAATCCAACCCAGGAACCAAGAGTTGGAAAAACCTTTTAAAATGTCTTTTTTCAGTTTTATGGAAAGAATTTTACTTAAAATATCATATTTTTATTTCAGAGAAAAGAGGCAGCAGAAGAAAAACAGAAATAGTAAACTGGAAATATTGCTACCTTAAAACATAATTTTGAGTTTCCTCAAGAGTATCTGAAGTAGATTTTTTTTGTTGTTGTAGACACTACATCATACCAATCACTCATTTTCTGTTCATTAGTATTTCAGCTATATTCATTTGAATTCCCATGGAATTTTCTAACAACCCAGATTTTTATAAAATGTATTAAAATTGTCTTAGTTTATGCCACAGTTATAGTATTAAATGTCTTTGGTGGCACTGAGAAATCATTTGTTAAACAAAGGTCCTCACGTCCTCGGTTTGTTTTTTTAAAGCTGTTCAGCTTATCATATATTTAATAAATATATACTTTAAAAAAAAGTTTCATCATGGACACAGGTAGGGGAACATCACACACCAGGGCCTGTAGGGGGATAGGGGGCTGGGGGAGGGAGAGCATCAGGACAAATAGCTAATGCATGCGGGGCTTAAAACCTAGGTGACGGGTAGATAGGTGCAGCAAACCACCATGGCACACGTACACGATATAACAAACCTTCATGTTATGCACATGTATCCTGGAACTTAAAGTAAAATGAAATAAAATAAAATAGAATAAAATAAAAAATGTTTTATAATCTGACATATCTTCTTGCATTTCTTATCAGTTTATTCTCATGCACGAGTTTCTTCTGATTCTCTTTGTCTGGTGAGGTAAATTTCTTATAATAGTTACCCAATAAATAACTGTAAAAGGAATAAAGGATGACTGCACTGTGTTTTCATTACTATCCCATTAGGTCAAAGTTAGGTTAATTATGTTTCTTTAAATAGTAGTGACTGAAAAAATCCAAAGCAGGGTAAACATTCAAATAATATTTCAAATTCCATTTTAGGACAGGCTCATAGTTTATTTAACCTGGGAGTTACATCTCTGCTAGGGCAACAATAAGAGTCCTGTTGAAAAATTTGAGAGTTTATATGCTGTTACACTCACAAAAGACAGGCTGTGCCCTCACACAGCAAGACTGTTATATGCAACTTATGGTTTCATGAATTTTACCTAAATTCTTCCTGATTACATTTATATAGTTGGCCTGCACTATTTTTGGAGAATATTATGTTGCATAAATACAGCACTGGCTGGCCTTTTATTGCTCCAACATTTCAAGCATGAGTAATATCCATTTATTGTTATTTTTTCAGTTAATCATTATTTCAGCTTATTTCTAAATATGTTCTTAAAATGGAAAATTTTGTAAATTTAGACAATATATAATGTCTAGATTAAATCTTGATAAATAATTCTGCAGTTTGATTAAGGAATGCTAGGAGGCTAGAGGAATAAATTAAGAGAAAATAGTTGAAAGAAAAAAAGTAGGCTTTAGAATGAGGGACATTAGATAGAATTCAGTGTAAAAACAAAGTTTATCTTCAGGGTCAAGTGCTTAAGAAAGCCACTATAATATAGTAAAAAGGGTATGATTTGTAGACAGCAATGCTGGGTACGAATCAGACATCTGTTACTTCACAGTTGTGAGATTTTGGGCAACTAAACCATTCTCTCATGGAAATTTCTTTATTAAAAATGCAGGAATAATAAAAATTACTTCATCAGATTCTTGTGTGAATTAAATGGTCAAATATTGTAATAGTGCCTATCATAGATTAGGCTCTGAAAACAAACAAGCAAACCGAACAAACTGGATCCAGAAAATTTTCAATAGGTTCACGTTTCCCAGTGTAAAATAGGATAGTCTTGGTTGATGTTCCCTTTTCAAAAAAAAAAAAAAAAAAGTGCTCCAAACTCTTGAATAATGGTCCTATTAAAATATGTACTAAAGTTTTGAAAGTGTAAACTGTGAAAAAAATATTTATCTGAAAGCTGGCATGACAAAAGTTGAGCTTCTTCCAGCTCTGCCAGTGAAGTAGGGCAGGAACCATTTTGTTTGTTTTCTGGTATGGCACATAAATAATCTTGCCCACAGAGGTCCCAAGAGTTCATTTAGACTAGGTCCGTCACTAGCGGTAAACAAAAAACAGATGTTAAAGAAGACTGAAAAACTGAGAAGTCATCAGTGAAGCTTTATGAGGAATAAATTGTAAGCAACGCCAGTGCTCCTGTTAGAGGATGTTAAACCTGTAGAGATGTTGGAAGCAACGGCACTTGTTTTTCTTCCCCATGTGCGTATCTTGGTGGTACTAAGCCTTTTAAATCAGGCCTTATAAGACCGACAAACGAAAAACTGAGAAAGAAGTAGGTGTGGAGTGTAGCTTATTAGAATTTTTGTATTGAAGGATTTCTACCAGTGGTTCAATGGCAACACGAAAGGCATTTGCCTAACCTTCCATATATTCCTCATCAAAGCTTTTCACAGAAGAATTTGATTTAATCTTATTTCACACTGGTGAGAATGCAAACCAGCAACCACTGTGCAGGTGGGAAAGGGGTTGCTGAAGGGAGCTCACACAACTTCAGACATGCTTTTGGAGGTGAGTTTAGTTCCCCAAGCACCCTCCGAGTGCCTTTAAGGTGCCAGAGGTGTATTATAGCCCTTTGAATACAAAGATGAATAAGTCATCGTTTCCAGCCTTGAATAGGTCATGGCCTAAGAGGGTAATAGAGGAGACAGATACGTAAATATATGATATGAATTATAAAATGGTATATGAAAATAGAGATAAGGAGTTACATATAGAGGAATGCTTAGGCCCATTTGGAGATTCCAGAGATATTTCCTGAAGGGTAACATTCCTGAACTGATTCACTGGAGTATGAGAAGGAGTCATCTGGGTGAGGCTAGGTGAAAGGGGACCCTTGGCGGGTGGTGGCATTCTAGACAGAAGGAATAGTCTAGGCAAAATCATGGAATTGGATGATCATTATGTGTATAGTTGGCTACTGAGAGGATAAAGCCCAGGGTGGAAGCTGGATGGAAAAAGGACTAGAGAAGCAGGCAGTGGGGCAGGCCAGCAAAGCCTATTTGTAACATTAAATATCTCATTTTTGATTTTTAAGAAATGAGAAATGTTGAAGAGTTTTAAAGAGAAGAGTGCTATGGCCAAATTTCTATCTTAAATACATCATTGTGATACCATTTTAGAAACTGTATATAAAGTAGTAAAAGGAGATCTGTTCAGAAGCTAATGAAATTGCTTATGCTTAGGCTAAGAGCCTAAATACAGAATGAGGTAGAAGGAGTGGAGGAGAATATAGATTCAAGATAGAAGATACAACTGGCAAAAATGTAAGACCAAATGAGCATAGCCACTTAATAAAATAGTATCTTAGATGGAGGAATATGATTAGCAGGTGCAGACAATAAATTCAGTTTTGAACATTTTAAGAGTATAGTGCTTATGAGGGTATATACCCAGCAAACATTTGAATCATGAGAGAAGTCCAGACTAGGGATAAAATATTCTAAATGTTCCGCAAGCACATAATAGTGGAATATGCAAAAGAATTGTACTTCTTAAGAAGAACATATTCATTCATTCATTCATTCATTCATTGATTCTTCATATATTCATTCTAAACAAATACTTAGTGAGCACCTACTGCACAGCAGGCACTGTTCTAGGCTCTGTGGATACACTGAACAGAACAGTCTTTGCCTTCACATAGCATGGGTTCCATGACCCAGACTGTAAAAAGTGTTGGGTCAGGCAGCATTGTAGATACAGGAAGAGAAGGTCTCAAAGAGATTATAAAAGCAGCAGGAGGATCAGGAGAAGTAGTTTCCTAGAATTCAAGGAAAGAGAGAACATTAAAAAGAAAGAAGTCATCACTAACATCATACATGACAGAAATGTTGAGTAAAATAAGACCTAAAAAGGGTTCATTGAGTTTGGCAATATGGAAGCCATGCAGACCTGGATAAATGTAGTTTTAATGGTGTGATGGGGGCATAAACTAGATAGTAGTGTCTAGTTTAGAGAAAGACAGTACAAAATACACTTAAAGAAGTTTCAATGAGAAAAGAAAGGGAAAGAAAGGATGGAAACTAGAAGGGGCACGACATTCAGTCCCGAAATACTGAAAACTTTTTCTTTTCCATCAATTTACTCTTTTTCAGTGGACTCTTGATATTCCACCAACAAGTAGAACTCAATGACCAATGAAAGCATCAGAAACCCCTATTTCTGCACATGACCTCACTATTCTTAGACACCCTGGCTTTAAGCTTTGCCTGCTTTCCATAACTGTGATATCTAATGATCACAGGATCTTCCTCTTCTTTAATTTCTGTTGCTACCTCTCTACTACAGACTCTTAATACTTCTCACATGGTCTATTTTGTCAGCCTAACAAAAGCTCCCTCTTCTCTTGCCTTTTAACCTAAAAATCCATCCTCCACCTTGCTGTCAAAATAATCTAATAAAACACATTTCTGTTCATGTTACTCCCCTGATGTAAAGGCTTTAGGGGCTTTCCAGTAACAGCCAAATTCAGGACAAACTCATTAAAGTGGTATTCTACTTTTTCCCCACAATACGATTTTAATCAAGTTTCTTTCTCTTATATTCATTTTCCCCAATGTGTACCCTGGGATCCAGTGAGATTGGCCTGTTTATTGTTTCCTGAGTTTTTTCCCGTTGGCCATGAATTCTTTAGCTTGTCTAAACTTATCTATCCTTCAAGTTTCAATTCTGTTGTCTTTTTCTTTTCTTTTTTTTCAGAATTCCCACACTGTTTCTATCCTTTGAACTGTGATAAAACTTTACCCATAGTGATTCTCTTTTTATTATAGATACTTGCATATTATATATACAATACCTACCATACTTAAAGATCTATGAGACTGGAGAATATATTTAATATGTTTTTATTATCGGTATCTTGCATAGGGCATACAGGAAGTATTTAATAAATGTTTGAAGAACATAAATGAACTCCTCAAAATATTTAATATAAAAATTTTGGAGCTCAAAGTGACCTTAGAGATAATACAGTCTAACTCTTTTATTTTATAAAGGAAAGAATTGGAGATAAAAAATGTTAAGTGACTGCCCAAAGTCATGTGGCTGTTGAGCGACAAAGCAGTACCACAAATTCCATTCCCTGGCTTTCAGTCCTGTCCTCTTTCCATTTCATTACAGTACCTGTTTGGGAAGCTTGAATTGAGTCATCATCCTTGTCAACAATGTCCCTGAATTTGGTACCATCATTAGTGTAAAAGACATAGAGTCCTTTCCAGTCTCACAAGTTTATGAGTCCACAACCCAGTGAAAATCTGGGAGAAAGCTCAAGCTACCCACCCAACTTACCAGGCGAAAGAGGCAGATGGTGTTCCCAGTGATGTTGTAGTGTGTCAGAACCTCAGAATCAGTGCTGATCCCAAATGACACGCCTGGGAATTTTTGCACCATGCTATGGAGTATGGGCACTGCTGGTATTTCTAAATCCTAAAAACAAGAGAAAAAATAATACCACAGTGGTTATTTCGAAGGGCAGAGACAAACGATAGGCAAAAGAAATATGATATGATGTTTACCAGAAATCATAGATTTGATTTACTGCCCAGTAACACATGATTTACCCCTAACAATTCAGGTTTAACTGGCAGTGACATTCTTGAATTTTCCAGGCTCTGTAAGTTAATAGGTAACCACGAAATTGTAGCTGAGCCTGAGACTCCTGTCAGGCCTTGTCATAGAGCTTGAAGTTTACTAGGGGCTGAGAGAGGCCTCAAAATCATAAAGGCCTGCCTAGTTTGGCTGCACTGTTGTAGATACACATGAGAAGCAACTCTTCTGGGAACAATTTGTTTAACGGTGAAATAGCAAACAAACTAACATAACCAACTCTATTTTTGTTTAAAGGGCATTTATTTACTCATTCCTGCATGTAGGTTAGAATAATTTTAGAGCACTGAGATAATAGGCAAAAATAGGAGTTATATAGTTTTTAAAACTAACTCTGGGATTAAAGGAAAAGTATGTAAACAACTAACTATGTAGTGCTACAGATTTATAGGTGCCTTGTGACCTGACCAAGGACAAAGAAGTTCCCAACTTCCTGAGACACTTGCTGGGGCCCAGATGCCTGTGGTTGCCGGTTATCACTTGATCCCAACTCCCTCCTCTTCACCCTGCCCTTAACATACAAAGAACCTAAAATTGGTAGTGGCTTAAGATGTACTTTGTTTATTTATTTTGACACAGAGTCTTGCTCTGTCACCCAGGCTAGAGTGCAGTGGCAAAATTTTGGGTCACTGCAACCTCTGCCTCACGGATACTTGTGCCACAGCCTCCTGAGTAGCTGGGACTACAGGTGTTCACCACCATACTTGGCTAATTTTTTCTGTATTTTTAGTAGAGATGTGGTTTTGCCATGTTGCCCAGGCCAGCCTTGAACTCCTGAGCTCAGGCAATCCACCTCCCTCAGGCTCCCAAAGTGCTAGAATTACAGGTGTGAGTCACTGTGCCCGGCCAAGATGTACTTTAGGATGCTAGTCCGCTGTCTTCTTGGTTTACTGGATCTTCAAATAAACTGGCTTTTCCTCCCACCGGCTCTTCCTCTTGAGTTTTGGCTTTGGTTACATTTGTGGATGAAAGGAAAAAATGCAAAAATATGAAATAGACGCCATCAAAAGGGCCAAAAAAGAAAAAAAGAAGAAAAATAAAACAATTAAAATGAAAGCTTAGAAGTTTTAACAAAAGTTTATGCAGGTTATGGAAGGACAGTCCCTCTCTTGCCACTGTAGATAAACCTGAGCTTTGCACATGAAGATGCTGTTCACGCATTCAACTCTGCAGCCCAGGCCTGCAGGAGGCAGCAGAGAAGCCACTTGCGAACAGTGATTCCAGGCCTTCCATAGACGCTGGCATCATTTTCCCTGCTCTCACGGGACCTTTATCCATAGCAGCTCCAGGAAATTAACAGGAACAAACATGTTCTACCCTGCAAGTCCCCAGGCTGAAGGAGGAGATGTGCAAGGAGAAAAGAAGATGGCCAGTTGATATGGTTTGGCTGTGTCCTTACCTAAAATCTCATCTTTAAATGTAATCCCCATAATCCCCACATGTCAAGGGTGGGACCAGGTGGCAGTAATGGGATCATGGGGGCAGTTTCCCCCATGCTGTTCTCGTGATAGTGCATGAGTCACAAGATCTGATGGTTTTTTAAGCGTCTGGCATTCCCCTGCTTGTGCTCATTCTCTCTCCTGCCATCCTGTGAAGAGGTTCCTTCTGCCATGATTGTAAATTTCCTCAGGCCTTCCAAGCTATGCTGAACTGTGATTCAATTAAAACTCTTTCCTTTATAAATTATCCAGTTTTGGGTATGTCTTTATTGGCAGCATGAGAAGAAACTAACATACCCGTCTTGCATCTGGGGTCAAGCAGAGGGAGCTGGTATCTACTCTTCTAGAGGCCATGAACAATAATTAATTGAGGCCTCCTCTCTTATTCTGCTCCTTCAGATGGAATTGCTGGAGGATAAAATGATGGCATCTGGCGGCTGTTTAAGTTATTGCACACTCCTCCAATTCCATGCTCTTGCCCCTTCCCCATCTTTCTGACGGTGTTTTTGTCTACAGCTCAGATTTCTCATTCCTGAAAAATGTTGTCCCTGTCTTTCTCCCTGACTTGCATCTCATTGCAGTGATTTCCAACTGTGTACGCAGAACTGACAGGGTAATCAGGAGTTGTAACTGAGAAATGGAAACAGACAAGAAGGTCTGCTATGAGAGAGTAGGGGCTTGATCAGCTGTGAGGATTTCCAGATGCTACCACCAGAGAAAGATGAAAATGCTGGAATGAGGCAGTCTCATTTATGGCTGCCTTTCTTAGTCAAGAAGCTAATCTGGAAGATGGAGGTTAACACCTTGAATATACAAAATGCCATCATTTTCCAACATTTCAGACAAGGCAAAGAGAAAGAAGGAGAGTCTACCATATTTGGGGGAAAGGCTTTAAAAGGCTGTGCACTGACTAATGTCCAGGATGTTTGGCATCCTGTAAACAGTGTTGCTGGATGATATAAATTGGGTTCACTCTGGCCCCTGCCTATTCATAGGGTGCTATGAGAGTATAGACCAAATGTGTTTAGGACAATGGTGGGGTTCCATGAAGGCATTCTTTCTGCAGATACTGACTTGAGCTTCAAAGCATCCATAGATGAGGAGATGCAGCCCACAGGCTCAGAACTCTTGAAGTAAGTATGAGAAAGATATAATTTAGAGACTGGGAATGTCTTGAAAATAAGAGGTCCCAATGGACAAGATGAAATCAAACTGGGTGGCTGTCTCCCTTTACCCCCACTTCTAATGCAGTGCCATCTGCCAGCAGCAGGTGGCTGCTGTGGTTCCCTTAAGGTAGAACATTTCTGGCTCTTGGGGGAATTGCAAGTAGGGAACTAACCTGGAAGAAGCCTATGACAGCCACCTCAGTGGCAGCAATGAATTCCATGGCAGCTGGGACATCTGTGAGCCACGTGGGTTCCTGGGCAGCACCAGGACCATCTAGAGAGAGAAGCAGAAGATGTCAGGGTACTGAGGCAAGAAGAAGCAGCTCTAAATAATGAGGGCATCTATACCTTTTATCTCTATACTAAGGGCAAGAAGAGCACAATTTATAGGAGTACTGTTGGCATTCCAAGGCATAATATTTTTACTAACATATGGAAGGTGACCCTACTGATGGTCTGTCTCTGAAGGATACTGCCAGACTTCCCTACTCTCTACCAGGCAAAATGCACTTATCCAGGATTTCCTGGAAAGCTTTCTAGGTGTGGAGGAAAAGTACCCAGAGAACCACCATGCTCCCTTTCCTTCTCCTAATAACACTTTCACACTATAGCCACCCAACTACATTTTTCTTTTACCTGAGGATTTCTCAACTTCTGCAGCAACTTCTGCAGCCAGCTCACACGTGAGGAGAAATAAGAGGAACATGAACCTGGACGGGGCAGCTTCCATTGTCCCTCTCCTGCTCCTGCTCCAACCCTGGACTTTGTGTTGGGGAGGCCGACTCAGGGCAGCCTACTCTGTAGCTGATTGGCTGTGGGGTTGTTAGGGCTTTGGGAACTTTGCAGCTGGCTCCAGGGGAGCCTTCAACTTCTGAGATAAAAGACCAAGGTTAGTAATAGGGACTCAGAACATATCCAACCAGAAGAAAGTCAGGTCAGTTTATTTAAATAAAAAATGTAAATATGCTATGCCAGGCATTGATCCTAGCGCTAAGAATAGAAAGATAATTATGATCTGATCCAGCCTCTGCCAGCTTAGATTATCAGTGGGAGAGATGGGCAAGTAAAAAGATTATTTAAATATAAGATGGAAAGTGATATAGAAAAATTCATAGGGTGCTATGACAATACATATTAAGGGTATTAGGGACAATGCTAGGGTTCAATGAAAGTGTTCTTCCTGCGGAGGATGCCGGAGCAGAGTTCTGGGTAAGTAAGATTTTGCCAGGCAACACAAGGTAGAAAGGGAGTTTCATGTAAAGAACTAAAGCACAGGCCGGGCGTGGTGGCTCATACCTGTAATCCCAGAACTTTGGGAGGCTGAGGCAGGTGGATCACGAGGTCAGGAGATTGAGACCATCCTGGCTAACATGGTGAAACCCCATCTCTACTAAAAATACAAAAAATTAGCCAGGTGTGGTGGCGGGCGCCTGTAGTCCCAGCTACTCGGGAGGCTGAGGCAGGAGGATGGCCTGAACCCGGGAGGCAGAGCTTGCAGTGAGCCGAAATAGCACCACTGCACTCCAGCCTGGGCGACAGAGCGAGACTCCGTCTCAAAAAAAAAAAAAAAAAAAAAAAAGAACCAAAGCACAGATATGCAAATATAATGTGTGACAGAATTACTAGTAATTGAGAATGATGAAAAGGAAGGAAGTGATACATGTGGACAGAAAGGCATGTTGGGACCAGCTCACAGCAGGCTTTATATGATACACTAAGCGCGGGAGCATCAATTTTATTCTGTAGGTGATGGGAACCACTGAAAAGTCTTAAGCAGAAGAATGAGATGAAGTTTGATTTTGCTCACAAGTGTCTGAGGAAGTCCAAGATGAGATTTCCACAGGCATTGGGATATGTAGTTTTAAGCTTAGGAGAATTTTCATGTGAAAATATTACAAAAGAAATTAGGAAGCCCTAGCCAGGGCAATTAGGCAAGAGGAAGACATAAAAGGCATCTAAACAGGAAAAGAAAAAGTCAAACTATTTCTCCTTGTTGACAATATGATTGTATGCCTAGAAAGCTCTGAAGACTCTGCCAAAAGGCTACTGGAACTGATGAATGATTTCAGTAAGGTATCAGGAAAAAAATAAGTGTACAAAAATTAGTGGCATTTCTATACAGCAATAATGTCCAGGCTGAGAGTAAAATCAAGAACACAATTTCATTTACAATAGCTACAAATAAAATGAAATGCCTAGGAATACAGATAACCAAGGAGGTAAAATATCTCTACAAGGAGAAATACAAAACACTTTTGAAAGAAATCAGAGGTGACACAAATGAAAAAACACTCCATGCTCATGGGTAGGAAGAATCAGTATCTTCAAAATGGCCATACTGCCCAAAGAAATTAACAGATTCAGTGCTATTCCTATCTAACTACCAACGTCATTCTTCACAGAATTAGAAAAGAAACTATTCTAAAATTTATATGGAACCAAAAAAGAGTCTGACTAGCTAAAGCAATCCTAATCAAAAAGAACAAAAACAGAGGCGTCACATTACCCAACTTCAAACTATACTACAAGGCTACAGTAACCAAAATAGCATGGTACTGGTACAAAAGCAAACACATAGACCAATGGAACAGAATAGAGAACCCAGAAATAAAGTCATATACCTACAACCATCTGATCTTCGACAAAGTTAACAAAACCAATCAATGGGGAAAGGATTCCCTACTCAATAAATGGTGCTGTGATAGCTGGCTAGCCATATGCAGAAGAATGAAACTGCACCCTCATCTTTCACCATATAAAAAGTTAACTCAAGATGAATTAAAGATTTAAGACCTCAAACCATAAAAGTCCTAGAAGAAAACCTAGGAAATACTCTTTTTGACATTAATCTTGACAAGTAATTTTTGGCTAAGTCCTCAAAAGCAATTGCAACAAAAACAAAAATTGACAAGTGGGACCTAATTAAAGAGGTTCTTCAGAGCAAAAGGAACTATTGATAGACAATCTACAAAATGGGAGAAAGCATATGCAAACTATGCATCCAACAAAGGTCTAATATTCAGAATCCATAAGAAACTTAAACAAATCAAGAAGCAAAAAACAAATAACCCCAATAGAAAATGGGCAAAGAGCATAAACAGATACTTCTGAAAAGAAGACACACAAGAGGCCAATAAGCCTACAAAAAATGCTCAACGTTACTAATTATCAGAGAAATGCAAATCAAAGCCAAAATGAGATACAATCTCACACTAGTCAGAATGGCCATTATTAAAAAATCAAAAAACAACAGACACTGTGAGACTGCAGAGAAAAGGGAATGCTTATACATTATTCATGGGGATGTAGCTTAAGCAGTTACGTAGTTCAGCCACTGTGGAAAGCAACTCTAAGTAATGAGGACATCTATACCTTTTATCTCTACAGTAAGGCCAAGGAGAGTACTCCAATTTTTAGGAGTAACGTTAGCATTCCAAGGCATAATATTTTTACGAACGTATGGAGAGTGACCAGTTTGAAGATTTCTCAAAAAACTTGAAACAGAGCTACCATTTGATTCAGCAACCCCATTACTATGTATATATCCAAAGGAAAGTAGATTGTTGTACCAAACAGACATGCACATGTATGTTCATTGTTGTGCCATTCACAATAGCAAAGACACGGAATTAATGTAGTTGCCCATTAATGGTGGATTGGATAAAATATGTGGTGCATATATACCATGATATACTATATGGTCATAATAAAAAAGTAAAATCATGTCCTTTGCAGCAATATGGATGAAGCTGGAGGCCATAATCCTAAGCAAAGCAATGCAGAAACAGAAAACCAACTTCCATATGTTCTCAGTTATAAGTGGGAGCTAAACACTGAACACACATAGACATGAACATAGAAACAGTAGACACTGTGGACTACCTGAGGGGTAAGGGAGGGAGTGGGGCATTTTTTGAAAAACTATCTATTTAGTACTAGGCTCACTACCTGGATGCAATATACCCATGTAACGAACCTGCACATGTACCCTCTATACCTAATATAAAAGTCGAAATTAAAAATAGCTAACTAAATAAGTAAAATGTAGATTTCCCACTGGCTGTATTCTGAATGTGCATTGCCTATTATAGTGTAATAGGGGACCAATTTGTTCCCAAAGATGTAAATATCTCCTCCAGTGTGTTTTCCTCATCCCCATCCCCTCTGAGGGAACTCATGAATGTGAACCATCCAGTTATCATATTTGTTCAAAGCAAGAAAGCAGGGAAATGAAGGTCTCAGCCAGAACACACACAGTTATTGTTTTATTCTTGTTCTCTTGTGTCGTTTACAGTGTCTCTCACAAAAGAAGAACTCCCTCTGGCAGGGGATGTGACTAGGGACTCATTGGGCCAGCAACAACCACAAAAGAATCTAGGCATTAGAATGAACTACTGGAACCTGAGTCAAAGACCTGTTAGTGATAATTTGCCCATTTTCTGGCCTCTAGTTGCTTGAATAGGGGTAAGACAGGGAAATATTAAATGATTGTGTACTGAGATGGAGACGTGGAAGATCTGGCCCTGATGGAGGATCAGAGGGAGCAGGTTGGGTGAAAGCCCGGTTTTAAGCCTCTTGTTCTAGGGACCACGTTGAGTGACAGGGTGGGAAAAGATGCATCAATAAGGAAATGTGGCAGTGTTGAAGAGGGACCCAGCTGTGGACAGGGAGGAGGGACAGGGTGCTGAACACGCCTGAGAGAATTCTTCCAGGTGGCAAGGGTGGGGAAAGGGGTGGATGCATTCATTCTGTCCACTCCTTCTTAATCGACAGGTTCCACTCCCAGCTGAGGTGGTCTTGCTTGTCATCGTCGGTGAAGAAGGACTTGTTGTGGTACGTGCCTCGCGCCAGCATGCCCTTGGGAGCCTCCTCAACTGGAGTGAGGAACTCATACTCCTCAGGCCGAGGTCCATAGCTGCCAACCATAAATGTTGCTTTATCCACTAAGAAGAAAGAAGAGTTCATTAGGGTAAGAGCCTGATAGAGGAAAAACATACACTGCAAACTGGAGAATCTGGACTACAGCCTACAGTGATTAAAGTCAAGAGCAATGGTTTCCAAGCCTAAATAAACATTAGATTTACCTGAGGCATCTTTTTTTTTTTTTAAGATGGAGTTTTGCTCTTGTTGTCCAGGCTGGAGTGCGGAAGCACAATCTCGGCTCACCACAACCTCCACCTCCCAGGTTCCAGTGATTCTCCTGCCTCAACCTCCCGAGCAGCTGGGATTACAGGCATGCGCCACCATGCTTGGCTAATTTTGTATTTTTAGTAGAGACGGGGTTTCTCCATGTTGGTCAGGCTGGTCTCGAACTACCAACCTCAGGTGATCCACCCGCCTCGGCCTCCCAAAGTACTGGGATTACAGGTGTGAGCCACCGCACCTGGCCCTGAGGCATCTTTTTAAAAAAATTATTCTTTAAAACATTTTTTAAGTTGGAGTGCCTTTTAATAATATAGTTTCCTTTGTCCTACTTCCAAAGGCTATGGTTCAGTAACCTTCTGTGGGTCCCAGGGATCAGTGTTTTTAAAAAACTACAAAGTTGATTCTGAGGTAAAGTTGGGGAACCAGTGGCCTAAATCAATGGGGATTAAGCCTGTTTTTTTTTTTTTTGTTGTTGTTGTTGTTTTTTTTATGGAGATATAGCAGATTACACCATTTTAAAAAACTCAGACAAATTGAGACCTCAGTTCTGATCTCAGTCCTGCAATGGCCTAAGTCATATAACATTTTTGAGCCTCCATTTCTTTGTGTATATGATGGACTTTAAGGATCTTCTATCTACAAACTGTCATTCTATGAACATATCAGTTGGGGGAGATAAAGTAACAGATGGTGATGAGAATTCATGGATAGAATAACTGGATGGAACAACAACAGCAGTAAGTTGGTAAAAAAAAAAGTGAAGAACTAGGACAAATGGTGAAAATAGCCAATCAAGTTTATTTATAGGTGGTTAACTGGAATATATATTAAGAATAGTTGGGCATTGAAAAGTATACATAGGCAGATAGGTGGCATATAGTTGGCTAAGTGTTGCTAATAAGTTTGAAAAAACAGTTGCAGACATGTCACTGTCCTTTTGTCTAAGTGAGGTGATACGGGCTTTATGCCCAAAGGAAAATAGGAAATTAAACTTTTTTTTCATGAGACTAGGTATCGGAAAGGCCAATCAATATCTTTCAGGTCAATGGTCTTCTCTGGGATTTGAGAAATTGACTGGTCCTCTATGTCATCCAGATTTATCAGACAATTTCTCCCCTATCTTGCTTATTAATTTGGTGGAAACTGAGACATGCTTTGTTGTTTCTTGCCTCTGGAGGGGACAGACCCTTAGGTAGAAAGGAACTGTAAAGTGCCTCCATCACCTTCCCGCCTCTCATTTCTCCCTGCCTATATTAATGAAAGAAAATTGAAGGCAGGGTCCCAAGGCATGACAAGAAGAATTGCAGATTAAGTAATGTTGTTGTGTTATTTTAATTAGACAGGCTTTTTCAATCCTAGAAAATATTTTTTTTTCTATTTCTTTGTTAGGAAATTGAGCATTGCCTCCCCCTTCCCTCCAATGCCACCCCCACCTACTCCCACCCCAGATACACATGGCACTGGGCAAGTTTTTTCTTTCTTGGTTTTCTCTGACACTTGGGTTTTGTACCTGTGAACTGCCTTTTTTGGTTGTTTACTTTGTAGAGTATTTTTATATACTTTATTTCCTTTAAACTTATCTTGGTTACTCTTCTCCTTTACGAGTGATAATATTGAATCCAAAAAGCTGACTGCTGAACGTTAGCAGCTGATGCAGTCTAAACGAGGTCCCCTGAGCATTGGCCTTGTCAATGTCTATATCAGAGGTGTATTTGTGCCTTTTCCTAGAGCCGGCATCCACAGCTTTTATTGTATTCTCATCTGAGTCTATAGCTAAAAGTTGCTAATAACCAGAAGTTAAAGTATCAATGAGAAGCAGTTTGGGACAGTGTGGAAATGTGGGTTCCCTTACCTTTCACCCCAGTCCTGTAGGTGTGCTGAACGTATTTCAGGCCTGACACAATATCCCTGTTCACCTGCAGGTGGGAAGGAACCAAGATGTTCAGATTAAGAGGGTCTTTCATTTTTTCTCATCTTTCATGCTGATCCTGCCTAGCTGAATCGTCTCTGACAATGAAAAAACTAAAGATTTAGTTCAGAATTGGTGTTTCTATAATTATTTAGCATGGCTGTGAGGCAAAGATTAGAGAGGGGAAATCATAAAATGCAACATTGCCAAACTGGTTTAATTATCGAACATTTTGATTTTTACCGTTTTGGGAGAGAGGAGTGGTTCATTAAAACATTGGCCCAATATTCTTCATTGTATTTCTCCTTTCTCAATGGTCCCAAGAATGGCCTTGAGCTTTCCCTCTCCAATACTGCTGACCAAGAGACCATCCTTGTCTTAGGAAAAGTTATGAAGATACCAATAGAGCACATTATGTAAATATCTAAAAACCACAACCTCAGAGATGATCCACTTACCATATAAAAAACAAACAACAAGGAGGAAAGTGAAAATTCATGTCTAGAAGATGGCTGTGACTGCAATATAACTGAAATAATGGGTGAAATTCACTTGTATCTGGCAAGTATGTTGGATGTCTGTCATTTTCAGACGTTGTCTGAGATCTTGCTATTTTCCCAAGCCTTTCAAAGAAAATTCAGTAACGCAGAATGAAAATGTGGACAGCCCAAGAACTTTGTTTTTCCATGATTCATTTCACCTGGGACTGACCTGGGTTGTCTGTTAATTTTACACAGTCGTTATGTCTATACAAACAAATTAAAGTGGACATTGCATCATTAGCCGAAGAGCTTGGTTATCTGTTCACCAATGTGAAGAATTAAAGCATCTTCAAATAATTTTTCTTCAACAATAATTATGGCTGTCCTTTTGTGTTGGACACAATAGTTCAACCAATCAACCAGTGCTATCTTTTGTTTTGTTGGCAGGGAGGTGGCAGAGCAGTGAACTCTGCCAGCTTAGATTCTTGACTGTCACAGGGTAAATCTGTAGTATAAACCTATGAAAAGCTGTCAGAAAAAAAATTAGCATCATCAAAGAGACTGTGATAAAGCCCAGGCTTTCTAATACTGTGAGTCTCAAATGTAGCTCATAGGAATAGGGAAAATAAATGCACCTTTCTAGATGTCCCGAAGCTTATCCCTTTCACCTAGTGGGAGAAAGACCTAAGAAGAAGAATTATATTGGTGTAGCAATAAGGACTTCAAGACAAAGAGTCTACCATCTCACCAGCGCTCTTCAGTGGGTCCATTTAATATAAATACATTTGGGGTGGGTGAAATAAAACTATGAATATTCATAGAATCCTCTTCTTCTGCCCACATCCCCATCCCTATTGTGTCTCCCACTCCAGGGGGAAGAAGCCTTGGTGTTATGAATCAAAGTGAGAGCTGTGGAAGTCAGAGATACCACATTTCCTTGGGAGGCAGAAAAAAAGTTGGGAAGAACCTAAAATAACAATCGTAGGTCAGGTTTTTAGAAAGTGCTAAGAAGTTTGGGAGGAGAAAAAGAACATTGAGTGCAACTAACAGAGATTGTGAAAGAGGACTTAACATGTGTTACTTGTGTTATAAATGCAAACTTTCTTGGACATTTTTCAAGAGACTTCAGTGAAGATTTAAGTTGTTTTTCAAGGATTTTTGACTTTGATCTGGCATTTCTTCTAATTGTAGCACCATGCTGGGACAAGCCACAGGATGGTTCAACTTTACGTAGGTTACCCAGAGAGCCATCAAACCTCTGAATTAGAGAGTACTCAAAAGCCCCTTTCTGTGGCCTCCTCCTGCATCATCCTAATGTGTAAACCTGTCCACACAGACCCACATACCACATTCCTCCTCCACCTCCCCATCCAGAGGAGAAGCCCCTGTTCCAGAGCTTTCCTTTGCATCTTAGTCACGTCAAAATTTACCTGTCACATTTCATTTGAGGAAACCTGGTTTACCAAATAGACAAATTAATGCAATAGCATCAATGATTAAAAATGAAACTGATGTGCAACCCATTCTAGGCATATTTTGATATAATGCCTTACCAAACCTTCAGGTGCTCCAATAATAAATAATATGACAGGAAACAAGTAAGTGAACCCTAGCTCAGTGTCCATTATAGAGTAGGCATCAACAAATATTTCCAGGATGAAATTATTTTCAGTTATATTTGTATGGGGTAGGGAGGTCATCCATAAACCCTGAATCATATCCTGTACCTTGGGGAAAAAAGTTCCCAGTGTGCAAATAGAGAGAGCAGATGGAGTCTTCCTTGGTGGAGCCCAGGCCCTGGAGACTGAGGCTAAGTGGGAATGAGAGGCCACCAAAGCAAACATAAACCACGAAGTGCAAACACTGCATTTCTAACTTATTTGTTTTCAAAGTCAAAGTTATTTTTCTTGTGATTTTGGCTGCTCATTGGGATATATGGCTCATTGGGATATATTAGATGTCAGTTTATTTCTTATTTAGTTTCCTCTTTCCTGGTTACCTGTTCCACAACTATAATTGTAATTTCCAGTTCTTTAGCAAAGATCACACTTCCTGGATTTATATAATCCTTGAGCAATTAGAGCTGAGGCCCTGTCCCATTTTCTTTTCCTATTGGTTGATTCACTTGTTTGTCCACTTTTCAATATATATTCATGAACTATATGCTATTTACAAAGTTTTGTGTGAAATATTGGAAAGGAGAGATGTACAATTTCACCCTAGATTGAGGTGCTTATATTCTATGAAGAAGAAATGACACAGGTGGTACAACACAAAGCAGTGTGTGCCTCGAGGATGTGTTTGGAGTTCACAGAGGGATCCCATTGGCTTAAGAGATAATGAAGAGTTTAAGAAGTCCTGGCTAGGAAAAGACAGGAGGCAAACGTGGGTCTCAACAGGTAGCCCTCAGGGCTGGGAAGAGGACATTCCAGACCCAGCTTGGGGGTACTAGGGGAGAAACAAACAAAAAGTACCTCAACATGATCATGCAAGAAATGTAGTCACTGATTAAAGAAAAGATTTAAACTTTACAAAAACACACAAGGCAGGATACTTACTTTGAAGTGAATTTTGACTCTATATTCAGAACCTTCCTTTAACACAATGGTTTCCTTTTTGAGGGCTTCCAGATCTCCTGTAGAAGAAGATTTAGAGAGAGTTTATCCTCAAAAGCAGATACACAAGTTAATAAATGACTTTTAAGTCCCGGAAAAATTTGTTGGGCCCACGAGGGCAACATGGTTCACAGGGCCCTCAATTCACAGAGTATTTGAGTTTAGTCCTTGCACACACACACACACACACACACACACACACACACACTTAATGCCTGAAATCTTACAGCTCTGTTATGAAAAACATGAGAGTTTCCCTGCCCCCAAGTTTGATGACAATGCTAAAAATACACAAGACATTACAAATAATGAGTTGTGAAGATAAATCTTTTTTTGGTCCATTTATTCTCTCATTGAGAATTATATTACTGGTCAAATGAAGAGGTTATTAAAGAATATGCCCCTTACCCCTCAAATAAAACATATAAGAAAAATAGTATTTAGGAGTGTCAGCTATTTGTTTTTATAGATTTGGTGATGTTTGTGGCATTTTCTAGCTTTTAAAATTCTACTTGTTTTTATTCATTTTATCACTTTAAGAAAATGTTCACCTTTGTGTTTACTCTTGTATTTTCATTTGCAATTTCATACTATTTTTCTTAAGGAATATCACTGAAGTTATAAAAGCTTCAGGTTCCATAAAACCAGGATCTGTCCCAAATTCCTGTACCCTGATTAAGGAGGTAATCACTCTCTATGCTTTTCTTCATGCATAGCAGCTTGTTAGTGACAGAAAACCCAATTTGGTTTTCCTCTGCTGGGAAAGGGGACAGAGACCAAGTTTTCCTTGCAATACTACCAGGTCCTGCTGAAGAGAACAGATTTCTTTAGCGCTAATTCAGACCTTATCTTGCAAACTGGCAGCTGTACCTGGTAATATTAGGAAGACTCTGAGTTCTGGTGAGAGAGCGTGAGTTTCTCTCCTGGAGAGATGTCAGCATGTCGGGGTAGCTGAATGTGTGTGTGTGCCTGCTCTAATGATTTCAGTTGAACAGGAAGTGTGCCTTCTCAGCCTCTGATTTCCTCCCTCTGACAAAAAAGCCCATATAAGGTAAAGACTGGCTGTGTCCTGTGAGAGGGGAACTACTCTGCTGCTAACTAAGCCAACTGTTCTAGACTTGTGCTTTGTCTGTCTCACAAGAGTCCAATTTTTTCATTTGGTAACTATTTTTTTTTTCCACTAAAAACTTGCCTTTGAAGGCCCCAATCTCCTGGCTCCGTGCTTCTCCTCTCATATCCCCTCTGATGCCCATTTCCTCCACAATAACCCCCTTCCCAGTCTCTCTCCTCCTCAAGCCCTAAGTCTCAGGGAAAGGCTTGACCCTTAGTTACAATAAGGTGAAAGAAAATAACATCTTAATTTGTACGCCTTTAGTAGGAGACGTTGTTTATTTAACAAGAATCAGAGTTTCAAGCTAAAACAATTCAATCTATAGCAGTGGAATTTCTAGTATAATTCCGGATTGCTTCTCACCTTCCAGTAAGTTTTGTAGTGGATAGAAGATCAATACTTTGATGTTTAGACTGTATAAACCTTATAACTTCAGAAGCACACAATTTGTTTCTTAATATTTCCATCAGCAGTCTTTATTGCATAAATAACAATTCTCTTACTATCATGTGGAGACAAAAATCTGTAAATATATCAAATGTGTATGCCTGCACTCTCTTCAATTAAATAGAGATAAAGATTGGGCTTTTCATGAAACATGGTAAATACTGTGCACTCTAAGAGCAATGATTTGTTAACTGGTCCTAGCATATATATCTCTCTGATTCACCAGTTTTCTTCTGTTGGAACAGGAGACAGAGACCAAGTTTTCTTTGTGATATCTTAGGCCCCCTTTGAACAGTACAGATGTGTCTACATACCAGTAAGGTCCATGGTGATTGGTCCCGGGGCACTCTCACAAACCAGGGTGAGCCGGGTGACAACGACATTGGGGGCTTTCGGATCTGCAGGATCGAAAGGGAATGTAAGTACCAAGAAGAGACATGTGTATAGTGGGTGTGTGCATTTCAAGTGGGAGACAGAGAGTATGAAAATAAAAGTGATCTTTCTATCTGGAGTAGAAATAGAAATGGATGTGGCAGGTTTGCTATGCTTGGTCTTGATGGCCTTGTAAATTACAGCAAAGTTATTTCTGCTTTAGGCACTTGTAGGTCCATCTAATTATTGACATCCAACATTTCCTGAATGGCTATGGGTCAGGTACTCTGCTAATTGGGCACTGTCCATTTATATCTCTGGGCCATGTCTTGTTCTGCCGCGGTGTATGTGGAAGAGATGAACGGTTAGGTAAGGACTGAGAAAGAGAGAAAATGGAGAGAGAGAAATACAATTCTAAGTGGTAGCCTGGAATTCTTTCTAAATCCCCTCTGTGTGTTATGTGTGCCTATCTCACTGCTGACTTGCATCTTATCTCTTAAGAAGACTTAATTATACAGTTCATAACTTTAATCAGCATATATAAATTGTGCCTCGCTCACTTTTTCCTGGAAGCAGTTGGTCCTCTTCCCTTTGCTGCTGCTCCTGAGCAGCCAAAATGTCTTCTTCCCTCTCAGCGATCTTCCACCCACCCTGTTCTCTGTACACACATACCTGTCACCACAGGACCATCTCCCAGCAGCGTTTTCTTGTACTTAATTAGACTCTCATCATCTTTGTCCATTTCCTGCAGCTCTTTCAGGGACTTCTGTGGTGGAGGCTTATAATTGAGCTTGCTGTCCAGCTCATCATCGTCATCCTCCTCCACATGTGGCTCTGGGGCTTTTTCAGTCATTCTGATCTATTTCTGGGAGACAGAATGACAGCCCGTTAGTCAACAAGTCATGAATATAAAAGATGTTAGTGGGGCTGCTGTTAGCAGCCTCCTTACCCTCATGGACTTCTCTGATCATCAGTCACTTTCCTGATTGTTTTCCTAATTCAATCTCATTAAATTCTATGAAATAATAATCTAATGTATTCTAGTAATTTCTCTGACCTGCCTGAATTTCTCTGTACCATTGTAGTATCTTCTATTCACTGAACAAAACTGACAAGAAAGAAATCACTCATATGTGAATAACGTACTACGAGTGAAGCAACATGGCACAAAGACTCCTGAACAAATGAAGCAAAAGCCCAGTCAAAAAGCTGTAGGAGTTATCACAGTCCTCCAAATCCAGCCAGCCTGGCTAGCGTCAAAGCTTGCAGCATGCACAGTCTGAGTGATAATGGTGGAGAGAGGCAGGAGAGAGAAGAGAGAGGTGGAGTACTTGCCAGAGAAATGGTTGGCTCCTCCCCATCAATGGAATCTGTCCCTGAACTCCAGCAATGCCTCAAAGATGACTCATGACGAACCGTTGACCTTTATGATACCTGCCTCAGGTGCCTGCATGGTTCACACCCAACACTGCTAATCACCCCTCAAGGGTGGGTACTAGGTTTGCTGTTTTTCTTGAATTCCCCCTAAAACACTTGCATAGTTCTGGCACTTTATACAATTTCCTTGATTGATATATAAGGTTTTATATCTAAAGATATTCTATTCTTTTTAAATGCCACAAAAATAGCAAAGGACAGTTTAAATTCCTCCAGACAAAATCGTAAGTACAAATTTGCCCTTAGCATTTGTCCATCCATTTCCCTTTTCTGGATCCACTTCCCTTTCAGTCTCTCCCCTTCTCCCCTTCCTAGGTTTCCATTGACCTTATAAGGCCCCACCTGGGCATACCCTGGAGTCTTCCTTCATCTCTTATTATCTACATTTACTTGTTTTGTGTTAAAACATTGAGGAGAAATCTAGGCAAGTTATTTACCTGTTAAGGGTTAATGACTGAATAGTAGATTCAAAAATTATTCCTTTTAGAGGATGTATAGTCACAGCTTTTCAGAGCTGAAATGAACCACTGGGGTTCATGTAATCATTGAGGATATTGAGATCCAGAGTTAAGAGAATTGCCCAGGTTCACACAGCTGGATGAGAGGCAGTATACTAACCAAGAGGAAGAAGTCCCTCTGGGAAGAATTTCAGGCCCTGTGGCTGACAGCCACATGAGATGGCTGCCGGGGAGATATTTGGGCAAGGAGATTGTTTTCTGATTTCCTTAATTCTATCTTGAGGGTAACTCTTTTCCCTGCCTGTGGTTAAAGCCTTCATTGCTCCTAAGTGACACAACTATAAGAAAATGTCTGTCACATCACATCCTGAGTGGTTCTGCAAACCTTAATAAAGTCTCCCAGGAGTGAAGATATCTCTGGCCAAAATCAGTTCTAGTTTTGAGTTTCAATGTCACTATTATTGGCAAGAGGAAGAAAAATAATTTGGAAGTAAAGCCAAATGAGAGCAATTTTAATGGAACCAAAAAAAAAAAAAAAAAGAGAAACAAAGAAATAATATCCCTTGGCTCATCAATTCTCTTCCATCTAAATAAGCAGCCAAACATTATGAGCTAGCCTTGACCAACTCTGAAAACAGCATTGCAATGCCCAGGTTCACTTCCTGTACAGGAAGAAAACATGTAGGCCTGTTCCTATGGCAACTCTTGCTTTAGCAGAAGAAACAGCACCACTCAAAGATGAGACTCTAGAGCACAGCAGAATAAACATAGTGACTAATGCAATTCGTATTCCAAACAACACTCAGGGAAAGTGAATGAACTGGTTGGAAAAAAATGAAGGAGGCAGCGTGTAGATGTTGTAGGTTGTGGGAAATTTAATGACATTCATTAAGGGGCAAATGAAGAGCAAGCCAGATAAGACTAATCAGATGAGACAGGGGCATACCCAGAACCCTGGTGATCCCCGGAGGATGGGGGCCACATAACAAACCTGCTGACCGAGCATCGGAACAACGGTTCATAGAGGAAGACATCCCAGCCCCCATGGTCAGGCCTTTCTGAACTGTATCACTTGGTTCTAACAAGTCGCCTGATTGAATGAAACCTGGCCATCAGATGGTAACATTACATCCAGTCACTGGCTCAAGATGATTTCAATAACCTCCAGGAAATTGCAACTATGCAGGCTCAAATCTCAATGTTGAAAAGAGAAAGAGAGAGAAAGAGAAAGAGAGCGAGAGAGGGATTAGGTATAGGACAAGATTTGCCACCTTCTAACAGTATGACCATTGGCATGTCCATTTATCTAACATATAGGTCTTGATCTTCTCATCAGTAAATCTGAGGCTTATGTTCTACATTTTCTCGATTCATTGCAAACAGATATAACAATTGTTTCATAAAAAGAGACACAAATTTACCTAGACATTAAAGAGTGGAGGATACTGTGGGATTTCTGTACAAAATTTTGTTGCAGTCAAAAGGGGGAAATTCAGGGCCACATTAAAATCATTTGGTTTAATTATAGCATAAGAAAAAGAGATATGAGACCAGGTGATCCCAAACTAGCTCATTCTAGAAAGCTGATTAGAAAGAGTAATAATACAACAAATAAAGGACTGGAAGAGCAGTTCTCAGAGAAAGCCTTTTAAAGTAAAATTAGGGTCATGATTATTTGGTGAGCACCCACTGTTTACAAGACACTGTACTTCAGCCATACTGATGTTTAAATTACTCTTCAGAGTAGAGAAGAGGCTGGAAGTTGGGCAATCTAACTATACCAAAAGGGCCCACCTGGTTTGGTTGATTTCTTATTTTTTTTGGAGATTACAGGTCTCTTTTTTAAAAATCTGATAAACATTATGGTAATTATCTCAAGGAAAAAAAAAACAGATAAACCCATGACATTGTGCATATGATCCAGGGGTTTGTGGACCCCTGAAGTCCTTTATAGACTTATTTGGGTTCAAGATCTCCAGATTAGGAACATAACCTCAAAACTATGGAAGCATGAAGCAGAGAGTGGAGTGTTACAGAGGAAGGTTGCTTTTTTGCTTTTGCTTGCTCTCTCTCTCTCTCTCTCTCTTTCTCTTTCTCTCTCTTTCTCTCTTTCTCCCTTTCTTTCTTTGTCTCTCTCTCTCCCTTCTTTCTTTCTCTCTCTCTCTCCCTTCTTTCCTTCCTTCCTTCCTTCCTTTCTTCTTTCCTTCCTTCCTTCCTTCCTTTCTTCTTTCCTTCTTTTTTTGAGGCATAGTTTTACTCTGTCACCCAGGCTGGAGTACAGTGGCTCTATCTTGGCTCACTACAACCTCTGCCTCCTGGACTCAAGCAATTGTCTTGCCTCAGCCTTCTGAGTAGCTGGGACTACGGGCACATGCCACCTGCCTGGCTAATTTTTTGTAGTTATGGTTGAGATAGGGTTTCCCCATTTTGCCCAGGCTGGTCTTGAACACCTGAGCTCAAGAGATCCACCCGCCTTGGCCTCCCAAAGTGCTGGGATTACAGGTGCCTGGGCAGAAGCTTGCTTTTTCCTGGAGCTCCACCAGATCATTGACACAACTTAGTCTCAAGCTGAGAGTCATGTCCACCTGCTCAAAGTGTTGAATATATTGAAGCAGAAGATATCAGGTGACACCTGTGTCTGAGGGCGCATGACCACAAAGCCTGGCAGAGAAGCCCAGGTGCACATGGGTGCAGGAAGTAGACCCTTAGGAGAATTCCGTGGTCATTCCGTTTGATTTTGGATAATGCTCTCTTCATTGAACTAGGCCTTGTTATGCATGCCTGGGTTTGGGTTCTGGCTTTCCTACTAACTAGCTTTTCCCCTGTTAACTGAATGTTGCAACCACTGCGGATCTGAGTTTCCTCATCTTGGGGGATGAGGGATTAGAGCACATCATCTTTAGATGATTACTTTTCTAAGGCCTCCGCATATTTCTCCTGACCTGCAGTCATGGGTCAGCTAAGTTACCATTCAGTTACCTTATTTCACCTGTGAATATGAGAGAATATCTGTCTGTGTTTTGTTATTTAAAATGTATGTGAATCCCCATGCTAAGTGAGTAGACATTAGCTGCTCTTGGCACAGAAACAAAAAAAGGGTAACTACGTGAGATGATGGATATGTTGATTTGCTTCACTAACATTTTTACTATCGATGTGTGTCCCTAAACATTATGTTGTATACCTTAAATATATGCAATAAAATTCATCTTTAAAAGGAAATTTAAAAATTAAAAAATAAAATGTATGTGAATCCCCAACAGATGCTGCATATTTTATTTTATTTTATTTTACTTATTTTTCTCCCAGACATAAAATTATTTTTCTTTCACTGAACAGGTCTTTGCATAATAAAGGGTACCATAATAGTAATAGCAAATTGTTACTGAACACTTGTGAGCCAAAAACTCAGTTAGTACGGGATAAGTGCTTGGCATGCATTATTTCATTCAGTCATCGCAATGTTGTGAGGTAGGCACAATTACATTTTACAAGTGCAAAAACTAAGACATAGAAGAAAATATTAAATATTTCAATTACACAAGCATTTAAAATTCCTTTCCTAATATCACCCTATAGACAGTGAAAAGAGTAATGGTCTGGATTCTAAAAATGAGACATTCGCAATGCATGTATTAACAAGAGATTGATATCGGGAATACATAAATACCTCCTATGAATCAATTTCTTAAAAAGTATTTATTGTATATATTTAAGATGTAAAATATGTCTGGGATACATAGATAGTGAAAAGGTTACTATAGTCAAGCAAATTAACATATCCATCATCTCACCCACTTTTTTTTGTGTGTGGCAAGAGCACCTAAAATCTACTCTTCAGCAAAACTCAAGTACAATACAATATTATTAAGCATTGTACTGCATTTTTAACGTTATTTCTGGGTAACCTCAGTTTCTCCCGAAGCCCCAGCCATAAATGGCATATACAGTTTGACAATGATTTCTCAAATTATCTGTGTGCATATTTAACCACAAACAACAATTTTCTCTTTTTATCCTCCTATTTTATGGATGTGTGTTGAAATGAGAATAGGAATTTTATGAAAATTCTACAGACTGTTTTCCAATCCCATCATCTAAAGGACAACTGATTTTCCTATTGATAATATTGATATTATTAATACAAATTATAATAGTTATCACATGTAGTGCTAAGTGCTTTCTAGAGGATTATCTCATTTAGTTCTTACAGTAACTTTGTTGGCATCATCATTCTCTTTTCCAGACCAGGAAACTAAAGTTCACGTTAAGTAACTTGCCTAAGAAGACATACCACGTGGTAGGCAGAATTAATGTCTGCGCCCAGGTTGTCTGACTTTTAGGCACTATGCTTTATTGCTTCAGTCATCTTTAAGAAGTTATAATAAAATTAGAGTTTGTTAGTCATCTTGGGAATCTACCTGGAGGTGCACAAGCAGAGGTAAATGCTTCTTTGCAAGCTCTGCAGAGACAGCTTTAACAAAGCAGGGAAGTGTCAGATAACGATGTTTCAGCGCAACTCGGTTCCTGCGTTACCTCCTGCAAGTTGCTTAACCTCACTGGGCCCCAGTTTCATCCTCTGCAAAAAGAAGCCGTGGCATGAGAGGATCTCTGAGGCCCCTTCTTAATTTAATGACTCAAATGCTCCCTAATTTAAAGAAGCTTGTGAAATGAGAAAAGAAAAGAGGAAGTAAAAGGGAGATTGGGGAGGACTCAGCCCATCAGCATAGAATCTTCTGGATGGGCTTTCCTCACCTTCCTCAGCTGCTCATCCCCTATTCTACAAAGGGCAGAGCTGAGTTTTGCTTATTTTTGACTTTGGTCCTTTGCACAGGAAAAATGAAATGGAGAATGAACAGTTATATGTTTAACCAGGTTAATGTGGACCCCATTTATTAGGCCCCAAAGCACATATCATTTTTTCACACAGGCTTGCTACTCTAGTTTTCTGTATTTTCTGCTTCACAGATGCGCATACAGATTAACTTTCACATTGGAGGCCTCACATCCTCATGTTTGCTACTCAGCAAAGCACTGGCAAGCATTAGATGTGCTGAGATGGGGACTTAATCTTCTCAGGCTCAATTAAAATGTCGAATTAAATTAGGATGGTTACTCACAGCATGCATATGACATAGCACACATCAATGTTTTTGCTTGCAAATTCAGTGAAATTTCCAAGACTTTGAAAGTGAATTACACTTAAAAATTTACACCCATGTCAGGATAGAGCATCATCTGTTTCATTAATGCAGCTCTAAATGAACTGAGGACAAGAAAAGGTAGAACTCCTGAGTTTAGATTAAACAAATTACCTGGGTAATTCAGAGAAAGGTGACTTTCATGTCTCATAGAACATAGATTGAGTCAGATGGACCAGGGATTCAAAACCAGGCTCTGCATTATGACAGGACTCAATCAAGTTGCTAATTTCACTGAGCCTCAGTTTTATCACCACTAAAATGGGGATATTCTTTTTTACGGGGTTGAAAGATTGGAGAAAACACATGAAAAATTATAGGACTATACTGGTCAAGAATAGATGTTCCGTGAATATTTGTTCCCTTCCTCTTCTTCCTTCCCTGCCCCAGTGTGGTCTGCTTTGTTGCAAAGCTTCACTGAAGCTAGGTAACTGTTTCCACACCAAATACTTTCCCCTGGATGGGAGCTATGTCCCCACTCCTTCCTCCTTAAAAATAGATTTTTGTCTTTGAGGAGTATTAAAGAGATAAGAAGTTCTGGGGAATTGAAAGGATTGTTTAAAAACTGAATCAACCTTAAAATGAGACTATATTATATTTCTTTTAAAAACTTTCATGTAAACAATTTAATTTTAGGTTTTATTTATTGCTCCCTGTCTTCATTGAAGCCAGAGGTCACTCTGCGAATGATGAGAAATGTCAGTGAACACAGGCACAGCTAATGAAGAGAATTCCCTCTGGCTCTGGAGCAAAATACCACAGAGACTTAACTCACGGCCCAAAGCTGGATCTGCAAAATTGTGCTGGATTATGCATCTAGACACACAGGCCATGGATATTAATGTATTAGGTAGAAGAGATAGCGATGAGAGAGAGAGAAGGAAGAGGGGAAAGAGGGAGAGAGAAAGAGGAGAGAGAGAGGAGGGAGAAGGGAGAAAGAGAGAGAGGGAAGAGAGAGAGAAAAGTGGAAATACCAGAAGTAGGGGATTTCTATCAGAGAAGTTCCTATGTGAGCATCAGCATTCTCTGTAACTCCTGCTACCTCCACTTTCCCTGCTGACTAGGATATGTCTGACTTCCCCCAAATCGGGCTGTGGGTCTAGTGCAGGTCTGGAGAGTCAGGCCATCTCTAAAACACTGTTGACATTTCAGAGCTAGTCAAGGATTTGAATGTGCTGTGCTGCTTGCCTGGCAATTTGGTGTATTACGGGATTGCAAATTTGTCTCTCAGGACACCAGAAGCCTTCTTGGTTCGGGATTCCACCCTCTCCCCACCGCCCCTGTCCCTGGTGACATGGAGGAATCCATACTCCCCACTTTGCGGTGCTGCTTTCTACCACCTCAGCCCCATGAAGGACTACGAAAACTTCAAAACTGGATGAGAAAAACCAAAGACAAGATTATTTTGTAAGAGACAATAAATATTGTAATCAATCCAGAGAAGGGCACAAATTACTAGAAACGTAATTTCTTACCATTTGTCTTTGTGAGAGAAACAATTTATTATTTCTTGCCTGTGCATTTTTTAGTGTGTTTTTCTAACCCACATTCATATGCACAAAGAGAGAGAACTCAAAGAGATCCCGTGAGCTTTGCTGAGTGCCCAACGTGTGAAGTCATGCCACCAAGTACCTTCACAAATATTATTTTAAATAATTCTCAAAGAAAACTGTGCATTAAGGAAGCCATTGCCTTCAGTATCTCAATATATTCACAAAAGTTTTAAATTAGCATGAAAAGTTAGACAGAATTGAGAGAGAATTTTTTTTATGACCGTTTGTGCTAAGATTATTAGGCTCTTTAAGAAAGCCCAAGTGAATTTTTACCAGCGGTAAAATTCACTCTTTGGCTGTGGACACCAGAGAGTAACACAACACAGGATGATTCAGGATGTGCTTATTGCACAGATAAATGTTGCTGACGTTTCAGGGGCAACATGAGACTCATCTCTGGGTATGCCAGTGTAGCCTTGAATACAGGATCCCGGGCAGCAATAACACAAACCAGGAATAAGAACTCTCAAAATATGGAATTGGAGAAAATTTCTTCCATGTGATTCTTCCTAAAGAATGTGGGAGATCACCTGAGCCTCAGGAGGTCGAGGCTGCAGTGAGCTGCGTTCACGCCCCTGCACTTCAGCTCGGGTGACAGAGTGAGACTTGTCTCAAAAAAATAATAATAGGCCATGCATGGTGGCTCACGCCTTTAATCCCAGGACTTTGGGAGGCCAAGGCAGGCGGATTGCTTGAGCCCAGGAATTCAAGACCAGCCCTGGCAACATGGAGAAACCCCGTCTCTACTAAAAATGGTAAAATTAGCCAGCGTGGTGATGCGCGCCTATAGTCCCAGCTACTCGGGAGGTTGAGGCGGGAGGATCACGTGAGCCTCCTGAGTAGGTAGGACCACAGGCACGCACCACCATGCCCTGTGAATTGCAATTCAGAGGCATTGTGGCTATTGATCCTTTTTGTATCAGTATGTAATTTTAGTCAAATTATTGAACACTTCTGCATTCTTCTCAGGAACAAAATTTGAAAGTTTTTATCACCAGGCCTGACACATAGAAGGCACTCAATGAATGTTGGTTCTCCTTTTCTATCTGCATAATTTCGACTCCCCAGGGCTTCTCTTTTCCTGCTAGCTGATGTTTGTCATGTACTGTGCTCTCCCAAATCAGCTCAGACCCGTATCTTTCCCTCAGAATGACTTTGTGGTGCTGAGTGTCTACTGAAAACAGAACCTTAATGTTGCTCAGAGCTAACTTCCCTAGGGGACAAACTCATGCTCTCCAAAGCAAGGAAGGACCAAATTCCAGTCGAGGCCTGAAAAATGCTTGCCAGTTTCTGTTCAGTGACAGCATAGTTAGTCCTCAGGTTTTGCATCTGTGAAGCATGGATGGAGAAAGAACTGTCTCTTAGAATTTCACACATCTCACAAAAGAGTAAGATGCTCTTGTTACTAAGCTTGTGCTATATCTGCTTTGGGAGGGAATATATTCTTACAAATTAAAAAAACACAAAGCCAATGGCAAGATTCACGATGCCTGCTAGGGACTGGACCTCTGCCCCCTGTCTCTCCGGACCAACAGGTGCCATGGTCCTCTTGATCTCCTGTGCCTGACCATCCCTGCAGTGAAGATGGCCAGGCCAACCCTGACTCCAGGGGCTCTAGGTCTCCATGTGAAGTGGTGACCATGAGCCCTCCGGGTGAGAGCAGTCTGCCTTTCCCCACTCTGAATGAAGAACTGCCCAGGGCTTGCCAGACACACACCTCAAGTTACCATAGGTCTAGAGTTTAATTACAGATTATGTTTATGAAACATGCTGGCTGGGAAGTCCTCTAAAAGGGAAGAAAGTATTTCAGGTCATACCTAAAGCACTTCTCCTAATGGTGGCTGAAATTCAGACCTTGACATTTTGAAGGCCCACTGATCAGCTGTCCTAGCTGGGCCCCCTTGAATTTTTCTCAAACCTGTCTCTTAATACGTTATTTGGTGTTTTCCATGTTTGCTGTTAGTTATCTCATACCTAAAGGGCTATTATCATTATTAATATTTTTATTTTTTGAGCCAGAGTTTCGCTCTTGTTGCCCATGCTGGAGTGCAATGGCGTGATCTTGGCTCACTGCAACCCCTGCCTCCTGGGTTCAAGTGATTCTCCTGCCTCAGCCTCCCAAATAACTGGGATTACAGGGATGCACCACCACACCCAGCTAATTTTGTATTTTCAGTAGAGATGGGGTTTCACCATGTTGGTCAAGCCGGTCTTGAACTCCTGACCTCAGGTGATCTACCCGCCTCGGCCTCCCAAAGTGCTGGGATTGCAGGCGTGAGCCACCACGCCCAGCCCTATTATTATTTTTGACAACAACAGCAAAGATCTGCCCATCCGACTGCAGGAATTTAATACACAGCCTTTGTCAGTGGTAGAAATTCTATCACTGTATGACTCATGAGTACATAACAATGTGCTATACCATACTTCCTCTTTGAGGGATAAAGCCCCTGCACTCTAAGGGAGGATTTCATTATGCATTTCTCTTATATCACCAGAAAATTATTTAGTGGAAGACAGTTTAATATTTGACAGCTTTGAACCATTTTTTTTTCTCTTTCAACCAGTCTTTTTACATTGTCTGCTTAAAAACAGGAAACCACATATCTCCACCCCAGCACAACCCACCATCCACCAGCACAGACCGTATCATTTTGGATCTACAGTCTTTTTCTTCCAAGCCTGGCCAGGTGCCTGCTCCTACTTTGCAGGAAACCCCTCCAGGCACTCCCGGTGCGTGTTCTCAGAGCCCTTCTGAGAATATTCAGGATTGCACTTCCTGGGCTGCAGCGCACCCTGTACCCTCCTTTTTTAAGCCTCCTCCCCTGAGTCACTGCTACCCTTCCCTCCTCTAACTTCCCCTTCTCTGCAGCCTCCTTAGCAATTTCTTATCATAAAGTTTGTTTTAAAGAAGAACTGCCCCTCTAAAAAAATAATAAACTGTCGAGGGCGGTAGCCCCGTCTAGAGGTTTCCGACTTTGCTCTGTGCCCACCTGAAGCCTCCCCAGCCCGAGGTATTTGAACTTACATTCAGTGCTTCACGTCTCTGTCCGGGGTGCCTCTGTCTCTCAACTCTGACTTCTGAGTACTGGCAGTTAGAACAGGAAGGAAGTCAATGAGAAAAAAAAATGTTTTAGACCTACTTGAAGAGGAAACCCTGGGCTGTCTCAAATCCTGTTCCTTTGCACTGCCTATCTCTTGATCAGCCAACTTGAGCAGCATTCTTGTCAATTAATGGCACATGTGCGAGCATGACAGCCCGTGTGACGTGGAGATGCATGAATGTACACGCAAGAGTGTGGAGCCTATAGCTATGGGTATTATGAATAATTGTGAGGGTATTTCTGATAATCAGGTCATTGCAGTGCATAAGCCTATGGAGGTAAGGAGCCTGAAACCAGTAGCAATAAATTCACATCGGCTTTACTTTGTACCACTCACTTCTGTTCCCACTGGGTCCCCGCCAGCTTCATTATCAACCAGATACGTTGAAAGTTTGCTGGCAGTGAATGTAGAGTGCTAAGAAATGATGATTGTTAACTGCATATACTACGGTCCTAAATTTAAAAATGTGTCCTTAAACAGATTTTTGGAGTTTTGTTGGTTATAATTTCAAGACGTAGCTTTGTATTGCACTACAAACAGTCAAATATTGTTTTTAATAGTTTTGGCTGATTTTTCTTCAAATGAAACAAACAAGCAAGCGAAAGTACTGTCTTTGATGAAACCTAGGAAAGAAATTACAAAAGGAAGTAAAACTTCATTAATTCATAGTCTTCCAACTCAGAATTTGTGACAACTTAACAAGTGCCAAAATAGACTTTGTACCATATTTGAGGAAATGGTTTATGAAGTAATTTAAATGGGAACAAGTCTCGGAGGCCATGTTTAAACCATCTGAGGAACAGTTTTTAAGCAGCCAAGTCACATTCATGCTGTATATTCCCGTAGCTGTTACCAATAATAAATGCTTATTTAGGTTAATATTTCAATATTCAGTATTTACACTACATCAATATATTTAGATCTGACTAAGCACACAAATTTGGAGAAACTGACGTTTATTTTGTTTTCACCTAAATGTACTGCATCTTCTTCATTTCCCTTTGTAAATTGATACCACAGGGTTTGCCTTCTACTTAGAGTCAATGAAATCGGAATAATCAAGGGAGTCATTTCACGTGAGAAGAGATTAGCCTAGAAAAATATGAAAAGGAAAATAGTATATAATTAAAATGAGCAAAAATACTAAAAGCCTAATACCACTTTATTCTATAAATTTTAAAATAGCATAGACAGAATACAGCCCTTGAAACAATGTACATAACTTTATTGTAAAAACAAAGCAAACCCTAATTTACACAGAAGGCAGTAACTTACACATTCTATAGCTCTGCACCCTCAAGAGGGGATACATTTATTCATTCCATAACATTTATCGAGCACCTCTTTTCTTTCAAGTACTGTTCTAGTTCCCTTGTGCAGCAATAGACCGCAGGCGACATCTCTGCTGCCCTGTGGAACTTATGTTGTACCTAGGAGACAATTAAAATAACACAGGCAGAATACATTAATTGTAACAAGAAATATTTAAAAATGAAAAATGGTAAATGCATGGTCTCTATTCCACCACTCATTTCTCATGTTATTAGGGAACACCTCACTAGGCAAACCTGGCTTTTTTTTTCCCTCCAGAGCCCAGTGTATATCGGAGGGTATGGGAGCACCCCTTCCCAGAAAAATCTGTAAAATCAATACATATTTTACAGATTTGTATTATAGATTAATGTATTTATTGGGGGATGAGAGAGCATTCATAATTTTAGAAAGTTCTAAAAGGACTCCAATTATCAAAATATACTTAATTCCTGGTCATATGCAAGGAGCCACGGAAAGGTACAGAAATAAACAAGACACAGTCCTAGACCTCAAGTAGCTAAAAGATGTAATGGGGAAGACAGAAGCAGACAAATTTAATTTTTTTTTTGTCAGCATAGGAAAAGAAAAAATACATGGTGTGTTTTGAGAGTACATGTAAGGACATCAAGGAAGGCTTTTTGGAGGAAGTGACCACTGCGCTCAGTTAAGAGGGAGAGTAGGTTTTGAGTAGTTGATGAGCGAAGGGTTGGGAGTGAAAGAGAAGGCACTCGAGGTAGAGGAGAAACATGAGCAGCAACACGGCCCTGGCCTCCCAAAATGATGTGGGATATGCAGGGTATTATAAGCAAGCAGCTCAAGATTGTTGGAATGTAAAGTGGAAGTTACATGTGAATGAGAAATATACCTAGAGCAGGGCAGGCACAGTGTTCAGATCACCACGGACCTCTTATGCCATGTTAATAACGAACTCGGCCTAGATCCTATCAGTGATGGGGAACTGTTGAAAGTAAAGGATGGACATGATTGTTTTGCATTTCACTTAGTTTACTCTGGCAAACTGATGTGGTTGGATTTGATGTGAATAAAATCTATTAGGAGACTGTTTAGGCTTGAACACTCATAATGAGATAGACAGAAATGGTCAGATTTGAGAAATATTTAGGTGAAATTGGCATGCCCTGGTAATTGGTGGGATGTGAAGGATGAGGATGAGGAGGACTGTGGAATCAGGAATGACTTCTGGATTTTTTTGCTAGAATGATTGGGTCCTTGGGGGTACCCCCAAGTGAGATAGAGAATACAAAAGAAGAAATAGATGTATTAGGAGAAATAAGGACATACGTTTGGACGTGTCTAGTCCTGAGTTTGAAAAAAAATGGTGTCGTTTGTTGGAGATGATTTCTGAAAGATAGTGAAATATATAAGCCTGAATTTACATATCATCAGACTATGGATAGTAATTTAAACCAGGACACCCAAAGTGTGGCCTGTGTACCAGCAGACTACCATCACCCAGGAACTCCTTAGAAATAAATGCAAAGTCTCAGGCCAAACCTCCTACATCAGAATCTCTCCCGGAGGTTGGACCTGGAAATCTATGTTTTAAAAAGCTCTGCAGGTAAACTTTGAGGTTTTAGAAACACTGGTTTAAACTATGTAAGTGGATGGATTCACCCAGAAGGAATGGAGAAAGAGAAGTTGGCCAAGCATGGGGCAATCCTGTTAGCTCCACTTTCGGTGAATAACCTGCTGACAGCTTCTTACCTCCTCCTTGTTTAGCACCCTAGCCTACCATCATTGTGCCTCTGCTGGACTTTCATAGCATTCTCTTTATATGTTTTCTATTTCCATAATAGTCTGATTTAACCTTTATTCTCATAACAGACTAAAAAGCATACTCATAATCACATCTTTCCTTCGTTTTCAGACCTCTAGGGATCTTTCATCCACTTAAAATAAAATAGAATTCTATTTTCACCTATATCTGCAAATTGGCTTATTGTAGTAGCCATCTTCCAAGACAGCCTCCAGTGATTCTGGTATTCAACCCTGATCACATTGTATCAAGATTGTTCTGTGTGGCCAATAGAATATGGCAGAAATGATGGCATGTCGCTTCCAAGGTTGTTAGACATTGTGTCTTTTCTCTTGATTTCTCTTAGATCATTCATTCTGTGGGAAGCAGGGCACCATGTCATAAGGACACTCAAGCCCCCTGTGGAGTGGTCCATGTGGTGAGGACCAAAAGCTGTCTGAGTGGACCATCCTGGAAATGAAGGTTTCAGCTCCAGATGATGACAGCTCTGGCTGACAGCATGACTGTAACCTCATGGAAGATGTGAGCAGGAACCACCCAGCTATGCCGCTCCTGATTGACCCATAGAAACTGTGGGAGATAAGAAATATCTATTGTTATGGGCTACTAAATTTTGGGGTAATTTGTCATGTAGCACTATAATTCTAACATACTCATGATCTAGCCACTTGCTAGATCCTCCAGACTCATCTGGTAACGCTTAGCCCTTGTTTCCTCCATTCCAGATCATGCCCCTCTTGCTAATCTTTTAATGAGAAACAGGTTCCCATTTTAGGGATCATTCTCTTTGCAGAAATGTTCTTCCTTTAAATAATCATACCTGATTCATTTCTTTCTTTATTCAGATCTCTGCTCATATGTCAATTTCTCAGAGAGGTCTTTTTTAACCATTATATTTAAAATAGTGCCTCTATTTCATCATTTTGCTTTATTTCTAGCATGTAACATCCCTTGACATATTTCCCATGTATTATTTTTTCTGTTTGTTATCCACGTCTCCACAAGACTGTGAGCTCTATAAGGTCAGGGACCTTGTCTTATTCACTGCTGTATCCCAGAGACTAGAGCACTGACTGAAAACATAGTATACTGTCAATAAATACCAGCAGAATTAATGAGAAAGGCCCACATACTAGGAAACCTCAGTATTTAGAAAAGATGAAGTGAGAGATGCCTACAAAGGAAGAAAAGGAGGAATGGCTTGAGAGGGGAGTATAGGAAAAGGGGAAACAGCTCTGCCTGCTGAGTCAAGTCACCTATATTGCAGCTTTGAAGAAATATTTATCTGATTGCCACTATGTTGAAGTTGCTATGCATCCTTCTTATGAATTTTTGAATAACAAATTTATTTAAATTTACACTTTGAAATACTTATAGGTTTACAGAAAATTGAAATGTTCACTCTCTCTCCGCCAATGTCACCATCTTGCATAAATATGTATAATATCAACCCAGGAAACTGACATTGATACAATTCACAGAGCCTGCTCCTATTTCTCCAGTTACATATGCACTCGTGTGTGTGTGTGTGTGTGTGTGTCTGTGTGTGTGTGTGTAATTCTATGCAATTTTATTGCATGTGAAGCTTCTTCTAACTACCACCACAATGAAGTTACAGAACTCTGCCATCTCTGTGAGGCTTACTTGTTCTACCCTTCTGTAGCCACACCCACCTCCTCACACCCATCCCTAACACCTGGTGACCACTAAATTGTTCACCCTCTCTATAAATTTTTTAATTTTAAAAATATTAAATAAATGGATGATAGACTAGATAAACAAAATGTGGTACATATACACCATGGAATACTATGAAGCCATAACAAAGAACATAAAAAAGCCTTAAAAAAGGAGATCATGTCCTTTGCAGGGACATAGATGGAGCTGGAGGCCCTTATCCTTAGCAAACTAATGCAGAAACAGAAAACCAAATACTGTATATTCTCACTTATAAGTGGGAGCTCAGTGATGAGAACACATGGATGCACAGAGGGAAACAACACGCACTGAGGCCTATTGGAGAATGGAGGGTGGGAAGAGGGAGAAGATCAGGAAAAATTACTCATGGATATTAGGCTTTATACCTGGGTGATGAAATAATGTGTACAACAAACCCCCGTCTACCTATGTAACAAACCTGCACACGTACCCCTGAACTTAAAATAAAAAATTTTAAAAAGAATATTATGTAAACGGAATCATACGTACATTTGTAATTGGCTTTTTTCCTTTAGCATAATTTCCTTGAGGTTCATACCAGTTGTTGTAGGTATCAATAACTTCATTTCCTTTTACGGCTGAGCAGTATTTTCATGGTATAAAAGTACCACAGTTTGTGTAACTATTCACTCATTATAGGAAATTTGGATAGTTTCCAGTTTGGGGCTAGTATGAATAAAGCTGCTATAAACACTTGTGGACACAAGTTTTCACTTCACTGGATGAACACCCAAAAGTGCAATTGCTAGGTTGCATGGTAAATCCATGTTTATTTTTAGGAAAACTGGCCAAATGGTTTTCCACAGTGGCTGTTCCATTTTACACTCCCACTCACAATGCACAAGTGATCCAGCTTCTCCTATATCTGTGCAATCATTTAGTGTTACACTATGTTTTTTTTTAATCATTATCATAGGTGTGTGGTGATTTCTCATTGTGGTTTTAATTTGCATTTCCCTAATGGATGATTATGGTGAATATATTTTTGTGTGCTTGTAATCTACATATCCTCGTCAGTGAAATGTTTACACGTATTTCTTGTTCATTTTCTAATTGAATTGGTTGCCTTTTTAATCTCAAGTTTTGAGAGTTCTTTACATTTTTGAGGTACAAATCCCTTGTTGGGTATAGGATTTTCAAATACCATCTTCCAATTTGTAATTTGTCTTTCAATTCCCCCATCAGAGTTTCTCACAGAGCAAATATTTTTAATTTTAATGAGGTCAAATTTATCCATTTTTACTGTTATGGATTGTGTTTTCACTGGCAAGTGTAAGAACTTTTCACTTAGTCCAAGGGCCTGGAGATTTTCTCTCATATTTTTAAATTAAAGTTTCATAGTTTTACATGTTATATTTTAGTCTGTGATTCATTTGAGTTAATTTCCGTACTAGGTGTGAGGTTTTTGGGGTGCATAATATGTGAGGTTTAAGATTCTTTCTCTCCTCTTCCTTCTCCTCCTTCTCTTTCTCCTTCTCCTCTTGGTTTATGGATACCCATAGACAAAGTGTCCATGCTTTCCAGCACCACTTGTTGAACAGACCATCCCTCTCCCATTGAATTGCTTTTGTCTCTTTGGTCAAAAATTAATTGGGCATATTTGTGTAGGTCTATATCTGAGTTTTCTACTCTGTTTCACTGATGTGTAGGTTTTCATAGCTTCTTTATGAGAATCCTATTCTAGTAGAATTCCTAGTTCTATTCCTAGTTTGCTGAGAGTTTTTATCATTAATGGGTTTTGGATTTTGTTAATCATATTTTCATCAATTGATGTGATCATATGATTTTCTTTTTTAGCTTGTTAATATAATGGATTATGTTGATTAATTTTTGAATATTTAATAAGCCTTGCAAGCTGGAATAAATCCCACTTGACTGTAGTGTATTATTCTTTTTATACATTGCTGTATTTAATTTGATAATATTTTGTTAAGAATTTTTGCATCTAAATTTATGAGAGATACTGGTCTGTAATTTCCTTTTTAAATTTCTTTGTGTGGTTTTGGTGTCAGGATAAAATAGGCCTCACGAAATGAGTTGGGAAGTGTTTCCTCTTATCTGTTTTCTGGAAAAGAATATTGTGTTTTTAATTCATAAGTTTTTTTCCAAGATTAATGTTGTTCTGGAGAATCAAACGTAGGGTATTTAGGGAAAGAGGGGCCAGGCTTGTACATTCCTTTTTCACGTTTAGTGTGTTCCCCTCTGGAGTCCACTATGCATTAGTCAGAGTGGAAAGTTCAGTCTAGGAGATTCCAAATGTGGAGGAAATGTGACTTTAATGTGTCTTCCCACTCACTGGTATTTTAAGAAGCACTAAAGAAAGATTAGAGATTAGCGCTTGCATAAGCAGCTAAAGGACAGCTAAATTTTTAATTACTTTCTAATTACTTAGTACCTGCACTCTACTTTCCAATATATAATTAATAACACTTTTCCATCTGTCAGAAGGGATCAAGAACCAGAAGTTATAGAGCTATGGAATACAGATTTAAGAAAATAATTTTATTATATTTAGTCATAAAATTTGCATACAGTAGAGCTTACTCCTTGTGATGGACATATGGGTTTTGACAAATGCATCGAGTTGTATATCTACCACTATGATCAGGATTCCAAATAATTCCATCACCGCTCCTAAAATTTCTTGGATTTTCTCTTTGGAGTCAACTTCTCCACTCAATCACGGTCCCAAGCACCCAGTGATCTATTCTCCAATCCTACAGTTTTGCCTTGCCAGAATGTCAAAAATGAAGTCAAACAGTACACTGCCTTTTGACTGTGGATTTTTTCATTTAGCAAAATGTTTCTGTGATTTATTTATGTTATTGAATGTATCAATAGCGAGGTTCCCATTAGCTTTATTTCTTGTTTCTGTGAAAGCTTAGAGTGTTCAATACGCCAAAGTTATTTTGGAGGAATTCCTTTGAGATTGGTCATTTTGCTTATAGCCATATAGCCCGATTACCTGGTTGATAAGATGAGAGACAAACTGACCAGAAATCAGCCATCACTAGACTAGGCAATGAACTATGAAGGGATCTGGTAAAACTACTCCATCCAACAGAGGTGATGTGTATTGATTGTTGCTTGCCCAGCCTACACCAATCCCCTGAGAGTCAGTAGGAGTCAGAGTAGCAGAGACAGGAAGAGCAGCCACTTCAAACAGGGAACAGTGGGTGAATCCTTGATCCAAGATGATGACCAGACCCTTAGAACCTCATAGTGCCTTGAACGATGTTTCGTTCTCCACCAAGCCTTGCTGAAGGTGGTTGAGTTTCTTATCTTCCATTTTTCTTTTCAGATAGACTAAAATTCTTTCTTTTATCATTTATTTTTTGTTTCAAAAAGTTTCCTTAGCCATCTTTTTAGAGTAGGTCTTCTGATTATAGATTCTCTTAGTCTTCCTTTGTTTGAGGATGTCATTATTTCCCCTTATTCCGAAGAAGGATAAATTCACATGACATAGAAGTGAGGGTTGACAGTTCTTTTTCTCAGGACATGAAAAATGTGCCATATCCTTCTAGTCCCCCTGGTTTCTAATGGGAAATCTGCTGTCAGTTGAGTTATTTTTCTTACAGATAAGGTGTTGCTTCTCTTTCACTGCTTTCTACTTTTTTTCTTTGTCTTTAGTTTTCTGAAGTTTAGCCATGGTGTATTTTGGTGTAGATTTCTTTGAGTTTATCCCACTGGGTTTTCCCACCTTCTTGATGTTACACAATTACGTCCTGCACTACATTTGGAACATTTTTAGCCATTATTTCTTCAAGTACTTTTTAAGCTTCATCTCTTTTCTCCTTTCCTTCTGAGATGCTGATGACATAAATATTAGGTCCTTTAGTCTCACAGATCTGTAAGGTTCTATTCATTTTTTTTGTGGGGGGGTGGGTTTATTTTCTGTCTTTTGTTCAGATTGGGTAATTTCTATTTTTCTGTCTTCAAGTTCACTGATTCTTTCTTCTTTATTCTCCATTCTGTTTTTGAGCCTATCCATTAAGTTTTTTATGTTGGTTATTCTATTTTTCAGTTCTAAAATCTTTATTTCATGCTTTTTTACATGCTGTGTTATTTCTGAATGGAGATGAAATTTCCCACTTGGGCTTCTTTGATACCGCTCTGGTAGGGAGAAGAAGGTGGCCTCGTTATGACTGGTTGGAGGTGAAAGTCCAAGATCCCAATGTGGCTTTCTCTGATGCTACTCAGCTAGGGTGGGAGAAAGAAGGTCACCCCGTTGTAGCTGAATCAAGATGAAAGTCTTGGCTCTCCACTCAGACTTTGCTGAGTCATGTCATGTTTTTTTTCCATGGTATTTGACTGGAGTAGGGCGGTTTTTGTTTAAATGTTTTTGTTCTTGCTAGTTTGCTACTCTCTTGGTCACTTGTCTAGAAAAAACAGGCTTTTGGGGAGGTTTTTTGTTTTTTCACTCCTCTTGGTGTTTTTGGGTTACTGTCTTTTCCTGCATCAACATCCGGATATACAAAAAGAAAATTCAGGAAACTTCCTGCCATATTGTTCCTCGCATCTAAAGCCTGTCTTTGGTTTTTCTTCTCTCAAATATTTTGAAATATTCCATATTTCTGTCATATATAGTATCCAGGATTTTTAGCTGTACTTAGCAAGAGGCATGAGAGGAAATGTGTCTACTTTACTTGGTCCAAAACAAGAAGGAACATAGATTTTTAAGACTGTAGAGTAATTTAAGAATTTTCTAATTCTAAACCCCTGAGAACCATATTAGAGTGGCTTTAGGAGAATTTTTCAAACTATACACCTAGACTTTCTCCACACTCCTAATCTCTCCCTCTTCTCTCTCCTGGATTTCCTTTGGAGGAAGAAGACTTATGGCACAACCACCCCCATATTCAAAAATTGAGAATCTGAGAATTGCAAGATTATCTTTCTCAAGTGTACTGGGATGGAAAAAAATTGAGAACCCCAACACTCTAAATCATTCATTTTACATATGAGGAAACTGAGACTCAGAGAGGTGACATATAGCAGATAAGTGGTAAACCCAAGCTTGCATATGGGTCTAGAACAGTACTTTTCAAACATTAATATGCAAACACATCACCTTGGACCTTGTTAAAAAGCAGATTCTGATTCGGTAAGTATGGAGCAGGGCTGAAATCCTGCATTTTTAACAAGTGCACAGATGGTGTTGCTGCTGCTGCACTTTGAGTAACAACATTCTAGAACATTCACTCAGCTTTTGGCACTTTCCACTGTCCTTAAAATTTGTATTCTTTCATCAAGAAAATGGAGAATATGTAAAAGTTTGACAGATAAGCATCTGAACATTAACGTGCCTGGTATGTAATAGTAAAGGAAGATGTGAATGGTAATGGAGATACAGAGGAGGGAGCAGAGGGACTCATCCAGAGACCAAACACTTTCCTGGCTTTGCAAGGTAATCATTGCTTTCAAAACTCAGAGGAATTTTGGTAAAGACCAGTGGAGAGCATATGAATGACTCTCAAGCTGTCTAGTTGCTCATGTAATCTGCTTAGGGCTGCAGGTTAAGAACCTCTCCCTGTCTAGAAAGGATAAATTGACCTTCTTTCTCTGTAATGTTATGGAGTGTAATTTTCTAATAGGTAACAACTGGGGAAAGAACATTGAAATTCACTGGCAAGGCATGGAAGTGACCAGCAAACAGACATCTTGGTCTCTGTCTGCTTTGATGTAGTGCAGCACAAAGACAATTGAATATGCAAGGTACTTCCAGATTTGGGCCCTGTTCCTGGCTCCACTATTAATTTTATTTGCAGTCTTGAATAGGTCACTTAATCTTTCTATGATAAATTTATCAAAAGAGCTTACTGATAACTACCATATGGGTTGAGATCTATTTAAAATACAAAAAGTATTAATCTATTAATAATTAATACTAGTGGATCAATAAAATAGGAAGACTGAGTCAAGGAGTCTCAGTAAATTGGATTGTACCCTAGACCCTACACCCTGAAACATTTAGGTACGGAAGATCCAGCAATCGATTCTCAAATAAGTGTCCTCAGTTAACAATTCCTAGCTGTCATTTGGGCCCTTTCTGTGTCAGATATCAGTTTTGACTCTGAGGTTCCATCTCTCTGAGGAAATTCGCACAATACCAGTTAGGGAGACATACTGTGTGTTTCCCAATGTCACTGCCCGCATGTTCAATGTCCCTGTATAGCAGGAGGCACTGTGGCTCCCTCTCTTCTCTCCAGTTATCTAGAGCCCCATAAGAATTATGTCACTGTGTATATGTGTGTGTGTGATTGCGCACATAGGTGTGTGTTTGTCAGAGAAAGGGAAGAAATGGGGGTATTGAAATCTAAAGGTAAGAATAAAAAAAAGACAGAAGATATTGAATCACAAACTGAAATTTACCCTTGGATATCAACACTTTTTGTGTTTTTGTGAATACAATACCTATTTATTGACTGGAATGAACCCAAGTCAGTTTTGAAAGGGCCTCTAATTATTGGAAAACTCCTAAGCCTGTCCCAGCATCAACCCATGTTCTCCTAACTTCTTTGCACCTGGGTTGCTGTTCTGAGCTTATGACGGTGAGATTAGGCAGCATGAGGGTATTACAGAGAGATAAGTCAGGATGCAAAGATCCTTTTGTCTTTTGCAAAGAAGGCAGCTGGGCAGCTGATAGGAACAACATTCAGCTCCGTGAGTACTTCTGAACTTCTGGTGAATTTGAGCAGGATAATTGAAGGGCTTTGGGGGGTTGATCAGGTTCCAAAAGAAAAATTGCAGAAGAAAACATGTTGGACCTGTGGGCCTGGGCTGTGGCTGGGGATGAAAATGGGAAAGAACATGAAGGAGATACATGCAGACCTTCTTGTTATGCCATGGGACAAGCAAATAAGTGAAACTTGATTATTACAAGGTCACTGCAAAACTTGATTACTGAATTCATTTAGAAGGAGCCCAATAGTGACCTCCCTGTTTGCAGCTTCATAGTAAACAGTTTTCTGAAGAAGGAGGAATCTGTGGCACTAAATAACCACAGAGAAAACAGTTCTTTACTCCCAGGATGTGCCTGCAAACTTGGCCCAGGATGGTGTGAGTGTGAGGAAAAGGAGAAGGGGAGCTGAGAGCATGAGAATGACCACAGGGCAGGGCAGGTGGCTGAGCCTTCTCCCTTTGAGGTCAAGTGTTTGTTCCATTCTGAAGCAGGGTGCTGGCTGGAATTTTGGTAATTTTTTTTTTATGGCTTTGGTTTGGGTCTTGCTTTGCTTTTCAAATTATTGATTTTCTCTGCCTCAGCAGGACCCTGGGTGATATTTATGGGCTCAACCCCAGCAGTACTTCCCTTCCCAGCTCCTTCCTGCCTCTTTCTTTGTCCACCAACAATGGACTGGTCTACCTGTCTATAGCTTTGCTGAGAAAAAGAGAACTGGAAGTGTAAGGTGATAACAGCAGCATCAGAGAGCTGTCTCAGGAACCTCCTAAAACTGCTTTTCAGAGGATCATCCTCTGTCACTATATAGAGCTGGGCTTTGCTGTATAAAGAAACAGAAGATGATTTTTTGCTTTATACAAATCTTTAACTTTGTTAAGTTGACCCTAATCCCAGTCCCCTAAAAAAGTATGCCTTGAAATATTACTTTGCTGCATCCACTTATTTCTGCAGAAAAACAGTTTGTAATCTTCAAAAGGGGAAGGGCTAACATTGCTTTAAATACAGGAAAATGTTCTGGCTCACAAAAGAATAAATTGCCTAATGCTTTTGGAGGAAAAAATATGAAACTTCTTTCAGCTAAAATCAAGTCTGATAATACATTTAAGGTTACTCAGCTCCAGATGCCCTTAGAATTTCTAGAAAGGTGTGGTCAGCATGAGGTTAGCCTTTGGTGATGTTTATGGACAACAGGACTGGCTTCCAATGCAGGAAAAGGTCAGAGGTGTTCTACCCTTCCTAAAGGTTTTGCAGAGAGAATTGGAGGGTAAATCTATGACAGAAACTGCATAGGGATTAGTCGACTGTTCCGGTTACCTAGTGCAAATCCTGAGCACCATTAGGATCAAGGGATTAACCTGGCAACTGTTATGTAACTCTTTCTGAGGAGGCTTCTTTCATATAATGCATCATACTCAGACATGAACACTTTCTAAGCCTAGAGGTGTAACTTCAAAATTATGTAAAAATGCAAAAGAAACTTGCAAGAAAAAAGGGGATGTATCATTGGGGAATATGGATGTCACGTGTGATTTTTAAATTCTTCGGGGTTGCTGTTGGGGTGTCAAAGGAATTCAAGGAAAGCTTCTTAAGACAGAATTTTAAGACCAGAAATAAGTTAACAGTCGGGGTGTTTGAAGGAAGCAGAGAATTACCCAGCGAGGGCAGATGATAATTGCCCCTCTGGTGTATGGCAAGGGCCCTTCAGCAGTTGGCCCAGAGGAAGGAGGTGCAGAGTCCAGGTGAACAAGTGTCATAACCACAGATTTGTTTGCATGGCTTTCTTTTCTCTCAGAAGGTCTAGCATATATTTGCCCTTTTTGAACACTTTGTACCACTCTACTTATATTGTCTTCCTAAAATTTCCCCATAACTCTAAAAGGAAGGTCTTGTTTGATTCATTTTATAGATGGAATAAGACCCACAGAGGATTATGAAATTTATCCTAAGTCACGTAGCCAGTTCTGTGGAGTAGGAACTTAAAACTATATCAGTTTGATTCTAAAGAGTGTACTCTCTACCGTGTTACCATCAAAGGACAATTTGACAAATGAGGGTCACTTTAGGCCCTTACATTATAGAACTCTGGATCCAACTCAATTGGATCTTATTAGGGCTGCCAGATAAAAATGAAGGATGCCAGTTCAATTTGAATTCCAGAAAAAAAATGACTTTTTAAAGTATAAATATGTACCATGAAACAGCTGAGATATACTTTACTAAAAAAAATTATTTCTTTGTAATTCAAATTGAACTGGGTGTCTTGTAATTTTTTTTTTTTTGGCTTAATCTGGCAATTCTAACCCTAATAGATTCTTTAGATGAGAGAAAAGAAACTTTTTGATTTCTTCTACCTTGAAAATCCTGGGCAGTTCAAAAACCTTGATCTGAGAGCAATTCTCTAGCTGCCCTCTGTGACTCTGGCAGGGCTGGGATGTGTCAGTTACTGGTGGTCCACTCTGAGCACAGCGCAGATCTTGGCTGCTCACCAGCTATTCCCAGGGTCCCAACCACACTTGGGACAGACACAAGGTTTGCCTGTCTACCGGGGGTAGAGAGGGCCCACAGAACGGGAACTGAATTTAGTGAGCAGAGGAACTGGCAGTGCATTTCCTAAAGCCTGAAAGCTAATGACTTCTCTGTGCTCTGATGGAGAAGTCAAAGGGTCAGGATCTCATGACCAAGGTTTACAGTATTTGTTCAATTTCTTTTGTTTTTTTTTTTTGTTTTTTTTTTTTGGAGACGGGGTCTTGCCCTGTCGCCCAGGCTGGAGTGCAGTGGCACAATCTCAGCTCACTGCAAACTCCACCTCCTGGGTTCACACCATTCTCCTGCCTCAGCCTCCCAAGTAGCTGGGACTACAGGTGCCCGCCACCACACCTGGCTAATCTTTTGTATTTTTAGTAGAGATGGGGTTTCACCGTGTTAGCCAGGATGGTCTTGATCTCCTGACCTCGTGATCCGCCCGCCTCGGCCTCCCAAAGTGCTGGGATTACAGGCGTGAGCCACCGTGCCTGGCCTGTTCAATTTCTAAATTAATTTATTAACTCATTTGACAAATATAATATATATGGCATGATTACTGTACACCATGCACTGTTGTAGGTTCTGAGACTGGAAGGACAGCCTCATGAAGCTAGTCCAGTAGGGGATAAAGGAAGGAATCACAGCATGAGCAGGTGGTCCAGGGTCCTGGCCAATCTCACCATCCCTGGTACTGGCAAGGGTAATAATTTAGTAATAATCAGAATTTAAATAAGAGAAAAATCTTGGAGGCGAGGATAATAATTGCAACCCAATTGTCAAGGAAATAAGAAAACAGTATGGACTGGAAGTTATAGAATATGAGGTTTCAGGAATATGCAGTGTGGCCAGTAAAGAGAGTCATTGTTAGCACGAGCCAAAGACTGTCAGGGAGGTTTGCAGTTAACAGTATTAGCATAGGCTGGTGTGATGGGTCATGCCTGTAAACCTAGCACTTCGGGAGGCTGAGGCGGGAGGGTCACTTGAGCCCAGGAGTTTGAGGCTGTAGTGAGCTATGATTGCAATTGCACCACTGCACTACAGCCTGGCTGATGGAGCAAGAACTTGTCTCTCTTAAAAAAAAAGAAAAAAGAATATTAGCATAAATCTGCAATGGGTGAAATAAGGAATCTTATGGAGACAAAGCCCCCACACACTAGTTTTTATAGAGGAGACTGTCTCAGGGTAAGAGGCAAAAGCAATTTGGAGTTCTCTGGGGCTTTTCAGGATCTTCCTTCCAAGAGCAAGTTTTGTTAACTCTTACGAAAGAAAGGAAGAAAGAAAATAACGTCATCCAAAATGACACATTAATTGCTTAAATTTATCTTTTTCAATAATTTTCTTTGATTTGTATTTGAAGAATGGCAATGTGCATTTCTGTAGCCAAATTAAAGTCTGAGAACACCATATTGGATAGGTCCGTGGTGTGGATAGAAGAAGGCATTGAAGATTTGTGAAAAGTGGGGGCTGAAGAACCTTATGTCTCGACGTAGAGTTGAAGCACAAACGTATTACTTAATTATCCTTCATTAACTTCTGTATGTGCGTGTGTATTAAGATGTGTTGAATATATTCATGGGTGTTGGTATTCCTGCTTCAGAGGTCCTCCTGTCCAGACAACTACACTGTCATCTCCCAGAACTAAGAGAGAAGTTTCTGGTTCATGTGAGGATTAAACAAAATAATCCTATCTTAAACTATAAGGACATGAAGGACTATAAAAAAACAGAGGCCATAAAAAATGCTCAATAAACATTTAGAGTCAGGTTATTTTACAGCTGGATGGAAGAATATGTAAAGCTTAAAGAAATTGCAGATGCTGTAAAAGACTATAGATATCACTGAGTCCATTTTCCTCTCTTCGTAACTGACAGAACTGGTAGTCACAGAGAAGTACAGCATCATAATAAATTCACGTAGAATGCTTGTGGCAAATCTATTTTATTTATTTATTTTTAAATTTTAATTTGTTATACCTAATGTGAAGCTTTAATTTAATTTATTTATTTAAAAATTGTTTTCAGTGGCAGATCCATGGGAACAGCATAGCTACCTAGATTTCTGAGTTTTAAAATCTATCAATTGTCCGTTTACACAACTGATAGATTGTGTAAGTAATGTAGCAGAAGGTAAGTTTCCATTCCATTCCATTAAGTGCCTGCATTGATTTATACTCTGTTTTCTTAAAGATCCCTTTTAAAGATGATAACTTCTCCCCTTTTGTGTCAACACAAAATACTGAGCTTTCTTGTTGAAGTACTTTTCTTCTCCAGCCTGAAATAAAGATCTAATAACCAATGGTCCCCATGACTTGAAAGATCTTCTTTTTTTTATCTTTCACTGTCTAAGGAGGCTGAAAGGGAAACATCAGCCGCCCGGGGGGAGTTAAAATGAGTGACAACACTACTCTGCCTGCTCCAGCTTCAAACCAGGGTCCTACCACCCCACGCAAAGGCCCTCCCAAGTTCAAGCAGAGGCAGACTCGCCAATTCAAGAGTAAACCTCCAAAGAAAGGTGTGAAAGGGTAAGACCAAAATGAAAAGAAAAACTTTCTATTACTTTCTTTTTCCCACAAGACTGCTTTTGTTTTGGGAAATTGGTGCTCACAATATTAAACAGACTTACAAAAATTTCCACTCCATCCTCTCTTTTCCTCTGTAACTCCATCTTTGATGAATTGTGTCTTTATCCCTGGAATTCTTTCCTTCTCAACTTCCAGGTCTGTGGCCGAATTTAACATGGCAAATAGAGGCTTTTTACAATAAACTTTGACTTTGCCTTGCAGGCTTTTGATGACCACTCCTCTTTACTGAGACAACCTCTACGTTAATCTGTAACACTGAACCACTGACCATTTCCAGAAAATATAGCTTATATTTATGTCTTCCAATTTTGTATCCTCAGTTCTTTATTTTCCTCTTCCTCTCCTTGGCAAAATCCTATTGATTTTTCAACACACAGATCATATGCTAATTTCTTTTTGAAGCTACTCCTGACTCTCTTTAACAAACTATCATTACTTTCATGTTTGCATTTTGTACATTCAGCTATCATAACTTACATTATATCTTATATTTATTTATTTGTATCTATTCTCCGAGGCTAAGACCACTCAGAAAATTTGTCTGTTTTCTTCTTAACTCTCTGTGCTTAATAAAATGCCTGGTATATAATAGATGCTTAGTTAATGATTTTGAATAAGTAAACAAATGGATGAATTCATCATTTTTAATGCCTTTTGTATTGCTTTCTCATTTCAATTTTTATTATAAAAAGTGAAACTTGACTAAGTTGTCCCACTGATGGTTCTTTCTGACTCTTAATTGTTTTAGGTTAAGTTCCTACAGGAGAGAAATATCTCTCCAGTGGGATACACCAAAACCTGCCTGAGTGACATTTTCTTTGCTCCAGTTCAGGGCAAACTAAAGGAGTTTCTCACATACAAACACTTAAACCTCTCCTTCTTCCCCCTTGAATCAAGAAACTCTCCATGTGAGTGACTCCAAAATTCTTTTGCTCTAATCTCAGCTAATTTCTCCTTTATTCTTTTCCATAGATTTGGAGATGACATTCCAGGAATGGAGGGGCTAGGAACAGGTAAGCCATCCACTGATTTAAGTGAGAACTTCGCACTTGGAGTTCTGCCTTTTTATATACTTCAGGCCTCAAGGGGCAGTTGAAAGTTATGAGAAATACCCAAGGCAGAAGATCTGTGAAGACATAGAAATGTGGGGATTTAATTTACCCTCGAAATAAGTACATGTGTGCCCAGATACAAAAGCCCTAAAAGAAATCAGGGTAGGCCCAAAATTTCATAAACCTTCTTGTTTTGTCAAACAACCTTTGAGGGCATACAATGATAAATTATAGACTTTTATGGTAGAAAGATTTTCATAATTCATCTCCCCAAACTTCATTTTTCAAGGGAGAAATCTGAGACATACAGGAATTGGCAGTCTTTTGTCTGAGGCTACCAAGTGAACTATTGGAAATAAGGGTGAGGTCTGGAGATCTCTCCACTCTACCTGGCAAACCACTTCCTTACCAATTTCCTCTTTTTACACATCCTCTAGCACCCAGAGGAGGATCTTACATACTGAATGCCTGCAATATAATTTTAAAAATTGGTTACCAGATTTTTATGTATCATACAATGAATGCAATCACTGCATATTTTTTAAATTAATAGACTTTATTTCTTAGAGGAGTTTAAGACTTACAGAAAAGTTCAGCAGAAAGTAGAGTTCCTATATGTCCTCTCTACCATCTCTCTCCCCTTTTACACAGTTTCCTCTATTATTAACATCTTGTATTAGTGTGATTATATTTGATGAGCCAATGTCGATGCAGTATGTTAATTAAACTCCATAGCTTGAATTAGAGTTTTTATCCCTTGTGTTGTAAAGTTCTAAGGGTTTTGATAAATACCATGTACCCACCATTATAGTACATATTGCAGTACATATAGTATCATACAGAATAGTTTCGCTGCCCTATGCTCCACCCGGTCATCCTTCTCTCTCTCTCTAAACCCCAGACATCCACTAATGTTCTTACTGTCTCTATAGTTTTGCCTTTTCCAGAATGTCATATAGTTAGACTCATACAGTATACAGCTTTTCTGGACTAGCTTCTTTCATTTAACCATATTCATTTAAGGTTTCTCCATGTTTTTATGTGGCTTGATAGCTCATTTTTTAAAATCACGGAATGATACTCCATTGTAGGGATATACACAGTTTTTTATCCTATTGAAAGATACCTTGGTTTCTTCCAAGTTTTGCCAATAATGAATAAAATGCCCCTAAATATTTATGTGCAGGCTTTTGTGTGGACATATTTTCAACTCATCCAACACACCTTTGATAAACAGTAGCACTTGTAGTAATCAGTGTCCTTCCCAGGCAATCCTCAGTGTCTCTTTCTGCAGGCAAATACCAATCCTGGGATCTTGAATGAATTTTCCAGCCATGTTATAAAGCAAATTTTCTATTCTTTTAGATCAACTGCTTCCGTATTTTGGCAAGGTGCATACAAGACCAGCAAATTTGCTTTGGGATCTGGAAGATATGCTTGACTCTGACAGTGTATTTGGAATAATGTAAAGAGGTTTATAGGGAGTGAAGGTCTGAGGTCTTTGACCTGGCTCTAGTCTCAGCTCTACAACTATGTGGTTTTTGCTAATTATTTCATCTTTCTGTGTGTCAGCAAGCTTCTTTGTAACTCAGGGATAATAACATCTTATTGTCTAAAACAAGAAGCTGGATTAAAAGATGCTTTGTGATCGTTTCTCAATATGTGATTGGATATAGGCAATTCAAAATGTAAAGGAATAGAAGAACAATTAGAGAAGAAACCGATCTAGATTGGTAGGGAAGACTATGGATACCTAGACCAGGGAGATTCAAAGTGCTCCTCTTTTTCATTTTAACCCTTGGCCTGACTAGAATTCCACTTCTGCCTCCTCCTTAGTGGTTGTGGTTTGGGGAGACTCTGTGTAATCAGTGGGCTGTACCCCACAGGGAACCCCCCAGTCAACAGCTGTGGATCACCTCCCCAAAGAGGAAGCAGAATGAAACCAACAGAGATGCCTGGTGCAACAATTAAGCAATTGGTCTGATCCTTCCTGGGCCACAGGGCCACGCTAGGGAACTTCCCAGTCAGGGGACAATGAGCAGGAGAGAGGAGTGAAGTGTCTCTGCCTGAAGGGTGTCTTTCTGTGAAGAAGCTCTCTTGGGGTGAGGTTGGCTTACGTGCTCTTCTTCCATCTCTTGCAGATATCACAGTGATTTGTCCATGGGAGGCATTCAGCCACCTGGAATTGCATGAGCTCGCTCAGTTTGGGATTATCTGAAGTGCCAGAGGTTCTGCCACTCTCAATGACATCTGCTGTAATTTTGGTTGCTTTTGCCCTGTTGATCTGCCGGAGTCTTGAAATTCAGCTGATTGGAAGTGGTTTCTTTGACTTTCAAGGTCATTCCCTATCAGTTACTACTAAGAGTTCTCTTACTGTCAGAATCTCTCTTGCAGTACAGCTCAAAATAGTGGATGCATTTCAAACTTGACCACCTTTTCCTACCAGCTAGTTAGAAGTCATCAATATTTCTCTACATTTTGTTTATCTGTAAGTCCTTTAAATCTATTTTTGCTAGGCATTCATTATGATTAATAGTAGACTTTTAAGACAACATTTATGTCACTCCCCACCTCCTCATATTTAATAAAGGAGATATTTACCTTGAATGTTGGTGAAGTTGTATTAAATGCTACGTAGAAATATCTGATGCTGTGTTCTGAGAACCAATTAAACAAAGAAGGCACAGTCATACAGGAAATAAGTGCAGTGCTTACAAAACAGCATAGCATTAAGATTTGAATTCTGTAAGTTTGTAAATTGTATAATTTCCGGGTCTAAATTTTTTTTTTTTTTTTTTTGCGACGGAGTCTCACTCTGTCGCCCAGGCTGGAGTGCAGTGGCACGATCTCGGCTCACTGCAAGCTCCGCCTCCCGGGTTCATGCCATTCTCCTGCCTCAGCCTCCCGAGTAACTGGGACTACAGGCGCCTGCCACCATGCCTGGCTAATTTTTTGTATATTTAGTAGAGATGGGGTTTCACCATGTTGGCCAGGATGGTCTCGATCTCTTGATCTCGTGATCCACCCCCCCTGGGCCTTCCTAAGTGCTGGGATTACAGGCGTGAGCCACTGCGCCCGGCCACTGGGTCTAAATTTTATTGAACTAGGTTATTCCAGAAGTCTCATGCAGCTCTAAGTTGTATAGTTCTAAGTTGGTGAGGAACTGGGATTTAAACTCAGAATTCTGACAATGTGAGCCTTCTTTTCGGTACTCTGGTTGAGGAAGGTTTCCTTCCACGGCATCCCTTCAGTGAAATTATTTTGTCCAATGACTTAAAATGAGAGTCACAGGAGTTACATACATTGACTGCTTTGTGTACATCTGTAGTAAATCTAATCTTTAAACTGTCAATTGAAAAGATTTATATGCTGTAAGGTTTAGACTCATATGCAAAGGATAGGCAGTTGACCCTCTAAATAAAATGGATGGTTTGCCTCACCCCTGAAGTTGTGTCAATGTAATGTGCTCATACTTATCTTTTCTCAATACTTTCAAGGCAATTGTGCAACTCAAATGCTGCCTCTATGTGACTTGGATGCTTTGGAACTAACAGTATGAATTTCTTCATTTCAGTTTTGAAATCTGTGGTAAAAGAATGGAGTAAATTAACCGAAGAGAGAGACAGGATGATAGAGAAGTAAGAGATTCAGGTTCTAATCCTGTCTCTACCAGTAAATTGCAATATAATTTTGGGCAAAGATCTCACCCTTTGTACCTTCAAGTTTTCCTGAATCAGATAATCTAAGGTTCATGGTAGTGATAAATTTTGTGACTTTGTGGTCTTAGAGGAGTGCAGCACTGAGACTTGTGGCTGCTACAAGGCCTGTGTTAACCATTTTGCACGAATGATCAGGTTACCTTCTGGCCAGAAAATTAGAAGTACAAAAGAAAAGCTGAGGTATAGATTCAAAAGTGGAACCATGACATGCAAAGACGCCCAGTGGAAATGTGTGTTTCCTCCTTCAGCAGGAACTCCTGCCTCCACCCAGGCACCTGCTTTCTCTCCTGCCAAAGCTAACCCTTGCCTTTCAAGTCAGCTGCTCCATTTGACAGCCAGTGCCTTCAGTTCATCCCAATTAGGGAGGATTTGCTTCTTCTCCAGCTGGGAGAGACTCTGGTTCACATTTGGCTTACTTTTCAAATATTTCTTTAAAAATGAAGCAATGACATTGACAAAACAGAATGCACTCAAAAGAATGTATCCAAAGGCTACCTAAAGAAGTATCTAGAAACTATGCTACATGGGGAATTGTTGAACGAACTGATAACATTTAGCTGAGAGAAGAAAACATTCATTGCCAGCAAATATTTGAAAAGTTGTAATGGTCCACAGCTGTAACAACCTGAATACACCGGATCTTTTAAAAAAGTAATGGGGAAGGCCGAGTGTGGTGACTCACGCCTCTAATCCCAGCACTTTGGGAGGCTGAGGTGGGCAGATCACAAGGTCATGAGATCAAGACCAGCCTGGCTAACATGGTGAAACCCCGTTTCTACTAAAAATACAAAAAAAAAAAAATATTAGCTGGGTGTGGTGGCATGAGCCTGTAGTCCCAGCTACACAAGAGGCTGAGGCAGGAGAATCACTTGAACCAGGGAAGTGGAGCTTGCAGTGAGCTGAGATCGTGCCACTGCACTCCAGCCTGGTGACAGAGCGAGACCCCATCTAAAAAAAAAAAAAAAAAAAAAAAGGAAAAAAAAGTAATCATGAAGGAGGAAGAAGCAAATATCTTTCACGCCACAGTCTGGCATTTGGGGGTAAGCTGGAGTAGACATAATTTAAAGCCCTTCCAGTATCTAGAATCCTATTATTGCTATTCCTATCATTTTATTATTTTAAATAAGAAACCTCTCAATGTATAGACAACACATATGAAAGAGATAAAGTAAGTCATTGTCCTCATCTGAGTCCTGGCAGCAAAGAGATGACAACCCCAAGCTGGGTAATTGAGGAAAGGTTTAACAAAGGGACTATTTACACAGGCTGGGGAAGAGTTAGTGGCAATCTACAAAGGCCAGTACAGTAACTTCGGGCTAGCAACAGCATAGGAGCCATTGCCAAACCTGGGCCTGAAGCAATCCAGAAATAACATCTCTAATAATAAAGGAGGGGCCCTTGACAAGGCTGTAGGATGTGGCAGAGGGACATAGTTAACATACAGTGATGCTGTAAGTAATCAGGAGGTAAAGGGGTTGTTCCTCCTTCCAATGTCATCCTTCTCCCCTTCTCTACTTCCCTGTTGATGCCTCCCATTGGCTAAACCCAACTGGAAATCAGAGGGCAAAGAATCTCTTTAATGCAGTCATTAAAGTTCACCTTCTCCAGTAACACATAGACACAGGGAGGGGAACAACTCACACTGGGGCTTCTAAGGGGGACGGTGGGAAGATAGAGCATCAGGATAAATAGCTAATGCATGTGGGGCTTAATACCTAAGTGATAGGTTGATGGGTGCAGCAAACCACAATGGCACACGTTTACCTGTGTAACAAACCAGCACATCCTGCACATGTATCCTGCAACTTAAAATTTTTTAAAAAGTTCACCTTCTTCAGCAAAGAGCAAGTGGAGAGTGAATGTGAAGGGGCTAAGAAAATATATATCCATCATAGCAACAGTATTGAAGAGCAGATAGTATTTGTCAGCCAGTGATTTTTAGTTGGAGTTGGGAAATAGCATGCATATGTCTATAGCCTACACAGCTGATTCTGATGCAAAACGCTAGAGTGGAGGAAGAGCAGTGTTGAATAGGAAGAACCCAATAGGCAAAAGAGAACAATAGCAGAAATAATTTATCATAAAGTTTAAGAGTTTGGGGAATTAAAAAAAATCTTCAGACAGTTTTCTGATAATAAGAAACATTGAGAGTCTCTTCTTAAAAGCACATAAAATTTGGGCCTCACTCCAGATTTTCTGAATAAGAATTTCCAAGGGAGAGATATTGAAATCTATGTTATTAAATGAGGGCCCTAGGTGATTCTTACATTTGTGCCAGTTTAAAAACTCTGATGTAATCCAAGCCTACATTTTACACATTAGGAATTAGCTAATTCTTAACTTGTTACCACCCAGTGATCCAGTGGCCAACTTAACCCATTCTTCTTGCCCCCAATAACACATGTAGTCAGTGGGAGAACAGAGGCTAACGTGTATGTGTTCTGACTGTTACATAGTTTTGCTGGCTGATAAAATAGATGTGCCTCACTACTCTAGACCTAACCCAGAAGATGTCAGAGAGCTCAGGAGACAAGGGTTGGACTGAAGCAATTCCAAGAATATAGGGCTGGACAAGTACCACAATTATGACCACTGCCTCACACAGCCACCCTCCCTCCGTAGCCTGTGTCACTCCCTGGCCTCTGCTGCCTCCTCTAACTGGAGTAGGAGGAAGCCAGGGAGGGTGAGAGGCAGGTGGAGGCAGGAGCTGGCTAATCCTCCACCTCTTCCCTGTTTGTTTCAGCACTGGGTAGAAGTTGAGATTAATGGTGCCAGTGAGCTAGGCACTGATTCCTGTTCTCCACAGACCTCAGCCACACTACAGCCAGACAGAAAAAGCAGTGCATAAGGAGAAAATGTTCCTCTTGAGTCTCCACCCTACCTGAATAGGCACAGTGGTCCAAACAATTGCCACTGTGCAGTTGACCTGTGCTGTGAGAAAGCAAAAATCGCCAAAAACAATTTTATAAAACAAAGGAGGAGGAGTTTCTCAACAACTAAAGAAGTGGAGGGAAAACACACGCACAGAAGAATAATCAATTAGACCAATATTCAGCACAAGAGAAAAAAAGATCACACAAGATTGAGCACTATAAAACTAATATAATGAGAACCATGCAAGTGTGACACTGAATTATTTTAAAGGGGAAAATAGGAAAGGAACTATGTTTTATAAAAGGCTACAGGGAAAGGCTTGTACAGGCCACAAAATTGTGTATATATATATAAACTAGCATGATGCTTTTTGCAATATGAGGGCAGAGTCTGATTGATTAAAACCGAAATTCAAAAAAGCAACAATCAAGTTGATTGGCAACATCAGTCACAGTATCTTTTTTTTGGCAAAAACAATTGAGAGGCCTGGGTTCTGCCTGGATCTGCTGCAAAGTACCTGCTAGACAGTCAGCTAATTAATTCACTTTTCTTCTTTGGCCTCAAATATTTGACAATAAAACAGGATCTTAGACATAATGATTGCCAAGTTTCCTTTCAGCAAAAAATTCCAAAAAACGAGTAATACATCTAAATATATTTCAGTTGTTCCCTTTAGACCAGAAGACCTAAAGCACAGAGCCTCAGTTTCCAATTATTTCCAGAGTGCTTGTTTAATATCCCCCGCCTTTTTTTTTTTTTTTTTTCACATTTCTCCAGGGTCCAGTAATAAAGTCGAATCGTGTGTTAGTACTGTCACCTGCTGCAACAAATAAGCACTTCAACACTTGGAGACAACCATTTCTATTAGACTTTTCAATCCACATAGCTAGTTCTGAATTTCTTCCCATCCAATCATTCACCAATTTAAACTGTTGCATTGCTTGGCTAAGGAAAAGTGATCCATAAAAAGGATGAACATTAAAAGGGTATAAAAGTGAACACAGTACAAGATAAGTCGTTTCCACCCAGTGCCCTACATCCCTCTCTCATTCTCAGTCAATCCCTGTTATGCTTTTTGTGAATCCTGCCAGAGACATTCTGTGCATAGACACACTTATATGTATACACTTTTTTTGCACAGTAATAACATACTATATTCGCTATTCTATACTATTTTTGACTTATTTTTTCTTGAAGATAACTCTATGTCTGTACATTTTGATATACCTCATTTTTTAAAGTAGCAGCATATGTTTCATTTGTATAATTGAGGTCTAATTCATTTATCCAGCGTCATATTGATGGACGTTTTGGATATTTTTAGACTTCTACATATTTTCTCAAATGCCTCCATATTTATGCCAGAGTTGTGCAGGTTTATCTCTAGGACCAATTCCTAGGAGTAGAATGGACAGGCTTTGAAGGATATTGCTACATTCGCCTCTGAAAAATTTGTAATCATTAACACAACATATACAACTCATGCATACTTTTCCAAACACTCATACCTTTACATAATATTATTAAATTTTTATTTTGCCTGAAACTGAACAATGTTTCATAAGTTTAAAAGTCACTGTTATGTTCTTGTCAGTGAATTGTCTGCTCTTGTGCTTTGTCTGTTTTCCTATGAAACAGCGAATCTTTGAATTATAAGATCTCTCCCCCATCAGTGTCATCTGTATAAAAGGAAGTATTGGTTTGTCTTATATCTGTGGTACAAATAGCCAAAGCAAACCTAAGCAAGAAAGAACAAAGCCAGAGGCATCACATTACCCAACTTAAAACTATACTATATGGCTACAGTAACCAAAACAGCATGGTACAAAAACAGACATATAGACCGGTGGAACAGAATAGGGAACGCAGAAATAAAGCTGCACATCTACAGCCATCTTATCTTTTACAGAGTTGACAAAAATAAACAATGGAGAAAGGAGTCCCTATTCAATAAATGGTGCTGGGATAGCTGCATATGCAGAAGAATGAAACTGGATTCTTATCTTTACCTATACAAAAATTAACTCAAAACGGATTAAATATTTAAATGTAAGATCTCAAACCATAAGGATCTTAGAAGACAATTTAGAGAACATCATTCTGGATACTGACCATGGGAAAGGATTTATGACTAAGCCCTTAAAAGCAATGGCAACAAAAACAAAAATTGATAAGTGGGACCTAATTAAACTAAAAAGTTCCTGCACAGCAAAAGAAACTATCAACAGAATGAAGAGACAACCTACAGAATGCAAGAAGGTATTTGCAAACTTTACATCCAAAAAAGGTCTAATACCCAGAATCTGCAAGGAACTGAAACAATTACATAAGCAAAAAACAAATAACCTCATTTAAAAGTGGGGAAAAGACATGAACAGACACTTCTCGAAAAAAGACATACAAGTGGCCAACAAACATGAAAAATTGCTCAACGTCACTAATCATCAGAGAAATGCAAACCAAAACCACAATGAAACACCATCTCGCACCAGTCAGAATGGCCATTATTAAAAAGTCAAAGAACAGCAGTTGCTAGTGAGGCTTCAGGAAAAAGGGAATGCTCATACATTGTTAGTGGGCAAGTAAATTCGTTCAGCCTCTATGGAAAGCAGTTTGGAGATTTCTCAAATAACTTAAAACCAAACTACCATTTGACCCAGCAATTCCATTACTGGGTATATACCCAAAAGAAAGCAAAACATTCTACCAAAAAAGACACATGCTCCTCCATGTTCGTCACAGCACTATTCATAATAGCAAAGACTTGGAATCAACCTAGGTACCAATCAATGCTGGATTGGATTAAAAAAACAACACATGGCACATATATTCCATAGAATAATACACAGTCATAGAAAAGAACAAAATTACGTCCTTTGTAGCAACATGGATGCAGGTTGGAGGCCGTTATCCTAAGCTAATTAACACAGGAACAGAAAACCAAATACCATGTGTTCTTATTTATAAATAGGAGCTAAACATTGGGTACACATGGACATAAAGATTGCAACAATAGATACCGGGGACTACTAAACGGGGAGGGAAGGAGGAGGGAAATGGATGAAAAGCTATTGGGTACTATGCTCACTACCTGGATGATGGGATCATTCATATCCCAAATCTCAGCATTACTCAATATACCTGTGTAACAAATCTGCACACATATACTCAAACTAAAACAAAATAATATTGGAAGTTCTAGCCAGAGCAATTAGGCAATAAAAAGAAGTAAAATGCATCCAAATTGGAAGGGAAGAATAAAACTGTTTCTGTTTGCAGATGACATATTCATATAGATAGGAAAGCCTAAAGACTTGGAACTAACCAACAAATTCAGTAAAGTTGCAGGATACAAAATCAACCTATGAAAATCAGTTATGCTTCTATACATTAATAATCAACTATCTGAAAAATAAATTAAGAAAACAAAGTTGTTGATAATAGCATCAAAAGAATAAGATGATAGATGGCCGATTATAAGCAACTAGTGTGCACGGCTCTCATGGAGAGGAAAAGAAGGGATGAATAAATACAACACCTTCAATGGAAACATCCAGGTACTTGCATTGGAATTAATCAAGGAAACAAACTGACCCACACAGAATGAAGAAAAGCAAGACAGGACAATGGCCCACCTGGGAGCATCATGGAGCCTGGGGATCCTTCTCTGCCCAGGGAAGTGGCGAGTGAATGAGTGACAAAACCACACTTCTCCCATAGATCTTTGCAACCCTCAGGTCAGGTGATCTCCTTGTGAACCCACTCCACCAGGGCATTCAGTCTTCAGTCTGACAGACAGAGCTACGTGGAGTCATGGCAGAGCAGCTGCTTGTACATGTATGGAGACCCTGGAGCCTTAGATACTTGGGCTTTCTGGCAAAAGTAGCTGCAGCTCTGGCAAAGTGGAAGGTTGAGTTCCTTCACATACTCCTAGAAAAGAGGCTGAATCCAGGGGGGCTGAGCAGCAACAGCCCACAGGCCCCATGTCCATGGCACCTCACAAGGTAAGACCCATTGGCCTGGAATTCCAGCCAGCTACATAGTATTGGAAGACCTAGCCAGAGAAATCAGGCATGAGAAATAAATCAAGTGCATCCAAATAGGAAAAGAGGAAGTCAAACTATCTCTGTTTGCAGACAACAGGAGTCTATATTTAGAAAACCCCACGGTCTTGGCCCAAACACTCCTTCAGCTGATAAACAACTTCAGCAAAGTTTCAGTATATAAAATTAATGTACAAAAACCACTAGCATTCTCATACACCAGCAATAACCAAACTAAGAGCCAAATCAGAAAGGCAACCCCATTCAAAATTGCCACACACAAAAAATAAAATACCTAGGAATACAGCTAACCAGGGAGTTGAAAGACCTCTACAATGAGAATTACAAAATACTGCTCAAAAAAATCAGAGAAGACACAAACAAATGGAAAAACATCCCATGCTCATGGATAGGAAGAATCAATATCATTAAAATGGCTATAATGCCCAAAGCAATTTACAGATTCAATGCTATTCCTATCAAACTACCAATAACATTCTTCACAGAACTAGAAAAAATTATTTAAAAATTTATATAGGACCAAAAAAGAGCCTGAATAGTCAAGGCAATCCTAAGCAAAAAGAACAAAGCTAGAGGAATCACATTACCCAACTTCAAACTATACTACAAGGCTACAATGACGAAACAGTATGGTATTGGTACAAAAACAGACATATAGACCAATGAAACAGAATAGTGAGCCTAAAAATAAGGACACACATCTATGACCATCTGACCTTTGACAAAGCTGACAAAAACAAGCAATGGGGAAAAGACTCCCTATTTAATAAATGGTGCTGGGATAACTGGCTAGCCGTATGCATAAGATTGAAGCAGGACCCCTTCCTTATACCATATAGAAAAATCAACTCAAGATGGACGAAAGACTTAGATATAAAACCCAAAACTAGAAACACCTGGAAGGCAACCTAGGCAATACCATCCTGGACATAGGAATGGGCAAAGATTTCATAATGAAGACCCCAAAAGTAACTGCAACGAAAGCAAAAATTGATAAATGGGATCTAATTAAACTTTAGAGCTTCTGTACAGCAAAAGAAACTATCAACAGAGTAAACAGACAACCTACAGAATGGGAGAAAATATTTGCAAACTATGCATCTGACAAAGGTCTAATATCTAGCATCTATAAGGAACTTAAATGTACAACAGAAAAACAAACAACCCCATTAAAAAGTGGGCAAAGGACATGAACAGACACTTTTCAAAAGAACACATACAAGTGGCCAATAAGCATATGAAAAAAGCTCAATATCACTGATCATTAGAGAAGTGAAAATCAAAACCACAGTAAGATATCATCTCACACCAGTCAGAATGACTATTATTAAAAAGTGAAAAAGTAACATATGCTGATGAGGTTGCACAGAAAAGGTAACCCTCATACACTGTTGGTGGGAGTGTGAATGAGTTCAACCATTGTGGAAAGCAGTACAACAATTTCTCAAAAGAGCCAAAAGCAGAACTACCATTCAACCCAGCAATTCCATTACTGAGTATATACCCAGAAGAAGATAAAGCATTCTACCATAAAGACACATGCATGTGAATGTTCATTGCAGCACTGTTCACAATAGTGAAAACGTGGAAGCAACCTAAATTACCATCAGTGATAGACTGAATAAAGAAAATGTACATATACACCATGGAATATTATGCAGCCATAAAAAATGTGATCATGTCTTGTGCCAGAACATGGATGGACCTGGAGGTCATTATCTTTAGCAAACTAAGGCAGGAACAGAAAACCAAATACCACATGTTCTCACTTATAAATGGGAGCTAAATGATAAGAATTTATGAACACAAGGAAGGAAACAGCAGACACTGGGGTCTACTTGAAGGTGGAGGGTGGGAGGAAGGAGAGGAGCAGAAAAGATCACTATTGGGTACTGGGCTTATTACCTGGGTGATGTAATAATATGTACAACAAACCCCTGTGACATGTGTTTATCTACGTAACAAACCTTCACATGTACCCCCAAACCTAAAATAAAAATGTTCAAAAAATAAGATACTTAGAAATAAATTTAATCAAGGAAATGGAAGATCTGTACACTGAAAACTGTAACTGAAACATTGATGAAAGAAATTGAAGAAGACAAACATTAATGGAAAGATATTATGTATCTGTGGATTTGAAAAATTACAATTGCTAAAATTTCCATACTACCCAAAGTTATCTCCAGACTCAATGCAGTTACTGTCAAAATTCCAATGGCATTTTTAGCAGAAATAGAAAAAAAATTTAAATTTTGCATGGAACCACAAAGACCCTGAGTAGCCAAGGCAATCTTGAGAAAGAAGAACCAAACTTGAGGCATCACACTTCTTGGTCTCAAATTATATTATAAAACTGCAGCAATCAAAACAGTATGATACTGGCATAAAAACAGACACATGGACCAATGAAACAGAATTGAGAGCTCAAAAATAAACCCACACATATATGGTTAACTAATCTTTAATAAAGTTGCCAAGAATACACAATGGGGAAAGGATAGTCTCTTCAATAAATGGTGTTGGAGAAACTGGATATTCACATGTAAAAAAATGAAATTCAGCCAAGTGTGGTGGCTCATGCCTGTAATCCCAGCACTTTGGGAGGTCGAGGCAGGAGGATTACTTGAGCCCAGGAATAAATGAGCTTGGGCAACATAGTGAGACCCCCATCTCTATATTTACCAAAAAATAAAAAATAATAAAATTGGATCCTTATCTTATACCATACACAAAAATCAACTCAAAATGGATTAAAGACTTGAACCATAAAACTAGGAGAAAACACAGGGGAAACTCTCCTTAACATTGGTCTTGGCAATAACTTTTTGGATAGGACACTAAAAGCACAGGCAACAAAAGTAAAAAGAAACAAATGGACTCCAGAGATGAATAAGTTGAAATGCTCCAAATGCACTTTCTCATCTATAATGTTGAGGAAATACCATCTATTTCATAAGAATGCCTTTTGAAAGTTACATGAAATAAGTGTGTAATGCTTGGCTCATGGTAAATGTCCAATGATCATATTATGATTGCTATATTCTTTGCCATTGTTATAATTATGAATTTCTTGCTTTCTGCATGACGATAGCCTAGCACGGAGATATAGTTTGTTATGAGATCACATTGAAGGGAACCATTAGCTATGCGACAGCACTGGTAGAGGTTGTTGCGTGTGTATGTGTGTAGCTGTGAGCAATGCAGTCAGGAAGAGTAGTAATTTAGGCGAATCTTTCTACTGTTCTCCATTTCCATCATCTCTTGGGTGAACTATTACCACAGCCTCCAAATAATCTTCCTGTTCTCACACCTGTTCCCCAACTCATCCTTCAAATTGTAGCCATCGTGTCTGTTCCCCCAGCCGTAAGAATGTAAACAGCAAGAAACAGTGACCTCGTTATATCATTCTTGACTGTGTAGTCAGTGTCTGGCATGGAGTCTGGCAGATAGCAAGCACTCAATATATTAATATATATGTTGACTGAATTAATAAGTGATGATTTAAAAGACTCTGCCCCGGCATGCCTATCTTGGCCTAAAGTCACCCTCCTGCACATTGACCATGTCTTCATGGACACTGACTTGGCAAAATTGGTAAAATACTATGCTGATGTGGACATCTGTAAATGTAGCATTTGTAAGTTAAGCTGAAATTTTCATATATTCTATTTCTCTTTCTGAAAGTCACCAAACTTACACAAGAGATGTCAGTTAAAGACATTGTGATGGTTAATTTTAGATGTCACTTTGACTGGCTTGAGAGATGCCAGATGGCTGGTGATGCATTGTTTCTGGGTGTGTCTGTGAGGGTGCTTCCACAGGAGATTGGTGAGTGATTCAGTGGCCTGAAAGAGGAAGACCCACCCTCGGTGTGGGTGGGCACCATCCAGTCATCTGGGGACCCTGCTCATGAAAATGAGCAGAAAAATTATCTCCTTCTCTCCCTTCTACAGCAGGATGCTTTTTCTTTTCCTGCCTTTGGACATCAGACTCTAGGTTCTTCTTCAGCTTTTGGACTCTAGGACTTGCACCAGCAGCCTCCGGGGTTGGGGTAGGGGGTGGTTTCAGTCCTCACTGCTGCACTATGGGCTTTCCTGCATCTGATGCTTAGGACATGGACTGACCATGCTACTGGCTGTGAGTCACGCCATTGGCTTCTCTGGCTCTCCAGCTCGAAGTCAGTCTAACTGAAACTTCACCACTGTGATAGTGTAAGCCAGTTCTCCCCATATATATCCCCTTTTGTATAGCCTGTTGGTTCTGTCTCTCTAGAGAACCCTGAATAATACAGATTTTGGTACCAGGAGTGGTTCTTGATAAACAGAATTTTAAGGATAAATTTTCTTAACTGGTTTTAGGGTTTTTGAAATGGGCTGTCTAATCTGATTAGATATAAAAATGCTAAAGACTCTGCTTCTAACAGTACAGAGAGCACAGATAGTCCATGGCATGAACTGTTGTACAGAAAATAAATATATTTGATACTCCTAATTCACCACATACATGAAGCAAGACACTTGGTAACCCTGTGACTGATACTTTCAAACATTTGTGAAAAACCAAGGAATATAATAATGCTAGTTGGTTGTTCCTAACACCACTGGACAAAGTGATGAAAGAAAATGGGAGGAAAGTGGAAGAGGGGTGAGGGAGAAAAAATTACTGAGTGGGTACAATGTACATTATTCAGATGACAGTTACTCTAAAAGTCCAGACTTCACCATTTGGCAATTTATCCATATAACAAAACTACACTCGTACCCCTTAAATTTATACCAAAAAAAGAGAGAAGAAAGTGATGAGCCCATGGATTTGAATTCTTGGCTCTAGGTGCTCATAAACAGCCTAAGAGCTTCTAAGTGTGCCCCGAAGAAGAACCTTCTCTCCTGTAAACACAGGAAATTGTTGAAATTGCTGAAAATCAAACAAGCCTTCATCATGCAATGGTCTGATGTACAATAAACACAAACTCTCAGCCTCTCAGGTGTCGACTATTAAAGTGAGGACATTGATTGGGAAAGACTGTTTTTGTTTTTTTTTTTAAGTTGGGATGGAGATGTGTGGGAGAACCCTGATGAGGCTGGAGACATCGGGCTCCTAAATTCTGATGAACCCTCATCCCTAGTGGCAGTAGCACCCCCATCTCAAGCCCCACCCCCAGTGATATTGGCCTTTCCACCTGTGTCTGAGGGGATTAACCCTTCATTGTCTGAATAAACAGTAATGGCCTCCCCTGAGGGAGCTTCCAAGCAAGACAAGGCTGATTCTCCTCAGGACCCACCTTCACCTCCTCTCTTTGCTTCTAGCCGCATAACCAGACTCAAGTCCCAGCAGACCCCTAAAGGTGAGATAGAAAGTGTGATCCACGAGGAGGTATGCTACACTCCAAAAGAAAGACTTGAGTTTTCTAATTTACACAAGCAGAAATCCAGGGAACACGTGTGGAATGGATATTATGGGTGTGGGATAATGGTAGAAAGAACATAAAGTTGGATCTAGCTGAATTTATTGACTTGGGCCCACTAAGCAGAGATTCTGCATTTAATGTTGCAGCTTGGGGAGTTAGGAAAGGCGCTAACAATCTGTTTGGTTGGTTGGTTGAAACACGGATAAAAAGGTGGCCCACTGTGAGGGAGCTGGAGATGCTCTTCCTTGGTTTACCATAGAGGAAGGGATTCAAAGGCTTAGGGAGATGGGAAGGCTGGAGTGGATTTGTCACTTAAAACCTGCTCACCCCAACTGGGAGGGTCCATAAGATATAGCTTTCACCAATACTTTGGATGGAGGTCCAAACCCCAGAAATAAGGTTTTGTGACTGTTATTTTGAAAGTGTGCAAAAATCTTGGTTGCTGTGACTTGTGGCAAGGCAATTCATATGCTATAGGAGAGGCTTAGCTACTGCTTAAAGGTTGGAGGTGAGGAAGTAAGCCTGGTTTCTTGAGTGTTGCTTATGGCTTTACTCAAATTTTCCTGAAAATATTTCTCTTAGTTCTTTATGCTGTGTAATAATTTCTACCAGCAAGACTAGGAGAATTAAAAAAAAAAAAAAAACAACAAAATGGATTCTTCTTAGAACTGGGCTTAGACTGCCATCTTGTGGATATTTAGCTTCATATTCTAGTGCTGACAAAAACAGGTAAAAGTAAGTGTACACATTGTTTTTTAAATTGACAAGCAGAAATTGTACATATTTTTGGTGTACAATGTGATGTTTTGATATATGTGTACATTGTGGAACAGCCAAATCAAGTAACTTAATTATACATTACCTCACATACTTATTTTTTGTGGTGAAGACTGAAAATCTACTCTGAAAGCAATTTTCAAACATACAATATATTGTTATTAATTGAAGTCATCGTGATTTACCATAGATCTCTTAAACTGATTTATCATGTCCACCTGAAATTTTGTGTCCTTTGACCAACATCTCCCCAATTCTTCCCATCCCCTGGTTTTCAGAAAACATCATTTTATTCTCTGTTTTCATGCGTTCAGTTTTTTCGCACTTCATGTATAGGTGAGGTGAGATCATGTAGTATTTGTCCTCCCGTGCCTGGCTTACTTCACTTAACATAATGTCCTTTAAGTTCATCCATGTGGTTGCAAATGATAGGATTTCCTTCTTTTTTAAGGCTGCATAGTATTCCATTATGTATATATAGCATATTTTCTTCACCCATTCATCCATTGATGGTTGCTTAGGTTGATTCTATATCTTGGCTATTGTGAATAATGCTGCAATGAGCATGGGAGTGCAGATACTTCTTTGACATACTGATTTCATATCCTTTGATATATACCCAGAAGTGGAATTGCTGAATCATATGGTGTTCTCTTTGTAACTTTTTGTGAAACCGCCATATTGTTTTCCACATGGTTGTGATAATTTACATTCTCCCCAAGAGGTGCACGTATATTCTTAAAAAATATTAAAACTAGAAAAGACTTTATATTATTCACCATATGCCCTGATTTTATAAAAGAAAAAAACACTTGAGGCTGAGAGGATAAAATGACTGGTCACCCATGAAATAAAATGAGTTGGTCAATTTGATGGGCCATTGTGATACATCAGCTATGCTTTCCTTTTGAGCTCAGTAATGGAGTAAGAAGGGGTAAGACATAGATTGGACAGACATAAGATTTGGAGTGAGAATAGGATGAGACTCAGAAATGGGATGAGGGATGGTTCTTAGTAATTATTTTATAACAAAATTAGTGTTTCAAAGGCAGTGTAAAAATACTTTCTTAATAAAACTAAAGAAGAGCTTATAAACAGCAAAAGTCTCCATTATACCTTTACTATTCTCTCCACCTCCTGAGGGCAACTCTGTTTCTATTTTTAACCCTCTCATAGTTACCACTATAAATTTAAATAATAGGCTTATGCCTTTATTTAAACAATATTTATATCTTAATATAAAAGATGAGATATTAACTTATTCCCTGGCTACTTTCCCTATATATTCTCATTTCCTAAATTTGATACTTATTTATTTTTACTTTTAGATCTCCTATGGGTTATAATTTTAGCTGATTTTTCTTCTTCCATTATCCTGAATCTTTGCTTATTTAGGATGAGTGCCTTTACCCCTAACCCTTCTTTCTAACTTTCCTCATTCTAAACCTCTATACTCCCCATTCTGTCAATCACTTTTCTTCCACCTTCTCCAGGTTATTGGTACTAACATTCTGTACACTAGCCATACATAAACCTCCCATGGTTTTCCTATAGTTAGATTCTATAATAAAAGCAAAACTAATCAATAGCAGTTACATTGTTATGATGTATGCATTCTTTTTTTTTTTTAAATAAAGCAGGACCCTTCTCTATTCATTCAATATCTGCACTTTCGGGCTACTCAGTGGAACATCTTTTCAATACCAAGATCAAATGAAATATTTTTCCTTACACCTCATCAATTATATAAAGTCTTGTCAAATTTGTTGTTTTATTCCTTCCTGATTTTTTTGATTCTTTTAAAAATCTTTTACCAAAAGAATAATATGCCTTTATCATATTTTCAAGTTTTTCAACTTTTACAATTATTTGGTCTATTGCACCAAATCCCCCAACTGTTCTTGGGGAGACATCCCTATTAGAGCCTCTGTCTCACTGGCCTACTCTGGATTGTTTTTTTCCAAGCTTGTAGAATAGCAATGTCATCCTAGACACGCTCTTTTCTGGATCGTATTTGTGTTTTTCTTTCTGGAATTGTTTATAATCATCTTTTATCACTGGCGCTCTAAAATTTATAGTTTTTTAAATTCATCCTACTCAGCAATAAGTGGTCTCTTTTCTGGTGAAAACTTTTGTTTTTCTCAGTTTAGGGATTTTTTTCCCCTGCTGTTTCTTTAATAATATCCTCTCCTCCAATTTTTTCTGTTTTTTTTTCTGTCTGAGATTCTAAGTCAAGTGATGGTTTCTCTAGTTCTCTTGTGTTTTCTCTCATGTTCTATTTCTCCTTATCATTTTGCTCATATTTGGGGATATTTTTATGACTGTATTTTCCTATCATTCCATTGATTTTTTTGTGTCCTGTTTTTAGTCTCTTTACAGTTCTCTGCTTGCCCCATTTTCTTAGCACCCAGAAAGTTTATGAATGTAAAATATTTCTCAGTGCTTGAGTTCTCTTTTTTTCTCCTCCAGTCATTGTTTCTTTTTATCTTCTTTTTTTCTTAATGCTGCTGGTTTTTCTCACATGTCTAATCGTCTTCGGGTTTGTCTCTTCCTATTTAAGAATGAAGGATGGGGATCTGGTATAGGCATCTCCTCTGATATACTGGTGTCCAGTACTGATGTCCAGATAGGCTATTCCACCAAGCGGAAATTCTGGTAGGGAGCTTTGTTTACAAGGGGGGAGTTTGTGGAATGGCAAGTTTAGCTTTAAAATGAGAAAATGTGGAGGTGGCTGTCAGATGGGGTTCCCCCAAAAGTCAGAATGAGGTGACTTCACTCTGGAGTAGGCCAACATCCCATTTGAAGTCTTAATTCCCCAGATGGCTTACAATTGTAAGCAGTGAGGGAGGTGGAGAGAGAGGAATTTAACTGGCATACCTCTTCTCTGTTTATATATTCAATAAATCCTCCTGTTTCCAGGCTCCAGACCAATTCCTCCCTCCTGAGCCCAGAGCCCCTCTAGAATATTCTAGTTGGCAGATCATGGCATTCCAGTCCCCACTCAGCCCCCTCATGGAATATTCCAGGCTATAACTTCTTTGCTGTGGTCCATCACCGTACTCCCATCTGTTTTCTGTCTTGCAGTGATTTATTGAAATCTCTCCTCTACTGGTTACTCTTCCCCCCATCCCTGCTGTTTTCTTGACTTTATGTGTGTGTTTCTGAACTATTGCATTGTGTTCTGGGAAGCACAGGACATAAATGTCTGCACCCAATCCAGCATCTTGAACAACTTGACAGCTTTCTTTTGATGTTAAATTGTTCTATTTCATTAGTGCTCATATGGTTTTCCGATTCTCACAAAATGCTCTTTCCTTCATGTTCTTTATGATGTTGGTTTCATGTAATGGAAATTATTGTACATCTACTTTTTAGAGTAGGAATTTACAAAGGAAGTTGGAGACAGTTTCTGCTCCTTCCAATCAATAAATCAAGGGCTAACTGAGGACCTCCATCTGCTCTGGAATGTAATATGCACTTATTAAGTGCTGTACAAGAAGACCACAAGAATGAAGGGATCAGGAATGACTTTTGGGTAGCCAATCACTAATGTCTGCCCTATTATTTCATAAATTGGCAGCATACTTTGAGCAAATAAATTCTTAGTCTTACAGATTTTTCTCACAAGTGTTTGCCAAGGTAGTTCATTGATTGATATTCATTCGCTTATTTATTCAACAAATATATTAAGCCTTACTCTGAGTCAGGCACTATGCACAATGTTAAGTAATGAAAACATGGCCCATTCCCTTAAAGACCTTCCAGTTGAGCCAGATAAACTGGCACAAAGAAAGCCTGAATCATTCTGAGGTTGGAAGGGAGCCAGAGAAGGCACATTATCTGCCAGGCACTGTCTTAGGTTTTGGGAAACAAAGATGAAAGAAACTCTTAGTCCAGTGGAAAGAGACAGATAAGTGGGATAAGGGATCTGATAGAGGTACCTGTTGTCCTAGTTCTTCTATTACTACTTCAGGACTATGAACCAGGTTGAGGGAATCATTGCTTTTCTTATCCATTTTAAAGGAGAAATCAGCTGTTTTGTACATGTAGCATCTTAAGCAGCTCAAAGTTCAAAGCTCAGGCCTTCAGAAACAATATTATTTGTTATCTCTTCAGGCTTTCCTTAGGCTTTGGTACACACACACACACACACACACACACACACACGCACACATACTCTTTCCTCTACCTCTAGTTCTGTGTATCTGAAGGCACCATCCCTTCTTTCTTCACTTCACCTCTCAGATTTTTTCAATATATTTCCTTATGTCAAAATTATCTTTCATATTTTAAACTCACGAAGGAGTTTCACGACTTCTTCACCTAATGAATACACACCTAGATCTGATATTCAGTTGATACGGCCATATAGGTAGTTCAGATATTGATATTTAAATGACGGGTTAATAACTCCTGTCATGATCCCCCTAGGCATCCCCCATATCCCTTCAACTTAGCCTCTTCTCACAATTAGAAGTTAATGGGCTAATGCCTAACACTGCATCGGACTTCTAGGACCTCACCTATTTATTGCCCATGCCTTATTGATTATTAAACATATTTAATATCTCTTCTGAGCTATTCACTAAGTACAGAGTTTGCAAAACTCAAATGCCTCCAAAGGCAAGTAGGTGATGGAACTGAGTGAAGCCAGCTATGTGAAACCAGAGATTGTGCCACACTTGGGAAAGCATGCGTCACTTTAGAGGTCATTTACATACAGTGGCCAGTATTATTAGATTTTCAGAAAAGGAGTGAAAAATGTTTTAATGTTAGGTATAAGAAGGAACATACTGAGAAGTGTGGTTTTAAAAAATCCCCATCCCCAAATAATTAAAGCTTCTATCCACAGCATGATCATCATTTCAGTATACATAATCTGCAGCTGCTGCATGGCATTTAAATGAAGGATTAGTAAATGCATGCTACAGCCTCAGTTATTTTTCTAACATAGGTCACCACAAGAAATATGTACACAACAGGTTTGATTTATATCCTCAATATTTCAGTAGTTATGGTGCCTTGAAGAAGCAAAACAAATTGGAGTCAAGACATTTGTAATATTTATTTTGCCTAAAGTAAAAAATATGACAGAATTAGAATAACCATCATTTGAAATTATTTCATTCAGGCAACCAACTATACGCTAAGATACAAGTAGGTGATTTTCCCCTGAAGTTTGAAAAGAAGGACCAGTCTCTGAAACATGTCCTCTGGTTTTCTACTTCTCCCAAATATCTTCTCTTGCAAAGTTCATCATTAAAGCTCTTTGAGGATTATTTCAGACCCCTACATGCTATGTCTGGGACACAAGAACAGTCTTAAAGAGAATGTCCTGAAGCTCATCCACCTCAGTGTGCAGGGCTGGAGCTCATGTATATGTACTTTGGCTCTCACCAGAAGTGGTGAATCTTAGGGTTCTGGGTCTTATTGTTTTAAGAGATATGATGTGAGCCAGGCTGCTTAGTATGAACCACCGACAGATGAAATGATGGCTTATGAAAGAAAGTTAATGTAAAATATTAGCCCATGTGAGCTAGCATAATCAGTTGTTTTTATTAAAATGTTATGTGTTTGTTGCATTAGGAAAAGGAAGTGGATTGGATACCCCTTTGTTCCCACATATCTTCAGTCTTTTTACACTTAGCACTACCGGCTATTTTTAGCATGCTTGTTGTCTGCCTATCCTGTTACAACATCACCTCCACAAGGACAGGGAATTTGCCTGTGTTGTTCACTGTTATACCCACTCCACTTCCTAGGAAATGCCTAGAAATAGAAGGAACTCAGTAAATACTTCCTGGGTGAGTAAATACATGAGAAAATTATTTGTGTGCATGGATAGTTGCAAAGATCACTATGGCATAAGCAGAGGCTTCCCCACTCGGGTTACAGCAGTGCGGTTCTTTGTTTGCAAACTGCAGTTACCAGCTGAAGCATCTGCTGTGATTTTTTTTTTTAATCTACTTCAGTTTACTTGAAGGGTTTCCTAAGAAGACAGTGTGCTGGTTTATGAAGCTATTGTCTCTCTACTTCAAACCCACCTTTCCTTACTCAGCTTTATGGCACTGGGGCTGGGATGATAGGAAATAGAGTTTTGGCTGCCTGTGAGGCTTCTCTGAGAGGGAGGCACTGGATGCTTGCTGGAAGGCTAGAAAGGGAGGGAGGGAAGGAGAAGTCCCTGTTCCTGGCAGCGGCATCCGCCAGCAACAACCGCCCTCTCTTGGCAGCAGCAATTGGTCTGGTTCTAGTCTCCACCTTCTTTCTACACTTTTTCTGCAAAGTTACCCATAGCAGCCAGGCAGTGCCCTCTCCTCAGAGATCTGGTCCGAGTCTGACAATGGCTCTGCCGGGCATCTTCTCTGATTAGGGCAGCTTTCAGACAGCTGATTGCTCATTAGGAACACCTGGGACGGAACCGCAATTTCTTCCCTTTATTCTACCTTCTCTATTTAGCTTAGCCAATTCCTTATAACTGATTATAATTAATTTATAATACATTCCATCTGTTATAATATGCTTTCTAGTTTCCTGACCCGGACTCTGATGGATCATGTTCTTTATCCTACAGCTATGTGTGTTTCTGCAAATTCTATATTTCAAAGCTCTTAACAATTCACAAACTTGCAGGACTTCTTTTAATTTAATTTAAAATGATAGTGGGGTTTCTTTTAATTTAAAAATGTTTTTCTGTTGGTGGGTATTTAAACACATAAAACAAATAGAGATTTACACAAAATACAAATGCTCCAGTCTTACTTATCAATTTTTAACACATTTCCATCGGATTAATGTTCTCTTACTTTCAAACTCCCTCTTTTTAAAAATGCAGAACAGAAACCCCAATCGTTCATGAATTCTCAGAGCATCCCTTTCTGTGATAATAGAGTGGAGAAAAACTTCCTGTGGGTCTGCAATCCTATCCCCGCACAGGTAAAATACTTCTTTGTTTTTTCATGTGGAATATTTTGAGCAGTTTTCAGGATGTTCCAATCTCGACAGCCCACTCGCTTGTCCCTGTGGCGTCTGAGGGGATGCTGACACATGGAGTTTGAGAACCACACTTTAAGAAGTTGTTCTTTCCTGTGGGGCAGAATTAGGGCAGCTTTCCGACAGCTGATTGTTCATTAAGAACACCTGGGGTGGGACCAGAAGGAGGACAGAAAGTGCCATCTGAGATTGCAGAAATTCTCTTTAATTTCACAATTATGCCCATAGCAGGCTTTCTGTGGCAGAGTTGTTGACCTAAGGTTCAGAAGACAATCTGACTTGGCTAATGACAGCATTTTCTCATGATCTGCAAAACATGAAGAAATGATGCAGTGGGAAGGTTGAAGCCATCGGTATAGTGAGTTGCTTGACCTGCAGAGAAGTCATAAGTTCATTTATCTTCCTCTCAGCAATGACTTAAACTCCTGTCTATTGAGTGCCTCCGAGGCGCAAGACAGGATGCTAGGCACTTGATTCTTCACACACTTGTGGAGTAGGTATTATAATAAGAGCACTGATCACCAGTCTTGAGCTCATAATTAAATGCCCCACAACTAGAATGTGGTCGAGCTAGTCCTTAGTTAAATCTAGGGGTAAAGTCTGGTTGTTTTGACTTTTTTACCCTCCTTCCACCATAAAGCATAACATATTCTCACATGGAAACCTGCAGGGCAATTCCCCTGCTTTACATTAATGAGGGACAAATACGATTTGTGTCTTTTACTGTGTCTAATCTCCCACGGTTCTCACAGCTTCTTTTAAATTTATATGACTTTTCCATTTTCATAAAAAGATAGGATGCCGTTTCTTATCTTTTTGGATCAATGTTATGGTATCAGTATTGATTCTTAAAGAAGTCCTTTAGAGGTTCAGCTCTGAAGCTATTGATCATTCAAAAGTTCCTCCTTTATTTAATTTTCATGTCACTTCAGTCTTTGAAACTTTAGGTTTCACATTTCCTCTGTATGTAGCTTTCCAGTGGAAGACAGGGCTTTCTTTACTGTATTTCTAAAATTATGTAATTTGGGGGTACTTTATTTGGCAAACATGGATAGAATATTTATATGTTTGTGAACAATGTGCAATTCTTATCACAGTGTTACCTAAAATAGCTAACATAAAGAGTCTAATTTATAAATAAGAGAAATTGAAGCTTAGGGAGTTAACTGTTCAATGTAATTAAGTAGACTAACGGGTAGTAGAGCCGTGCCTCCAATCAAAGTCTATTCAAGGCCCAAAGCCTGTCCCCTAAACACTAACATCTGTCTGCCCCTCACATCCACTGTTTTCTCACCATCACTCAAAACTTGTCTCAGAGTGATGGCTTGCAGAGCACATGCCTGGTGCCCTGGTGTCCCCTGTTTGTTCACTCCAGGGCCGGTGGTACCATCTTGATGACCTCACATATCTGATCTAACTCTTTTGTAAGTGCTTATTTCTGTCACTCCAACTAGACAGGGGCTTTTCACTGTTTCATTCCAGCACTTGGCACAGTGAGTAGCACGTTGGTGTTTAACAAATATTTGTTAAGGAAATGGATGCATGATTCTGGGCTTGCCAAACATATGCTCAACTTTGCCTTCTGTGCCTACAACTACCTGGAGGAATTTCTGTCTGCTTCAACTACCAACAAATCTCTCTAAACAAGCAAATGGTGGTTGTCAAGTTGGTAATGGATATTTGTTGTTGATTAAGGTGATAAACTGAGGTAGAGAAATAACTTCTCTGATGATGTATAGGAGCAAAGAGAAATGCTCTTGAGTGGATACTTTTATAATTTTACATTTTACTGGGATTTTATTGGCTGTCTTATTTTGTTGCAAATGGCATAAACCCAACTCACACTAGCTTAGCAAAATGTATAGTTGTAACTTTGCAAGATGGAATATAGAGCCGGCTTCAGATCCTAATGTATCCCAGAGCCAAACAACCTTGTTTTGGTCTCTCTTTGTGTGTCCCTCCTTCTCTCTTTATTTACATGTGTTTCATACTGGGTTCATTTTGCAGAAAGGCTGTCACCATTTGACCAAAAGGGAGGACCAGGACAGAAGGACCATAAGTCAATGGTTTTCTTTAGTGTGCTGCCAGCAGAATCAGAATCACCTGGAAGCTGGGTGAGAATGCAAATTCTTGAGCCCTATCCAAGACCTACTGAATCAGAAACTCTGACACTAGGAACTAGGACTCTGTGTTTTCATAAGCCTTCCAGGTGGTTGTTGTGTACACTACAATTTGAGACCTGCTTGACTAAGGGTAGGAATTGAGTCCTCAAATAAATGGGCTTCATCAAGTGGCTTTCATGTACAGAAGTAGAAGAACATGGGAGACATTAATAGCTCAAAATGAGGGATTATATGTGTTTGGAATTCCTCTGACATGCAAGGCACTCACTTGAGTGCCTAATTAATCTACCTTAATTATACTCTTATCCCTATTTTGAGAGATCTTCAAAAAGAAATGGATTTGGAGGAGGTTTAGTAATATATGATATTTATTAAATTTTACCTTTAAGACTGTCAGAGAGAAACTGGAGGATGCTGGGGTCTTTGTTCCATCAGAGAAAAGCATTTGGCTTCAAAATCTCACATTTCCACTACAACTTTGGGAACTCTGTAACTTCCCAGTTTTATTCTTTAGCACCAATCTTTTCTTCTACAGTGATTAATAGTAAAATTGTTGAATGAAAAATTGTTAGTTAGTGTGGGGAGATAGCATAAAGAGGAAAAGGCTGGGGAGAACTGCAATCCACTTTGAAGCCAGCCTTGAGAAATAGGAATCTCCACAGATGAAAAGGGAAGTCACGGCTCAGAGGAGGGGGCACACTGCCTGTGTTCCTTGTGCCTCCAGGAATAGAGGGGCCCCAGGGACTACAAAGAATCCCCAGGGACCTCAGTTTCTTCAGAAGTAGTAGCAAGTCACTTCAGAATGTTATGCATTATCTGTCTTTTCAGATTTTAATCATCTTTATGTTTGCTTGGTCCTCAGTTAAAAAAAAATATTTCCCACATAGGACTAATGGAATTGTCTTTCTGGGGTCATAGAGACAAGGTTGTCAGAATATCTCTTCAAGACAATAGTGTCAGTGACCACAGCTTGGCAATTCCTGAGCTAGATATAAAGGTAGCAAGAACAGCACTATTCACAATAGCAAAGACACGGAATCAGCCTAAATGCTTATCAGTGATAGACTGGATAAAGAAAATGGTGTGGATATACACCGTAGAATACTGTGCAGCCGTAAAAAGGAATGAAATCATGTCTTTTGCAGGGACATGGATGGACTTGGAAGCCATTATCCTCAGGAAACTCATGCAAGAACAGAAAACCAACCACTGCATGTTCTCACTTATAAGTGGGAGCTGAATGATGAGAACATATGGATGCATCAGGGGGAACAAGACACACTGGGGCCTGTTGGGGCATGGGAGGAGGAAGAGCATCAGGAATAATAGCTAATGGATTCTGCGCTTAAAACCTAGGTGATGGGTTGATCTATGCAGCAAACCACCAGGGCACACATTCACCTATGTAACAAACCTGTACAGCCTGCACAGGTACCCCTGAACTTAAAATTAAAGTTGAAGTAAAAATAAAAAGAAAAAGTCTGTGAACCCTTTAACCCCTGACCAAAGGGAAAAAGAATAAAAGAAGGTAGCAAAAATTAGAGGAGAGCTGACTCATAATTCTAAATGATGTAAGAATTCAAAACTAAACAATCCTAATAATTATTCTAAATAAAATAATTCTAAATAATAAGTGTAGTAACATAATAATAGCAAATATTTATTGATCTCTTATGATGTCCTACGTCCTGTTTTAGTCACTTTAATTGTATTAACTTGCTTAATCTTTATAACTTCCATCCATTTTATAAATAAAAAAACTGGCACAAATTGTCCAAATGAAATAGTTTTTTTTTTAATATAAACCCAAGAAGTTCTGTCCTCAGAGCTCGTACAGTTTATCATTACCTAAGACTACCTGCCTCTTGAGAAAAAGTGAATCTCTTCAGTTAAACTATGCAGATATTTGCTAATATTTGCTACTGTGCTTGTTCGTTTTGGGAAGGCGATTCCACATAATTTTGTCAGAACTCCTTTGTATGAAGATAGAATCCAGCCACCATCCTATCCTCATCATGACACTGTCATTACAACTAAGACATCAGAGTGGACATTCCCCTCTTTTCAAGAAACATTTTTGTCTACTGACTCTATGTGGAAGTCAAAGAGCTAACTATGCTTTATGTTCTTCATTTCATTTCCTGAAACTTTGATGTGCAGGTTAAAGACTGTTTCTATCTGAACTGTTTTATGGGAAAAGCTAGCTTGAACCTAACTACATGAACCTCTGGAGGCTGGGTAACCTGACTTTTTCACAAAGCAACTGATATTCGCATGTTGGGTTTTATTTTTAATTTGTCATGGTTCTTGGAGACTGCTCTGAATGTTCAATTATATTTTTAATTTCACTGCTGGCTTATTAGCTGATTAACTGAGCTGTTCTCATCTGAGCAGTATTAGGGTTTAGTAAGATCTTACATCATTCTACAGGAATCAATTTATAAACTTTGTTTACTTCAAGATTCTGGCTGACACATTAATTTAGCAGCAACAGAATTACAGATAGCGTTACAAAAAAGCTATTAGCTATTCTCTTAGAGATAATATTTATAAATGGAACGTAATTACAGCCTGGAAGCACACAGTTTCCAGAGCTAAAGGCAATAAAGCTACAGCAATAAAGAATTTACTATTAGCTCTCCTGGGACAAAGAGGGCTCCAGTGGAATGGGAAAGAGGTTGGGGTGAGGTATAGAGCTGGGAAGGCGAAAAAAGAAGGAAGAGAATGGGATCACAGGAGAGGCTCAGCTCTTCTAAACAGTAGTTATATTCCAGGCTGTTCTAAGAAGGCAGAGACTAGTGCCCGGGGAGACCAAGTCTCTGCTTCTACTATGGAAGATTTTTAAAAGTTGTTTCCAACCCGATGGAAACTTTCTCATGGGAATGGTTTGCTCACTGATATTTTCCCAAAAGATCTTTTCTCTTATTTTCCCACATCACTGGGTTTTTTAAAAAAATGTAATGACCGTTATCCCAAACAACTAGATAATATACAGCCTTTGTCCTTTAAGAGCAAATTTGGGTCTGTAAATATTTATTGAGCAGCTACTGTATACAAGATACTTTACTACGTATTTTGAGAGATACCAAGATAAATAAGATGTGATCCCTGCCCTTAAGAGGCACAAGATTTAGAAGGTGAGAGAAGATATGTAATACTGCAAGTACCAATACTAGCTACTCTATACCAGGCGTTACTCTCAATGCGTTGGCTATACTAACTCACCTAACCCTCATAGTAACTCTGCAAGACGATGTCATCATTATTTTCATTTAATAGATGAAGAAATTGAGGTGAGCAATATTATATAACTTGGCAAATGTTACATGCTATAAATAAGTTGAAAATCGAGACAGTGGGAGGCGAACTATTTGACTTAAAGTCGTAGAGTAAATCAAAGTCAGCCTCGGCTATAATTCAGTTGAAGTCTCCTGACTCCCAGCACAAGGCTCTGTTTATTAAATTGTGAAGTATTTTTTTGTTTTTTCCTTAATAATGAATGGGACTAGGAGTGATTTCAGCACTTCATGTAAGACTCCTACTTGCTTGTTCTGAGAAAGTAATCAACTTCAAGTCAAACTTTGTTTTTTTTAAAGAGCCTTGAAAGTATTCACTAAGAGTTTTATGAAACTTTAAGCAAAGAATTGTTTGTACAAATACCATTTTAAAATAATTTTCTGACTGGAGCTGATATAAATGTACATTTATTGTTGACTTTAGGAAGGCTTTCATATGAATATCACTTTTTGAAGTTTATTTTTAAAAATTCATTCATTTATCTAAAGTGTATGTTTTGTATTAATATATCAGAATCAAAGTTCATTAAAGTTTTTATTATGAAAATTGGTTTTATTTATATAAAATATCTAACATGTAATTTAAGAGAAATATTAAGCTAATTTTTAAAAACTCCTCCAAGTATGTTAATTTTCCAAATGCTTTTTAGGAAATCAGCGAGGCTTATTACCTGAGCCCTTAGACAAAAGTGGATGGTCTCTTCAATACTTGTGACCTTTTCTCTTCACCTTGTCTGTTTTTCCCTCAGTCCCTGGATTACTACTTTTGTCCTCTAACCGCTTGAAATGCCTTCTCCTATGCCTTTAGCAGCCACTGAAAGTTCACTATTTTCTGTCTTATTTTCTTAAATTATATGTCTGTTAGAGTGTTTGAGGAGATAACTACATAAATGCACCAGGAATAATGGGTGTGTTAGTTTCCTAGAAATGCCATAACGAAGTACCCAAAACTGGGTGGTTTCGACAACAGAAATATATTTATTCTCTCACAGTCCAGGAAGGTGGAAGTCCAAAGTCAAGGTGTCAGCAGGGCTGTGCTCCTCTGATGGCTCTAGGGGAAGAATACTTCCTTGCCTATTTCAGCTTCTAGTGGCTCTTGGCAATTGTTTGCATTTCTTAGCTTGTAACTGCATCACTCCAATCTTTGTCTCTGTCATCACAGGGCTTTCTCCCCTCTAACTCCCGTATGTCTCTGTGTCTGCATCTCCCTCTCCCTTCTCTTATAAAAACACTAGTCATTGGATTTAGGGCCCATTTTAATCCAGCAAAACCTCATCTTAACTAATTACCTCTGCAAAGACCCAGCTGCCAAAAAAGATCACATTCAGAGGTTCCTGGAGAACAGGAATTTGGGGAGATACTCTTCAGCCCAGTACAATGTGTTAATAAGAGAAGGCAGGAGGGAAAGCTTGATCATTTGAACAAATGTTGGTTTATTTTAAGAGAAGTTGTATGGTTCCATGTGGCTAGAATTACTACATCTTCTATTTTGCCATAGTTTTAGCCTTACTTTATAGCTGATTGGAAAAGTCCAGTGACTTCCTTAGGTCTGACTCTATCTCTAAAAAGCCATGCTGACAGATGCCCATTTTACTTGATACAAGATGGAGTATTACCATTGGTCAGGTGAATTCATCAACTTCACTAATCATCTTCCTAAAGAGCAGACAGTATTAAGCATGTCTTGAAAAAAAAACTGCCAAAAAGAAGAACAGAAAGCAAATTGAGCATCGGGAAAAGACTTGGGTCTATAGCGTCAGACAAAACTAAGTTCAATATATACTTAAATAATAATGAGTCTACTAGGTAGACTCATCTAATAGTGCTGCCATGTACTAGTTTACTAATCATAGGATTGTTACTCATGCTCTCTCAGCAGCAGTTTCAGGGTAATTAAATCTACATCAAAGGTTATTTTTAGGATTAAAGAAAGACACAGTCGATATTCAAAAAACATCTACATTAATAACGATAATAATACAGCTGCAAAAAAAGAGTAAGAGGGCTGCAAAAAGAGATGGCATCTAAAATACATTTCTATCTTTACATATTTTTGAAGAAATTTGATCCCATACTCTGAATTCAAGGTGGCGGATGGTGGACTACCTTTGGATGCTGAAACAAGATGTCAGTATTCACTGAGGTGGCAAACCCCCCAGACTCCTCATCCCCTGTAAGCTGTGATTCAGCAGACCTTCATCCTAGCTGTGGCAAAGTGTGGTGTTGAGCCTGCCAGTTCCTGGACCAGGCCTAGCTTTGCCCTCACATGGCACAGATCCCACACTCTGGCCCTCTCTTTTCCCACAACAATTTTGATTTGTAGGCAGGATAATCATAAAAGTTCAAAGGAAATGAGAAATTGCTACTTAGAAGAATAAGATGATGTGTGGAAGGTAGAAAATTTCTAAGTAGCCATCCAACCCAGCTGGGTAGGATCTGACCGTCAGGTTGGTTGGTTGGTTTTTTACCACCAGATGTTAGGTCAGCTTCTTGCTCAGTGCCTCTCAGTCACTTATCTTAGTCCCTGGCTTCCAAACTAGAGGACCTGGGTCATCATTGGAATTTGCCATAGCTTAGGTCTGGGCCTGGCTAAGTCCACAAAAATCTAGTACAGCATCAGAGAAACTTCTGCTAAATAGTTATTCCACACCCAGTTTTGGTTTCTGTAGTTCAGGTCTCTGGTCTTCTGTTATAGGCTCCTTGGTAGATCTCTTGCCTCTCCTGTTCTTGGCCACACATGAAGAACACCACCATCACCACTAGCCTAGCCCACAGGCTCTGGCCCTGACATTGGCTTGTGCTTTAGAGTGCTCAGGCCATGCTGTCTTTTTAACAAATGTTCACTAGGGGCAGTACTCTGAAAGGTTTAAAGCCACTGTGTACATTTCTACTAGGTAGACTCATCTAATCTCTAAATAGTAATTTATTACAAAGGCAACTTGCATACTTTCACATGAAGTTCTTATTTGATTATGTTAATTAGACTTTCAGGACAAAACAGGTCACAATACTTATTTCACACTCACCAGGTCTAGAATATTTTACTGGGATCTGTGGGAAGGTAAAATAGATGTAGCTTCTGCTTTGTGGAGGTCAAAATTGTACTTTATTTTTCTTGAATACCCCTCCCTCAACCTTCCATTTTGAAAACAATCAAGAAAAATGTCCTGTCACATAGTTCTCTCTACTCCCTTTATCTTTCTTTGAAATATCGACTATTCTTCTGCTAACAGCAAAATATTTTCCAAGCATAACAATAAATTTTTCCTTGCCAAAGGAAAACAAGGCCAACCATTGGAAGAGACCCCAAGACTAAGTTACAGCTAATATAGCACCGAACCCCTCTTTTCTCAGCGTGATCTTTAAGTTTTGGACTTTGAATGAAAGACCAAGGGGAAATTGTTTTATGTTTTATATACTACACTAGTTATATGTTTCATATATAACTACTGGTCCGGATAGCATGTTATCTAAGAAAAAGAACTTCTATCACCTTTAAATACTTGAAAATAATTTCCAGCTGTCTCTCTTCCTCTGATAGTCATAAACACAGACACACACAGACACACACACACACACACACACACACACACACACACAGAGAGAGAGAGAGAGAGAGAGCGAGAGACAGAGAGACAGAGAGACAGAAAGAGAGAGCTTTACCACAATTGATTATGGAAAAAATCACAATTGATTATGGAAAGAAGAAATGCTAGGAGAGCTCAGGCCCATTTATCTCAGTAGATGAACAAGATTGTAACTGCTATTATGTCCTCAGAACTTCATATAGTTCTGGTCCTGCAGTACTAAAAGGAAGGAAAAGAAGTGATGTAAGTACACGTAATGTTCTTGTTAACATAAAAAAGCAGTAAGAGAGAAAAGATAAAAATATAGTGCCTCAGCAGCTGGAAAGTGCCCAAGTGGAGTGTAGAAAAGTGTCCAGTGAAAAACAAGGGACCAGAAAGTAAATGAAGAGGGGTGCTTGGATTCAGCTAAGTGGGACAGAAAGGATTTCTTTAGGTTGAGAGAATTGGAGTTGGAAAGTAAGAAGTCTAAGGAAAATGTTCTTTCAAAAAACATGTTAGAATTAAGTGATTATAACTCACTCAAAATATCACAAATATATGTCATGAACATGGAAGTGGTTGGGAGGACAAAGGGTCAAAGGACTTCTTTGTTCTTTGAGTGGGTCCCACATGATTGAAGAGGAGGAACCAAGAACAGAATTGATGATGTTACAGATGGAAGGAAGGAAGTTTGTAGCTGAGAGCAAATTGTTCTTTGTCCTTGAGATAAAATGAAAATTTGCTCTACTGGTTAAAAATTTACATGACACACATCCCAGAATGAATGTAAAAATGTTTTTGACAGAAGGAATGGAATTAGAAGGTCCACGACTCCAATTGAACTAGATAGAGCAGATCAGGCGTCTCACATTTGCACTCACATCTCTGACATGTGTTACCCACCATGGGATACTACATCAAAAATATTTAGTGTATTTTATTCTTAAGTCTGTTTTCCACACATAATGATCTTATGTTATTGCTTGGGACACATTTGCTCCGAGCTCACGTCTCGAAGCAGGAGTCCCATTGTGGGGCATACTCATACCAAACCTTCAGTGATTCTGAGAAGAACTCTGTGCTCACGTTCTCTTTTCTGCCTTCCTCTCACAGCAAGTCTTAGTTATATTGCCACAAAGCAGTTTACGTGACTTTACTGTGTCAAGAATGATCAGTTAACACACTCAAAGTAGGCTATTGTCTCTGTGACCTGACTAATGGGCCCACCCCACACTTTCGTACATGCCAGTTTGAAACCTACTATCTTCTTCAACCACCATGATGATAGAAAGTCTTGGCATTGGTTACTCCTTTCGGGAAATGCTGGTAATAAACATTGTAGGATGGATTATTGTTCTAAGCCAAGGTTTCTCAACCTTGACATTGGAGGCACTATCGACATTAGGCACGAAGTATTTCTACTTAGTATTTGGGGGGCTGTCCTGTGCATTGCAGGATGGCAGCCAGCATCTCTGGCTTCCACCCAATATGTGCCAGTAGCATAAAATGTCTCCAGACACTGCCAAATGTCCCCCAGGGAGAAAAACTGCCCTGATTGAGAACCACTGCAGTAAACTATTATCTCCCATCAGCTCCTTATAAATTGAACTTGCAGCAGTCTAGCAAGGCATTGAGAGAACGAGAGGTGTCTGAAGCTCAGGAAAATCTGCAGCTCAGAGAGCATCAGAAAATGGCTAGAAAGGGTAGGTCTGAACTGACTGTCACAGGGCAGGGACTTTCAGAGAGTCACAAGGAGATTGGATGAGGAAAAGACAGACAGGGATGAGGGGCATAAAGAAAGGCAACTGAAAAGAAGAAGAAATATTGAGAGCAATATGGCCTTCACTATAGGGCTTTCCTAGAAAACCAGAGGGGGAATCCATAACGGGCAGTCAGAAAACCAAGGTTCTGGTTTCAATTTCACTCTCCTGTTAGTTTTTAGATCACTTATGCTTGGTTTCCTTACCTATAAAACGTGGCTATGTTTCCAGACCTGATTATCTCAGATTGCTATATTAAGGCAATAATGGGAACATTCTCTGTAGATGTGTTTATAAAAGCGTCAAGAATTGCTATTTTTGTGCAGTTGTGCCTCACATATAAGTCAGATGGCTGAGAGGAAGTAACTCAAAATTACTGGGGGCCTGAGGATAGAGAGTCTGCTCGTGGCCAGAGTGGCCTCATGCAGTTTGTTGAAAACCCAGGTCATGCTTCCTCACCTAACCCTGGATGCCTGGGCATCAGGAGCAGTTATGAGGGGTATCCAGGAGTATAAAGTAATATCTGAGTAGATGGGAGAGTGAAATTCAACTGTTAGCATTTTTCATACCAAGGAATTTTTATTAATCTCAATTTACACTTGTGGGGTTTCCAAAAGTGGAGATCTCAGTAAATCTTAGCAATAGGCCATGGTATAGTCTGTACTGCTTGAGTTCTACGGTGGAAAGGAGAATACCTGCCTACCAAAAACTTAGAAAAATATTTTAGGTAAACTGGATACAGAATAATTATGGATTTTTTTTCTCATATTCCATATGGAGAGCTGATAAAATCATCCTCAAAGCATTTTTCTTTTAAATTTAAGACTCAGGTTATCTAGCAAACAAGATGGAAACAAGTGAAAATACCAGTTTGGAAACTAAAGCAAAAAGATCCTTTGGAAATTCCTAAAACTGTTTTGAGGATCAGTTCAAGTTTGAAAGAAAGATTTAGTGCTTATTTTTTTCAACTCTTATAAAAATGACTAAACACATTCGTCCTCTGAAGTAGACTCCAGACTTTTGCACCTGGCCAAAAGGAAGAAACACTTCAGCTCAGATCAACCCAGTTTTTACTGGAATACTTGCGGCAGAACTGAGAAGTGCAGGTATAAGCACAATGACTGGATTATTCCCATCTTCTGCTTATTTAAGAAGTTAGGCATTATTCTTTCTCATTTGCAGACTTTCTGTTTACTAAACTACAAATAAAAGTGTGCAGAGATATGCTTCAGGTTTCCTATTTCTGAAATGCTGTTGGAGATTGCAATTGTACTAAGTTGGAAATTGAGAACTTAATTATTTTAAAATCTAGTCAAGTGAGAGGGAACTATCAACTGCAGAGATACCAGAGTTTTTTGACATTGTTCCTGGCCTTTGGGGATGAAGTCTAACACTCCCCTTTTACAGTTCTCCCTCTCTTCATTCCCTAAAACCAGAGAGCTGAACCTATTTGCAAAACATTGTTACTTCAGGCATCTCATGGGGGATGATTAATAAGTAACCATGGTTAAATGATACAAGGAATAAAATAGCTAGTTGCCAGAAAGACAAAGGTGACCTGGAGAACATCAGAAGATTTTGAGGAAAATAAGGGCTCTAAACAGACGTTATATATTTGCTTTGTTTCTGTCAAATGCTAGGATCTCAATCAATGCATCCCCAGAACAGTTCAGAGAGTAGAGCTGTGGTAGCATCTGATGATGGGTCTTATTGCAAAATGGGCTATCCACTCTCAAAGTTAGTGGGTTCCTTACCACAAAATAATTTCTAATGAGAAGAATGATTTCTGCCATGTTAAGGAAACTTGCAAAATAGATGGGTAAGCCCTCACAACTCCTACTTACCTGGAAATTATATGATTTATATGTGTTGTTGGATTATTAGAACTTTTTGAGAAAAACACTGAAACCATGTTTTAAAAACAGGTAGGTTCATTTTATAGGCTACAACATGGATGAATCTTGAGGACATTATGCTAAATGAAATAAGCTAGTCACAAAAAGACAAACACTGTATAAACCCACTTAAATGAGGTATCAAACTCATAGAAACATAAAGTAGAATGGTGGTTGCCAGGGGCTGGGTGAAGGGTCAAATGAGCTGCTGCTCAATGGGTATAGAGTTTGAGTTTTGCAAGATGAAAACGTTCTGGATATCTATTGTACAATAATAGGAATAAACTTAATGCCAATCAGCGGTGCACGTACAAATGGTTAAGATGGTAAATTTTATGTTTGTGATTTTCAACACAATTAAAAATTTTTAAAGTATTTTAAAGTGTATACTATTTGCTAAATAAAAGAACTTTGTTTAAAAACCCTGGCAAGACGAACTGAGTAGAATCATGGAACACAGAGGGTATAGCTGAGTGAGTGTGATTGTAATTAGTAGACTGTTAGTCTTCCACGCAACCTCACAGATCGGAGAATGAGAATCACTAAGAATCACATTGAGGAGAAAGAACAGCACTTCCTCTGCTCATTTTCTGTGACGTGACCTAGAAAAAGATTTATCATGCAATAATCCAATAGATATTTACGGAACATGTAGGAAGGGGCCAATAATTATGCTAGGTGGGGATTCAGCAATGAATGCATTTCACACCTCAGTCTATTGTAAATTCCCCTGCTGAGGCTTTCAGCAACCTTCTAGTTACTAAATTCACTAGAAGCGTGTTTTACAGAGCCACACTGATTATTTCCTCCACTTAAAACTTTCTTCTTTATTGGCTTACATATCACTCTCCCTGATGTTTATTTTCCTACTTAAGCTGCTTACTCTGCCTTATCCATAAATACTGGTTGGTATTTTTCAGGGTTTCATCTTAGGTCCCCTTTTTCTCAACACATAGTAAATCCTATCAATGAGCTAATGGCCCCAAATCTTATCTTTAGCTCAAACTTCTTTTTCTGGGCCCCAGAATGCTATATCTTATAAATTACTAGATAGCTTTGTTTGAATGTTCCAAATGCAACATGTTTAAGACTCAACTAATTCTCTTTTCCTGATGTTCTTCTATTTTAAACACACTATATTAGAAAAGGACATTGTCATTAAATTAATTGCCCAAGTCAGAAACTGGAAGTTGTTCTGTATTTCTTCCTCTACCCTATCCTCATCTAGAATGAGTCAACATGGCCTGTTCATTTTATTTCCTTAACACTTCTTAAAAATGACCCCGCCTCTCCTTCATCCTTTCTGTCCCTTCTTGAGTTCTCGTTTGATGGCCTCATTTAAGTTATTTCAATAGACTCCTTATTAGTTTCTGTACAACTAGCTTTGCCTTCCCTTAATGCATCTGATACATTGCTATCAGAATAGTCTTAACACGCAAATATGATTCTATTGTTTTCTTTGTGCAAAATTCTTTAGTGGCTCCTGGTTACCTGTAAGATAAACTCTTCACACTTTTTCAGTGTCTTGGATTTTCCCTTGTCCCTCTTTTCAAGCACCATCTCCTACTTATATTACCTTTGCATCCTATTCTTAAGCAAAATTCAACTCCTTAGTGTGAGAACACACAGGCTTGCTTTTGTTTCTGTACTATTTCCTTTGATTGGAGTATTTTCCTGCAAACTGTCCTGTGAGCCCTTTTATAAAAGAGAATGTACTTTTCAGAGCATAGTCTTTTTTTGTAGGTGGTTCATGACTATGGTTTTATTATTTTGTTGATTTTAAAAGTACACATGGTCTGGACAGACATCTCACCAAAGAAGATGTACAGATGGGAAATAAGCATATAAAAAGATGCTCAACATCATAGCTCATTAGGTAATTGCAAATTAAAATAACGATGAGATACCACTACATATCACTTTAGAATGGCTAAAATCCTAAACATAAAATGCTGGATGAGGATGTGAAGTAATAGCCACTCTCATTCATTGTTGGCGGGTCTGAAAAATAGCACAGCCACTTTGGTAGACAGTTTGGCGGTTTCTCCCAAAGCTAACCTTACTCTTACCATATGTAAGAGTAATCCATCAATCACACTCACAGCTATTTACCCAATTGGGTTGTAAACTTATGTCCACACAAAAACCTGCATATGAGTGTTTATAGCAGCTTTATTCATTACTATAGTTGGATGCTTGTCCCTATCCAAATCTCTGTTGAATTGTAATGCTAATGGTGGTGGCCGGTGGGAGGTGTTTGGGTCATGGGGGCGGATTCCCTATGGCTTGGTGGTATCTTTATAATAGTGAGTGAGTTCCCACAGCACCTGGTCATTTAAAAGTGTTTGAGACCTTCCCCTCTACTCTCTCTCTCTCTCTCTCCTGCTACATGATTGAAAGTTCCCTGAGGCTTCACTAGAAGCTAAACAGATGCTGGCACCATGCTTGCTGTAAAGCCTAAGGAACTGTGAGCCAATAAATCCTCTTTTCTTTATAAATTACCCAGTCTCAGGTATTTCTCTATAGCAATGCAAGAATGGCCTAATACACTCATAATTGGCAAAACTTGGAAGCAACTCAGATATCTTTATAAAGGTGTGTAGATAAACTATGGTACATTCACATAGTTGAATATTATTCAGTGATAAAAAGAAACAAGATATCAAGCTATGAAAAGACATGGGGAAACTTAAATGCATATTGTTATGTGGAAAAAGCTAATCAGAAAAAAGCTACATACTGTGTGAATCCACTTATATGATATTCTGAACAAGGCCAAACTTTGGAGACAGTAAAATGATCAGTGGTTGCCAGGGTTTTGGGAGAGAGAGGGAGGAGAAGAGAGATGAATAGGTAGAACACAGGAGAACTTTAGGGCAGTGAAACTATTTTGTATGATGCTTTAATGCTGGATACATGTAATTTTACATGTGTCAAATTCCACAGAATGTACAAAACAAAGAGTGAACCCTAATACAAACTGTAAGCTTTAGTTAATAATAAGTTATGAATACTGGCTCATCAACTGTAACAAGTGTACTATACAAATGCAAGATGTTGATAATAGGGGAAATTAAGGGGTGGGAGGGCTGATAGGTCATGTGAATGCTCTAAACTTTAGGCTCAATTTTTCTGTGACCCTTAAACCTATTAAAAAGTAAGTTTTATTAATGATATATTTTAAGAGTATACTTCAAATCCTGAAAACTGGCAAGAAATTAGTGTACTTAACCATATATGGCTGCTTTATTATGAATCTTCTCTTATGTACTAAACACAGATTCTAAGAAAATAAAAATGATGTTAGTGAAACATACACAGACATTTTTTCTTGGTATTGATTGTTAGTGTCAAGCATTACAGGGAAATAATTGGTGATTCAGAGGATATTTATGGAAATTTTATCTTTCTATGGAGTGGGATAGATTCTTAAATGAACCAGCACTGCCATACCACTGGAAGCAAAGAAATCATCTGCTGTTTAAAGAAAGGAAAAGTATTAATTAATATCTGCACATCTTCTAAGAAGAAAACACTAATGATCATAACATTACTTTTGAAAAAACAATATTAATTATAATAATGATGATGATGATAATGATCACAGTAGTCAGCATTTGTTTAAAGCCTACTATGTGCCAGGAACTAAGCATTTTTACTCATGAGGTAGGTATCATCTGTATGATTCCGATTTTCCAGATGAAGGCTCACAAGGGTTATGTCTCTTGTTGAAGACCACAGAGCCATTTAATAAGGGTATAATGTAATTATCCAGGTGTTGTGGCATACACCTTTAATTCCAGCAACTTGGGAGGCTGAGGCGGGAGGATAGTTTGAGCCTGGGAGGTTGAGGCTGCAGTGAGCCATGATGGCACCACTGCACTCCAGCCTAAGCAACAGAACAAGACTTTGTCTCAAAAAAAAAGAAGAAGAAAAAAAAACCAACGCAAAAAAAGAGTAGCATCTAAAAGCCTTTGGGAGTATCCTTACTACTGCCTCTTAGCAAATGTCGAAACAGAGAATTTGGAAGAGTAGGAAGATGCTTTACAGTTCTAATTTCTTACTTGACACACCAAACATCTGTCATTTCTTTACTCCTAAAGCTTTTCCTTATTTCAAGGAATTTATGCCATTTCAGCCAAAAAGGGAGAGCTTTGTTATAGTTATTTAAATGCCAGATCTTTTGCTTCATCATTTCTATATGAAATCACAGCAAGGAGAAAGCTACGTGAAAAATAGATATCTGATAAGCATTCTTGGCCTTGTGTAACATTTTCTCCTTGAATTTAAAGAGAGGGAAAATAATATATATCTCTCAGTGAATGTAAGAAGGAGGAAATATCTAAACCTCAGATCGCTTTGTTAGAGATTCACACAAAGCCATCGAATAAACATGGGACTGCTTTTTGCAGAACTGAAGCTTCTTTGCCGGCTTAGACTAAATCCAAGATGATGCTGGGGCAGGGTTTGTGAACAGGGAATTCAATATCTTGATGTTCCTAACATGATAGAGCACAACCAGACTAACACCGCTTACAAAAGCCATTTGGCGCTGCTAGATTGCAGAACAAACCTTGAAGGGAAAGTTAAATGGATGACTCAGAGCCTCTTTCCTTTTTGCAGCCAGTCACACCAGGGCAGTGGAGTTTCAGTGAATTTTCCCTTTGAATAAAGATAAAAATGTTCTGACTTAACATTTCACCATGTTTTATTCTTCCTCAAACACTTTTGTATTTTATCCTCATAACAAATCTGCAGTGATGGTAAGACAGATTATGTTATTCACATTTAACCAAGAAAAAAACAGACCCAACAAGGTTGTTCGGGCTAAATTCAGGGAGTTAATAAGGGGGATGGGCATGGGGAATTAGACTAGAACTCTGAATGCTTAGACTGGTACTTTACCCATTACTTGTTAGGTCGAAGCAAATGGAGAAACAGAACGGGACCTCACAGCTCATAATCTCAAGGTCTAATAAGGATACATGAAGTGCAGAAACAAGCAGAAGGAGAAGAGACTATTCCAAACCTACCAGACTTAACCCCTAGATTCATAGAAGAAATGCTCTATTTTGGGTTTCTCAGAAATAGACCCTCATATAAGGATTTCAGTGCAAGAAGTTTGATTGGGAGGTGATGATTTCAGGAAGAAACAGTTGCGAAGTGGGAAACTGAGAAAAGAAAGGAAAGTCAGTTAATAAAGGGTGCATGACCAACCAGAGCTTAATTCTACAGGGGAACTCTGAGAGTCAGTGTTGAAAATACGCTTTATAGGTAGCTCATCCAAGAGGTGCAGGTTAAGGATGCTGGAGACAGAAAGTTGAAAATATTTATTTTCAGGTAATGGCACTTCTCCCCGTACCAATTCCCATCCCATATGCAAAGACTTTTGGCTTCCAGACCATGATATGTATATGTAAATATGTGTATATATGCATGTGTGTATAAATATATATAAAATCTCTGTCTGTATGTATAAACACACATTCATATATATACACACTTCATATACCCACACAGATATATGATAGATATGTATATATAACATAATACATGTATTATCTATATGTGTACTATGTATGTATATATAAAATTTTCGGTAACATGAGGTATAGGGTAGTATTAATTTCTGTGTTTTTGTGTTTACGTAAATTACATGGCAACATAGATACCATTTGATTTTTTACTTTTAATTAACTTTTTAATTTGGAGATTATTATAGATTCATATGCAATAATAAAGAGAGATCCTATATACACTTTAATCAAATTTTCCCAATGGTAATATCTTCTAAAACTATAGTACAATATTGACACCAATATACCAATATATAGTACATTTTAATCACCACAGAGACCTCTCGTGTTGCCTGTTTACAGCCACACCTCCTTCCCTCATACTGTCCCCTACCTTTATCCTCTTCAACAGTTGAAAAAACCATTGATCTGTTCTATATCTCTGTTATTTTGTTATTTTAAGAATGTTGCATAGTATGAACTTATTAAGATTGAATTTTTAAAATCAGTATAATTCTCTGGAAATTAATTCAAGTTGTTGCATGTACCAGTAGTTCATTTATTTTCATGGTTAAGAAACATTCTATGGTATAATAGAGTTTGTTACATCAAAAGACATCTGGGATTTTTCTCCCTTCTTGCTGTTACAAATAGAGCTAATATGACCATTTCTGTGCAGGTTTCTGTGTGAACATAAGTTTTCATCTCTCTGTGATAGATATCAAGGAGTACAAATGCTGGGCTATATGATAGTATCACGTTTAGTTTTTTATTTAACTGCAAACTGTTTTTCAGAGGCCTTTGCCAGATATGTGACTTGCAAATATTTTCTCTGAGTCTGTAACTTGTCCCTTCTGTCATTTTACAGGATATTCGGAGGATCAAAGATCTTAATTTTGATGAGGGCTAATTTATCAGTTTTTCCTCTTACAAATTATACTTTTGGTGTTGAGTCTAAGAAGAAACTTGACTAGTCCCAGGTTCCACGTACTTTCTCTTACGTTCTTTCTATAAATGTTAAAATTTCAGCCAGCTGCAGTGGCTCATGCCTGTATCCTACAGCTTTGGGAGACTAAGGTGGGAGAATCACTTGAGGCCAGGAGTTCAAGACCAGCCTGGGCAAGACAACAAGAACTTACCTTTACAAAACATTTTAGCTGGGAGTGGTGGCACATACCTGTAGTCCTAGCTACTCGAGAGGCTGAGGCAGAAGGATGGCTTGAGCCTAGGAGTTTGAGGTTACAGTGAGCTGTGATCAAGCCACTGTACTCCAACCTGGGTGAGAGAGCAAGACCCTGTTTCTAAAAATAAACAAGTAAATGTTAAAATTTCACATTTTACATTCAAGTTTATGCTTCGTTTTTGTATAAGTTAACTTTATATAAGGTGTGAGATATAGGTCAGGTTTTCTTTATCATCAACGGATGCCCGGTTTCTTCAGCACCATTTATTGAAAAGGCAATTTTTCCTCCATTGAACATTTTCTCCTTTGTCAAGAACTAATTTGGATATATTTGTGTGGGCCGACTTCTGGATTCCCTATTCTAGTCCATTAATCTTTGTGTCTATCTCTCTGTCAGTGTCATACTCTGTTGATTACCTCAGCTATATAGTAAGTCTGAATATCAAGAAGAGTAATTTATCCCACTCCACTTTTATTTTTCAAATTATTTTGAAAAATAAAGGTCTAGGGCCTTTCCCTTTTCATATAAATTTTAGAATAGGCTTGTCATATTCTAAATTGTCTACATGAAACTTGCTGATATTTTGACGGAAATTATGATAAACATATAGATAAATTTAGGGAAATTGATATCTTAATTATGTGGAGTTTTCCAGTCCATGAAAATGGTATGTTCTCACCAAGTATTTAAGTTTTCTTTGATTTTTTCCTCAATATTTTATAATTTTCACTACAGATCCCATACATGTTTTGTTACATTTATACCAAAATATTTCATTTTCTTTTAAGAAATTGTTAATAGTATTACATATTTTAGTTTCCACTTGTTCTTTGTCAATATACAGAAATACATTGAGTTTTGTGCACTAATCATTTATCATAGATTCTGTGACCCTATTAAACTGCTCTGGTGGGGGTGGTTTTTTGGAGATTTCTTGGAACTTTGTATATAGACATGATGTCATTTGCACATAGACATAGATTCATTTATTTCCCAATTTGTATTATTTTTGTTTCTTTTTCATGCTTTGTTACTGCAAAGGCTAAAATTTATAGTACCATGTTAAATAATAGTGATGGAAATAGATATCCTTGCCTTGTTTCTGATCTTAGAGGGAAAGGATTCAACCTTTAACCATTAAGCATGATTTTTGCTGTAGATTATTTGTAGATACTCTTTATAAGGTTGGAATAGTTGCCCTTTATTTCTAGTATACTGAGAGTTTTTATCATATATAGAAGTTAAATGTCGTTTAATGCTCTTTTCTGTGTCAATTGATATGATTATGTAATTTTTCTTCTTTAGTCAGTTGTTTCGATAAATTATGTTGGTTGATTTTTGAATATTGAACATATTTGCATATGTGGAATAAAGTCCACTTGGCCATGATGTATTATGACATTTGGTTAAATTTGTTAAGATTTTATTGAATTCTGCTTTTGACTAGGATATGGGTTACAGATATGTGGAAGCTATGACCAACAGATTTCATTTTTCCTGTCAGGTGTGGACTGCCCTAATTGTGTAAAGGTAAAAGTGATTTTAGGGGTACTGGAAAGGGTCTTACCATAATGTTCTCATGCTTTCTGATGACTAAAAAATTTTAAGAAGGAATAAATTATTTTATTCCACAGTCAGAAATAAACAACTTGAATTTTAAAAATCTATGGGCAAAATAGTATATTGGCACGTTTTATTTAACCCTGGGGGAAGTAGTGATAGACATCTCCAACTTTGGCTACCGTGAACAGCAATGTGTAGAAATGTTGGCTATTTGCCACTCCCCCTTGTCACCCATTATCCCTCCATTTCTCTTCTCTGACTCTTTCTTTCATTTTTCTTTTATTTTAGGTTTAGGTTCAGGGGGTACATGTGGAGGTTTGTTACATGGGTAAATTGAGAGTCATGGGGGCTTGATGTACAGATTATTTCATCACCCAGGTATTAACAGGTTATTTCATCAGCCAGGTAATCCACTATCTGATGGATAGCTTTTCATTCCTCACCCACCTCCAACCCTCCACCCTGCCATTTATTGTTTGCTACTTTGCAGGCCCTGGTGTTTATTGTTCCCTGCTTTGTGTCCACGTATACTAAATAATTAGCTCCCAATTATAAGTGAGAACATGCGATATTTGGTTTTCCGGTCCTGCATTAATTCACTTAGGATAATGGCCTGCAGCTGCATCCATGTTGCTTCCAAGAACATGATCTAGTTCTTTTTCATGGCTGCATGGTATTCCATGACATATGTGTAACATATTTTCTTTATTCAGTCCACCATTGATGAGCATTTAGGTTGATTCCATGTCTTTGCTATTGTGAATATTGCTTCAATGAACATATATGTGAATGTGTTTTTATGGTAAAACTATATTCCTTTGGGTATATACCCAGTAATGGGATTGCTGGGTTGAATAGTAGTTCTAAGTTATTTGAGAAATCTCCAAACCGCTTTCCACAGTGGCTGAACTAATTTATATTCCCACCAGCAGTGTATAATTGTTTCTCCACAACTTGCCAGCACCTGTTATTTTTTGACTTTTTAATAATAGCCATTCTGACTGATGTGAGATGGTATCTCATTGTGGTTTTGATTTGCATTCTCTAATAATCAGTGATATTAAGCTTTTTTCATATGTTTGTTGACTGCATGTATGTTTTCTTTTGAAAAGCATCCTTTGATGTCCTATGATCATTTTTTAATGGAGTTGTTTGTTTTTTGCTTGTTAATTTGTGTAAGTTCCTTGTAGATTCCTGATATTAGACCTTTGTCAGATGCACAGTTTGTGAATATTTTCTCCCATTCTGTAGGTTCTCTGTTTACTCTGTTGCTAGTTTCTTTTGCTGTGCAGAAGCTCTTTAGTTTAATTAGATCCAATTTGTCAATTTTGGTTTTAGTTGCAATTTCTTTTGGCACCTATCATGAAATCTTCACTAGGGCCTATCTCCAGAATGATATTTTCCAGGTTTTCTTCTAGGGTTTTTAAAATTTGGGGTTTTACATTTAAGTCTTAATCCATCTTGAGTTGATTTTTCTATATGTTGAAAGGAAGGGGTCCAGTTCTAATCTTCTGCATATGGCTAGCCAGTTATCCCAGCACCATTTATTGAATAGGGAGTCCTCTCCCCATTGATCGTTTTTGTCAAGTTTATCAAAGATCAGATGGTTGTAGGTATGTGACTTTATTTCTGGGCTTTTTATTCTGTTCCATTGGTCTATGTGTTTGTTTTTGTACTAGTACCATACTGTTTTGGTTACTGTAGCCTCATAATATAGTTCGAAGTTGGGTAATGTGATGCCTCTGGCTTTGTTCATTTTGTTTAGGATTGCTTTGCCTATTCAGACTCTTTTGTGGTTTCAAATGAATTTTAGAATAGTTTTTTTTAATTCTGTGAAAAAACGTCACTGGTAGTTTGATAGAAATAACAGTGAATCTGTAAATTGTTGAGGAGTATGGCCATTTTAACAATATTGATTATTCCTGTCCACGGGCATGACATGTTTTTTCCATTTGTTTGTGTCATCTGTGATTTTTTTCAGCAGTGTTTCATAATTCTTATTGTAGAATTCACCTCCCTGGCTAGCTATATTCCTAGGTGTTTTGTTATTTTTTTGTGTGGCTATTGTGGGGATTGCATTCTTAATTTGGCTGTCAGCTTGCATGTGGGTATACAAAAATGCTATTGATTTTTGTACATTGATTTTTTATCCTGAAACTTTGCTGAAGTTGTTTATGAGACATATGAGCTTTGGGCTGAGACTATGGGGTTTTCTAGATACAAAATTATATTGTGTGCAACAGAGATAGTTTGACTTCCTCTCCTCCCAGGTGGATGCCTTTAATTTCTTTTTCTTGCCCAATTGCTCTGGCTAGGACTTGCAGTACTATGTTGAACAGGAGTGGTAAGAGAGGTTATCCTTGTCTTGTTCCGGTTTTCAAGGGGAATGCTTCCTGCTTTTGCCCATTCAGTATGATGTTGGTTGTGGGTTTGTTACACATGCCTCTTATTATTTTGAGTTATGTTCCTTCAGTATCTAGTTTGCTGAGGTTTTTTTTTTTTTTAACATGAAGGGATGTTGAATTTTATCAAAAGCCTTTTCTGTGTCTATTGAGATGATCATATGGTTTCTGTTTTTAGTTCTGTTTATGTGGTGAATCACATTTATTGATTTGTGTATACTGAACCAACCTTTCATCTCAGGATTAAAGCTTAATTGATCATGGCAGATTAGCTTTTTGATGTGCTGCTGGATTTGGTTTGCTAGTATTTTGTTGAGGATTTTTGCATATGTGTTCATTAGGGATATTGGCCTAAAGTTTTCTTTGTGTGTGTGTGTGTCTGCCATGTTCTGATATCGGAATGATGCTGGCCTCATAGAATGAATTGGGGAGAAGTCCCTCCTCCTCAATTTTTGTAATAGTTTCAGTAGGATTCGTATCAGCTCTTCTTTATATGCATGGCAGAATTCAGCTGTGAATTCATCTGGTCCAGTGATTTTTATGGTTGGTAGGCTTTTTATTACTGATTCAATCTTGAAACCCATTATTGATCTATTCAGGGTTTCTATTTCTTCCTGTTTCAATCTTGGGAGGTTGTATGTTTCCAGGAATTTATTCATTTCATCTAGATTTTCTAGTTTGTGTGCATAGAGGTGTTCATAATAGTCTCTGAGGGGTATTTTTTTTGTATTTTTGTGGGGTCATTGGTAATGTTCCCTTTGTCATTTCTGATTGTGTTTATTTGGATCTTCTCTTTTTCTTTATTAGTCTGTCTAGCAGTCTATCAGTCTTATGTACTGTTTCAAGGAACCAACTTTTGTTGATCTTTTGTATGGTTTTATATGTCTCAGTTTCATTCAGTTCAGCACTGATTTTGATTATTTCTTTTCTTCTGCTAGCTTTGGAGTTGGTTTGCTCTTGTTTTTCTGGTTCCTCTAGGTGATGTTAAGTTGTTAATTTGAGATCTTTATAACTTTTTGATGTGGTCATTTGGTGCTATAAACTTTCCTTTTAACGTTGCTTTAGCTGTGTCCCAGAGATTCTGGTATGTTGTGTCTTTGTTTTTATGAGTTTCAAAGAATTTCTTGATTTCTGCCTTAATTTCATTGTTTACCCAAAAGTCATTCAGAAACACGTTGTTTAATTTGCACGTAATTGTATAGTTTTGAGTGATCTTCTTAGTATTGATTTCCATTTTCATTGTGCTATGGTCCAAGAGTGTGGTTGGTATGATTTCGATTTTTTTGAATTTGTTGAGAATGGTTTTATGGCTGATCATGTGGTTGATTTTAGTGTATATGCCATGTGCAGATGGGAATGGGAAGAATGTATATTCTGTTGCTAGATGGAGTGTTTTTTAAATGTCTGTTATGTTCATTTGGTCAAGTGTTGAGTTTAGCTCCCAAATATCTTTGTGAATTTTCTGCCTTTGTCTACTACTGTCAGTGGGGTGTTGAAGTGCCCCACTTTTACTGTGTGGTTATCTAAGTCTCTTCATAGGTCTCTAAGAATTTGTTTTATATATCAGGGTGCTCCAGTGTTGGGTGCATATATATTTAGGATAGTTAGGTTTTCTTTTTGAATTGAGCCCTATAATAGGTTTTCTTTTTGAATTGAGCCCTATATCATTATATAATGCCTTTCTTTGTCTTTTCTGATCTTTACTGGTTTAAAGTTTGTCTGTAATTAGAAACGGAAACTCTCGTGTTTTTGTTTTGTTTTCTGTTTACTTGGTAGACTCTTTTCTTCATCCCTTTACTTTAAGGATATTGGTGTCATTGAATGTGAGATGGGTCTCTTGAAGACAGCTTACAGTTGGATCTTGCACCTTTATCCAACTTGCTACTCTGTGCCTTTTAAGTAGGGGCATTTAGCCCATTGACATTCATGGTTTATAGTGATATGTGTAGCTCTGATCCTATTATCATGTTGTTAGCTGGTTGCTATGCAGACTTGATTGTGTAGTTGCTTTATAGTGTTAATGATCTTTTTACTTAAATATGTTTTTGTGGTAGCTGGTAATGGTCTTTTGTTTCCATGTTTAACACTCCCTTAATGATCTCTTGTAAGGCAGGTCTGGTGGTAACAGTTTCCCTTAGCATTTACTTGTCTGAAAAAGATCTTATTTCTTATTTGCTTATGAAGCTTAGTTTGGCTGGATATGAAATTCTTGGTTGGAATTTCTCTTCTTTAAGAATACTGAATAGAGGACCTCATTGTCTTCTGGCTTATAGGTTTTTTGCAGAAAGCTTTGCTGCTAATCTGATGAGGTTCCCTTGTAGGTGATTTGCCCCTTCTTGTTAGCTGCCTTTAATATTTTTTTTCTTTTACATTGATCTTGGAAAATCTGATGACTGTGTCTTGGAGATGGTTATCTTTTATAATATCACACAGGGGTTATCTGCATTTCCTGAATTTGAATGTTCATCTCTCTAATGAGGTTGGGAAAATTCTTGTGAACAACATCCTGTAATATGTTTTCCAAGTTGCTTGTTCTCTCTCCTTTTCTTTCAGGAATGCCAATGTGTCATAGGTTTGGTCTCTTTATATAATCGCATATTTCTTAGAGGTTTCATTCATTTTTATTTTTGTCTAAGTTGATTTAAAGAACCCGTATTCGAGTTGTGGAATTCTTTCCATAGCTTGGCCTATTCTGCTATTAATACTTCTGATTATTATGAAATTCTTTTAGTAAGTTTTCCAGCTGTATCTATCAGTGTGGTTCTTTCTTAAAATGGCTATTTCAATGTTCAGCTGTTGTATTGTTTTATTGGATTCCTGAGATTCCTTGGATTGGGTTATGACATTCTCCTGAGTTTCAATGATCTTCATTTTTATCCAGATTCTGAATTCTATGTCTGTCATTTCTGTCACTTAGTCATTTCAACCTGGTTATGAACCATTGGTGGGAAACTAGTGTGGTCATTTGGTGGTAAGAAGACACTATGGCTTTTTGAGTTATTAGATTCTTGCATTGGTTCTTTCTCATCTGTGTGAGTTGATATTTCTTTAATCTTTGAAGTTCCTATCCTTTGGAGTTTTTTGCTTTTATGCTCTTTGATGCCCTTGAGGATTTCACCGTGATATTAGGTGGGTTTGTAACTGCCCAGTGGGTTCACTTTGCCTACTGCCTAGACAGAGCCCATTTATCAAGACAAGGGAATTGCAATGGTGAAAGAGTAATTCACACAGAGCTGGCTGTGTGGGAGACTGGAGTTTTATTATTACTTAAATCAGTCTCCCAGAGCATTCGGGGATCAGAGTTTTTAAAGATAATTTGGTTGGTAGTGGTTTGGGAAGTGGGGAGTGATGACTGGTCAGGTTGAAGGTGGAGTCATAGGGGGTCAAAGTTATGTTTTCTTAATGTCTTCTGTTCCTGGGTGGGTGCTATGGCAGAACTGGTTGGGCCATATTACTGCTCTGGGTGATGTCAGCTGATCCACTGAGTGCAGGGTCTGCAGAATATCTCAAGCACTGATCTTAGGTTTTACAATAGTGACGTTATCCCCCAGAGCAATTTGGGGAGGTTCAGATTCTTGGAGCCAGAGGCTGCATTACCCCTAAATTGTAATTTCTGATCTTATAGCTAATTTGTTAGCCCTGCAAAGGCAGACTGGACCCCAGGCAAGAAGGGAGTCTTTTTGGGAAAGGGCTATTATCAATTTTGTTTCAGAGTCAAACCATGAACTAAATTCCTTCCCAAAGTTAGTTCAGCCTGTGCCCAGAAATGAACAAGGACAGCTTAAGTGTTAGAAGCAAGATAGAGTCGGTTAGGTTTGATTTCTTTCACTGTCATAATTTCCTCAGTTATAATTTTGCAAAGACAGTTTCAAACCATCCCTTTGGGTTTTATAATCTTAATCTTAATCTACACCTTAATCTATACCTTAATCTTAAAGTGTAGGCTACAAAGATGAGAAAAGCCTATCGATCGCTCTCGCTTCTTCCTGCTGACATGGGACGTAATGGGAATGGAAGTGAACTCCAAGGTGGGAAGAGTGGAACTGCTTTGCAACTGTCTGAGTGTACTCATGCAGGCCTGGCTGTGCTTCCAAGGCTTGCATGGCAAAAGTATTAGTATTCTCATCTGTAGATTTACTACAATATTTAAGTGAATCACCTACTATAAGATAAATAATAAGTCCTAGGATGAGGGGTACAATTCTGAACTTTAAAAGCAAAGATTGGAGAGAATTCGTTTGGGGACTTTTAACCCACAAATAATTTAGGATTTAGTCCAAACTGTAGACAAAACTTAAGGATGGCTAAGAAGAGGTGTATTATAGGTTTTCTTTTGAAGCATATTTTTTCTCTCTTTAGACCCCATTTGTATAAAGAACAAATCATGATAGAACTGATTTGTTTACAAAAATAAACTTTAGTTTTACTGTACTTGCCTGATTATTTGCATAAAGTATAGCAAGAATACTTATTTTTCACTTAGGCTCTTTTTTTTGCTGTTTAAATTGGCTTTGATGGAACTTTGTTCCATGAGGAATCTCAGAGAAGACTTTTTAAAAGTCGAGCCCAGCCACGGGTTCGTCCCCTCAAATACCTATAAGTTGGGTAAATTCCTCTCCTCTCAAGGTCCCAAGATAACTTGGAGCTCCTGAACCTGTTAGAAAGTGACATTATTTACTTACCACAGGTCAGGAACCTTGTATAGGGACTCTGTGTAGACAAGGTATGGGGCCAGAGTCTCCAAGGGGCTTTTATTGCCTCTATAAGTCAACTTTGATTCTTCAAAGGAAGCATGCCATTCCAGTCAAAGCCTTGGTAAAATAACCAATTTTTCCAATTGTGCCCTGGTCAAAAGAAAACAGATTTTTACTGCCCTTATGCAATTAACTATACTGCCATAAATTGAGAATACTTACAAATGTTTTCCAAATTCTGGAGAAATCAGGTAGAGAGAAACAAATGTGCTCCAAAATTTTTTCACAGGAGTATATTTTACTCATGTGTTAAAAGTTGCAAATAGCTGTAAAGAAATAAATTGTCTTGACTCTGAAGATAAAATGATTAGCAATGTTTAACACATCAGCTTTCCATGAGAGTCCTAGAAGTTTCGTTTTTCCCTCTATTCCAATAGCACAATTTTTAAAGTTATCTGAGACCTGCACTCAGAATCTTATATCTGATTATAAACTGCCTTTTGAAAAGAACCAAAAGCAAGACAAAATGTCTGTGGATGACAGAAGTGTATAGCCACTATTAAAGCTGCAATTGACTAGGAATTTTGGCTATTTCTGTGGCATACAACAATTTTACATAACAATTATAATTATTAATAATGCACACTAAATCATATCAGAATTATAGAAGTTTCCCATAATTTCTGGAACACATGTTCATAACATATTAATACAAATACAGCCCAAAGAAACCAAACACCATTCACTCTTCTATTTGAAAGTTTTTCCTCTATTCTAATGTCACAATCTCCAGAGTTATTAATCAGACACTTGCATTTAAGAGCACCTGTTTAATTTTATAGCTGATTACAAAACCATCTATTAAAGAGGACCAAAATTATACAACAATTGTCTGTGGATGACAAAAGCATCTTAGGGTAGCTGCAGTTAAAGACACAATTGACAAAGAAATGTGTTACCTCTATAGCACACAGTCATTTAACATAATAATTATAATTATTTTTGATAACATATACTAAGTCATATTAGAATTATGAGTTTTAAATAATTTTGCAACATATACCATCTAGCCCAAAGAAAGCCAAACACCATTTCATATTTGACAATGCTTCCTGTATAACTTCTATGCCAAATAAGCCAAATACCATTTTTGGACTTTAGGGGAACTAATGTCTAAAATATTAGGTTAGGAAGAGACATAATTTACAATTTGATTTTGGAAAGTTTGTCAAATATCAAAGGTTTAAAACACTGGATATCACAAAATAAAATCCCAGGTCACCATAAGTCATTCATTTGGCCAAAATGATAACTCTAAAATTAAAAAAAAAGAAAACCTTTACTCTGATAGAGCACTTAGCTTTCCAAACAAGACCCAATAAAGACAGTATGAGGCTAACCGAATTTGCCTCTTCTCTCTCCTCCCCCTTTTTTTCCTGCCATTTACCCAAAGGGGCAAACAAAAACTTTCTATTATTTTTTAATATTACATAAAAATATCTTCAAAAGACAAAACCAAATTTCATGTTTGCATTAGTGCATGTTTCATGCTAAGTCTGGTTTAAAAAAAATTATAAATGTACCCAGTTTTAATTAGTTTGACCACAAGGTAAGACTTTTATAAACTTTTTAGAAACCTTTACAATTTTTCCATCAAGCAGCAGATTAATTTTCTAAGAAAACCCTGTCGTTCGGACACATGGGCCCAGATTTTGGCCCCACATGAGTATGATTTTAATATTTTAATCTATGGAAAAAAAGCTAAGTAATTTATTTCAAATCTTAGACAACTTTTTTATACCCACAGAATCTTTACAAGATCAACCCTTTACAAACCCTTCTCACTTTGCTTAAACCTTCAGTTTTGTCCCATTACTCTTTTAGATTAAGACAATTTTTAAAACCCTCTGAACTAGACAAAATTACATTTCCTTTAACGAAAGCCATATTCCCATGCCTTCTGATAATCTTTTACCAAAAACACATTCCCTACACACATTGTATGTAAAACTGTTTCTCCAGTGGTCTTAATTACATGTTACACTGTTAGCTCTTAGCAACTGCTATTTTTAGTGAAAAACCTGAACAGTAAGCAATTTTAATTATATACTAGGGGTGGAGCCTAGGACATTAGACAGAAATGAAGATAAGGTCTGACTTTTTTCAGCAGGTAAATTGAGCAATATCCAAAAGTCAACAAAACAGTTTGACCTTAAAGCATTTAGCAAATCTGATATCTGACCTTAATTTAGACCAAATATCTACATTTTCAAGATATTTTATTTTACCAATAATCTTTAAAGCTATCTTTATTTCTAAAAGATTACTGATGTCATGTGAACTAAAGGCATTAAAGTTTCTATTTTTTCTGGCAAAATGTTTGATTTAAGCACTTATTTTTCTAAGCCAATTAATCAGAGCTTTTTATATAAACATACAACACATAACATATATAAATACACAGACAGAGAGAAAATTCAGCACCTGTAAGATTTTTGATTTGCCAGGTTTTTAATTGCATTACTGGCTTCAGGGTAGAACCCTTGGAGGAACAGGGGCAGGAAAGCATGCGTTCCTTTTGGGAGGTCAAATAAGCATGCAGAGCTGAAGGCAAAGACAGATCCCCAAAATTGAGGATGCCATTTTATATTGGATCCTGGATCCCCAAAAGGAGGGAAATACTATGGGAGAAGAGAGTGCAGCACTTCTGTTCCTGGAACCAAGCCAGGTCCGGCTGCATTTTCTTGAGACCCAATAACGAGAAGCAGACAAACTAAGAAAGAAGGGAATTTATTGCTGTAACCAGATACAGGGAGAAGGCTGGAGATAATTCCACCAGACCAACTCAAAGTGTTATAATTTTCTTAGTGCTCATATAGGTTGGTGTTATGTGTCTACATGCAATATAGCATTTGCCTAAGTCTATTGGTAACTAATTTTGTTTCAACTGCAAGGTCAGAGGCAAAAAGTGCTTGCTAAGTCTGATTAAAAGGGCCCCAGTACCTTCAAGGCCTGTCTACTGTGGTACCGGAGTGATTATCTCTACCTCATCTCCTTTACGGCTTGGTGGGGAGAGCTGCCTTAGACTCTCCAACGAATCTATTCAAACAGCTGCCTCTGTTACCTTGACTTGTCTCAGATTCTGTCGACCTGAAATGTGTCCTGGAACTAGGAATGTAAGACTGTCTCTACTATTTTGTTTGCTCCAGGTTAGGGAGAAGCCTATGCAAGGCTCCTGCTGACCATATGTTTCATTTCTAGCTCTGATGTCTGGCCACTGATTTCCCTCAGTTTAACCATTTGCTCAATGTTAAGGCAGTGCTGTGGAAATCTGTCTGTGTAACTGGAGTGCTATGCAGGCCTGTCTGTGTGACTGTCATGCAGGCCTGTTTGCATGATTGTCAGGGAGAATTGGCCTGCCACAATTCTAACCCACATTTTATTGCAAGGTAACCCAAAGCCAATCAGTCCATTTTGTAATCAGCCCATCCCCCATGGGAATCTCATCTCTCAGTGGGGGTGGGGATGTTTCCATATCTTCCAGGTGGCCAAGAGCATGCTTCTCTGATCCAAGTGTGCAAAGAGTCAAGTATCCCTCCAAAAATACTTTTAGCCATCCCTTAAAGTATATTTCCTACCTAGTTATTACACACCAAAGTGCTGTCATGATGCCAAGTAATTTCTGATACCCCCAAAACTCAAACCATCAGATAACACAATGCAAAACGGAACAGAGTCTTTGATTTTGAAAAGGATCTATCCACTTTTAATTCCTGGGGTTTCATGAATAAAACAGATGGTTTTGTTTGTTTGTTTGTTTTGTGTTTTTTTGTTTTTTTTCCCAAACTGGGTCTGTCACGCCTCCTCTGTTTTTCTCAAGAAATCCCAGGCTACCAGAAGTGATCTTAGGGCCTCTCATATGTGCATTAAGAGTGGCAAGATGAAAAATGGAGAAAAATAATTCAGTCGACTGAGAAGAAAAAAACCGTTTTTAGAAAAACAAGATCCAAGAAGAGAAAAACATAAAGGTCTTTTAAATGTATCCATAGCTTGTTTATTCACTTTTAATTAAGCTGACTTTTAACCATAGTGCTCTTTAAAAAACCTTTTAAATTTCTTATTAGCCAAATTTAGCCACGCTGCAAATATTTCTGGCTTTTGAACTTTACCAACGGTAATGTCCCAGGTGCTTCAAAAACATGGTAAACAGTTTCTTTTTACAAGATTTAGAATTTCCCCAAGGTAGTTCAGAGAAAGGACAGTTCAAAGGAGGAAATCAGAAGCTATCCATTGCGGGGTGGGGAACCTCAATAAATGGCAAAGTTATGCAAATAACAAACCAGAAAGGAATTATTCTGGAAGCCAAGAATAGAACCCAGGCCACTATTGTCAAAGGGCAAAGCCTTAGCTACTGAGTTAGAGCATTGAGCAGTTTCTATTGCTTTTCCCAGAAGGAGCCTAGAGAAGCCAATTTCAAGCTTGAAAAGGCTTTTAACTGCTCAAGATATTTTTTAGGGCTAAGTATGACATGAATCTGAAAATTCCTGTCCTCTGGATGGTGGAAACCAAGAGAAAGTATCCCCACATGGTCACAAGTTTAAGCTCTTAAGGACACAAACAAGACAGAGAAATTTCATACAGTACTGATTTCAGAGACTCCTAGCAAAGTTTATAACTGACCAGCCTGCTAAGCTGGCTTGAAACGCAGGCTTATAGGGGTCCTAAACCCATGTTCTATCCTGTGACACCCCTCTCTCCATTACAGAACACAGAAAGACAAATTCCTAGCACAAAATACACCAGATTTGCTACAGCCTGAGACTAGTATCACAAATCCTTTTTTCTATTAATCAAACCCTTGCAGAGAGATGAATAGTGACGTTTACTCTTCACACAGATGGAGTAAGAGAGAGAAAGACCAGAAACTCAGCTGGTAAGAATTTCTTACCCTTTTTGCTGGCATACCAGGTTTCCAGTTCTCTTTTCTCTGCAGCTTCCAGAAGAACGGAGTGGCTTCTGATGACCCTGATCGCTTGTGCCACAGCTGTGGGGTTCAAGCCACTTTACGAGAGAAAAATCACCCTTTTTTTGTTTTATGGAACCACAGGCAAGATTCTTAATTTGCAAGATGTTGCCCAATGGGCTGCCTGGGGAACCGAATTAATATTTTCCATCCCAGCAAAATACACATAACAAAACAGACACTAGTCACCTCATTCAGCATGCAGTATCAGCCTGGCAAAGCTCAAACTTTTTCCCGTTGGTCCCCATTGTCTTTGATCCACTCAAGGTGGGGAGAGACAACCTTGGAATGGTAATTCACAATGGGGTCTCTGGGCAAGGCGAAGAGCAGTCATCCCGAGATAGGCCTTTGAGCTTTCTTCAGGGCTCACTGAATGTAACCAGACAAACAAGGAGGGAAGGAGGGTTCTCTGAGTTAGGCCTGCTGGACTTCAGCAATTCCTTCTCAGACCCCTCCACATGTGCAAACACACACAAAGATGAGACAGAAGGCCTTCCAAATCAAATGATCCCTAACCAAGAACTCCAAGAGTATCCCTTCCAAACTATCCTCCTATTCTCCACTTAAGAAACCTCCTCGAAGTGTTCCTGATTGAGAAGTCTCTGAAACCAAGACTCTTTCTACTAGTTAGAAAGAGCCAACTGAGACCGCCCAGGAGCCAGACAACCCACAGTGGGATTACAGACACAGATACCTCATGGTGGAGCTACAAACAGACACCCCGCAACGGAGCTACAGACACCCCACCACAGGGCTACAGAACCGGTCAGGAGAAGGAAGGAGGCGTTGGCAGTGGCTAGGATACTCATCAATCCAGACACCTGGCAATGGGGCTACAGACAGACAGATACCCCACAATAGGGCTACAGGCAGACACTCTATGATAGGGCTATAGTTAGGGGATGTCTCCCCACGATTATTTCTCCATTGCAATTAAATCCATGGGCATTGAGTTAGCAGTGCCCAGCCAGTAGAGAGAGTACCAGAGCCAGCCCCCAGTCCAAGAGAACTAGGCAGCCACTTGGGCTGGCTTCTGGATCCATCGCTGGAGTCGGGGGCCACCGAACAACAGGCAGGTAGCCACAAGAGCTTTCCCGGCTGACACGCCAAATTTGTAACCACCCAGTGCGTTCACCTTGCCTGCTGCCCAGACAGAGCCCATTTATCAAGACAGCGGAATTGCAATGGTGAAAGAGTGATTCATGCAGAGTCAGCTGTGTGGGACACCAGTCTTATTATTACTCAAATCAGTCTCCCTGAGCATTCGGGGATCAGAGTTTTTAAAGCTAATTTGGCAGGTAGGGACTTGAGAAGTGGGGAGTGCTGATTGGTCAGGTTGGAGATGGAATCACAGGGGGTCGAAGTTAGGTTTTGTTAATGTCTTCTATTCCCGGGTGGGTGTGATGGCAGAACTGGTTGGGCCAGATTACTGCTCTGGGTGATGTCAGCTGATTCATCGAGTGCAGGGTCTGCAAAATATCTCAAGCACTGATCTTAGGTCTTACAATAGCGATGTTATCCCCAGGAGCAACTTGGGGGTTCAGACTCTTGGAGCCAGAGGCTGCATGACCCCTAAATTGTAATTTTTAATCTTGTAGCTAATTTGTGAGTCCTGTAAAGGCAGACTGGACCCCAGGCAAGAAGGGAGTCTTTTTGGGAAAGGGCTATTATCAATTTTGTTTCAGAGTCAAACCATGAACTGAATTCCTTCCCAAAGTTAGTTTGGCCTATGCCCGGGAATCAACAAGGACAGCTTAAGGGTTAGAAACAAGATAGAGTCAGTGGGGTCTGATTTCTTTCGCTGTCATAATTTCCTCAGTTATAATTTTGCAAAGGCAGTTTCAGGTTCATTTGACTGGCTTTGCTTCTGGAAGAATTCAGGGAGCAAGGGCTCAGTTAAGCACCCTGGCTGCATTCTATAACCCTGGGTGGCTAGTACCAGGCCCACGGCTTTGCTTTCTGGCCCCTCAAGGTTAAGCACCTGCTACAGTACTGGAGGTGCTGAGGTGTTTCCAGAGTGTTGGCAATAACACTGTAATGGAGGATACCGGCCAAAGCACTTCATCAGGTGGTGGCAGAGGGCTCTGCACTCGTACACATGTGCACTGATCAGGGCAGGGTGGTGACAAATGTTCACACATGCAAGTGCCAGCCAGGTGGTGAGGCCGTGGGTGCGTGTCAGGGAAGCCTGCAGACAGGCTGCAGTGGGAGGAGGCTGTGGGTGCATGGGTAGGCATTGGCTGGTACACATCTGCTGGATCTTACCAACAGTTAGGTGAGGTCTGGTAGTAAAAGACCTATGGCAGCAGCCACCAGGAAGCACCCCAGTGGGCATCTGAGACTGGGCTGCAAGCAGATGCAACCAGGCAGGGACCCCAGAAGAGGGTGCAGAGAGGGAGGTGCTCATATCAGACTGGTCCTGTCCAATGGGCAAGAGTGCCCTGCTCTGTCAAGGTTTGACAGTCAGCAAAGGCTAGAGTCATCTAGAGGAGTGTGGTGAGCCTTTGGGTATGGGCCTCCCTGGCCATACTCCACCACAGCTGTCCCCACACCAAACCCTCTGAGCTCTGCACAAGCTGGAGTCCTGTCCCTGCCACCTATACAAAGAGCTCTCCCTCTCAGCTCCAATGTCCATGACAGTAGTGGGGTCTCCTGCAGCTAGAATTCCAGAAGTCTATGGTAAGACTGGGCCACTTCTCACCTATTTAACTTTAAGCCTCTGGGGCCCAGGAATGAGTCTTCATGCTTAGCAGCTCTATGCAGGATTCCAGCTTCCTCTCCCTTCAGCCCAGGGTCTGTATCCTCCCTCTATCCACTCTCAATTCCTTCCTTCCAAAGATCTGTTTGGAGTGTGCCAATCTTCTTGGTCTGGTCTGTTGGTGGGAGAAGCTCTTCTGAGGTGCATCTAGTCAGCCATCTTAGCTCCCCATTCCTTCTCTTTCTTAACACATACCACATCAAATCTCCATTACCAAAACAATCATAAAAATGTTTAAAATTCCAAAAAAATTTTTAAGATTTTAACATAGATGTGGTAACATATAATAAAATGTATAGATCTGAGTTGTTTTGATAGAAGCAAAATAGTTGGTAAAGAGACTCAAGCCCAACTCATTTTTTCTTGCCAACAGTTTAAAAACCACTCTTCTAATCCATGTTCCCCTGGAAAATATGTAGGACGATTGCTTGAGGGGAGAGGAAATCTTCAAGTAAGCCAATTTCTGTTTTGTTAATATCACATAGTTTTGTAAAGTCTGGAGATGAAAGGCTAATCAAAGTTATTGCAAACATTACCCTCTCTTATTACCTTTAGAACCAAAGTAAAATGAAATGATGTGCAAGACTGAAGAAGGAGAATGTCTATGTGGATATGATGTAGATAACACAGTGATCAAAGATAAACTCTCAATCTAAGTTTTGGCTGCAGACAGGATGTTTACTCTGTGGGCCTAAAGACTCTCTCTTTTCCTAGCATTGTTGTCCATCTGTCCCAATGTGAATCCAGTGAACTTTTCACGCTACCACTATCTTTTGAAGAATATATTTTGAGGGGTTGGAGTTAAAGTTTTAGTACTTGTCTCTACATAAATATATGTGATATGTAAGACCAAAAACTAGAACTGACCATATTAAAAATAGAAGTTGTGTTAAGGTGCTGGGGTTATGGGGTTTTATTTTTCCATGAATTTAGACAGTATTCAAATTTAGAGTTTAGTAAACTGTATATTCTATAGCCTTGATAGAAAAAAATGTAACTGGTGTTTCAGTTAGCCTAATTTGCTCCAGAGAGAACACAACAATGAAAGACCAGTTATGGCACAGTAGAAAGAATCCTATATTGAGGCAGGATGTTTATCTTCTATCTGTGGTCCTGGAATTATGAACAATGTAATTTTGAAAAAATAACTTCATATCTCTAGCCACAATTTTCTGTAGAACAGAGCTAATATTTTCCTCAAAAGGGCACATTTTTAGGTGCTTCAAAGATACATCTGCATCTGTCATGTTAGAGGAGAGCAATTTCCTGTATGTAACTAAACTGCTATTTACACCTGATAGAATTTATACATGATAGATAGTGCATGTGAATCCCCCAAGGATCTTATTAAAATGAAGACTAATTCAGCAGACCTAGGGTGGGGATGGAGACTCCACATTTCTAAGGAGCTTCCAGGCAATGGGGATGCTGTGGGTTCAAGCACCACTCTTCAGATGGTAAGCATTTAGACTTCCTGTGCATCTTCCTCTTGGAGAGATCAAGTCACAGACACTGTTAAGAATGTTCTTTCTAGGGAAAGGGAAAGAAAATGTCAGCTTGGAGACTTAGTTTTTATTTCAAATGGCAAAAGAAGCACATACATTATTTTGGGCAGGATTAAAATATAAATGGTTGAATTTGTAATTAAAATGTCAACTCTAAGAAGGCACTAAAAGAATGAAGGCAGTTGATCAAATACCATTCCTTATTTTTAGTGAGATATGCTGGGAGGTAAAGGCAGAGGTCATGGTTTGTTTTGTGCATCTATGCAAAGGGCAACTTGATTATTATCTTGTAATAATTGAGAATCATTTCAGACAATGGTTGGGTTAATAAAATTCTTTTTTTATTGGAAGGTTTCCTCAGCAATGAAAACTTCCATTTTTAATCATTCAAATTTGTACTTCTCATAAATATGGAAATTGGACTAGGAAATTTTTTTTTTTTTTTTTTGAGATGGAGTTTCGCTCTTGTTGCCCAGGCTGGAGTGCAATGGCGCAATCTCGGCTCACTGCAACATCTGCCTTCCAGGTTCAAGTGATTCTCCTGCCTCAGCCTCCCAAGTAACTGTAATTACAGGCATGTGCCACCACGCCTGGCTAAATTTTTTTAATTTTAGTAGAGATGGGGTTTCTCCATGTTGGTCAGGCTGGTCTCGAACTCCCGACCTCAGGTGATCTGCCTGCCTCGGCCTCCCAAAGTGCTGGGATTATAAGCATGAGCCACCACCGCATCCGGTAGGAAATATTTCTTAATGTAGGGGGAGAGGGCATAAAGAGAAATTGATTAATGGGTACAAATATATGGTTTGACAGAGAAAATAAGACTTCATGTTATATAGATCAGCAGGGGAACTATAGTTTACAGTACTCTATTCACAATAATAATCTTTCACAATAGCTAGAATGAAAGAATCAGAATGGTTTTAGCATAAAGAAAAGACAAATATTGGGCCGGCTGTGGTGGCTCATGCCTGTAATCCCAGCATCATGAGGTCAGCAGTTTGAGACCAGTCTGGCCAACATAGTGAAACCCCATCTCTACTAAAAATACAAAAAAATTAGCCAGGTGTGGTGGGGTGCGCCTGTAGTCCCAGCTACTTGGGAGGCTAGGGCAGAAGAATCAAGTGAACCTGGGAGGTAGAGGTGGCAGTGAGTTGAGATCGCCCCATTGCACTCCAGGCCAGGCGACAGTGCGAGACTCGGTCTCAAAAACAAACAAACAAACAGACAAAACCAAATATTTAAGGTCATGAATATCCCAAGTATACAAATGGTAGGAATGTATTATTATGCATCAATAAAAAATAAAAAGAAACTTCTAATTTTTAAAAATTAGTTTACATAAAAAGCAAACTAATTTTAATGAATTTATTAGGATCCAGGATCTCATTCTTAACTTTGTATGTTCAAGACATTGTATTATAAAAGGTTAACCATAATATCAATGTTGTTAATTTACACTAAAAAACAAAACTGTCCATTACAACAGTTGTTTTTTACTTCTAATCAATATATATCTTCATGCAGGCAAACCAGTAATGATGTTATAAGGGAGACATGGTCTCAGGACAGAGGAATTCACTGTATGATCTAAAAGCTCAATATCATCAAATCCTGACAATTTGATGTTTCAGTCTCCATAATGGAGATGCCTCTGCAAGGGGAAAGTGCATGCCCCAATCTGTATGAACAGATGCCACCATTGTTCAGGATTCTGTCTATAATTACCAAAATGGTACATAACTGCTGAATACCAGCCCAATCTGCAAGGGAGATGGGACACTTGGGTCAATCTGTCAGGATACGCTCATCCTTACACAGCAAATGATGGAGTCATTGTTTTTATTCTATGCTTTTTTCTTGACCACCACAGCCTCTCTTTCTAAACACACACTGAATGCTACTTTTTTCTTCCCTTTGGGACAATAGAATAGAATTAATCATCCTCTTCAAATTGTGGCTAAATCAGGTCATTCTAAGACTTCATGTTTATTTGGTGATATTTTATTATTATTTTTCCACCAGCTCCTGTGCCCATTTCCATTTCCCCATCTCTTTAATAGGCACACACTCCAGTATTTGTAATGTATGTTATTCCAGTCCACTTTCCATATGTGTACTGAGCTTTGAAAAATGTAAGATGTGATTTTGACAGTTTTATATACATATACATTTTATGCCAAAAATAAAAGTTATAATTGCATTCTCTTTCTTACAATTTGTGTGCAACATTCTGTTCTTGATGACCATTAATGTTAGAAAGTCTAGTTCAAAACTTCTGACTTTTACAACAGTAGTTCCACTCTGTGTGTATATTACATGTGAGGTAGCCATTCCACTAGCAATGATCATGTGAGTTATTTCTACCTTGCTACCACAAGCTATACTATGTGAGCATATGGCACACTCAATCTTTTGATAGAACTTCCTGGTGTCTATATTCAAGAGTGAAATTGCTAGATTAAAACATATATACATGCATTTAACATTTTCTATTAGGTTTCCAGTATTTTTCTTGCTCATTTTAGGAGTTTTTTGTGTATTCGCAATATTAACTCTTGTCAGTTATAAAAATTGCAAATACTTTTCTCAGCCTGTCTTCTATTTATTTGTTTTGTCTAGGGGGTCTTTCATTGAAAAACAACTAAATTTTGATGTAGTCAAATGTGCATATTTCTTCTCATGGCTTGCCTTTTTAGGGTGAGTATGGTTTACAATAATCTATTGTATATTTCAAATTAGCTAGAGAAGAAGAATTTGAGTGATACTATTATAAAGAAAAACAAATCTTTAAGGTGTTGGGTATACCAATTCAATCTTTACAAATATATGAATGTATTACATTATCACACGTCTCCCCAAACCAGATACATCTACTATGCATCAATTTTTAAAAAAGGATTTTTTCCCTGATTACAATCACAGAGATATCATCTTGTGTCTTTTTCTTCATTATTTTACATTTACATTTTTACTTATCTAAAATTTATTTTAATATATGGTAAGAGATAGATATCTGACCTTATTTTTTCTTCATATAATGACCAATTATCCTGACAGCATTTATATAATTACTTCATTCTCTTCCAAATTGAAGTTACCAAAATATCATATACTAAGTCACGTGGCTACAGAAGTCCACTTGTGAATTCCCTTTTTGCTCTACTGGTCGGTTTATCTGATCTGTTCTAGTACCATACTATTTTAATTATATGACTTTGTAATATAGCTTGAGTACAAACCAGAGATGTAATGTCATAAAGATATTAAACTCTTTCTAGTTTAAATATTTAATGTTCTAATAACCATACTGATACTTTTTTTTTTGAGCCATACAAATTGGTTCTAAAGTTTGTATGGAAAAGTAAATTAAGAGTAACCAGAAAAATATTATAGTAGAAAAGAATGAGGGGAATTAGTTCCATAATATGTTAAAACATAATATAAATTCACTACAATCAAAAGATGTAATATAATGAATGAATATGCAAACTAATGGAATAAAGAAATTAGAAATCAATCATAAATATAGTAATTCTGTATATAATAAATTTTAAAACTCATAATCATAAATGAAAAGACAGACTTTTTAATAAAAGCTTGTGATGGCTAATTTTAGGTATCAACTTGACTGGGTTAAGAGATACCTAGGTATCTGGTAAAACATTCTTTCTGGGTATTTCTAGAAGAGATCATTCGTTTGAATCAGTAGACTGAGTAAAGAAAATCTACCCTCACTAATATGAGCAGGCATCATCCAATTCATTGAGGGTCCAAATAGAACAAAAAAGTGAAAGAAGAGAGAATGTTAAAAATTGAAAACCAACTGTAACCAGTGAATATTACTATATAGTAGGCTGCTAGAAAAACCTTACAGATAAAAGATTTACTCTACATGACCTTAGAACAATAATGACTGTAAATCCCTAGCCATATGCAACTTAAGGACTAAAAACTGCGAAAGAATCTTAAATTTCATTTAGCCATTTTATTGTTAGTAAAATTTAAAGTAAACTATTACTAGTTTAAAAGTATTACATTTTTACCATGGAATAAAGCACAGAATTATGTTAATATTGTTAGATATTTAGAATAAGAGAGAAAAGATACAATTATAAAATCAAAGAGGTTAAGAAATACTAAATCTGAATGGGAAATATCAGTGGAATTCATATTTTATTCTTTAAAAATATGTATTTCTTAATTCTGGTTGTTAAAAAGGCCTAAAAGCAATGATAACCCCAGTGCAGGGAGCAGGCATAATGCCCAGATTGTGGTTTCTAAGAAATATTTCCCACTAAAAGAGCTTTGGATTCTTTAGAGAAATGACCGATTCCAGCTCTGGGGCAAAAAATACACAAAATAAACCTGTCTATCTTATGCCAGAAGACAAGAAAGCTATCAAATTCTTATGGGTTTGCATAAAAAGGATATAGAAACCAACTGGAAGAAGTTCTCACTTGCCAATATAGAAAAGCATTTTAGCAACTCCCCCCAACGTCTTCCCCCCACGAAAAGACTGCACCTAATTAAAACATATTGAATATGTAAATACAATTCATTTGTAAGTGACACAAGCCATGAAGACAAAGATTCCAATGAAAATGAAGTAGTCCCAGCTACTCAGGAGGCTGAGGCAGGAGAATCTCTTGAACCTGGGAAGCGGAGGTTGCAGTGAGCCAAAATCGCACCACAGCACTCCAGCTGGGCGACAGAGCAAGACTCCGTCTCAAAAAGAAAAAAAGAAAGAAAGAAAATAGCCAGGGAATTATGATAATAGGGTATCATATAATACATATTAAGAAATTATTGGTATTTTTTGTTAGGTATGGTAATAGTATGTTTTAGGAAAATGTCATTTATGTTACTAACACTCTTATTATTTTGAGATTCTTTCTAAAGTAGATAAAAATCAAATTTCATGGGATCTAGGATTACTTAAAAAAAAACTTGTAAAAAAAGGGGTTAATGTGAGGGAGGGGAACAAATATGGCAAAGTGTTGATAAATGTCAAACCGGGGTGCTTGGACTCTTTATTTTTGTTATACTCTATATTTTCATGTTTGAAATTTTCTTTAAAATAGTTATCACACAGTATGACCTGGCCAGAACATGGGGAGGAATAAAGGTGGCAGGGAAGCTGGAGAGTAGAAACAGAGTCTTGACCTCAGGTCTAGGATGCTGCCTGTGCAGGTGACCACTGACCATGCAGGCTACCTATCACAAAAACAGCCCAGCAACCAGGAGCAGGTTGAAGGGGACCAGCTGCATGAGAGGCAGTGCAACTCAGGCTGCCAATGTTCCAGGCAAAAATAATCTGTGGAAATCAGGCCAAAGCTGGCCTCAACAGACCAGATAATTAGCTACAGGAAGAAAATGTTGCCAAATCCAGTATGAAGTTTGGTTCTTGTTTGACCATTTCAGAATAAAAATAAAATCAACATGTAGTTATGTACTCAGTTCGTAAGTGAGGCAAGTTACAATTGGTTCTGGCATTTATTCAATGAGGCAAAAAAGTTTATGATTGCTCTTCCCTTGTAATAATTTCTTATACATTGAAATACATGATAAATGTACTTCTTGACTTTCTACTGAGATTAAAAAGTTAGAATCAGTTTAGCCTTCTTATTTTTTCCCAGTCCCTTTATTATTTTTCTTCTCATTTGGAAATCTCAAAATCTACACTGTAATTGCAGAGTACATCAACATACTATAGAAATATCAGTAAACTTTAAAGGAAAGATGTAGGGACTCAACGAAGAGCAAGACTTCTGCACATTAAACAGTAATCATAGGAGTTGCATGGACTGATGGGGCAGAAAATTGACCTGCAAATAGATAGTGGCTCAAATTACACTGGCATTTTCAACAAAGCAAGCTCCCCTTAAAGTAGATATAATATCCTGCATCCAGAGATGGAAATGATTCCTTCCTTCCTTCTTTCCTTCCTTCCCTCCCTTCTTTTCCCTTTGTTTCCCTTCCTTTCCCTTCCCTTCCCTTCCCTTCTCCTTCCTTCTTTCCTTCCTCTCTTTCCCTCTTTCCTTTTCCCTTCTTCCTTTCTTTATTCTATAACACAGTCAGAAGACTAAAGAAGAGTTTGTGTGTGTGTGTAAAATTCTCATAAGTATCAGCAGGTTGCCAAGTAGATTTGTGTATGAGACCTACTCCTTCCAAATATAGGTCTTCTGTCTCTCTCTCTCCAAGACATCATTTTTTTTATCATTTTATTGTCTCAAGTCCAAAAACGTTGTCTTCCCGTCTTCCTTGGGGTATTCAGTTACCTGTCTTGATTTCTTTTCCTGACTCCTTTTTAACTTCAACATGCTATGATGCCCAATCAAGTAAAGATTCCATGAAGTGTTTAGGTTGAGAGACAATTTTCTAGGTGATTTATTTTTTGTTTAATGGAAATTGGAAGTTGTATATACATTTCTTCTGCTTAAGGATGAGAAATTACATATCAAAGAGAATAAAAATTAGAGGGGGAACCAAATAATTCCACTGTTCTTATTTTGTTTAGAATGAAAATATATGCTATGTTAAATATATGTGGGTGTGTGCTTAGCCATTAAACCCTCAGCGCTCCATTTATCATGTGTTTATGCAACTGATGTGATGTAGTTTGGAAAAACAAAATATTAGAAAAATGGATGCCTTAGTTTGGCTTGTGTAATATTGTACACTAATTTTTAATTTTTATTTCAGTACCTGCATATGGTTTAGAAATTTAGATAGCACTAAAGTCTCATTTTAAACACACCCCCACCAACTCCCAGCCCCTACACACAGAAGTTACATGTCCCGCCTTCTCACCTCTGAGTCCTACTGCTTAAGGAATATTATTTTTCAACATTTTCAGCTACTATTCTAGTATTTACTTCCATATATCCAAACAGTATGCTTATTGGCCACTAAATTTTTTTTTTTCAAATTAGGATATCTAATGGCTTTCTATTCTGAAGATTTAACCCTTTTACATTATACTCCACTCCAATGAACTTCCCCTTTATTCCGGTACATTTATTTAATAAATTTTGGCTAAATCACTATTAGGCACTTGGTATACTATGATTACATTTTTTTTCTTGCATAACTTTTCATTTCTCCTGGACTTCATAATCTTTTTTTATTTGCATAGTTTTCTATGTATCTAGAAAATTCAGAAGGCGAGGAGGAGCACTGAACATCACTATGCCTCTCAGGAATTGGCTGAGAGTAGTTCTCTAGCTGGCATGCATCTGGGGTCGATGGGGAAACTGCTCCTAGGAGACAGGAGGCCTAGGAGCAGTGTGTGCCGTAGTGCTAAAAGACCTTGAGATCTTACTAGGGTACAGACATAGATAAGACTGCAGAGAAAGAAAGGCAATATATGTTGCTTGGAGAGGTTGCATGCTAAAAATGAAAGGAAATCTACTTACAAGAAGCCTCCCAGTGACATGAGAAATATTTTTACTAAATTTATGCCTAGGGTGCCAAGTATGCAGAGCTTAAAGGGTAAGTTGAAACTAAGACCTTGTAAATATGTGGAATCAAGGAGCAAAAAAATAAAAATAAAAATGGCTCAGGGAGACTGCAATGCCTTAAATGCTTTAAGAGATAAGGGGATTGCATAGAGGTAAGTGTTTTCCTCCAAGGATAGGGGACACTTGTGACGATGACAATTTAACTCTCAGTGTGACCACTGTTGGAAAGGAATTTCAGCTCCCAGATTGTGAGTTTCAGACTACTGCTCACAGACTTAATGGCCTCCTGCTGCCCTGATGCCAAGGCATTTTCCCCACTTATCTCTCATATTTTATGTCTACTCCTCTTTCCAAGCTAATACTGAGCTTTGACTTTGGTATACTTTTGTAGGTATGGGTTGTCTTGAGGTCTGGATCATTAATTTTACCTAGGAATTTTGCTATAGATACCAAGGATTTGTTTTATGCCTATGAGGCCAGTGATGTGATAACCTCATATCCTATTTCATCTGACTGGAAAAGAGATACACAAATTTTAAAAGCTGAAACAACTTCGGAGGTGCCAGTGGAAGACAGCACAAGATGAAACAGCTGCTAAAGAAACCCAGATTAAGGTAATATCCTTTAACTGAGTTGGGCTAAAGAGAAAATTGATTTTGAACATACATTCTTTAATGCACAAGAAGGATATTTTATCAAGGGATTTAATTCTTTCTGGTAATTTCATCTTTGGAGGATGTATATATTATTAATTTTCTGGGCATTGTACCATTTGCTATATTATGTTGTTGTTTGGGTATCTCTTATAATCTCAGATGAATTATGGTGAATAAGGTTACTGGGCATAAGTCGAAGTGTGAAATAAAGTTGACTTTTTATGTAGACAGCATCACTGACTTAACGAATGTTCTGATCCACACCAAAGCATTTGAAGGTCAACCATTAAAGGGGCCATTTCACAAATTTCAGGAGGATGTATCAGGGCCCCTGGTGGTAGTGTTGCCTGGCATCCTGAAGGACAATTCATTCTTCCATTCATACTTACAGTTGACAAGAGGCTTGGCTGTAAAGTCTATGGACTATGACAGAACAAAAATTTGTGGAATATTGATGAGACCGCATGACCCTACGTTACTGTTTTGGTCCAGAGACAAGGGTATTTTTGTTTTCCATCCTACCTGGGAAATAGTCTCATATGTCACATCCTTACTTACTCCTTCCTTCAGGGGATCATGAGTACAGTCTGAACATTCTTTGAGTCATGGCTTTTTGCTAGTGAATAGGGTTACTTTGATTTAAGACTAGAAAAATGGCACCATCTAGTCAGAAATTTAGTTGCCTTACCTTGTTCTTTAAGTCTCCATGAGGAAAGAGAAAAATAAAGGCTTTTCCCAGAAGGCCCAGCTAAGTCAGCTCTCTCAATTACAGCTTCTTAGTTGCAATTGGGTGAGTAAATCAAATCAGCCTTGCCCAATTTTGAAAATTTCTTCAATTTGTTGGTGCGGGAAAAAATGGCCCATCCTGTTGTTAAAGTCAGTGTTGTCAAAGAACGCTGCCCTTTAAGACAAAAATAAGCACTTGATTGGCACTTGATGAATAAACCTGACACCTGAGTCTCATTAGCTATCAACTCCTTGTGCCTATTCTCTATTACTTCTGGAAGGGTGATTCTTCCATTTCTTCCTTTTGCAAAGCTTCCCAGTGTGTCGGGTGACTATGAAGTAACTTGAACTGTCACACTTACATCAGCCAACCGTATGACCCCATTGGTAGATACTTTGGTAGGCCAAGCTGATGAGCATCTGGCAAAGTGGGTCTCAATCCTGGATTGGAATCATCTGAGGCACTTAAAAAATTATACCATCTGGCTCTACTCCCAAGAGATTTCATTTAACTGGTCTGAGTTGCACTCCCAGGGTTGATGTTTTTATAATGGTCCTAGGAGTTTCTAATACGCAGTCAGAGTTGAGACCTAAATATGATTAGAAGCTGAACAGCGAGTACACTTCTCCTGAAACAAGCAAGAAATTCGGCTTCCAGGTAACACGACACTACTTTCATTAAGGCTTATTTTCCCCCATTCCTTCAACCCTAGTTTCCTCAGGGAAGAAGCAAAGAACTATCATTAATAATTTACAGACTTTGTTCCAAAGGCTGTAAAGGGTAACATCTCTGGTGTTAATCCTCTTCACAGCAGCTATATTTTCATCTTATGGAAAAATCCAAGGCTAATGGTAAAATAACTTCCCCACGGTCACACTGGTAAGTGGAAAAATCGGATTAGAATACTGGGCTGTTTGAATTAATCCATTATCTTATTTCAAACTTATTTGGTAAATAGTTTTACAAGTTTACATTTTAACACTGGTATATCTTTATTTATTGAAATTCATTGTATTTGCAACTGTTTTAAGAGAAAGGAGTAGAGTCAATTTGCCTTTACTCCACTATCTTTAGTTGTAAGTCAAAGTACAACTCCAAATTTATTATTACCAGTAACTTCCCAAATGTCAGAGGTGGCATAGGTTGCTTAGCAGTTAAAAGAGTATTGGACTTGGAGCCAGACCACATCAGTTCAAATCTCACCTCTATAGTCTGTCCAACCTTGAGTTTACCTGACACCTCTATGCCTCAATTGTTTCCACATTATGTTTAAGTGTTAATGTTATTAATTAATTCTGAATTATCGGCTTAAGGTATTGCATACTAAGGTTTTCCCTCTAATCTTCCTATGCTCCTATCTTTTGCTTTACCCCCATTATTTATTTTTATCATCCAGCCAACAGCCCTTCTAGCCTATTAGCCTAAAGTTTCCAAGGCTTAATGTATTGCAGGCTACCCAAATATTTTTACTTTACAGCAGAACACAAATCAAACCTAATTTGACTGCAGGTGTTAAAACTCATGGAACTTGGCAGAATTAACAAATTTTAGCTGCATGTGGAACAAGTTGAATGTTCGTGACTCTGCGCCTTGGGTAGGATTGTGGTTTCATATGCTGGAAACCTGTAAAGATGGCTGCATGCCAATCCTTTGAGTTAGAGACTTTGAGAGTCTCTGCAGAAGCTCTGTTGGCCAGTTTTATTCTCCAATAGCTTGAGAATAAGTAAATAAGTGGCTAACATGCTGTGCTAGTTACAAGTACTGTAGTCTGCTTGTTCTGCTGATTTACAAAGTAAATGTGTGAGTTTAAAACTTGTCACACAGAATGTTGTTAATTACCTTTGAACCTGGACCATGGTGAGAGAGAACTTTGGCAAGAGTACCAATGTGTATCTGCAGTATGTAAAATTCTTCTTCTTACCTACTTTGATGCAAAAACATCATTACTTGGGTTCCTAAGTGTTAGTTTAGAATCAATCTTTATATCTTGTGTCAACCTTTTAAAGATTTCATAGTAATTATAGAAATAGAAAATCATTCAAGTATGCTGAATATCTCTTATTTATACATTTATGATATCCGTGTTTAAGAAGACAAAAATATGGTCAATATGAGTTTACTGTTTAGATTGCAAGATAGCACATAAAATATAGACAACATATAAGTAGTATAGGTATTCAATGCTGTAAATTACAAACACAAGACACGTGGTCAGACAAGACTTCAAGGAAAAGTAATGGCTTGAAAGAAAAGCTTTGAAGAATAGGGTTAGTGAGATTATTGTCATGTGGGAATGACATGAACAAAGGTATTGCCACAAGAATAAGTTAGGTATGATCACAAACAGGAAGGAAAGGTTTGTGTTCAGTATCATATCCCTTTTAGAAAATGTACATTTAGAATTTTGCTTGCCCTTCTGATTAATCTTTTTCACTGTTACAAAAGCCATTTTTGAAGTAGCTTCTGTAGTGTACTTCTAGAACATATGCCTTATTCTGACTTTTGTCATAGAATGTTGAGAGAACTAGGTAGTACTGATCTCTGGGATCACCCTTTCCTGGCAATGGCAGAAGGTTGAGGATTACCTGTTCACTGGTTCACTGCTTGTTCACCACCAACCTACTGTTGTAGATGCCATCATGATGTCAGAGAGCTCATTCTCCACTCAGCACCACTTGCGCCTTTGCTGATAAGCTAAGTTCTCTTGTAGGAAGTCATATATAGCATCTTGATTTCTAGCTCCTTCTACATCTAATAATGCGGTGAAGATGGATGGATAGAAGGACTTAAAATAATCCTTAGATTTCTATGGATGGGCGTTGTTTTCTACTCCCTCTAAGTAATAGTAGCAGAGGCTTGATCAGTACAGCCCTTTCTTCCAAACCAAAGCACCAATATGACATTATGGTTAAGGGTATAAATTCTGGAGCCAAATTGCTCTGTTTGAATCCTGGCTCCCCAGTTTCTAGCGCTGTTGACTTGGCCAACATATTTAGTTTCTTAGTGCATTGGTAATTTTTTTCTGTAAAATGGAAATGATAATAAATGTCTACTTTCTTGGATTGTTCTGAGATATTTAAATATTTAATATATGCCTTTAAAAAGTTCCAGGCACAAAGTAAGAACTCAAAGCATTGTATAATTGTAGTTATAATTACATATTTTTGTTTACTAATATTTTTTCTGTCACTGAATATTTCCTACTACATAGGCTAAATACAATGGTCAAAGCTTCAAATGAACCATGACAGGCTTTTACGTATTTCCTCATTTAAAAAAAATCACCCTGTTATATTCACCCCTCTATGTACTGGTGGAAGTTTCACATTTCTCTGGATAAACTGTGCCCTTATCGTCAGCTATCATGTAAATGTATACTCAACTATCTCAAAGACTTTTCAGCAAGAAATGTTCTACCTTGCTTCCCCAGTTGCTAAGAAGGGAGAAGGAAAACAATTTTCTCTACTCCCTTTAGCTCCCTTTCACTCCCCTTTACCCCCCTCAACACAGACATATTGGCACTAATTCTTCTTCGGGAGACTAGAATAAGAAAACATGAATAAGGATTTCTAGTCTTCCACATTAGAACCTTTTGGACACAAGTTTAAACAAATTTGTCATATGTTAGCCACATGTTTAAAAGTCAGCCAAGTCATTAGATGTCTAATATCCAAACGTAAGCTGCAGAGTTTAGAACTACAGTACAAAATTCCCTTTTTGTTCAGAGTTGGGCTACACAGTGGAGTTTTAATGTTGTATGATTTAAAGGGAACCTGACAGCCTTCTTTTTCCATCCAAAGAATATCCTTCTTTACCCTGTGTCTCTTTTACTAAAGGATTTTTGGGGAAAATGATGAAGTCTTGTAGGCTAATGCAAGTTAGATTACTTTCTGTCCAGGGAGGATTAGGAAGTATGAAACTAGCCAGTATATTGGAATACTCAGTTGAGTAAGAGGAAAACATGGGGAAAAAAGATAGGGCCCTTAATTAAACTTTACCCACATGATTCTCTTGCTGAAAGAGTTTCTGTTTTACTTACTTCTAAAATTCTTTGAAGGCAGATTGGTTCCGTCTAGGCCTCCCTATGTTATCAGGTAAGTAATGGTTACCTCTTATAAAATAGAACCATCAAGACCATCAAAAGCATTAGCTAGAACCAAAGGCTATTTTAATTTAAGTAAGGATAGAGATATTTGACTTTGAGAGATGGTCTAATACCCGATGGTCGTGATGTGACATGTAAACAATATTCACTTAGTGGAAAGCAAGAGCAGAGTAACTACCCACTGTTTAGTCTTAAATGTATTTCTTCAAAAGTGATTCTGTTAGTTTATATCCCTTGTTGTTGCCAATAAGTACAAGTATAGAAGGAAATTAACAAAATATCTGCAAACCCTGTGAGGCCCCATCTGAAATCTAGCTATGAGACACTGACTCACCCAAATATCATTATTCAGAAAATTTTATTTCCACTGATTTCACTTATTCTCATTGCCAATAATAAAAATGGTAACAGACTAAAACTTTTCTTGTTTCAATTTTACCTTTGGAAACCATCTATATTTTTGTATAACTGTTAGTTTCCAATGTATTCAGTAGTCTTACCTTTAATACTAACTCCTTTTTTTGGACCTTAGGATTTTTTTTTTTTAAAGCTTTAAACTAAAGCTGGCCTGATTAGCAAGATCGAGTAATATATACTTTTTGAGTCATTATACCCATATGCAGATCATAGCTTTTTAGCCACCTGGCTACATATGATCCTTCAGCCACACTGGGAAATGCTACCTTATATAGATGACTGAATCCATTAGGGCTGGCTTTGCTTTTGGGGCTATGAATTGTTTGTGGAATACAGCAAGTGTAGACCATAAACACTATAGGTTAAAAATTTAATTCAGTTGTGGATGTGATAAAACATGAAAATAGCAAATCATGGGTCTTGAAGTTTGACCTCAATTCAGATCTTGCCTCATTACTTGTTATATGACTTTGAGCAAGTTATTTAAACTTGGAATGCTAGTTTCTTTTCTTTAAATGAAGATTTGAAAATATTCCTAGAGGGCTAGTATAAGAAGGTAACAAAATAAAACACATGAAAGGTGGATGTGTTGTTGATCATCAACAAATAGTAGTTGCTAATATTAACATGAGAGATTTCTAAATTTTCTTTAATCCACTTAATATCAATGTCATCCAAAAGACTGCCAGGAAGGCTAAATAGTAGAAAGGAGAGCTTTATTGGTAATACCAGTTTGCAAACCGGGAAGAGACTGTCTCCTGCATGTATCGAAGGTGCTCTCTCTTTGAAGAACAAAAGGGTAGGTTGATTTTTATGCCTCGCAGGGTCTGCATTATACAATAGAATCATACATATTCAGCAAGTTTAGGGTGGAAAGCCATGCATATTTATGAGGGGAGCTGAGAGCATGTGGAATGGATAAATATATAGGTAACATGCATTCCATGTTCACCTTGGGGCGGGGTTTTATGGTTGGTGCAAAAGTAATTAGAATTTTTGCCAGTAAAAGTAATGGCAAAAACTGCAATTACTTTTCCACCAACCTAATAGCATTAAAATAAGGTGGAATTTGGCTCCTTTTGTCAAAGATAAACTATAATATACAAAGACAGTTTGTGCACAGTTTCTGTAAGCTGGCTGAAACTGGATTGAGGTCTAAAAACATCATCAGGAAATAATGTCTGTAGGGCCAATTCTTTGTCCAATCAAGAGTTGTAGTGATCTGGGTTAATAATCAGAGTTAGGAAGTGTCTGACAATTTGCCTGATAGCTCCTATTGTTAGAGAGTTTAGCAAGAGTGTGGTTTTTCTGGTAGCCATAGGAGTTTAAAAAGTTGCCATGCCAGTCGAGCCCTGAACTCTTTATCTGCAGGTAACTTTTGTTTCCTTAATCTTAGGGTCCCTCTTAGTTGATAAAGGGGCATGCATCTATTTTGGTCTCTCAGATCACAGCACCATCATGATGAGTCTATACGTTGCCTACTTGTTTTTATCCATGTACTTGATGGATCAGATTTTTTTGTAGCCTAATAATAGTTGATACCACACAATGTGAGTGGGTCTTAATTAGCCCATAAAGCAAATCAATATCCCTTAAGACTGTCTGTGAATATAACTAACCTCTTATGCTATGAAGATGTTTTCAGCCCTTTTTTGTTTGGGAGAAAAGCCTATACTCACTTTTTAATTACCTGACCACATACTGCAGATTCAAACTAATTTTGTAACCTTTTTTTTACGTTGTGCTATATTGCCAACACAAAGGTATTTAATCTCCAAATAGAATTCTCCAAAACACCTTGCCTTGTAAGACATTCATTGAAGGCGTTGTCCCATCTATTTGGGGCATTTTTTGATCCTTTATCTTGTGCTTAATTTAACAAGTTGGCTAATATTTCTGTTGGAATCTTAGGTGGCTTTGATTTTCTAAATTCACAGGATGTCCCATGACTGGCACTGCCATTATTTTGGAAATAAGACGTAAGCATCAGTTAGCTGTAATCATGGGGTTTATCACTTGCATTTACTTTAGAAATATTTACTGTAAGAAAGCAAGGGAAGGCCAGGGAAGGGAGCAGTGCTTCAATAAATCCACTCTTTCCAGTCTGAAATAGATTCTGTCTCTACCACTGCCTCAGGTCCTATCAAAATTATTCAATGTATTTGTCAGAATTTGAATTCAAAAGGAAAATTCTTCATTAAAATAAAATTGACTAAATTAATTTGAGTGATGAAACTATTTGACAAATTTAATTTAGGTTCCAATAAGCCAAGTTTGGGGGAATTTATTAAAACATTTTTAGAATGGTGTGGGGCTCGTCACTGGCGTTTAAGTATATAAGTTGATATTCCAATTAAGTTTCAGAGCTAATTGGAAGTAGCTACGATGCTACCATAATGAACTATCTTCTATGAGCTATAGATTTGAACCACGGATTTTTAACTTTCAAACAATTTTAAAAATAAAACAATTATTTCTATTTAGAAATTGTTATACTTTGTTGTATAATACATAAGATATAAATTTAAAATGAGCAGGTTTGATGAGGACTGATCTCATCCAGTTAGAATCGGATGGATCTTTTCTAATTCTGGTTTTATCTCCAGTTTTTATTTGGCATGTTTCCTTCTGATTCATTCTGGGTTGGCTGTTCTACTGCAGGAATTTAAATTCTTGATCTTTAGGCTTTTGATATTAAAGGCTTTCAGGTTTGCTATTTCCCTTGGCAACCAGTTTAATTGAACAAATAAGAGTCCTTTCTGTGATCATAAACTAAAAGGCTGTTTGTAATTTGCCTTTTAAATTATTTCCTCTCATCTAAGATCTCTCATATTCTTTCATGTAATAAAAGCAGGAGTAGATGCTGTCATATAAGCTGTCTCTCTATTTTGAAGCCCCAAGCATAAAATGTTTGGTTTTTTTTCCCTGTGAGTTTGTTTCTGTTACTTGACTCAGTAACAAATCATACCATTTGTATTCTGCCTTATAATTTATAAACCAATTTAATATTCTCATATGAACTTTGTAATAAGCCTGTGAAGTAACAGAGTCATTTATTGAACCCTTGGCATATAGTAGGTTGTTAAAGATTAACTGAATGGGCCGGGTGCAGTGGCTCATGCCTGTAATCCCAGCACTTTGGGAGGCTGAGGGGGTGGATCACCTGAGGTCAGGAGTTCAAGACCAGCCTGACCAACATGGAGAAACTACGTCTCTACTAAAAATACAAAAATTACCTGGGTGTGGTGGCACATGCCTGTAATCCAAGCTACTTAGGAGGCTGAGGCAGGAGAATCGCTTGAACCTGGGAGGTGGAGGTTGCAGTGAGCCAAGATTGCGCCATTGCACTCCAGCCTGGGCAACAAGAGAGAAACTCCGTCTCAACAACAACAACAGAAAAAAAGATTAACTGAATGAAGTGTAGATATTAGTGTCTTATTCTAAAAACAGGTATTTGAAGCTATGAGAAGCTGAAATCATTTTCTAAGGTCATTGGGTAGAGTCTGGGCTCATTTTCAGCTGTTCTAGATCATAGGACTAGGTTTTTTCTATTATGCTATATCACACTGATCATATTTGAGGTTTCAGTTTCTGCGGTTGTTTTTAAGGTAAAATTTACATAGATTGAAATGTTCAGATATTATTGTACAATTTGAGTGTTGAGAAGTACATTTATCTGTACAATGAAGACGCCAACGAAGGTATCAAATATTTCCATCTTCCCAATGCCCCTAGAGATCCTTCCCATAAACTTTACCCCAGGCAATCACTTTTCTGACTTTTTTTCCTGCCATATGTTAGTTTTGCCTGGTCTAAAATTTCTTATAAATGAAATCATATAGAAGATACTCTTTTATGTCCCAGTTATTTCACCTGGCGTAATGGCTGAGATACATCCACATTGTTGTGTGTATAAGTTGTTTATTCCTTTTTATTGCCGAATAACATTTATTATATGAATATACCACAATTTGTTCATCTGTTCTGTTGATGAGCATTTTGGTTATTTATTTTTTTAGCTATCATAAATAAAACTGCTATAAACATTTGTGTACAAGTTTCTTTGTGAATATAAATGTTTATTTTTATTGGAGACTTACTAGATTACAAGGTAGTTGATGGAGAACATAATGAAACTATCAAGGCTTTTTCTAAAGTGGTTGTACCATTTTACACTCCTACCAATAACATGTAAGTATTTTATTTGTTCCACATCCTAGTTAATATTTACTGTTGTTAGTCTTCTTCATTTTAGCAATTGTATTGGATATACAGTAGATTTCATTGGTTTAATTTGTATTTCTTGGTTAATGTGCTGACCTTTTTTTTCCTGTTCTTATATGCCATTCATGTATTATTGTTAGTGAAGGGTCCAAAATTTTCCCCACATTTATTTAAGATTTTCTTTTTGTTTTTGAGTCATGGGCATTCTTCATATATCCTGGATATACATTTTTGTCAGATATGTTTATTGTGAATATGCTCTCTGAGTTGGCAACTTTTCAATTTGTTTTCTTAATAATGTCTTGATGAATAGAAAGCTACCTTGATAAGATTTAGTAGAGGGTTTTTAATTTTATTGATCTTTCCAAAGAAACAATTTTAGCTTTAATTTTTATATTATCTGTCTTTTTTATTTTATTGATTTAAGCTTTTTATTTTCTTCCTTCTACTTCCTAGATGAGCAAATTAAACCCAAAGGACTTTGAGAGATCTTGTTTTTTATTCTAATTTAATTCTGTTGTGTTCAGAGAATGCACTCCATGAGAATTCCTTTTAAAATTTACTTAAATTTATTCTACGATATGTGTGGTCCATATTGGTAAATACTTTAATGCACTTAAAGAATATAATATAATTATACATAATTATAATATAGTTCAGTTGTTTCACACAGTGAACAATAAATATGAACTAGGTCAGGATGGTTATGGTGTTTAAATTTTCTCTCTCCCTACTACTTGATTGTGTACAATTGTTTTATTAATTGCTGAGGAAGAGATATTGACATCGGGCTATTTTTGTCTGCCCCTCCCTTCCCATGGCATCGGAGCGGAATGTGCCAACTGGCAGTTAGATGAGAAAGATGGCATTGAGGGAAATTTTAGAGAGCTTTCAAACTCTTTTTATTCTCATGTTCCGTATTTCTAATTTTAACATAAATAATGTGCTTTTATACTGGATTGTAAAAGGCATGTGATTTTAGAGATTTTATTTTGGGATGTACTGTCTTATGCTGTATTAAAGGGAAAGAAGTATTAATGTGCATCACCCTAACTTGTTTTGGAAGCCAGGGTAGTTGTATGATTTTGTTACTAGCAGTGCTAACCTGAATGTGACTTGGTTACCTTAGAAATGCTGGAACTTATATGAATGTGCTGTAAAATAAAATGAGGACTGGTTCCCAGGAAAAAAAATTGTGTATTTTATTTTTGTAGATATTCTTTAATTCTGTCAATTTATTGCTTCATGTATTTAGAAGATCTGCTGTTATGCACACACATATTTATAACTGTTATGATTTCAGATGAATTGACCATTTTATCATTATGAAATAACTTTGTCTTGCGTAATATTCTTTTTTAGTTTACTTCAACTGCTATTAATGTAGGTACTCTAGACTTCTGCTGACACTTTTCATGGTGCATGCTTTCCATCTACTTACATTCAATTTTTCAGGGTCATTATATTTAATGTGTGTTTCCTATACACTGCATGTAGTTAAGCCTTCCTTAAAAATTTTTATTGATACATAATAGTCACACATATTTATGGGGTACATGTGTTATTTTGTTACGTGCATAGGATGTGTAATGACCAAGTCAGTGTATTTGGAGTATTCATTCCGTTAAGTATTTATCATTTCTATGTGTTGAGAACATTTTAAGTCCTCTTTTCTAGCTATTTTGAAATATACAATACATTGTTAACATAGTCGCCTTGTTCTGCTATAGAATATTAGAATGTATTCTTCCTGTATTACTGCATGTTTGTACCCATTAACCAACCTCTCTTCATAAACCCCACAAACACATGCTTCCTAGCCTCTGGTTTCTATTATTCTATTCTCTACCTCCATGATATTTTAGCTCCCACCTTGACAATCTGCATTATTTATGTTTCTGTGCTTGGTTTATTTTACTTAACATAATGACCTCCAATTCCACCAATGTTGATGAAAGTGACATGATGTTATTATTATTTTTTATGGCCAAGTGTTATTTTATTATATATATATTCCATATTTTCTTTATCAACTGATTCATTGATGGACACTTAGGTTTATTCTATATCTTTAGTATTGTGAATAGTGCTGTAATTAAAATTAGGTTACAGGTATCCCTTTGATATACTGACTTCTTTTCCAATGGATAAATACTCAGTGGGATGGCTGGACCATGTGGTGGTTCGATATTTTTGTTTTCTGAGAAATTGCCATACTATTTTCCATGGTGGCTATACTAATTTACAGTCCTACCAACAGTGTATTAAAAGTTCCCTTTTCTCTGCATCCTCACCAGAATTGTTTTTGGACTTTTTAATGATAGCCATTCTAACTGGAGTAAAATGATATCTCATTGTAGTTTTGATTTGCGTTTTCCTAGTGATTAGTGATGTTTAGCATATTTTTATATACCTGTTGGCCATTTGTATGTTGTTGTTGTTGTTTTCTGAGATGGAGTCTCACTCTGTCGCCAGGCTGGAGTGCAGTGGTGCGATCTCAGGTCACTGCAACCTCCGACTCCCTGGTTCAAGCGATTCTCCTGCCTCAGCCTCCCGAGTAGCTGGGATTACAGGCATGTGCCACCACACCCCGCTAATTTTTGTATTTTTAGTAGAGACGGGGTTTCACCATGTTGTCCAGGATGGTCTCGATCTCCTGACCTCGCGATCCACCCACCTCGGCCTCCCAAGGTGCTGGGATTACAGGCGTGAGCCACCGTGCCTGGACTGTATGTTGTCTTTTGAAAAATGTCTATTCATGTTTTTTTGCCCATTTTTAATGGGACTCTTTGTTGTTGTTGTTGATGTTGTTGTTGTTTTTCTGTTGAGTTCCTTGCATATTCTTGTTATTAGTTCCTCGTTGGATGAACTTTATAATTATCTCCCATTCAACAGGTTGTCTCTTCACCCTGTTGATTGTTTCCTTTGCTGTGCAGAAGCTTTTTAGTTTAACATAGTCCCATTTGTCTGTTTTTGCTTTTGTTGCCTGCGCTTTTGAGGAGTTAGTTAAAAATCTTTGCCTAGCCAATGTCCTGAAGTGCTTCCCCTATGTTTTATTCTAGGATTTTTATAGTGTCGGTCTTACCTTTAAGTCTTTAATCCATCTTGAATTGATCTTTGCATATAGTGAGAGATAGGAATCCAGTTTCATTCTTCTGCATATGGATGTCCAGTTTTCCAAGCAGCATTCTTTAAAGAGGGTATTCTTTCTGCTAATGCATATTCTTGGCACCTTTGTTGAAAATCGTTTAAATACATGGATTATTTCTGTGTTCTCTATTCTATTAGTTTATGATTCTGATTTTATACCAATACTCATGTTCTGGTTACTATAGCCTTGTAATATGTTTTGAATTTAGGTAGTGTGATGCCTTTGGCTTTATTATTTTTGTTCAGGATCGCCTTGGCTATTTGGGAATTTTTTTGGTTCCATACAAATTTTAGAATTGCTGTTTTCTATTTCTGTCAAAAATGACCTTGGTACTTTGATAAGGATTCCATTGAATCTGTAGATTGCTTTGGGCAACACAATCATTTTAATAACATTCATTCTTCTAATCAGTGAGAATTGGATGTGTTCCCATTTGGTTTTGTCCTCTTCAATTTCTTTCATCAGTGTTTTGTAATTTTCCTTGTAGAGGTCATTTATGTCTCTGATCAAATTTATTTTTAGATTTTTTTTGGCAGCAATTGTAAATGTGATTGTCTTCTTGATTTCTCAGCTAGTTCATTATTTGTGTGTAGAAATGCTACAGATTTTTGTATGCCGATTTTATATCCTGTAACATTACTGAAATTATTTATAAGTTCTTAGAGAATTTTAGTGGTGTCTTTAGGTTTTTCTAGATATAAGATCATGTCATTTGCTAAGAGAGACTATAAGATCATGTCACTTGCTAAGAGAGACACTTTTTTATATTTTTTTAATTTTTTAAACTTATATATATATTTTATTATACTTTAACTTCTAGGGTACATGTGCACAACGTGCAGGTTTGTTACATATGTATACATGTGCCATGTTGGTGTGCTGAACCTATAATTTTCTCTTTTCAAATGTAGCTGCCTTTTATTTATTTCTTTCGCCTGATTACTCTAGCTAGGACTTCCAGTACTATGTTGAATAGGAGTAGTGAAAGTGGGAATCCTGGTCTTGTTTCAATTCTCAGAGGAAAGACTTTTGGCTTTCCCCCATTCAGTATGATATTAACTGTGGGTTTGTCATACATGGCCTTTATTATGTTGAGGTATGTTCCGTTTATGTCTAATTTGTTGAGAGTTTGTATCATAAAGGAATGTTGACTATTATCAAGTGCTTTTTCTGCATTTATTGAGATGATCATATGATTGTCATTCATTCTGCTGAAGTGATACATCACGTTTACTAATTTGCATATGTTGAACTGTCCTTACCTCCTTAGGATAAATCCCACTTGATAACTGTGTGTTATCTTTTTGATATGCTGTTGGATTCAATTTGCTAGTATTTTATTGAGGATTTTTGTATCTTTATTCATCAGGGATATTGGTCTGTAGTTTTCTTTTTTTTGTCGCATCTTTGGTTTTGGTATTAGGATAATGCTGGCCTTATGGAATGAGTCAGGAAAAATTACATTCTCTTCAATTTTTGGGACAGCTTGAGGAGAATTGGTGTTAGTGTTTTGTAAGTTTGATAGAATTCAGCAGCGAAGTCATCTGATTTGGAACATTTCTTTGTTGGGAGATGTTTTATTACTGAATCCATCTAATTACTGATTATTGGTCTGTTCAGGTGTTCTATTTCTTCCTGATTTAATGTTGGTAAGTTGTGTGTGTCCAGGAATTTATCTATTTCCTATAAGTTTCTCAGTTTGTTAGTGTACAGTTGTTCATAATATCCTCTGATGAGTATTTGTATAATATTTCTTCGGTATCAGTGAGTATGTCTCCTTTTTTGTTTCTGATTTTATTTGGGTCTTTTTTTCCTTTTTTTTTTGGTTAGCCTAGCTAGTTGTTTATCAGTGGTATTTATCTTTTCAAAAAATCAACTTTTCATTTTGTTGATCCTTTTTATTGTTTTTTAAGTCCCTATTTCATTTAGTTTTGTTCTGATCCTTTTTTTCTTCTACTAATTTTGAGTTTGGTTTGTTCTTTTCTTTCTAGTTTCTTGAGGTAAATTGTTAGATTGTTCATTTGAACTCTTTCTACATTTTGATGTAGGTGTTTATTGCTATAGACTTCCCTCTTAGCATGTTTTTTTGCTGTATCCTATAGGCTTTGGTATGTTGTGTTTCTATTTTCATTTGTTTCTAGACATTTTTTGATGCCTTTATAATTTCTACCCTAACTCAATGATAATTCGGGATCATGTTGTTTAATTTTCATGTATTTTTACAGTTTCTAAAGTTCCTTTTCTTATTGATTTCTACTTTTATTACATTGTGGTTAGAGAAGATATTTGAAATGACTTCAATTTTTAAAAATTTTTTGAGACTTGTTTTGTTTCCTAACATATGGTCAGTTTTGGAGAATGTTTCATGTGTTGATGAGAAAAATGTGTATTCTGTAGCTGCTGAATGAAATATTCTGTAAATGTCTGTTAGGTCCATTTAATTTAAAGTACAGTTTAAACTCTATGTTTGTTTGTAAATTTTCTGTCTAGATTATCTGCCTAATGCCGAGAGTGGATTGTTGAGGTCCCCAACTATTGTTGTATTGGAGTCTATTTCTCTCTTTAGGTCTAATATTTGCGTTATATATCAGAGTTCTCCAATGTTGGTTGCATATGTCTTTATAATTATTATATCCCCTTGCTGAATTGATCCCTTTATTATTATAGAATAAACATTGTCTCTTTTTGACTGTCTTCGTCTTAAAGTTTATTTTAATTAGGTATAGTTACTTTTGCTCACATTTGGTTTTTGTTTGCATGGAATATCTTTTTCCATCCATTTACTTTCAGTTTATATGTATCTTTACAGATGAGGTGCATTTCTTATAGGCAGCACATAGTTGGGTCATATTTCTTTTATTTAGCCAGTTTATATCTTTTAAGTAGAAAGTTAAATCATTTTATATTCAAGGTTATTATTTTTATGTGAGGGTTCATTCCTGTCATTTTATCGATTGATTTCTGGTCATTTTTCTTTCTCCCTTATTTATCATTGTGATGTGGTGTTTTTTTGTAGCAGTAAAATTTGAGTCCTTACTCTTTCTTATTTCTCAACCCATTTGCTCTGCCAGTGGGTTTAACACTTTCATGCAATTTTATAACAAGAGATATTGTCCTTTCAATTCCAGGTATAGGACTCCCCTAAGCATTTCTTGTAGGAGCAATCACAGTGGTATGAATTTGTAATGGTGATGAGTTTTTATAGCTTTTGCTTGTCTAGGAAAGAGTTTATTTCTCATTCATTTATGAATGATAACTTTGCTCTGTATAGTATCCTTCGCCAGCAGTTTCTTTTTCTTTCAGCACCTTGAATATATTATGCAATTCTCTCCTGGCCTGTAAGTTTCTACTGAGAAATCTGCTGTTATTCTGATGAGGGTTCCCTTATAAGTGACTGGACAGTTTTCTCTTGCTAATTTTGAAATGTTCTCTTTGTCTTTGACTTTGGACAGTTTCACTCTAATATGCTGTAGAGAAGGTGTTTTTGAATTATATCTATTTGGGGAATTCCTGAGCTTCCTATGTCTGATGTGTCAGTCTCTTCCTAGACTTAGGAAGTATTTTGCCATTATTTTATTAAATAGCATTTCTATCCCCTTTGTTTTCTCTTCTCCTTCTGGGACACCAAACATTTGACTATTTGGTTTCTTTATGGTGTCCCATATATCACATAGAATCTGTTCATTCTTTTTGATTCTTTTTTCTTTATTTTTGTCTGACTGGGTTATTTCAAAAGACATGTCTTTGTGTTCTGAAATTCTTTCTGTTTGATCTGGTTTCTTGTTGAAGCTTTTGAATGTATTTTGTATGTAATTAAATAAAGTTTTTAGTTCCAGAATTTCTATTCCATTCTTTTTAATGATATCTTTTTGTAATTTTAAAATTCATATCCTGAATTGTTTTTCTGATTTCTTTTTATTGTTTGTTTGTGTTGTCTTATATCTCACTGAGCTTCTTTAATATCATTATTTTGAATTCTTCTGGGATTTTATAAATTTCTTTTTTATTGGTATCTGTTGCTGGAGAATTATTGTGTTCCTTTAGAGATGTCATATTTCCTTGCTTTTTCATGTCTTTTTTTGCCTTTACATTGCTATCTGCACATCTGATGTAACAGTCACTTCTAATTTTTTTGACTTTGTTTTCATAGGTGAGGACATTTTCCTGAAGATGAATCTATGTTGTTGGTTGGATAGGGCACTTTGGCTTAGATTCTGCATGCAGGCAGTAGTGCAGTTCCTGTACAATTTCTTTGGCTTTAAACAGCATATATGGTGTCTGTGATGTTCTCAGTGGTTTAGGTTGCATTTGTAGTGGAGGCTGTGGTGAGGTTTTGCTGGGGATGGGGATGTCAGGTGGACCAATCCTTGTGCCCCATTGGTAGCAGTAATGGGCCAATTGTACCTGAAGTGGTGTATGCTGACACTGGATTAGCAGGTCCTTGCATGCTGATTCTCGGGCATTCAGGGAGCTTGCTCAGGTGCCAGTAGTGGCAGTGGTGAGCCAGGCAGGTGAGCAAGTCCTCCAGCCTCTGGACATTAGGCATGGCAGGGGTGATGGCCATAGCAGTGGCAGAACATCCCTGTCTCCCAAGTGGTCTGCACTGATGTTGGTGGTTGCTGCTGAGGCTCAGCAGGGAAGTCCCTGGTCCACAGGTGGCAAGTGAAGGTAGGTGCTGTCTGTCGTGGTAGTGGAAGGTTGGTTGGGCTTCACATCAGGTTCCTGGGAGGAGTACCCAGGTACAATGATGATGAATGGGGCTGGGTGATCTCCAGACTCCTAGATGACATGCTCAGGCCCTGAGGGAGCAGAGTTAGACAGGGAAGGCCTGTCCTCAGGACCCCCATTGCTGTTTGCAGGCACTGGCTGTAGTAAGCAGGGGTTGTCAGAGACAAAATGCTTGGGTGGGGTTATCAGTAACTGTACTGTGGACCTAATACTGGGGTGGCCAAAGTTGCTTTCAGTAGGAGCAACCATAGGCAGGGGACTGAGGAGAATGCACTTCAGCTCCAGGTGGCAGCTATGGGTGGAGCAGCCTCCCCTCAGGGAATTTTTTAATGCACAGTGCCTTTATAACTGGGGGCAGTAGGGCCATTGTCAGTAGCTTGCCCCTCAGCTTTCTTGAGGTCCCCTGTTTCTTTGTCCCAATCAGAAAAGTGCTCCCAGGCAAAAAGTATAGGTCATTGTTGGGCTAATCTCATGTATTCTCCTCTCTGAGGGATCACAGTTCTAGACTGTCTGCTGTTTATCATCTGATAATAAACCCCTCATGTATTTTGTCCCAGGTTACAATTTTTTTTTTTAATCTCGAAAGCATTAGTTGGATACCAGTTACTTCACTGTAGGCAAGAGTGGAAATCTCATGGGCAGAAACAGAAGTCTTAATTATTGATTATTTTTTAGCTACTTTGTCCCTACTAGATATCAATAGTTTAAAATAAGTGTTTACACATACTTTCTACTCATCTTTCCCACATCAACATAAGCTACTAAGAGGGTTTCCCTGTTTCCCTAGAACTGGCATCATCAGCAAAACTTTTAGAAATAAAAATTTACTGGCCTCACCCAAGACCTGATGAATCAAAAAGTGTGTTTGGGGACCAGCTGTGTGTTGTTGTAGCTGTTGTTGTTGAATAAGCTTCCAGTGATTCTGATGGGCAGTGAAGCTTAGCTCCTATCCCATCAGGTGTCCTGCTGTCTCTACAGCGTGTTTGTTGTAATTACTTGGTTGGTTGTGTAGCTTCTCTCTAAGTTCTTTGTAAAGAGAAAATGTGTCTCATAGTCACCTGATTCCCAAATTTATGATTGATAAAAAATTTGACTATCTGTGCTATTGCTTTTGCCTTCCTTTCTTAGCACAATTTTTCTCCTTACACTCTAAATGGTTCATAAATCTTCTCCCAAAGTTTTTTGGATATGGAAAGATTATATTTTTTAAATGACTTTAATTGGTTTCATTTCATGGTATTATTATACTTTTTCTTTTGGAGAAGAAAAATTCACAAGTTTACTTAGATACCTGAAAATTTTTTTGTGGAGTAAACTTGTCCAAAGAAGCATATCTTTGTAGTTTTCAGTTTAATGAATGCTTTTAGGTTGAAGTAGACATGGGAGATAATTCCCATTCAATGAAATTCTGCTTTCAGTAGTCCTATCAGTTGAGTATTTTAGTTAGACCAGGGCCTGGTGGAGTAAGGAATGCTTCAGGATACAGTTATTTGTCTTCCTGCCCCAGAAGTAGGATCATGATATCATAGTGTCCCAGGGATGGAAAATATAAGACCTTTTTGATTAGTATGATAGAAAACACATTCAAATAAAGATTGTGTGGTAAAGATTCTATGTCTATTTTGGACACTAAGGTAAATTACTATGAGGAAATTATAGAACCTTTTAACATCAGTTTTATTATCTGTGAAATATACAGGATTTTCTTCGATGCAAAGACTGTTTACTCTCAGTTTACAGCTTCACTATCTCTTCTGCATCATACATTTCTTCTTCTTGACTGGAATGTTTCCGTGAGTTTACATATTTTGCAATATATCTGATTTTTTATACCTCTTTTTAATCCCATATCTCCCCACCACCCCAAGAAATAGCTAGTCTTTTACTTAATCTTTGTTCTACCAGGCATTCTGCTGAAATTTGCTTAAAAGAGAAGATGAAAGTCTTTAAATCTATGTTATAAATCCTATCATGAATTGTAAATTAGTTCTCAGTAGTAGCATTTAATGTACCTCTACTAACCTCACAGCCTTAGAAATGCATGTATTGCTATGGTATTTATTAATTTTCACCTTTACTGCCAGTAAGGAACACACACATGTAGTCATGTGCCACGTAATGATCTTTCGGTCAATGACTGACAGAATTTATGACTGTGGTCCCATAAGATTATAATGGAACTGAAATGTTCCTATCACCTACTGACTTGTGTTACAGTTGTCTACAGTATTCAGTACAGTAACATGCCATACAGATTTGTAGATTAGGAGCAATAAGCTATGCCATATAGTCTAGGTGTGTAGTAGGTTGTACCATCTGGATTTGCATAATGACATCCTATGCTGTTCATACAATGACAAAATCACCCAAAGCTGCATTTCTCAAAACATATCCCTGTCATTACATGATGCATTTTTCCCCCTGAGGGTCCATATATCTACTCTTAAATTATAAGCATGCTCAATTTCCTAAAAATGTAGTATATGTTTAGATGCCATTCAAATGTAGGAAGTCTGGTGCCATTTCTGTGTAGCCTATCTGAATGTTCAAATTTATCTTTCATCTTTTGTCTTTTTAAATATACTCAGAAACTTTTAATTTATACACATATTCATACAAATTTTCTTCTAATATCAGTGGATTAAGAAACATAGCTTGAGATCCTTATTTAAATGTTTTATAGTTTTTTTTACATAATACATGCCTATCTACTGCTTTGAAAAACTAACCAGAGTATAAAACATTGTCTTAGTCAGCTCAGGCTGCTATTACAAAAATACCATAGACTGTATGGCTTAAACCTGGGGTCCCCAACCCCTGGGCCACAGATCGGTACTGGTTTATGGCCTATTAGGAAATGGGCCGCAGAGCAGGAGGTGAGTGGCAGGCAAGTGAGTGATGCTTCATCTGTATTTACGGCTGTTCACCATCACTTGCATTACCATCTGAACTCTGCCTCCTGTGAGATCAATGGCTGCATTAGAGTTTCATAGGAGCACAAACCCTATTGTGAACTGCACATGCAAGGGATCTAGGTTGCACACTTATGAGAATCCAATGCCTGATGATCTGTCACTGTCTCCCATCACCCCCAGATGGGACTGTCTAGTTGCAGGAAAACAAGCTCAGGGCTCCCACTGATTCTACATTATGGTGAGTTGTATAATTATCTCATTGTATATTACAATGTAATAATGATAGAAATAAAGTACACAATAAATGTAATGTGCTTGAATTATCCCAAAACCATCCCTCACCCCCTGGTCTGTGGAAAAATTGTCTTTCATGAAACCAGTCCCTGGTGCCAAAAAGGTTGGGGACCAATGGCTCAAACATTTATTTCTCCCAGTTCTAGAGGCTGGGAAATCCAATATTACAATGCTGGGAGATCTGCTGTCTGGTGAGGAACTGCTTTGTGGCTTGTAGACAGCTGCCTTCTTGATTTCTCCTATCATGGCAGAAAAATGGATCTCTGGTTTCCTTTTCTTTTTATAAGGACACTAATCCCATCATGGAAGCTCCACCCTCATAATTTCATCTAAACCTAATTACTCCTGAAGGCTCACCTCTTTATACCATCCCATTGGGGTTGAGGTTTCAACATATAAATTGTAGGGAGACAAAAACCTGCAGTATATAACAAATATTTGGTCAAACATTCACAATTGCCATAAACATCCCAAGTATCATTCTATTAACAGCAAATATTGCAAATGTTAACAGCAAATGCTTGTTTATGCCTCAATGTTCTCTGATATGAAATCCAGGTCATTATGAATAAAATGAGAGCTTTTACTTTTTCAGGCAAGCCTGTTTTCAGTAGAGTCACAGAGAACTCAGTTACCATGACTACAAGGTTAGTTTCCCATTCATTCACTTATTAAATTACTGTCTAATAGTCATTCCTACTTCCTGGTCCAGATACACGATCTGACCTTTCATTTTGAATTGCTAAGTAAAATTATGAATTCATGTTCTCATTTTCCTATTTGAGAAGACAGGTTTTTGTGTTTCCTTGGCTATCAAGATTAATTTTTCTGGATTAATTCTACTCAGTCCTGTTATATGAACTCTCAGGGTGGAGTTATATAAGTTTTATTGGTATCATTCATAAAATATAATTGACTTCCTACAATGGGAAGTTAAGTTTCTTTTCTATGAAAATTATAGCATGCTGATAAGTATCTGATACTGATATTACTACTGCCTACATATGGGATTTTGTATATTTCTTGAAATGAATTCAATAAGGTCAGCTGGCAATAACCAGGAACATTCTACTCATTGCCAAAAGGAAACTTCCTAAATTAAGTTTGAGATGGGATCATATTAGCTGTTTATTTTTACTCTGATGTCTTAAAAGTGTTATATTACAAGATATGCTTTAGAAATAAGAGATGTGTGTAAAAATTTTCACTTTATTTTGATTTCTTTCTACTTCAACTTTCCTGTAAGGAGTCTTGGGTAAGGCATTGGCAACTTTCAAGCCTCTGGAGGAAGATATAAAATTAATTCACTGAAATGAGACATATTGTAATGCATGCTAGCCCTTATAAATACTGAGGGAACAAGTGGAAGAGAGTTGACTCAGGAGAGATTGGCATCAAAAGAAGTGAATTGGTTGCCTTTATTTAGGTTAAGGCTTTTCCTTTCAGTGTATGTTGATCTCCTCTTTTGCAAAATGCCTGTGCGTGTCTTTGGATCTTTCTGAAGAATTGAGAAGGAAATGATGAATGAATCAATATAGTGCTAAACTTTACAGTTCATCACCAATATTTGTGATCTACTGCTATTCTACTATGTACATATCAGAGCACACTGGCTCAAAGATTAGGTTATAGAATGATAACCAAAACAGCATGGTACTGGTTCCAAACAGATATATAGACCAATGGACCAGAACAGAGGCCTCAGAAATAACACCACACATCTACAACCATCTGATCTTTGACAAACCTGACAAAAACAAGCAATGGGGAAAGGATTCCCTATTTAATAAATGGTGTTGGGAAAACTGGCTAGCTATATGCAGAAAACTGAAACTGGACCCTTTCCTTACACCTTATACAAAAATTAACTCAAGATGGATTAGAGACTTAAATGTAAGACCTAAAGCCATAAAAACCCTTGAAGAAAACCTAGGCAATGCCATTCAGAACATAGGCATGGGCAAAGACTTCATGACTAAAACACCAAAAGCAATCGCAACAAAAGCCAAAATTGACAAATGGGATCTAATTAAACTAAAGAGCTTCTGCACAGTAAAAGAAACTACCATCAGAGTGAACAGGCAACCTACAGAATGGGAGAAAATTTTTGCACTTTGCCCATCTGACAAAGGGCTAATATCCAGAATCTACAAAGAACTTAAATTTACAAGAAAAAAACAAACGACCCCATCAAAAAGTGGGCAAAGGATATGAACAAACACTTCTCAAAAGAAGACATTTATGCAGCCAACAAACATGAAAAAAAGCTCATCATTACTGGTCATTAGAGAAATTCAAATCAAAACCACAATGAGATACCATCTCATGCCATTTAGGATGGTGATCATTAAAAAGTCAGGAAACAACAGGTGCTGGAGACGATGTGGAGAAATAGGAACACTTTTACACTGTTGGTGGGAGTGTAAATTAGTTCAATCATTGTGGAAGACAGTGTGGCAATTCCTCAAGGATCTAATACCAGAAATACCATTTGACCCAGCAATCTCATTACTGGGTATATATCCAAAGAATTATAAATCATTCAGCTATAAAGACACATGCATACGTATGTTTATTGCGGCACTATTCACAATAGCAAAGACTTGGAACCAACCCAAATGCCCATCAATGATAGACAGAATAAATAAATTGTGGCACATATATGCCATGGAATACTATGCAGCCATAAAAAAGGATGAGTTCACGTCCTTTGCAGGGTCATGGATGAAGCCAGAAACCATAATTCTCAGCAAACTAACACAAGAACGGAGAATGAAACATCGCAGGTTCTCACTCATAAGTAGGAGTTGAACAATGAGAACACACAGACACAGGGAGGGGAACATCACACACTGTGGTCTATCGGGGTGTGGGGGGCTAGGGGAGGAATAGCATTAAGAGAAATACCTAATGTAGATGACGGGTTGATGGGTGCAGCAAACCACCATGGCACATGGATACCTATGTAACAAACCTGCGTCTTCTGCACATGTACCCTCAGAACTTAAAGTAAAATAATAATAATAAAAGAATCATCCTGCATTATGTCTCAGCCACTGTGACATTTAAGAAAGTCATATATTCCTTCTGGCCTCAGTTTCCTTACTTATAATCCAAGGATGTTGAAATAGATGATCTATGATTCTTTCTGGTATTTAATATTATATTCTCGTTTTCACCAAAAAGCTATATATTTCCTTCTGGCCATGGCTCTGTGATCATTTGAATGTACAAAGGTTTTCATGAGAATTGACTTTAGAAATTCTAAGAACATTTGAGTAAGTTAAATATTTTAGACTTGAAATCTATCTTGTAACTTTTCTAATTTTGTTTACAATTTTTTTCAAGCTACAAAGGCAACATTTACCAAGCCCAAAAGCGGAATTTTCATTTTTATATTAGATGCAGTTAATTATAAATGTGATAAAAGTCAGAGCCCCGTTCTGTATAAAACTGCTGAATATGGCAGTGAAACTTACAGAAAAAGGAAACAAGCTAAATAAATCATCATCCTAAACCCTAACAGTGATGTCTCACTCTTCGATGAAAAAAATTACCCAGAGCAGAACTGCATTTCTCCTCCCTAAAGAAAGGTGCTTGATCATCTTAAAGTATAAAATGCCTCTCACTCCAGTGCTCCTGGAGTTATTTATCTGTGCTGGCGTGTTAACTTTTTTTACTTGACTAATGACTAAGTTGAGATTGAAATAGGTATGTGTGGGGACTCGTATTTAAGTCATCATGAATAAAAATAACTTGTAGGTTGTACTGTTTCTTACTATTTCAAGAAAGAAATGTTATCTTCTCCACAATGTTTAGGAATAAAACAGCTTTCTATCAACTATAGACATACATATGTAACCCAAATACAAACCGCACATAGGATGGTTTGGGCCATGGGATGAGTCTGTGATAGTTGTGTACTCTACTGTTACTAGCCAAACACAAATGGAACTATATTACCATTCAGGAAAACTACAGGGGAAATTGATGTTTCATAGGCTCCCAAGAGTTACAATTCTAGTGAATGTTGAGATGATCATGCTGAGTCTTTTCCATACACTTATAATCTTCAATATTTGTATCATGGTTTATAATGGTCAATAGGACCCATAGTCCTCTTACTTAATGAAGAGGTGTAATTATAATGTTGTAGAGGTCAAAAAAACTCCATCTTGGATGTTAATCTGCTGTATTGACTTACGATTAACTAGTTTCAGGAAGCCTCTAAGATTTCCATTTATCTATTGTTCCTCATTTAAGAAGATTTACTTACCACAAATCCTACCCTTAAGTCAAACGACCTTGATGTTATCGTAATTCAGATGTCCTACTCTCCCTTCTGAATCACACTTTCCCTATGGTATATACGCCCTGGGTCTGGGAGATAATTGGATGGGGATCCACCATCTTGTCTTGTGTGGCAGGAGACACAGACGTGGCTTCTGTTTGTAAGTTCTTATTAAATATTTCTTTCTAAGAAACTGGATATGTTAGCCTCTTTTTTGGCCTCTCAGCTTCCTTGAACTTTGGGAGTAGGTTTGCATAGACCTGCCTACCACAAAACAAATGTTATTATTTATAAACAGATGAAAGAAGTATTTAACATTATTTAAGAACAAAAACTCCATCACAGGTTTCTGAAAGAAGGTAGATTAAAGCAAATTTCCAAAGCATCCTAGTTTTTATTAATCTTAACATACTATGTTGCAATCATCTTATGTTGGACTTATGGTTTTGTTTTCCAGCATAGGTGTATGTATCTATATCATTTTGTGAATATCTATTTATATTCAACAATGACAAAATTCAACACCAAACCAGCTTTGCTTATCTATACCTATTATTTACTCCCAGTCTGTACAGTATGATAATTGGCCTGCTTTTCTCATTCTGTTCTTTTTTGCATGATTCTTCTTGAATCAGTTGCCCTCCTTTCATCCTGCAAACTCTCACACTGCACTAGATTTGGCTCAGCCTTGAAGATGCAGTTCCAGAGTTTATTCTCTGCCACAAAGCTCTGAGTCCCTCCCACAGTCACCCTGCTTTCTGGATCAGGTGCTTTATCTATCACCATCTCTTTCAGAGCACAATATTACACCAATGTCAATACAATGTTTTAATTCATCCATCTTCCCCAGTAGACTCAGAACTCTGAGGACAGAAATTTTTCATACTTACCTTTGTATCTTACGCAGCATTGTGGTCAACTTAGCCTAATAAGAAGTCTGTAAACAAAATGAATAAAAATACCAGAAATAACACTTTGGCTCAGATGGAACATCAGAATGGGGACATTGTGGGAAATGTCAAAAATTTTTATACCCCTTGTTTACGTATATAGCTCTGTTATGACAGAGGTAACTTAAGTGTCTTCAGACAGAAACATCTGATAAACAGTCACCTTCAGAAGTTTGGATCAGTTTACTTTCTTTAGCAGCCTGAGCATTTGTATATATAATTGGGATTGCTGTGCTTGAGAGAGACCCTGTGACTATTAGTCATACTATTGCTACTACATACTAGTAGCATGAGACAGTGAACTATCTTCTCTTCTCATATGTGCATGCCATTTATGTCCAACTATGTTTTAAGATTGAGCTTCCTGATTGTGTTTTCTGGAGATACTGTTTCAACCTCTACTGTTTAAGGATAAGATAAAAGAGAATTATAACACTGTGGGTAAAATTTTGATTTAAAATTATTGGCCAGTCACGGTGGCTGATGCCCGTAATCCCAGCACTTTGCGGGGGAGGGCGAGGCAGGCGGATCATTTACGGTTAGGAGTTTGAGACCAGCTTGGCCAACATAATAAAAGCCACTCTCAGTACTACCACAGCTGATGCTCTCTTGAAAGCGCCACCTCCCAGCACAAGGCCAAATAGCACAAAAATAGTGCACTCATCAACCAAAGCTAAGGACCCTCACAGAGTCCATTTCATCTCCCTGCCACCTCCACCAGAGCAGGTGCTGGTATTCATGGCTGAGAGATCCACAGACAGTTCAGATCACAGGGCTCTGTGCAGAAAACCCCCAGAACCACCTCAGAACCTGGTAGACTTGCTGGGTGGCTAGATCCAGAAGAGAGATAACAGTCACTACAGGCCTGGCTCTGAGAAAGCCACTTTCCTTGGAAAAGGAGGAGAGTACTACATCAAGGAAACACCCTGTGGGACAAAAAAATCTCAACAACAGCCTTGAGCCCTAGACCTTCCCTCTGACAGAGCCTACCCAAATGAGAAGGAACCAGAAAACCAACTCTGGTGATATGACAAAACAAGGTTCTTTGACACCCCCCAAAATTACACTAGCGCACCAGCAATGAATCCAAACCAAATAGAAATCCCTGATTTACCTCAAAAGGAATTCAGAAGGTTAATTATTAAGCTAATAAGGGAGGTACAAGGGAAAGGTGAAGCCCAATGTTAGGAAATTTAAAAAAATTATACAAGAAGTGAAGTGAGAAATATTCAACAAAATAGCATAAATAAAAACAGTCAAAACTTCAGGAAAAAATGGAAGCACTTATAGAAATGCAAAATGCTCTGGAAAGTCTCAGCAATACAATTGAACAAGCAGAAGAAAAACTTCAGAGCTCAAAGACAAGGTTTTCAAATTAACCCAATCCAACAAAGACAAAGAAAAAAGACTGAGAAAATATTAACAAAGCCTCCAAGAAGTCTGGGATTATGTTAAGCGACCAAACCAAAGAATAATTGGTGTTCCTGAGGAAGGAGAGAAATCTAAAAGTTTGGAAAATATATCTGAGGGAATAATTGAGGAAAACTTACCCATCCTTGCTAGAGTACTAGACATCCAAATATAAGAAGCTCAAAGAACACCTGGGAAATTCATAGCAAAAAGATCATTGCCTAGGCACATTGTCATCAGGTTATCTAAAGTTCAGATGAACTAAAGGATCTTAAGAGCTATGAGGCAAAAACACCAGGTAACCTATAGAAGAAAACGTATCAAATTAACAGCAGATTTCTCAGCAGAAATCCCACAAGCTAGATGGGGTTTGGGACCTATCTTTAGCCTCCTCAAACAAAACAATTACCAGCCAAGAATTTTGTACCTACTGAAACTAAGCTTCATAAATGAAGGAAAGATGCAGTCTTTTTCAGACAAACAAATGCTGAGAGAATTCACCACTACCAAGCTACAAAACTGCTAAAACTGCTAAAAGGCACTGTAAGTCTTGAAACAGATCCTAGAAACATATCAAAATAGAACTTGTTTAAAGCATAAATCATACAGGACCTATAAAACAAAAATACAATTAAAAAGACAAAAACAAAAAATCAAGGTATACAGGCAACAAATAGCATGATGAATGAAATAGCACCTCACATCTCAATAATAACGTTAAATGTAAATGGCCTAAATGCTCCACTTCAAAGATACAGAATTGTAGAATGGATAAGAATTCACTAATCTTTAGTTCAACCATTGTGGAAGTCAGTGTGGTGATTCCTCTGGGATCTAGAACTAGAAATACCATTTGACCCAGCCATCCCATTACTGGATATATACCCAAAGGATTATAAAACATGCTGCTATAAAGACACATGCACATGTATGTTTATTGCAGCACTATTCACAATAGCAAAGACTTGTAACCAACCCAAATGTCCAACAATGATAGACTAGATTAAGAAAATGTGGCACATATACAACATGGAATACTATGCAGCCACAAAAAGTGATGAGTTCATGTCCTTTATAGGGACATGGATGAAGCTGGAAACCATCATTCTCAGCAAACTATCACAAGGACAAAAACCAAACACCACATCTTCTCACTCATAGGTGGGAATTGAACAATGAGAACACATGGACACAGGAAGGGGAACATCACACACCGGGGCCTGTTGTGGGGTGGGGGGAGGGGGGAGGGATAGCATTAGGAGATATACCTAATGTTAAATGACGAGTTAATGGGTGCAGCACACAAACATGGCACATGTATATGTATGTAACTAACCAGCACGTTGTGCACATGTACCCTAAAACTTAAAGTATAATGAAAAAAAAAAAGAATTCACTAATCAACTATCTTCTGCCTTCGAGAGACACACTTAACACATAAGGACTCACACAGACTTGAAGTAAAGGGGTGGAAAAAGACATTTCATGCAAATGGAAACCAAAAGAGAGCAGGAGTAGCTATTCTTATATCAGACGAATGAAACTTTAAAACCACAGCAGTTAAAGAAGACAAAGAGGGACATTATATAATGATGAAAGGGATAATCCAACAGGAAAATATCAAAATCCTAAATATATATGCATCTAACATTACAGGTCCCATATTTATAAAACAGTGACTAACAGATCTACGAAATCAGCTAGAAAGCAAACAATAATAGTGGGGACTTTAATACTCCACTGGCAGCACTACATAGGTCATTGAGACAGAAAGTCAGCAAAGAAACAATGGATTTAAACTACACCCTGGATCAAATGGACTCAACAGATATATACAGAACATTCTACCCAACAACTGCAGAATATACATTTTATTCAATAGCACATGGAACTTTCTCCAAGATAGACCATATGATAGGCCACAAAATGAGCCTCAATAAATTTAAGAAAATTGAAATTATATCAACCACTCTCTCAGACAACAGTGGAATAAAACTGGGAATCAACTCCAAAAGGAACCTTTAAAACCATGCAAATACATGGAAATTAAATAACCTGCTCCTGAATGAACATTGGGTCAAAAATGAAATCAAGATGAAGATTAGAAAATTCTTTGAACTGAACTACTATAGTGTCACAACCTATCAAAGCCTCTGGGAGACAGCAAAGGCGGTGCTAAGAGGAAAGTGCATAGCCCTAAACGCCTACATCAGAAAGTCTGAAAGAGCACAAACAGGCAATCTAAAGTCACACCTCAAGGAACTAGAGAAACAAGAACCAACCAAACCCAAACCCAGGAGAAGAAAGGAAGTAAGAACAGAGCAGAATTAAATGAAAGTGAAACAAAAAAATACAAAAGATAAATGAAACAAAAACCTGGTTCTTTGAAAAGATAAATAAAATTGATAGAGCATTAGCAAGATTAACCAAGAAGAGAGAAAATCCAAAGAAGCTCAATTAGAAATGAAAAGGGGGATATTACAACTGACACCACAGAAATATAAAAGATCATTCAAATCTACTGTGAACACCTCTGTGTCCATAAAGTAGAAAACCTAGAGGAGATGGATAAATTCCTGGAAAGATACATCCTTCCTAGCTTAAATCAGGAAGAATTAGATACTCTGAATAGACCAATAACAAGCAGTGAGATCGAAATGGTAATAAAAATTTACCAACAAAAAAAGTCCAAGACTGGACAGATTCACAGCAAAATTTGCATTCACTAATCCTGTCTCCTGTGCTAGTCTACTGTTAAATTTATCCGATGAGTTAATTTCAGATATATTTCAAGTTGCAGTTCTAGAACATCTATTTAATTTCTTTTTAGACTCTGTCTACATTTAAATATTCCTTTTTAAAATCTAATTTGTCTACCTGCTTCTCTATTTTTTATCACGTTAATTAATGTTACATAATAACTTCTACATGTGACTCATCTCTGGCTCTCATTAATTAATCTCTTTTATCACCTTTTCCTGCTAATCACATGTGACTTAGGGGTCAGCCAAGGACCTGAAGTAAATTTAATTAAAAAAAATTTAATTATTATTGGCACTTAATCGTTATACATGTGATATTTTGATTCCTGTATACAATGTGTAATGATTAAATAAGGGTACTGTAATCCCAGCACTTTGGGAGGCTGAGGCAGGCAGATCACCTGAAGTCGGGAGTTTGAGACCAGCCTGACCAATGTGGAGAAACCCCGTCTCTACAAAAAAAAAAAAACACAAAATTATCCTGGCATGATGGTGCATGCCTGTAGTCCCAGCTACTCGGGAGGCTGAGGCAGGAGAATCGCTTGAACCCGGGGGGGGCAGAGGTTGCGGTGAGCCGAGATGGCACCGTTGCACTCTAGCCTGGCAAGGAGAGCAAAACTCCGTCTCAAAAAAAAAAAAAAAAAAGGGTAATTAGGGGATCCATCACATCAAGTATTTAGCATTTCTTTGTGTTAGAAACATTCCAATTCCACTCTTTTAGTTATTTTAAGATATGCAATGGATTATTGTTACAGTCACCCTATTGTGCTACTGAACACTAGATCTTATCCCTGAAGGGAGTTTTTAACCCAGAGATTTGAATTCCTATTCTGTTGTTCTCATCTCCAGGACTTTCCCTCAAATCCCACCTGCTTTAGCAGCCCCACACAGTGATATATCTTCTTGACAACAAGGCCATCATTCTTTTCTTGAACTCTTATTTTCCTGCACTGAGGTTTGGAAGATGCCGTCAGTGAGAGCAAGGAATAATGTAAGGCTCATCTTGTCTTCTCCTTCTTTCAAGGATTATAGATACGCTCTAGGTACTGTTCAGGGCCTAGAAAAAGTGATTTCTATGTCTTGTCTATCTCTTAACTATTTATGACAGGAGAATAAGTTCAGCACCAAATAATTCCTCTTGGCTTCAGATAATATAAATTCTTTCAAATTTTTTAAATCAAATTAATTCTTTTCATGTGAAATCCATTGTCTTTAAGTTACTAGTCAATCAAATTACTACCTTCTCTTCCAAGAATGTTAAAGTTGGGGGTAGGGAGAATAGTCCAAATTTATTGCCTTTGAATTTTTATCTCCAACCCATCGTCCCATGTCAATATGATTTTTGATGTCTTTGCTTTGTGGAATGTTCTGTACAAGTTCAATGACTTTTAGTTTATCTGAGACAATAGATTTATCTTGCTTTTCTACCTGCTTGACCTGTGCAGCATTTGTCATTAGTAACAATCATGCTTTTCTTAAAATCCTTCTTATATTACTCTGTTTTTGTATCACTAACTGCAATAAACTGAATGCTTATGTTCCCCCAAAATTCATATGTCAAAATCCTAACCCCTAAAATGATGGTATTGGGATGTGTGGAGCCTCGTAAATGAGATTAGTGTTCTTATAAATGAGACCCCAGAGAACACTTTCATTCTGTCTGTCATGTGAGTTTATAAGGAGAAGCCTGCTGCCTATGTGGAAGTGGGTCCTCACCAGACACCGAATCCGCCTGAGCCTTAACCTTGGGCTTTTTGGCCCCAAGAACACTGAGAAATATCTTTGTGTAGTTTATAAGCCACCAAGTTTATTTTTGTTATAGCAGTCCAAACAGATTACGATGTTGACAATACTTCATTGTCATCTTGATTCTATGTTCTCTGTAGGTATCTAGAAAATATCCGCCCTCAACACATATTCTTTCTGTATTTTCTTTTAGTCATTCTAATTGACTCCTGTGGCTTCAACCATCACCATTAAGCAACTGATTTTCTTGACTGTAGCCCTAAACTTTCTCTCAGGGCTCATATACCTACTTTTTTTTTGAAACTGTGGAATTAATGAAATAGCACTGGATTGAGCACTTCTGATTACTTTGTAGAAAATTGACAGTAATTTACTCCACATTTGTGGGGATCCCTGTCTTCTTCCCAAATCCTTACTAGTTCCTAAGCCCCATAAAGGCAAAGACAGAAACTTATTTGTCTGTGTAGATTTTGCAGTGCTTTGGAAACAGTTGATAAACATTTTGCAGAGCAAATGTTTACCATCATATATGTTTGAAGGCTCTATTAATATTCCAAGGATAATTGTCCTGCTAGTCACCAACTAGATTTTGAGTGTGCCCTTTTTTACAGCAGCCATAAAAGGTGAATTTTTTAAACAACAAACAGGGCCTAAATACTCTGCAAAAGAAGGATGGAAGGATGTGACGAGAGGAGTCAGGGAATGGAAGACTGGATGGATTGATTCTGAGAGGGGTAAAGTCAGAGGGAAATCACAAGGGCATTTTAGGTACAGGAAATCCATTCCATGATTGGAATCTGTTCACCTTCTTTAGTATAGAACCCTTTTCCAACACTCTCAATTCTCCAGTGAAAATGACTACATTCATGAATAATTTTGGCAAGTGTTTTTTTCTTTTTCTTTTTCCTTCGATCCTTAGAATTAGAAGAAGATTGCGTTCCACAGCTAGACCAATTGATTGAGGACCAGAGAGATCAGATATTTGGAGACAGATGTGACAACAAGAAAATTTATAGAAATTTTGGAAACATCTGTAGACTTCCATAGGCTATGAAGTTTCTATCTGGGTCTTGATGTCTCAGTCGATTTCTAAATAATAGTAACATTTACAATGCACCATTTAAAAAATATCATAAAGGCTGGGTGCGGTGGCTCATGCCTGTAATCCCAGCACTTTGGGAGGCGGAGGCATGTGGATCACTTGAGGTCAGGAGTTTGAGACCAGCCTGGCCGACATGGTGACACCTCGTCTCTACTAAAAATACAAAAAAAAAAAAAAAAAAAAAATTAGCCGGGCATGGTAGCGGGCGCCTGTAATCCCAGCTGCTTGGGAGGCTGAGGCAGGAGAATTGCCTGAACCCAGGAGTTGGAGGTTGCAGTGAGCCAAGATCAAGCCATGGCATTCCAGCCTGGGTAACAGAGCAAGACTCCATCTCAAAAAGAAAAAAAAGAGAAAAAAATACCATCAAATGTAATTTCTTATTTTTCTTGATATACCTAAGTTCCTCAAGGACAGAATCATACCTTATTCATTTTTTGTTGTTTCTTCCTTTCCTATCCCTAAAATACAGACCAGTGAATTACAGGATGAATTATATAGTTGATCAATTTAAATGAATGAAATGAGTAAGTTAATGAATTTAAGCTAATTCCTCACTGTTTACAGCCAATAAACAACCAGATTACCTTGATTTCCAAGATGGGGAGTCTTCCAAATGTGTTAGCAATTATATAGATTCAAGGAAACTACAAGGTTAGTAGTTCTTATACATTAATATGCTTCAAAACAAGCTGGAAGATTTGCTCAAACAATTTTGGGAGCTTCGCACAGAGTTTTTGATTCTGTAGATCTGAGGTGGGTCTCAAGATTTTGTATTTCTAACAAGTTCCCAGGTGAAGCTGATGCTACTGATTTGGAGACCATACTTTGCAAACCACTCATGAAGGTGACATTATTCAAACACACAGAATTCTCTCCATGGAAAACATTGTAGGAAGACTGTTCTTGAAATGCTTAAAAATCTCCTTCACTGCCCTGTGGCATAACAAGGTGGAAGGTACCTGTGTTGTACAGCCTCAGCTCTGACACCCACTCAGGATGACCTTAGGAAAGCCACATCATGCCTTCGTACTTCAGCTTCTTATAAAGAGGTTAACAGAAACTTTTATATTCTGCAAGCTCTTTCTAGAATGTAAACTCTGACTACAGAATTGAAAGTACATTAGCCTTTTATGAAGAATATTAACTCAGCTCTAGTGGTTCTCCAGAAGCTTTGGTTATGAGATTCTGTCATTAGCCAGACCCTGGAAAAGTAACATATTAATATTGGTTATAACTAAAACCAGAAATTGACCTTGTTCATTCTTTTATGCTTTCTCTAATACAAAGATATTGAATGTACCCGATTTGGACTGGGGTCTAGTTTTTCTCCTTCTATATCATGTAAAGTCTGCAGAGATAGGAGAATGGAGAAGTTGCCTTCTTTGACTATGTCCCAGGGGTACTTTAGCTCTTGAGTAGGTGCACAGTAATTTCAATAGAACAACCACTCCAAATGAACAAAGTCTTAAAGGAAAAGCATTTCAAACTCAGTATCTTTTTCTGTTACAAACAATATCCATATTTTAAAATCAGCCACATAGGATAAATATACTTTTATTCTCTCCCTTTTCCAAAAAAGATTTGATTCTTCATAACCATTCATAACCAGAATGCCTTTTTGGAGTTGCGTATGCATAGGGGTTGGTCTTGTATGTACAGGGATTTAGAATAGTCACATAATTTGAAGAAATAGGCAAAACCTAACATTAGTTTTGAACTTCTATATATGGTGATAGGTACCCAATGTAGTTAATAGTGAAGCATTGCCAGTTCATTTACGTGTCATTGGTAATTGTCATCGTTCATTTACTTGCCAGTTCATTACTTGTTCATGCTTATTCATTTTTTAATGGTTGACATAGGTTGACACCATCTAAACAAAGCAATGATTATATTTCTCATCCTTTCGTTTAATCTTTTGTTTGATAGAACATTGAAACAAGTTGCGTTCCAAGTGGTACCCTTTATCTGTGAGCTACCACATGCTCTGTAGAAGAGACTCGTGCGGCATCAGGGAGTCACATTCCACTGTCAAACATCTCTAATTTTTAGTTGTCTGCTCTGTATCCCTGTCAGCACCATGTATTAGACTGATGTTTCGATTCTAGCAGAAAGAAGAAAAATGATACAGGCAACACTAGGATGTAAAATTTTATGAAAATCATGGTACTTTTAGAGCAATAACATACTTTTAGACAACAATCACCTTTTCTTAATATTATGTCGAAAGTGGTTTATGTATTACAGGGGTGACAATCAACCATAGATGCCGTTTGTCCAGGGACAGTCCTGGTTTATGCCTATTTACTCAGGAAACTTACTAATAATGCTCTCTTTTGTTACCACATGCTTTAGTGTGGATGATAAACATGGTCACATTATTTATTAGCAAGTGTAAGCCACACTCAAAAAACTACTGTTTTGTATGTTTATTAAAGAGGTAAGCTGTAAACATTTTCCGATTACTAGTACATATACAGTTTCTAAAACATCGGGGCAAAAACAGTAATTTACTTCATCATATAATTAAGCTTTGATTCAAAAAGAATCTCTGATAGACACACTGAAAGTACAATGGCTATGAAACGAATAGTAGTAGTTCTTTTCCCCATTTACCCAGTCCAGAGTAGTAAGTAGCACTTTTCATACATATAATTGTCATAAAAGCTATGAAAATTATCATTTTTACTGAAGCATTCAGAATATAGTCCCTATAACAAGTGATTCCTACATGTAGAATTTAGGCAAGAAGGGAAACTAGAAACTTTTCATTTCCTCAGCAAAGGAAGCAAGTTGTCCTTGTTGAGAAATTCAAGAGAGGAAAACTTGAGATTGATGTTCAATGATTTTAGAAAACTATAACTAAATCTCTTTTTGTCTGAACTCTAAGAAAAAGGTAAAACACTAGAGGAAATAGCCAGAAAGTTAAGTAGACTAAAGCTCATCCAGATGGGAGAAAAGTCAGAATTCAACCTGGACTCTCAAGTATTAAGCTAGCACATTCCCTCAACATCAGATTTTTCTATAACTCAGGTATATAAACATTTTCAGTAGGAATATTTGCATGGAAATTAAGTAAAGTGAGTTTCCAACTGTCTCAATTGGTAATATTACTCTATATATTTTTTAGATGAGCATTTTGTGAATATTTCTGAATTGTTGGACATTGTTTAAAATTGTTTAAAATTGTTGGACATTGTTTAAAATATTGTAAAATTATTAAAAAATGTAAAATTAAAAAATTACATCTGTTAAAATATTGTTCATTTATATAGGAACAACTCTGTATTCTTCACAAACATAATTGAACTAAATTAAACCATAAACAAAACCTGGAAAGCAAACCTCACCCAGACCAATTAAATCCATCACTGGAAAGTGGGGATGAGGTCTTATTACTGGAAGGGCATGTTTATTAGTTTTTTAGAGCTGCCATATCAAAGTACGACAAACTGTTTGGCTCAAGCAATATACTTTTTCTTTTTCTCATAGTTCTGGAGGCTAGAAATACAAGATCAAGGTGTCAGCAGGTTTGATTTTTTTCAGAGGCCTCTTTCCTTGGCTTGCAGATGGCCGCCTTCTTACTGTGTCTTCAAATGGTTGGCACTCTGTGTTGTCCGTGTCCTGATCCACTCTTTTCATAAAGATATCAGTCAGATTGGATTAAGATCTATCCATATGACCTTATTTTATCTTAATTATTTCTTTAAAGGTCACATTCCTTGGTATTCAACGTTAGGGCTTTAACACATTAATTCTGGGTGGAGATAATCAGCCTATAACATCATGTGTGTGTTAGAAGTCCTACTTCCACCGAGCCAATTCTTTGACACTAACAGGGAGATACTGCTGTAACTGCCCACATTGAGAGGTTTATTTTGGAAAGTTAAAACATTATTTTCTATTTGAGAATAACAATTCTGTAGTGAATAAAGTTTCTCATCTTTATTCTATAGCCATATGAGAAATGAAGACTTATTATCAAAGCCATAAACAGAAATTCTATCAATTCTCCTTACACTGTGGTAAATTTCTTACCTTTTCTTTTTTTTTTCTTCTGTACTTGACCCCCATCCCACTGATCCTCTTGTACTTTAGTGATAGCTCTTGCTTATCTTTGAGTTCAATTCCCTGTTCTTACTTTGGAACTATAACAAAAAGGATACTGTATAATTTAATTAATCAAAATATCTCATTTACCAACCATTATAGAAACAAAAAATTGAAATTTGGACATAGTTCTTCTCTATTGGATACTTAGCGTGATACTGAGCTTAATGCTATATTCTTTTAAAAATTTATTAAAAATTTCTTTTTGTAGAGATGAGGTTTTACTATGTTGCCCAGGCTGGTCTTGAACTCCTCAGCTCAAGCAGTCGTCCTACCTTGGCTTTCCAAAGTGCTAGGATTACAGGCATGAACTACTGCACCTGGTCAGTGCTATATTCTAAGATTCCTGAAAGCCATTATTTATTGAGCTGGTTCCAAGATAAACTGATGATATAATTTGGAAGTACCTGATGTTTTTCCTTGGAATGTTACTGCCTCCAATTTGTTTGTAGAGGCTAGTCGTTTTCAGTGCATGGGGAATTAAAGGGTAGCCAACACATATTATACTTTCATCTGTTATATTGATTGACTATAAAACAGTACTTCAGAATTAGAGTTTTATAGGCAAAGATACCAGGGTTTAACCTTTGGTCTGCCATTTTTCTAGCTGACTGAACTTGGAAAAGTTTTACCTTATTTAGACCTTTATTTCCTCATCTATTGAATATAGTAATATCAAATGTATAGGCTTGATTTGGGAATTAAATAAAATAATGCTTAAAATACATATTTCACAATGTCTAGCACACAAGAAGCACAACATTTATTAACTTTAATTATTATATTTTGTCTTCAGCTTTCCAAATGGCTGCTATGAAGGAAATGGGAAAGGGGAGCAATTTAGATTTATAAAAATGAGTGTAAATGCGTTTTTCCTTTCCTATGGGAAGACCCAGGACACTTATAGGAAGCAAAAATGGTGAGCAAATTTTAAAATGTAAACACTTTCCAGGTAGGAACTTATCTTCCCCATCAAAGTGGGTATCAGCTTTTCTCCATCAGTTCCTTCCTCTTTACTATCCACTGAAAAAAGTTCTATCCCTTTTATATTTGTCCTTTAGGTTAAAATCAAGGTGTTGGTGAGGCTGTGTTTTTTTTTTTCTCGAGGATCTGGGAGAGAATACGTTTTCTTAAAGCCATTTCTTGGCTTATGATTGCCTTCCTCCTTCTTCAAAGTCAGCAAGAGTGGGTTGAGTCTTCATTTTTGTTACCCTGCTTTTGTTGTTGTCACATCTCTTTCTCTGATTCTAGTCAGGGAAGTTTCTCTGCTTTTAAGGACCCATGTGAGCCATCTCAACAATCCAGGATAATTTTTCCATTTCAAGGTCCTCATCTTAATTACATCTATAAAGTCCTCTGCCAAGTAAGGTGACATAGTCACCTCAATACAAAGGACTTAATTCACATAGTGCAGAATCTGGAGATGTGAGTGAATGAATGGGAGAAGAAAATGGGAAAATATTTCCTGGAGGATTTGAGCAGAAATGCGCTGCAGGAGTTATAGTAGGAGTTGTCAAAAGACAAAATTACAATAAACTTAAAAATTGAATTGGCTTTTATTTGTGATTCTGGAATAGAGCAAAACGTCATTTTATAAAATAGAATGAGTTGGGCATGATAGAATGGCTGGTTTTTGTAAGGTGGGGACATGAAAACAGAAAAATTAAAAAAAAGTGACTGGTTAACATCAAGTCACTACAGGTTCCCTTTCTTGTAAGTGTTGAAGCAAAGAGGACTTCCTTAAATGATGCTGACTTAGATCGACTGTGCTCTTTCTGATAGAGTTCTGTGAATCTCCTGTTTCCAGGAGAAACTGGCTTAAAGTACAGTTTGATGGTGTGGCATTTAGCAGGCACTGACCCCATTTTTATTTGTTTTGGGCTGCGGGGGCCTAGGCAGGACACTAGTCTAAAGCAATGGATTCCATAAATTTTATCATAGGAAAAAGAAGAAAGGGGATTCTAAAAGTTATTGCTGTGGACTGCGTGTTTACTTTGAGATGTTAAAGAAATACCATAAGCAGGTGATTATCTTGAACTTAGGTTTTAGTTATGTTTCAATTTATTTGCTCTGTAGTTCTTTAATTGGACCATGGGAATCACAGCCTCAATAGGGTTACACAGAGTGTTAAAAGAAAAACCTTAGACAAATTAAATATAACAGAGTTTAATTGAGCAGAGGAGGATTGTTGCATTGGGCAGCCTCTCAGGCCAGAGTAGAGGCAGAGAGACTCCAGCAGAGCCACGTGGTGGAAGAACATTTATGGAGAGAAAAAGGGAAGCAACCTATGGAAAACAAGTATGTGAGATATGGAAACAGCCAGATTGGTTATAGCTCTGGGTTTGCCTTATTTGAACGCAATTTGAATAGTTGGCTGTCTTTGATTGGCCAAAACTCAGTGATTGGAACAAGAACAGATTACAGTCTGTTTATATATCCAGTTAGGTTACAGTTACCGTGCACAGAGAAACCACGAGGCCAAGCTTTGAATATATAAGGAGACAGCTTTGAGCTAAATTTAACAAAAAGGTATGCATGTTTTGAAAGGATAGGGCCACAAAATAACAGATATTATGGGAGAGAGAAAGAAATAAGTGAGAGAAAAGGAGAAGGAAAAGAGAAAGCAGGAGGGGGAAAAAGGATGGATATGAATAAAAAAAAGGGAGGAAGACGTAAGATAAACTACTTATTTCAACATTCTGACTAAAGTAGAACCCTGCAATCTGAGTTGTTTGTATCCAGATTCAACTACTCAGAGTCACATTTAAAGTCACATTTTAGGCAAGGCAAGACCACAGATCAATTTGCTAACCTTACATTTTAAAAGTCTTAACCACTAGTTTATTTTGGGTGCCATGGAAACAAATAACTGGCTTTACTAACCAGACACTTTTAAGCTGGTGGTTTTGGCTAGGTGTAGTCACAGCTAGAATCAGGGACCAAAACCGAGCCTCAATCATGACTAAGCAGATGCAGAGATGTTCAATAACAAGTGACATTTTCATCTTAGACAAAGATTACAGATTACAGGTTCTCAAATTTCAAATTTTGGCTTTGTCATTAGATGATAATTCTACCTCTGGTGTATCGTTTCGTTTTTGCTCATCCTTTTCTGGAAACAGTAGCAATTTTCATGCAGAGACTGATCTTACGACCAGGTAGCTGATGTTTCACATTTATGAGTTAGATGCTGGTTTGATTTTTTTGTTTGTTTAGTCTCTAGCCATGTCCTCAGAAGCTCATTATAGAGAAAGTAGAAGTTATAATAACTAAAAATTGGAACTATAACTCTTACACTTTCAAATTAATACAATAAAGTGCAGATGAGTACCAGGGTTTTAGAAGACTCTACTCAGGGCCGCAGAAACCAAAATCAAAACAAGGCAGGACTCCTACAATTCAGTGAATGATGATCTGGTGCATAAGACCAGCAAAATCATAAATCATCACCGTGCAAGTCAGAAAGTGATCATTATAAACTAAGTAATCTCTGAGTACAAAGAAGAAAAAAAAGAAAAGGCCACTGATTAGGTAGTTTATTTTTAATTCTATAGCTTATTTTTTCTTATCCTAAGAGATTATGTATGTGCAGATTATTGAGCAAACACCAAAATTAGTCCTCCATAATCTGCTAAAAGATAACTACTCTGCCATTTTATTCTCTTTCAATTTTTGTCCTCTTATAGTTTTACTTGAGATTTAGCTGTGTAATTTGTATCTCACTTGTCTTTTTAAAAAATGTCATAAACACTTCCCCATGTTTTTAGAAACTTTGTCGATAATATTGCAAAGTCTCTATAAAATTTATGTATAATTTTTAACATCCCTTATTATCGAATACATAAATGGCTTCCTTTTTGGTTTAGTTGATTTTTGTTATTGTTGTTATGAGAAGTAACAGTGCAATTAATACCTTTGATGTTAAGAATTTGCTGCATTATTTTGTTTCCTTAAAATAGTTTTCTGGAAATGGACTCTTGAGTAGAAAAACTTAAGGCTATAAAGGGACAGATATGAAGTGCATAGTGTTCTTGGCACAGGTAATAGCACAGTCAAAAGCAGGCTATTTCACTGGTTATGAAAATAGTTGTGAAAAAATAAACTTTGTAGAAACGATTTTCCACATAGGTCCTAGGTTAACATGTGAATATAGAGTCTTCTATTTATGAAAAAGCAAAAACAAAAGGCCTGGATTTTTTTTGTCTTTGTTTTTGTTTAGAAAGGGTCTTACTCTGTGGTCACCCAGGCTGGAGGGCAGTAGCAAGATCACAGATTACTGCAGCCTTGACTTCCTGCTGAGCTCAAGCCATCTTCCCACCTCAGCCTCCCAGATAGCTGGGACTACTGGTGCACACCACCACACGTGGCTAATTTATTGTGTTTTTTGGTAAAGATGGGATTTGACCATTTTGCCCCGGCTGGTCCTGACCTCTGCATGTTTTAAATTATAAATGACACTGTGAATCCCTGACTATAGCATTGGACAGATATAAGATGTCTTAGAATGGGAGAAAGAGAAAATTTACAGCTAGTCTGCTTGTGCAGAGTTGTGAATTATAAGTAAAAAGTGATTTTAAGACAAGAGTGAGTGGGATGGGAAAGCTGCTGTGCATCATTTCCTCATAGAGAATATTCAGATAGCTAAACACAGTCGGCTTTGATTAAAAAAAACAAAAAACAAAACAACAACAACAATGACAAAAAACAAAAAGAAAGACCCAATGATAACAAAGAAAATTCATACAGAGGATCTTAAAAGAAGCTTATTTCTCTAGAGGTGAAATAATGGAAATGGAAGAGGAGCTATGAACTGGAGTAACCCAGGAATGAGCCCTTGAGGCGGTTTCTTTAGGTTAGAAAGGAGAGTTCATAAGAACCCTGGGATGAATCTCTGGAGAGATTTAAAGGCAGCTGAGCTTGGCTATTGAATGACATGAAACCCTAAAAATACAATAGGGATATCTCTTTCCAGGTCAGGAAATACCAGTGTGCCCCAATCTATTCACAAAGAATGGATAGCTGAAAGTCCTTACTATCAGCTGGTAATAGCAGCAATGAGAGGAAAATACTAGGCTAGGCTGTGTTCTTCAGCCAGAAATGATCCCCTTTTTACCTTCGGATAATAGCAGCAAAGGGAAACACATCTGCCAGCACACTAGGAGTTACACATGGAGCTCCATTTGGTTTGTTTCAATGATTTAAACAAAAGAAAACAAATAGTGCTAGATCGGCATTTTCCTGGAACTAGAACTGCTCTTTCTTGCAGGGAAACCACTGCACATTCTAGGTGGGACTGAACTTTTCCTCCAGCCAGAGGGGTTAGCAGCAAGCATGGTCTTGAGTAACTAGAGTATCCAACCTTCTGGCCACAGTGAATGATTTAAGGATGGGCTTAATACCCACATCAGGACAGTCAAGGTCTGTGAAGGTTTTTTTTCAGTAGAAAATATCATCAAAAACTCTTATCCCCAGGTTGACCAGTAGCTGTTTTTTTTGTTTTGTTTTGTTTTGTTTGTTTTCTATTTTGTGGCCTGAGAAAGAAGAGAAAATCCTGATGTGCTTTAAAAATCCCTGCATCTATTCACGCCTGAAGCCGTTATCTTTGATCTTCCCAGTCATTTAAGCCAGATCGGATAGTTTCTGCCAGCTACGACTGAAAATGTACTGACTAATACATGTTGTGTTTTCTTGTGTGCCACAGAAAAGAGTTTGTCAAAGAAGAGGCAGTACATATTTAGAAGACTCTGTAGTGAAGGGAGAAAATAAAGTATACTCCCTCTTGACTCATGAAGGATGCTCAAGTACCTGAAAATTCTCCTGATAGAAGAGCTTTCCCTGAACGAGTTCAGGACGTTATGTAACAACAATAAGACTGGATGATCAAATATATGTATTTATTAAGTTTGTAAAAATCAAACAAATTTAAAACTGAGTAAAGATATTCTTGTTGATTTTTAAAGCAAGCTTTAGTATAATATTTTACATACAATATCCTATATGCAATGGATATACAATTAATGTATGTATACTATTACTTGCTTGCTGAAAATTTTTAGATTTCTGTGTCCCTTGAACTTCCATAAAGTGGTTGTAATTTTTTTTTTTGCATTATTGCATACTAGTAAGCATTGAATCTAAACCTCTTTCCAAATGTTCATCACTTTCTAGGTTTAATGACTTTGAGTCACTCATCCATGCCTAGATCCAAGATCTCTCCAATTATGCAGAACAATCTGGACACTTGAGATGGAAAAAGCTTCAGATAACCTTTGCAATTATTTCCCCATGTCTTCCCCAATACTGGTTTCAACAATCTTCACTCTTCCCCTGACATCCTCAGACCATAGCTCAAATTACCAAGATTTCTGGGCATGATTGCCCTTCTCATAAGCTCTAGAGTGCTTCTTTGTTTTCTCTCGCTTCTATTTCTATTCTTGTTCTGACATCACTGAGGTTGTTTGGCAGTTTAGCTATCTACGGGCTGCTCGGAGGAGCTGATTTCTTGGGGTGCTGCCTTGAAGGCATCAGAAATTAATATATCTACCTCCTTCCCCTCATGCCTTAGATGCGTTTTGCCTGGTTTACATGAGACTCTCTATAAAAGGAATCTGGACAAATTGATGTCAAGGTTACTTAAAGGGAATCTCTGTTCTGGAATACAAAACATTAAGTTAATTAGGGAGATTTTGGTATTCAGGTGAATGATGGCGGCCTGAGTTCTTTGTACCATTTTAATGAAACAGACATTATTATAAAATTGGTGTCAAGAAGCTTCATTTTAAATTTGGTTTCACCCCGTCTCCAGGAGCTACACAAATTACCCAGGTGCTTTTGTCAAGGCTCTCAAAACTCTAAGAACCTTGAAGAACCTTAGCTCTGGTGCAGTAATGTGAAGATCTGGCATAGCCCTCTGTATGGTGGCAGAAAACTGAAACAATATAGAGCTCATTCCCTTCCCCTTGAAATTCACAGATCCTTCAGAAAATAGATATTTGATATTTGATATATTTGATATAGTTTCTCGTTCTGCCTGTCTCTTTGGCCCTACTGCAGAAATTGTCACACTTTGATGGAAAATAAATTCTTTGAAGATAAAATCATCACCTAGGGAGCTTGTTACGATGCAGATTTCTGAGCTCCCCTGCCATACATTCTACATCAGTGGGTCTGAAGTAGGTCTAGGATTTAAATTCTTAACACACTTCCCAGAAAAGTTATATTTTGAAAAACATTTCCACAGGGAGTAGAGCACCAAGCTGTGCCAGGAAAGCATGGGGATTCTTGTATTCCCTGCCAAGCTCAGGTTGGAGATGGGATATCATACTTTCCTATTAGTGTGCTTCCAACAGACTTGACCAAGATCATCCCAACAGAAAGGGCCAATTACTTATGGATTCAGATTTCCACCCATGTTTTACCTTTGACTCCTTAGCAAGAACATGATTTGCAACATAGAAAAAACATCTGGCAGGTTGGCATTCCAGTGTGTAATCTAGTTTTAGGCTAAGCAGAACTCAGATGCAGCAGTAAGGATTTGTGGGCTGGTGCCCAGTAGTTACAGTTGGTGAGAAGAGTTCCACTCTGTTTTACTTGCTCATGTTTTGTGGTCACAATCAGATCGTTTATCAGCATCATACATTTGTCCAGCATAATTTCTCTTCTCCACTCTGAGTTGACATTTTAATGGATTGTTTATAGCCAACATGGTAGCAAGATACAGGATGTTGATTCACTGTTAATTTATTTCAGCTAGGAAGATTACCAAAGCAGCATATCTCTTTGATATGGTTTGGCTCTGTCCCCACCCGTATCTCACCTTGAATGATAATATTCCTCATGTGTTGTGGGAGAAACCCATTAAGAGGTAATTGAATCACAGGGGCGGCTTTTCCCCTGCAATAATGAATAAGTTTCATGGGATCTGATGGTTTTATAAAGGTAAGTTCCCCTGCGCATGACGCATGACCTCTTGCCTGCTGCCATGTAATACATCTCTTTGTCCTTCCTTCATCTTCTGCCATGATTGTGAGGCCTCCCTAGCCATCTGGAACTGTGAGTCCATTAAACTTCCTTCCTTTATAAATTACCCAGTCTCAGGTATGTCTTTATTACCAGCATGAAAATGAACTAATATACTCTTGTTTGTTTTTTGTCATTGTGAGCAACCTGGATAGATGGAGCTTTCCCTGCCTTGTTCTCACCTGTCCTTTGATTGTCTGACTTTTCTTCCATAAAAGCTTTCATTTGGTACACTAGTTAACTTGGAACATAATATTTATTATCACTAAAAGTTAGAGTAATTGAGCTAAGCTAGCAAACTCAAGACCTACTTTTTTTCAAAAAGTCAAAGTGAATGTAAAATGTCCCAATTTTCCTTAGAAAAATAGCTTGATAAAGGTCGTGTAGCTAATTAAATCTCAATTTGCCTATTTAGCACCTCAATTATTTTGTATTTTTATTTTTTTCCAAGGTCCCATAGAATCAGTTGGCTGGAAAAAAAATTAGCAAAGTGAATTTTAAAATTCAAGTTGTAAGTAATATCATTTGGCTTAGACGTGAAAGCTGAGCAGATAAATTGAAGCTGGATACCCCTTCTCTAGAGAGAAATGGAGAAGGGCTAGTACATTACTAACTTTGCTATGGTATCTGAGTTTATTATATGTTTATGCTGCTGACTTAAGTACTTCATACAACGAAAATGTAGCAATAACGAGTTGCTCTTTAGTCTACTGTATGTGCTCTGTTTTCAACTTGGCAAGTAGCATTACTGCACAGTGGATATAGTCTGGAAAATGTGTTTGCAAATTGAATTTTTTAAAAAGAAATCACTCATTTTCTGAAGATAGGCAATTTTTTTTTTTTTTTTTTTTTTGCGATGAAGTCTCGCTCTATCACCCAGGCTGGAGTGCAGTGGCACGATCTGGGCTCACTGCAAGCTCCACCTCCCCGGTTCATGCCCGCCATTCTCCCGCCTCAGCCTCCGGAATAGCTGAGACCACAGGCGCCCGCCACCACTCCCGGCTAATGTTTTGTATTTTTAGTAGAAATGGGGTTTCACCGTGTTAGCCAGGATGGTCTCCATCTCCTGACCTCGTGATCTGCCCACCTCGGCCTCCCAAAGTCCTGGGATTACAGGCATAAGCCACGGCACCCAGCCGGCAATTTTTAAGAATAATTCTGTGGTGATCTTTTTAAAGGTGAAGCCAGAAATTTCTTTATAAATTCAAATTGTAATGTTTCCTTTTAAGAATATTATTGGTTGCTATGTTATGGTATATAAGGGAGAAGAGAATGTAATCTAGCTATCAAGAGACCTGCATTCCAGTCCTGTTGCTCTTCCATTATTTTGCTCTAGAGTTGAGAGATGGCATTAGAGGATCTTTGAGGATACTTTTACTTTTAAAATTCCAGGATTTCAATTTCAAATTTTTGGTGACTGGCTTTGTTCAAAATAAAGCATTAACACTCAATAGATGGCAACATATCCTGAAGCTGCACCATCCAATACAGCAGCCACTAGCCACATGTGGCAATTGAGCACTTGAAATATGGCTGGTCTAAACTGAGAAGTGCTGTAAGTGTGAAGTGCACACTAGATTTCAAATGTTTGATAACAAATTGTGAAATATCTCATGAATTAATAATTTTTATATTGATTATGTTACTGTGATATTGTTACCAGGGGGTCTTTGCTCCCAGAGCTCCCAAGATGGTGGCGGGCCACTTCCAAGATGGTGGCAAGCCTCACGTTCTCTGACCTGGGGTTCTTGGCCTCACAGATTCCAAGGAATGGAATCTTGGACCATGCAGTGAGTGTTATAGCTCTATCAGAAGCCGTGGGTCACAGAAGAGAACCATGGAACCCAGTGACTAGTGTTCAGCTCGGTTAGGACGACCCAGGCACTTAGCCTTGCAGGAACAATGGGAAGCCTTTAGCCGGATAGGGAGCAGCAATGGGCGCCTTACTGGATCAGGAGCACAGCAGACACCCTGCCGGATCCAGAGGGATGGAAGTCAGTGGCGGGTCTGCGACGGTGGCAAACAGCAGTGGTGGACGGCTAGTGAAAGCTCAGCTCGAGCTGTAACAAACACGGACCAGAAGAGTGCAGTTGCAAGATTTAATAGAGTGAAAACAGAGCTCTTATAAAAACGGAGGGGACCCAAAGAGGGTAGCCATTGCCTGCTCGAATGCCTGGGTTTATATCCCGATCATTGTCCCTCCTACTGTGCTCTCAGGCAACAGATGATTGGCTATTTCTTTTTTTTTTTTTTATACTTTAAGTTCTAGGGTACATGTGCACAACGGGCAGCTTTGTTACATATGTATATATATGCCATGTTGGTGTGCTACACCCATTAACTCATCATTTACATTAGGTATATCTCCTAATGCCTTCCCTCCCCCCTTCCCCCCAGCCCACGACAGGCTCTGGTGTGTGATGTTCCCCTTTCTGTGTCCAAGCGTTCTCGTTGTTCAATTCCCACCTATGAGTGACAACATGCGGTGTTTGGTTTTTTGTTCTTGCAATAGTTTGCTGAGAATGATGGTTTCTAGCTTCATCCATGTCCCTACAAAGGACATGAACTCATCTTTTTTATGGCTGCAGAGTATTCCATGGTGTATATATGCCACATTTTCTTTATCCACTCTATCATTAATGGACATTTGGGTTGGTTTCAAGTCTTTGCTATCGTGAATAGTGCCACAATAAACATACATGTGCATGCGCCTTTATAGCAGCATGATTTATAATCCTTTGGGTATATACCCAGTAATGGGATGGCTGGGTCAAACGCTATTTCTAGTTCTAGATCCTTGAGGAATCACCACACTGTCTTCCACAGTGGTTGAACTAGTTTACAGTCCCACCAACAGTGTAAAAGTGTTCCTATTTCTCCACATCTTCTCCAGCACCTGTTGTTTCTTGACTTTTTAGTGATAGCCATTCTAACTGGTGTGAGATGGTATCTCATTGCGGTTTTGATTTGCATTTCTCTGATGGCCAGTGATGATGAGCATTTTTTCATGTGTTTTTTGGCTGCATAAACGTCTTCTTTTGAGAAGTGGCTGTTCATATCCTTTGCCCACTTTTTGATGGAGTTGGTTTGTTTTTTCCTTGGAAATTTGTTTGAGTTCTTTGCAGATTCTGGATATTAGCCCTTTGTCAGATGAGTAGATTGCAAAAATTTTCTCCCATTCTATAGGTTGCCCGTTCACTCTGATGGTAGTTTCTTTTGCTGTGCAGGAGCTCTTTAGTTTAATTAGATCCCATTTGTCAATTTTGGCTTTTGTTGCCATTGCTTTTGGTGTTTTAGACATGAAGCCCTTGCCCATGCCTATGGCCTGAATGGCATTGCCTTGGTTTTCTTCTAGGGTTTTTATGGTTTTAGGTCTAACATGTAAGTCTTTAATCCATCTTGAATTCATTTTTGTATAAGGTGTAAGGAAGGGATCCAGTTTCAGCTTTCTACATATGGCTAGCCAGTTTTCCCAGCACCATTTGTTAAATAGGGAATCCTTTCCTCATTTCTTGTTTTTGTCAGGTTTGTCAAAAATCAGACAGATGTAAACGTGTGGTATTATTTCTGAGTGCTCTGTTCTTTTCCATTGGTCTATATCTCTGTTTTGGTACCAGTACCATGCTGTTTTGGTTACTGTAGCCTTGCAGTATAGTTTGAAGTCAGGTAGCATGATGCCTCCAGCTTTGTTCTTTTGGCTTAGGATTGACTTGGCAATGCGGGCTCTTTTTTGGTTCCATACGAACTTTAAAGTACTTTTTTCCAATTCTGTGAAGAAAGTCATTGGTAGCTTGATGGAGATGGCATTGAATCTATAAATTACCTTGGGCAGTAGAGCTATTTATGACAAACCCACAGCCAATATCATACTGAATGGGCAAAAACTGGAAGCATTCCCTTTGAAAACTGGCACAAGACAGGGATGCCCTCTCTCACCACTCCTATTCAACACAGTGTTGGAAGTTCTGGCCAGGGCAATCAGGCAGGGGAAAGAAATTAAGGGTATTCAATTAGGAAAAGAGGAAGTCAAATTGTCCCTGTCTGCAGATGATATGATTGTATATTTAGAAAACCCCATCGTCTCAACCCAAAATCTCCTTAAGCTGATAAGCAACTTCAGCAAAGTCTCAGGATACAAAATCAATGTACAAAAATCACAAGCATTCTTATAAACCAATAACAGACAAACAGAGAGCCAAATCATGAGTGAATTTCCATTCACAATTGCTTCAAAGAGAAAAAAATACCTAGGAATCCAACTTACAAGGGATGTGAAGGACCTCTTCAAGGAGAACTACAAACTACTGCTCAATGAAATAAAAGAGGATACAAACAAATGGAAGAACATTCCATGCTCATGGATAGGATGATTGGCTATTTCTTTACCTCCTGTTTTTGCCTAATTAGCATTTTAGTGAGCTCTCCTTACTATCTGATTGGTCAGGTGTGAGCTAAGTTGCAAGCCCTATGTCTAAAGGTGGAAGCAGTCACCTTCCCAGCTAGGCTTAGGGATTCTTAGTTGGCCTCGGAAATCTAGCTAGTCCTGTCTCTCAATATTATCTTGGATATACTGGATTCAAGAAAACATATCAAAGTGAATGCCATGCATTTCTTTCTTATTTTAAATGTAAACGTTTTATTTTATTTAACTTTTATTTTTAGATTTAGGGCATACATATGTGCAGGCTTGTTACAAAGGTATGTTGTGTGATGCTGAGATTTGAGGTACAATGGAACCCATCACCCAGGTAGTGAGCATAGTACCAAACAGGTAGCTTTTCAAACCTTGTCCCCCTCCCACCCTCCCCATTCTTGTATTCTTCAGTGTCTATGGTTCCCATATTTATGTCTATGTGTGCCCAGTGTGTAAACATTTTACATTTAAATAATTTAAATTTAAGCAATTAATAAGAATCTGGTAAACAATCTAATAAATAGAAAATTTAAACTTACTTATGGCTTACATGATATTTTTATTGGGCAGTGCTACTCTAAAGGGACAGCACATCCCGCAAAGGACCTCTCCTAAAGAGCAGAGAACTTTTCATTACTGGTGTTGTTCAAGAAAAGCCTTGATGATGTAGAAGAGATTCTTTGAAGGTAAGATGAAAGCATTATTTCTCAAAGTACAGTTCACAGAACACTAGTCCTGTGAGATACACCACCACAGTCAAGCAAGTTTAGGCAACACTGTGCTACTAACCTCCTCCTTCTGATTCCCAACACTCATTAGCATAGTGAAAGCTCAAAGAAGTTACACTGTAGTGAAACTTACTTTCCTTGAGTTAATCCACTTTTTTTTTCCAAATTCGTTGGAAAAAAAATCCTTTTAAAAATATATTAATGATACCTAATAGCTGCCTGTAGAATCAAGAAAGTCACTTTGAAAAATGCTGGTAAATTAGATAATTACTAAGTCCCTTTTGTCTGTTGTATGTTTGTAGGCAATTTGTAAGAACTCATTCTAGGAATTAGGTGTAACTGCTTCTGTGTATACATGCTTCTATTCTAAAGAATCTTTCCCCTATTCTATGTAAAATGTTTTCCTTCACTTTTCTAAGCTACTTGAAATATCATCAGTTGGATGTATTTGTGTTATCAACAACCCTCTTGAAAAAATTCCTAACTTGCCCTACTCTTCAAAGAAGGTATAAAATCAAGAGTTCAAGGAGAGGTACTGCAATGTGTGAGAGATATATAGAAGTATAGGCGAGGGGATGCTAAAAAGACACCTGCCCTTTCTGAAATGTTATGGTTAGTGCATTCCCTATCAGGAAAAGTGCTGTGTTATGGGTTAAATAGGTTGCTGTGGACTCGCTGGGGAGCCCAAATATGATTTATAACTTTGTTTTCCAGGGAAATTGCATTCAGCATTCCAAAAAGCCAATTTACAAGCAAATGTTGGGAGCATAAATTGTAAGTTAGACACTACTGGTGTGTATATAGATTGACTCAGAACCTCAGGGAATAGAAGCAATCAATATCCTGTGCATTGCTTCAATGCACAATCTTGCTTTTTGCAATAAGCTCTTTGCTTCTTCAAACAGCAAGAAGATGGACAGAAAGACAGAACAAAAGTTTTTATAACGGTATCTGCAGGATCTCATAAATTGTAAAGTAACATCAACAATCAAGAAGCCCTCATCAAGAATTTCCCTGGATTACAAACAATGAGGTTTTATTCTTTTCTTTTTTTGAGATGGAGTTGCGCTCTTGTTGCCCAGGCTGGAGTGCAGTGGTGCGATCTCAGCTCACTGCAATCTCCGTCTCCCAGGTTCAAGCGATTCTCCTGCCTCAGCCTCCCAAGTAACTGGGATTACAGGCGCCTGCCACCACGCCCGGCTCATATTTTTCTGTAGTTTTAGTAGAGATGAGGTTTCGCCATGTCAGCCAGTCCCGTCTCAAACTCCTGACCTCAGGTGATCTACCTGCCTCGGCCTCCTAAAGTCCTGGGATTACAGGCGTGAGCCACTGCGTCCGGCCAAGGTTTTATTCTTAAAGATACTCCTTCATAAAATAAACCAAGTTATTTTTTCTCATAGAATATATAAGAGTAGGTAGACATACACACATGCGAGCAGCCCAAACTTACAAAGCCTCAAACATCCATCTGCAGTTTTTAAGGAAAAATACATTTATTGGATTCACAAGGCATTAAATTACACATTGACTGGCAGTGGGTGTTTATTGATTGGACCTACTTCAGGTCAGGGAGCCTGAAACGGGGCAAAAGCAAGGAGAATTTAAATGAAACTATTATTTTAAAATAAAATATTTATACTTTATTAAAACTGGAAAATATATTAAATATAAACCCATGCTGAGATGTGGAACATTTGTTTTAAATGGTTTCAGAAAGTTTCTCTTTGACCTGCCTTCTTTGCTGAATGTGCAAATGAAAGATATGTTTTGTTTTCTAATTTGCATTACAGAGATAATGATTTATGTACAGTAAGTAAACCACTTTTCGGTGAGTCTTAACAGATATATATGGTCATTTAACCACCGCTACAGTCATACCTTTGGATTCCTCTGTAGTCCATTCCTGCCCATTATCTGCAGCCTCTGGCAAACACAGATCTGCTTTTACTGTAGTTTTGCCTTTTCCAGAGTTTTGTACAAACGAAATCTTATAATACTTACGTAGTAACTTGCGTTTGACTTCTTTTACTTAGCATAATGCATTGAGATTCATCCAGTAGTTTGATCTTTTTTAAAAAAATTGTTTAGTAGTATTTCTTGAAGGAGATATACCATAATTTGTTAATTCATTCACCCATGATGGAAAACTGAGTTGTGGCTAGTTTTTGGTGATTATGAATAAAGCTGCTGTAAACGTCAACAGACACATCTTTATGTGGACATAGATTTTTATTTCTCTTGGAAGATATTTAGGAATAGAATTGCTGGATCGTATGTGAAGTTTATATGCTTAACTTTAGAATTAACTGCCAAACTGCTTTCCTAAATGGTTGTTCCGTTTCATATTCATACTGGCAACGTATGAGAGTTCCAGGATGCAGACATCGTCACAGAGGTGTACTGCATCTTTTTGAATTTTAGACATTATAACCGTTGCATACTGATAATATATTGTGGTTTTTAATTAGCATTACATTAATGGCTAATGACATTGAGCACCTTTTCATGTAATTATTTATCTTTTGCATATATTTTTAGTGAATTATATATTCAAAACTTTTGCTCAAATTTTAAACTTGTCATTTTTAAACTTTTAACTCAGTTTAATTTTCCTATTATTGGGTTTTAAGAATTATTTATGTATTCTAGAAATAGATCCTTCGTAAGATAAATGTTTTCCATGTAGTTTTTCCTAGTCAGGCCTAATGCTGCATATTCTTAATGTCCTTTAGAGTAATACACTTTTAATTTTTCTTTTAAGATGTGTTCTTTGTGTTTGATGTTAAAAATTTATACCTAAGCCAAGGTCCTAAGGATTTTTTCCCTATTTTCTTGTGAAAGTGTTTTAGTTTAGTTGTTACATGTAGGTAAATGATCCACTCAGAATTAACTTTTGTATATGGTTTGAGGTATGGGTTGAGGTTTATTTATTTGTTTATTTTGCATATGGCTATTCAATTATTACAGCATAATTTGTTGAAAAGAATATCCTTTCCCCATGGAATTACCCTGGTACATTTGTCAAAAATCAATGGGCCATCTAAGTACAGTTCTATTTTTTTTGTCTTTCTATTCTGTCCTATAGACCTATATATCTAACCTTATACCAATAACAGGCTATCTTGACTAGTGTAGCTTTATAATAAGTATGAAAACCAGGTAGTATAAGCTCTCTAATTTTTTAATCCTTTTCAAAATTGTTTTATCTATTCTAGATCCTTTGAATTTAAATATTTGTTTTAGAATTAGTTTGTTACTTTTACAAAATAGCCTGCTGGGATTTTAACTTGGGGTTTATTGAATGTAAAAATCAAAATGGGGAGAGCTGATATCTTAACAATGTTGAATCATCCTAACCATGGGCATGATATGTCTCTCCATGGATTTAGAACTTTAATTTCTCTAGACAATGTTTCATAGTTTCCAGGGTACAGATCTTGTACATATTTTGTAAAATTTATTCCTAAATAGTATATGTATATGGGTATTATTGTAAATAGATTTTTAAAATAATTTTATAATTGTATGCTGCTAGTATGTAGAAATGCAATTGATTTTGGGGTACTACCTTTATACAACTAATTTTGCTAAACTCATTTATTAGTTCTAGTAGTTTTTCTTTAAAGATCCCTTAGGCATTATCTGTATAGATGATCATGTCTTCTGCAAATAAGACAATTTACTTCTCCATTCCCTTGATTTGTTGTGCTGTCTAGAACCTCTGAATAATGTTGAATAGAAGTGGTGAGAGCTTATATCCTTGTTCCCTTTCTTAGGGGGAAAGTTTTTAGTCTTTTATCTGTAAGTATGATGTAGGAATTTTGAAGATACACTTTTTTGGAGTCAGGGAGATCTCTTCTATTTTCAGTTTGCTGAGAGATTTTTTTGTTTTTTGAGTTTTAAGATCAGGAATTGGTATTGAATTCATCAAATTATTTTTATGAATCAATTGAGATTATTATATATTTGTTATATTTTAATCTGTTAGAATTGTGAGTTACATTGATTAATTTTTGAATATTGAATTAATCTTGCAATTCCTGGTATAAACTCTCTTGGTCATGATATGTTATGATATGTGTGTGAATGTGTGTGTGTGTGTGTGTGTGTGTGTGTGCATTCATCTGCTAAAACTTTGATAAAGATTTTTGTGTTCATGTTCAAGAGAAATATCAGCCTGCAGTTTTTTAAAAATAATATGGCTTTTCTTGCTTTGGTGTTAGAGTAATGCTGATATCAGTATAATATGTTGATTTGTACTGGACTTTTTTTCTTCTCTAATATAAGATGTTAGTGTAATTAATTTTATTCTAGCACAGCTTTGGCTGGGTCCCACAAATTTTGATATTTGGTGTTTCTACATTCATTTTGTTCAAAAAATTTTCTGAGTTCCCAATTGATTTCTTCTGTGATTCATGAATTATTTATACGTTATTTAATTTCTCAACATTTGGTTATTTCCCAATTATCATTTTGTTGACTACAGGTACTTTAATTCTTTTAAAGTCAGAGAACATTCTTTAAGATATAAATTATTTTAACTTTATTTAAACTTATTGTCCAGCATGATCTGGCTTGATAAATGTGTACACCTGAAAAAAATGTACTCTGTTTTTGTTCAGTGGAATGTTCTGTAAATATCACATCAGTTTGATTGATAGTTTTGTTTATGTGTTCTATAGCTTTACTATTTCTTAAAATCTATTTGTTCTATCAATTACTGAGAGAAGACTTGAAATATTCAATTATAATTATATATTTGTTTATTTACAATTTCATTTCTATCATTTTCTTTATGTGTTTTAAAGCTGTGTTATAGGTGCATACATTTAGAAGTGTTATGTCTTTTTCAGTTGACCTCTTTATCTTTAGGAAAGGTTTCTTTTGGTTCCTGTTAATTTCCTTGCTCTGACATCTATCTTGTCCAATATTAATATGGCTACTCTGACTTTCTTTAAGTAGTGTTTGTTTAGTATATATTTCAGACTGTTGTATTTTTAATGTATTGTATCTTTTTGTTTAATAAGAATTTCTTGTGGACAGAATGTAGGTTGTTCTCTCTTTATCCAATTAGAAAATCTATGATTTTTAATTAGAGTTTTTAGACAACTCATATTTAGTAAATTCAAAGATGTAATTGAATTCTCTTCTTTTAATCCAATCTGTTCTTTTTTCTTTATCTTTTCCTGATTTTTTTATTAGAATAATTGAGTATTTCTTATGATTCCATTTTATATACACTATTGGCTTTTTAGATACATCTCTTTGTTTTAGTTTTAAGTGGCTGCCCTAAACTTTACAACATATGCATTTAACTTATTATCACTGCCTATCTCAAAATAATATTATGATATTTTACATATAGTTTCAGAAACTTAAAATCTATTCCCACCCTTCCTTGGTGTTAATGTTATTATATATTTTGCCCTAAAAATGTCCTTCTTTAACCTTTCTGGCATTACAGACTGGCTGGTGATAAATTCTCCCAGATCTTTTATCATTATTTTACCTTTATTATTGAAATATCTTTTCACTTGGAATAGAATAGTAAGTTGACATTTCTTTTCCTTCTATTTTAAATATTTCATTCCAATGACTTCCGGCTTGCCTAGTTTTGAAAGTAAAGTTGGCTGTCATTCTTGTCTTTGTTTTGCTGTACTTAATGTGTCTATTTTCCCCATTGTCTGCTTTTTTTTTTTTCTTTTCTTTTTTTTCTTTGAGATGGAGTCTCACTCTGTCACCCAGGTTGGAGTGCAGTGGTGTGGTCTTAGCTCCCTGCAGCCTCTGCCTCCCAGGTCCAAGTGATTCTCCTGCCTCAGCCTCCCGAGTAGCTGGGATTAGAGATGCCCACCATCATGTCTGGCTACTTTTTTGTGTTTTTAGTAGAGACAGGGTTTCACCATGTTGGTCAGGCTAGTCTCAAACTCCTGATCTCAGGTAGTCTTCCCACATTGGCATCCCAAAGGGCTGGGATTACAGGCATGAGCCATTGTGCCCGGCCCCCACTGGCTACTTTTAATATTTTCTCTTTATCATAGTTTTGTAGCAACTTGATTTTGATGTATCATGATATTGTTTTTGTTTTTTACTCCTTAGGTTCTTTTGAGTTTCTTGGATTTGAGAGTTTATAATATGGATTTTTTCAGCTATTATTTGTTCATTTTTTTTTGGTCCCACCATCCTCTTCACTACTTCTGGGAGTCCAGTTATATACATAAGTGTTAGACTGCTTGGTTTTATCCCAGAAATCACTGATGATGTGTTCATTTTTATCTCTTTAGTCTTTTTTCCTCTCTTTTCTTCATTTGGATTATTTCTATCACTATGTCATCAAGCTGGTCAATTTTTCAGAGTCTAATCTGATGTAAATGCTACACAGTGTATTATTATTTCAGATATTGTATTTTCTATCTCTAGAGATTACATTTGGGTCTTGTTTATAACTTTTATTTCTGTCTTCACTCACTATGTTTGTATCTTTCCCTACCTTCTTGAACATATGGAGCATATACATATAATGGCCGTATTAATTTTTTTGTTTGCTAATGCTAGCATTTGTCATGTTTTTGTCTGTTTCTATTGATTGATTGATTTTTATTCTATTTATGGATTATATTTTCCTGCTTCTTTGGCATAGTAATTTTTGACTGGATGCCAGCCACTGTACTTTTTATCTTATCGGGCACAAGATTTTACTGTTTTTGTATAGTGTGTTGGATTTTTTTCCAGCCCAAAATCAAGTTACTTGGACTCAATTCGATCAATTTCAGGCTGCCTTTTATGCTGTGTTAGAGCAGTTACTTAGCATCCTGGTCTGGCGCTAATTTAGACTCACAATTCACACAATGTCCTAATGTCCTGTGTATAAACACAGTGTCTAAGATCCTGTTTATTACTTCTATATTACATGGTATTTTCAATAGTACAAACTATTCTCAGCCTTATTTATGATCCCCCCAAAATTTGACCTACTGCTTTTCTGCACTTCTTGCTTCATCCATGGGTAGCATCCTCTTACCATGTGATCCATACTAAGCCAAACACTGAAAGGAACTCTTTTGTACATCTGCGGAATTTTCTCTCTGTTAAGTTTCCTTTTTTCAGACATTCTTTCCCACAGATTCTTATAAACTTGACCTCCCCCAGTTCTGATTTTTGTCTATTCAACTCAATGAGACAACCAAGTTCTGCGGTGTTTTGTTGTTGTTGTTGTTGTTTGTTTGTTTGACAGAGTCTCACTCTGTCACCCAGGCTGGAGTGTAGTGGCATGATCTGGGCTAACTGCAATCTCAGCCTCCTGGGCTCAAGCGATTCTCCTGCCTCAGCCTCAGCAGTAGCTGGGATTACAGGTATGCACCACCATGCCCAGCTAATTTTTGTGTTTCTAGTAGAGACGGGGTTTTGTCATGTTGCCTAGGCTAGTCTTGAACTCTTGGGCTCAAGTGATTCACCTGCCTTGTCCTCCCAAAGCGCTGGGATTACAGGCATGAGCCACCATGCCCAGGCTTTCCTTTCTTTCTTTTCTTTCTTTTTCTTTCTTGTTTTTCTTTCTTTTCTTTCTTTTTCTCTTTCCTTCCTTTCTCTCTTTCTCTTTTCTTTCTTTCTTCTTTCTCTTTTCTTTCTTTTTTCTTTTTTTCTTTCTCCTTCCTTCCTTCTTTCCTTCCTCTTTCTTTCTTCTTTTTTTCTCTTTCTTTCATTTCTTTCTCTCTCTTTCTTTCCTTTTTATTTTTAACTGTATTGCTTCTTGGAACCTGTCACTTGGCAGTAAGCTGAAGCATTCATAGGGTTTACATCATTTCTTTCCCTCCTTTTAGGGATCAATGCACTGTATTGCTTGTTGTTCAATATCTGAAAACCATTGTTCTGCATATTTTATCTGACGTTTTTTCTGGTTGTTTAATATGTAAGAGTAAATCTGGTCCCTGTTACTCCATAATGGCCAAGTGATGTTATGCTTTTAATACAGAAAATAAAACACTGTCTCTACTTTTTACAAAGTGAACCTTTCTTCCTCGGCATTCATAAAAATGAAGCTCAGCTTCTAAACAACTAATAGTATTAACTTATTTATAATCTTATATTTGAGGAGAAGCCTGGGGCATGAGAGAAATCACCAATTTATATTTATACAGTCTCATGCTCTTCTGTAATTAGTGGTTGAAACTTATGCCAGTGGTTGTTTGGTTTTTAATGTCTGGATTTGTATTCACATATCTAGGGTAGTTTCTGGTGTTGGTGACTCTGTGTTTAACTTAGTTTTTTGACTCAAGAATGACATCCACGTATTTCATTATGCTTCCTTATTAGCTTACTTTTAATAGGAATTGGTTGAACTATATTTCCAAGTATAGATATGAGAGAATCAAAGTGACTAATTCTAGAAGATAACAAAATTTCAAAAATAATTTTTATCTGCTTCCATGTCCCCTACATTGTCTAAAAAGACTTTATTGAAAATGAATCATAGCTAAGTTTACCAATTTGATTCTTTAGTAGGTAGTTGCTTGCAGGAATAGGAATTTTTGACTTTCTTTCTTCCCTCCTGCCCGTCTAAACTCCTTTACATGACCACACTTAATATCACTGTTCATGTCTCTATATTTTGATTCCATGCTATTTCCTTTGCCTAGAATATCTTTACCATATTTCTTTCTTGGATAACTCTCGTGTATACTTTAAGGCTCAGATCAGACACCATCAAATAGACTAATTTGTATCAAGTTACTTGTCCAACATGTATAAAGATTTGTAGTGAGTGAACAAAAACATAGTTAAAGTGAATTATCTGCTTCAGTATCTTCCCCACTACAGCTCAAGGATAAGAAGTATATAATGGTTAAAAATGCGAGGTCTGGAATCCAACTTTTTGACTCTTTGGGTTCAAATCCTGGTTCTACACACTAAATAGCTATGCAAAATTGGCTTTACTACATTTTCCCCCTTGTGACTCAATATATTTATCTCTACAATTGTGCTTACAGTACTAGTCTTGCACAGAGTGATTGTGAAGATTTGATAATACATAAAGTACCTAAAATAGCACCTAAAGACTCCAAAAGCAGCTAGTTTAATCAACAGGAGCTAATTTTTTTATATCAGGCTCACTGATTTGTCAATTTTGCAATTCAGTTGTCCCCTTGAGTCTCCCTTCAAATTATAAATGTTTCATGTTATCACAAGAAAGATTACCCAAATATGACAGAATGAGAAAATTATGCTTTTTATTATAGTCACATAAAATAAAGTCAGTTACATCAAGTTGTCCAAATGCATTGGTGAATTAATGCCGCTAACGCTTACAAATTTTTATACATATATCTATGCATTTATAAATACATACATATGTAAAAGATATATATTTTCTACTAAAATAAAGTACCCAAATCTTGATATATATAGGGGCATAATGGGGGAGAAAAGAATCATAAGGTTTTATCAGTTGTAGACTGTACTTTCAGAATACAAGAGTCTGTTTTAGACACATTTATTCAGCTGTAATGAACTTTAATCACCCATTCTTTTCTGAATTCTCCTAAGTGAGTTAATGTATCCAAAATATCAAAATAAGTCATGTGGCAAACTTAATGAATCAGAGGCTAATTTTTCTTACTGTACCTGGCTCAAAGTCTAGACTTCCCAATGGAGGCATGGTTAAGCTCCATTCTTAATTTGCTTGTCTTTTGGACTGTGGTTTTTCTGCTAAGGTGATAAACAAATCAGATGTCTCTAATTCTACATCTTCTACTAGCATTCAATAAAGTCAGGGTTTGGTGAAAAGACTTCCAATGTTTTTATATCACCCTGACTTGATGAAAAAAGGCCCAGCAGGATGTGAATTTTGTGTCCTATTGCCTTTGTTATAGGGAAAATATTGTTTGAGCCAAGGAAGGAGAGTTAGGGTGTAATGATCAATAGATCATTGAGAGAACCAACTCAAATTGAAATGAATTCTCTGTTATAGTGAAAAACATTAGTGAGAAGATGCTTGAACTGAAGAACAAAATAAAATTTTAAAGAAAACCTAGATGATATTAGATAATTCAGAAAATCCTCACTTCAAACAGAAACTAGAGTTCCTTCTATTTCCTGTTCCAATAGCTCAGCTTCTTCTCCTGTGTTTTTACTGTATTTTCTGCTATCTTAGACTTTTAAGAAAATTATTTGTAGTATCTGACAAGAAATTGAATTTTTAAATGCCTTTGCAAAAACTTCAACCTACTTAAAGCAAGGTGAAGATGCCTAAAAATAGCTTAACATAAACCAGTCATTTCAGAATCTCTGGTGATTACATGTTCAAATGCCATTAGAGTGTATCTTATTCAAGCAGGAAAGGAAGAAATTGTTAGCACTGAAATTGCATAAAACACGCTAAAACTTCCCAACCTATTAGAGGCCAGAAACAATGGGAAGCCCAGACATTTCTCAGAATCCAAACAAAGAATGCAATATTTTGTTTTATTTTTGAAAGGGGAACAGAAGGGGAAGAGTGTTTCCAATTAGTTGGTCCACCTCAGCTGGGCTGCCTAACTACTGATTTTGGTGAGCATCTTGTTAATGGCTTGCTTGACATGCGTGGTGGAGCTGCGTCGCCTCGTCTTGCCCTGCACCATCCTCCGGCGACGCACCTCTCGACACAATTCATAGAATATCTCTGTGATGTTCCCTTCTCCAGTGCAGGCAGAGCACTCGTAAAAAGCACAAGCCAATTCTGTGGCCAGCTTCTCTCCTTCTTCTGTGCTAACCTGCCTGGAGTGGTCCAAGTCAGCTTTGTTTCCAACCAAGATGAGAGTCACATTCTTGGGCTTTTTGATCTCATCTAGGATGTTCTTAAGTGGCAGCACTTCCTCAAAACTTCCTCGGTCAGTAATGTCGTAGACCAGCACAAAGCCTTCCCCCCATCGCATGTGCCCCTCCCTCTGAATGGTATCTTCCTGTTGGCAAAGAAAAATGGCCGTCAAGAGACCTGGAAATAATCAAAATATATGGATGCTGGTAATGCTGACAGTAATGCCTTAATTACTATTCTTTATATCCAAAGTCATTAAAATGTCGTGGTACTCTAATTGTACAAACTTTCTAAATAATTTTAAATACAGTCATGACTTATCCATCTCAACATATTTCAGGGAACTGAATATTTTCTAATTTAATAGATTTTAAATTTCTGCTTTTAATTTTTTTCTTGCCATATCATTAAATCTGTAATCATAAAAACTAAAAAGAAATTATAATCTTAGTTGAGCACATCACTTTTGAGACTTTTCATCACAATTAAGGACTTAGCAATTTTCTAACAGACAAGTAGCCCCTATTCCACCTTTTAAGTATCAGAATTAGAGTCAAAATTTAGCAAGATGCATTTTGGTTTATTTATTATTTTTTTGGTTTGTTGTTTGTTTTAATTTTCTCTTTCTTCAGATTATAGACAATTAGACTCCAGAAAAACTGTGACAAACTATTTAGAGAATCCAACTCTATGCTAAAGGATTTGGCTTTTTTTTTCTTTTCCTATCTCAGAGCCCCCAAAATGTCGTGTAGTACCAATGACAGAAACTCTATTGAAGGGATTCTCAAAGTGGGTTATCACTCCTTCATAGCAAAGTGGCAAGCATGATTTGAAAAAACATTGCTTTCCCGGGTTCAAATGACTTCTGGAGGCATGCACCTCCCTGCTGCCTCTCTTCGGAATCAGTGCTCTGTGAAGGTCAGAGAATAAGTAGGTGGTGATGAGATGGAAAAGTGGAAAAGTGGGTAATTCATTTCAAGAACCTTTCTGGGTTTAAACACTTTGATTCAAGTCTTTTTGGGGGTCACAGGTAATTGATAAAGTACCATGGAAAACTTTAGCTTTCTGTCATTCCAGTGGCCATTTTTTTCTTTTTTTTTTTTTTTTTTTTTTTTTTTTTTACTGAGACGGAGTCTCACTCTGTCGCCCAGGCTGGAGTGCAGTGGCGCGATCTTGGCTCGCTGCAAGCTCCGCCTCCCGGGTTCACACCGTTCTCCTGCCTCAGCCTCCCCAGCAGCTGGGACTACAGGCGCCCACCACCATGCCTGGCTAATTTTTTGTATTTTTAGTAGAGACGGGATTTCACCATGTTAGCCAGGATGGTCTCGATCTCCTGTCCTTGTGATCTGCCAGCCTTGGCCTCCCAAAGTGCTGGGATTACAGGTGTGAGCCACCGTGCCCAGCCAGTGGTCATTTCTGTACCTGGAAACTAAACCTATCTATGAACCCTTTTTAATCTCAGAAGTGACCGACCTAATACCAAATATTACAAGAAAGACATCTAAAATGAAGTATTCTGAAACAAACTTATATGACATCATGTGAGTTTAGAATACAATATATACTAAATCTCTTTCTTAAAGACTCACACACAAGCCTGTTAGAGGCTCTGAGAATTCTTTCAGTAAAGACACCTGTTTAACTTCATTTGAGCATTTCAAAACACATTTGACCATGAAAACTTATTAATATCTTGCTATGCCACAAAATATAGGTGAGAGAGTCTAACCTAGATGATATGTGAATATTATAGTATTTTCAAAACCCCCTTGAAACACTGGGCAGTTTATATAAGGATGAATATACAGATATTTACAAATATGTTAATATATAAAATGGCTAGTTAATTAGAGAAAAAGGTTTTAGGCATGCAAAAGTTAGTTGAAGAAAAGTGCCTTATTTTTGTTCATAGCATAGATTTCTCAGTTTTATTTGATCCAGAAAAATATTTTAGCTGAACTCTTTATTCACCTGACCAGCAGTGTCTAGTATCTCCATGGAAACAACTTCATCATCGATGGTTGCTTGGTGTCGGTAGGTTGATTCTAAGGGAATGAGCAAATAAAAAAGACAAAAAGATAAATAAATGCAAGATTTAATTTGATCCTTAAAACTGAAAATGGGCATGGGAGAAGTATTCCTGATTTTACAGCATAAGGAACTGTGTAGTCTAGGAAAGAGAGGAGAGATGTGCAAAAATGTAGAATCTTCATTCTTAGCTCCTGGACATACCAAGTTCTAACATGGGTGTCACCGACTTTCAGAATGTAGAATAGGGGGAATCTCTTTGCATCTTTGCTACCCTATACTTTCCTTTTTTTTTTTTTTTTTGACAGGGTCTAGCTCTGTTGCACAGGCTGGAGTGCAGTGGTGCAATATCAGCTCACTGAAACCCGGGTTTCAAGTGATTCTCTTGTCTCAGCCTCCCAAGTAGCTGGGATTACAGGTGCCTTCCACAACACCCAGCTAATTTTTGTATTTTTAGTGGAGACAAGGTTTCACCATGTTGGCCAGGCTGGACTTGAACTCCTGACCTTAAGTGATCCGCCTGCCTTGGCCTCCCAAAGTGCTGAGATTACAGGCCTCAGCCACCGTGCCTGGCCCTATCCTTTCCTCTGAAGATTCCATTTTATTTTTCTGAAAAGCCAGCTCCCTGGTGCTCTTTTCCTTCTATAATGAGACCTCAACAATGTAAATTGAGAAGGTGATTTTCACAAAATGCATTCTGCCTTGGTCCTTCTAAAAATCGAGTTTTTGGAAACTGCTGTTTCTAACAAGATAACATACCAACAGAAGCTACTAATTTCCTTTCAAACCTCAGCTCTGGAAATGTAAGAGATATTACCAGGAAGTGAATGGTTCTTGCCAAATGATGTAAAACTACGAGAAACTCTAGGGGTAGTAAAAGGTGGTCAGACCCCAGTACTGGCTGGTTGGTGAGGAACAGTAATCCAAAGTAGGGGAGGGCTGGGCAGCATGGAGGGGAGGTGGAACTATATGGAGTCCTCTTGCTTATGCTGCCTCTTCAAAGCAGAAAAATGGCAGATGCTCAGTACCAGCTGGAGGTTGGTGGATCAACAGCAGAGTGGTCACCAAGCTATGTGAGGGGAAGGAGAAGTTAGCAGGTGCAAGAAGACTGGGTGGCCCTGAGTATGCCCCTCTTCACATAAAATGGAAACCACGGGTCAAAAATAAGTGCCAACTGGTGCTTCTCTGTATGAAAACTAGAACAACAGAAATAAAGAACCGAATGAATGAATGATTGACCTGATGAGAGTTAGGTTGAGGAACTCTCCCAGAAGTGTCAGTAAGTGTAAGTAAGTAAAACAAAGGAACATGTAAAAGTAAAATTTAATAAAAGGTATGGATAATAGAACAAGAAATCTTAGTATCCTTTATAAAATGAGCCTCAAAGGAGAGAATAAAATACATAGAGGAGTGGAAATTATTGAGGTTGTAATGACTGAGAATTTCTCAACGTGAGGGAACAATGAAAGATTTAAGATCAAAGGAACTAGCAGGACGCATGAGGAAAAAGCTCTATATCTAAACCTATTATGACAAAATTTAAGGATATCAATGAGGAAGAAGTCTAAAGGGATTTAGAGAATAAAGCACATCACCTACAAAAAGATATGACTCAGACTGATGTAGGACTTTTTGCCAGTGAAACTGAATTCAAGACGTCCATCAAAACAATAACACTACATCAACATCAATCCTGGCATTACAATTCTAGATGATTCTATCAGTATATCAGGGTGAAGATGGGGGAAAAGGCCAGAAGCAAGTTTATGTGAACTAATGTACTTGTCTGATTCCAGAAGATGTTATAACTCTTAAAAATCTAGAAAAAGTGAACTAGGTATTCAACTCAATAAATTAGAAGAGAAGAAACAGAATAAATTCAAGATAATATAAGAAAAGAAATAAAAGAAAAAACATCATGAAAAAGAAAACAAAACCAAAGCATGGTGTTTGAAAAGATATAAAAAGAGGGCAGAGCTATAAAGATCTGACAATACTGCCATTAAATTAAGAGAGACAATGCAATTAAAACTTGGCATTAAAAGAAGAAATTGTACATTCTGCTGAAATAAAAATAAAATAATACGAAGTTTATAAGCAATAATTTCAAACTCATAAGTTCTGCAGAAAAATACAGTATCACTAGCATTCTTCTGTATCAGCAAAAGCCATGTAGGAAAGGTAAGAGAAAACAGGAAACTACTTCCAATAGTAGTAAAATAAATAATATTTAGGAAGTAATAAAAATGAACAAAACCATTCAAAACCCTCCAAAAACAAAAACAAAAATTTTCTAGAATAGAAAATTTTAGAAGTTTGTAACAGAAAATGAAGACTTGAATACATAAGAAAATCCTAGGAAAATGGAGAAACAACATCTTTAAAAACATGTCAGTTTTCCACAAAATCAATCTAGAATTTAATGCAATTCAAATGAAATGTCCAGCTGGACTTTTTGAGACGCTCAAGAAACTTATTTAAAATTATATAATACTATATAACATTACTCCAAACAGTGTGGTACTAATATCAGAATGCACAAATTTACCAAGGCCTTAACAATAGACTCATATTTATATAGGAACTTAGTATATGACTGAGGTGGCACCACAAGTCACTTAGGGAAATAATGAATGGTTCAATCAGTAGCATTTGGATTAGAACCAATAAGAAAAGAATTGGCCACTAAATGCACAAAATAAAGTTGGGCTTCTAGGGCATATATTAAAAGTAAATCTGGATGAATTAGAGATCTAAACTCATCTAGATTTGAAGAGTGAAACCTGAAGTTAAAAAAATTAAAAGTAAGAAAATATAAAAGCTCATGCACAGACCAAAAAAAATGAGATAAAAAATAAAAGGGTTGACTACATTAAAATTAAGAATTTTGTGCAATATTAAATAGGCTAAAGACTGGAGAACATATTTGAAACATGATAAGCAAAAAGTTGATTAATATCTAAAGTATGAAAGAAATTTTAGAAATTAAAAAGATAAGTGAACAGGAAAGAAATACGGCCAAAGTATACAAAGAAGAAATTCACATAGGAGGATGCCCAATTAGCAAAAACATATATCAAATGATGTTCTACCTGCTTACTTACCAGAGAGAAGCTTATAAGATGATTTTATGACCATAAGATTGGCAAAAATTATAAAGTTATAAAGCTAGGTAATATAATGCCTGACTAGGTTACAGGCAGCTTCTCTACACCGACAATGAGAGTGTAGACTGTGGTACATCATTTTGAAGAGCAATTCACTAGTGTTCGGTGTGGGCGTACCTTATGATTCAGCAATCTCCCTCTCAGGTACATGCACTAGAAAAAACCTGGTCCAGGTTCTTACAGCACTGGGTCTCAAAGTGTAGTGCCTGAACCAGTAACATCTGGCTCACCTAGGAACTTGTTAGAAATGCAAATTCTCAGGCTCCACCCCAGACCTATGGGCAATCTGTGTTCTCACAAGTCCCCCAGGTGATTACGGTGCATGCTAAAGTTTGAGAACCACCAATTTAAAGGTATGTTTTCCCCAGTGATGTTAGCAGTAGCTCATATTAGAGGCAACTTAGGTGTTTATCATTGGGGAGATTAGTTAAATGTGGCATAGTAAAGAATACCGTGTAGAAGACTAGAAGTAAATATGGAAAAATGCATGGATCTTAAAAATACCAGATTTGGTTATAATGATTAGAAGTGTATATATATAAATATATAAAAGTTATTTAAATTTAAAATATATATACACAGAACACTATTTTTCCTAAGTAAATATATAATAATAGCTAGCGCATACTGCTTCTATTTGAACAACTGTTCTAAACACTTATGTTAACTCATTAATCCTCACAAATATCCAATGAAGTATATATTGCTATTAGCTCCATTTTACAAGAGGAAACTGAGCTGTAACAAGATTAAATAACTTGCCCAAGGTCACACAGATAATAAATGGTAGAGGCGAGATTTGAGTCAGGGAAGACCAGCTTTGGAGTTCAGGCTTGTAAATACCATGCTTAGTTTCAAACACATTAGACTCTGCACTTAAAGGAAAGAGGAAGGCAGTGGGTGTCAAAATAAGGGATGAAAGGGAAAAGAAAGAGGAATAATATAAGGCCTCCCACACACTAATAATAGCATAACACCATGAAACAGAGCGGTATGATTAATATGATTATTAACTCAATTCTTTGTACCCAAACTACCCAAATCATTAACCAACCAACCAACCAACCAACCAACACAATAAACTCAGAAGTTTCTGTTGTCATGGGGGTAGCCTGTAAGCCGGTGGTTTTGTAATTATTTTTTCTATCTACCTCATGTTTCTGACTTTCATTTCATCAACTATTTTGCAGTCCTTTTTTGACCGCTGTTTTCTGTTACTTTACTGTAAATATAATCTCCTGTCCAAAATACAAACTGTAGAATGCAGCTTCGCCAGCCATATCCTTGCCTTCTACTTCCATCAGTACTGTGTAGTGATCATTGCCATAAGCACGGCACATTGCTCAAGTATTTTCCAAAAAGTAAAATTTAAAAATTAGATTATGTTCAATATTTTAATAAGTGTATTTTATGTTATTGTCATTCTCCTAGAATATGTAATCTATACATGGTGTATGCACAGTGATTCGCAATTTCAGAATATTCCATCCCCCTACTCTTTTATGTTAAATTGGAGATTATAGTTTTGTATGATTTAATGCTCTAAAATACTATTTACAGCAGCCACTTGTCTCCAAGTGTTCTCCCAACGATTTTCTTTTTTCATCTTCAGTGCTGCAGCGTGAGGAAGAGCAGCCCATTCTGCATCACGCATGCTGGGGAGCCATGCCCTTTGGCTTCTCCCTCTGCTGTTCTTTAGTGTCCTTTGTACCGACTTCCCTTTTGAAAAGACTGGCATCAGCCCCAGAGACTGGAAAACAGAGTTCTGGGCTCTATTCCATCTCTTTGCACTAAAAGTTGTCTGAGAGACAGGGACATTTTTCTGTGTTGCTTCCATGATAAATAGGGTATGTATTTCAATTACAGAATGCCACAGTAGGAGGGAAATGGAATATAATAAAAATTATATGAAGTTGTGTGATTCTTTGGCTATTTGTTAACTGAAACAAAAAGGATAAAATGCAGGAAATGAGAGAATGTCTGCCCCAGACATAGCAGCGTGTGGTAGCGTGATTTTGTCTAAGGTGAATACTGGGTTCATACCATTTTAAGCATTTTTTTTTCTTTAAGCTTCTCTCTCTCATTAGAAGCCCATTTTCTCTACGTGTAAAACAATGGAAGTATTGCCCGAAAAGGTAAAGTGTTGTGCATCTACGTGCTAACTTTTCCAGAGTTAACTCTAAAAAAATGTACTAAGTAGTTTTTGAAATTAGACTCCACTATGCATCTTAATACATAAAAGAAAATGTGTATGTGTTTGTTTGGTGGATTTGCTTTTGATTTCGTTCATACTAAACAAAAATAATAAATTGAGCCTTTTTTGGTGAAGGGTGGGGGGATGATTATTTAGGAGATAGTTCCAAGTGAACCAAAATATAGTATACTGTAAGAAAAATATGAGTTTCAAAATGGAATGAGGCATTAAAAGTTACACTTCAATTTCACTGTGAGAGATGTATAATTTAAAATCTGCACTCACTAGTAGTTTAATAACTAGAAGCATATTTTATGTAGTCAAAGAGGAGTTGGTGCTCAAAGGGATATTGCATGTGGTTAATCTTTTTACTGATTTAGCTTTTTTTTTTTTTGCGAATTTCAACACTTTAGTATGGACACTTAGCCAGCACAGTAACAGCAGCAGTTAGTTATGTTGATTTATGCCACAATGGAAATTGTACTGAGTTGAGTTCTACTCCTAGTCTAACCACAACTGGACATGTAATTTTGATTAAATTTACTTCTTGGTACCTGTTTCCTTATTTGTCAAATGACAATCTCTAAGCTCCTTGCAGTGCCAATATTAAATAATTAAATAATTCTATGAGTTGGCTAAGCACTTCTGCTTTAGAATCTGGTTAAGATAATTTGTTCTGGGTGTATCTATTTTCGTATGAACGATTCCAAGCAGCAGGAGTTGTAAGGCAGGCAAGAAGAACCAATCACAGAACCAAAGAACTAGTGGGTCTAACGTCTCCTCATTCCCATCCTCATCTGCTTAGAAAACTAAGCAGATTCAAACACAGTGCCTCCAAGGTAACAGTCGCAGTAGTGATAGAGGCTGAAATACAGTCTCTCTCTTCCTCTCCAAATGCCTCCATCACACACGCGCACACACACACACACACACACACACACACACAGTCACAGGCACACACATTCTAAGCCTCTATCTATATTCTCTGTGGTGACCAGCATTCTTAGAGGGTAATATGACTCTTGGAGATAGGGATTCAATTCTTGGTTGGGATCCATTCAGAACATGGATCCTGTTGTTCTACAATCAGATAATTGCTGCCACCACCATCAGGGGGTTTTCATGGTTAGATGGTCCAACTCGCACATCTTATGAGCTTCAGTGGTGGTTTTCAAATGTGGTTCATAGACATCTGTGTGCTGGCCACCCACAAAGATTTCACCGATCCACAGTATAATAAGGAAAATTAAAATAAAACTAAAATTGTTCAATGTAAGGAACTGATTTTTTTTACATTGTATCCTTCGAAACACTCGGATGTTAAAGCAATTTCTTTCTTTTATGAAGTGCAAGTGGAGCGTAGGTTTAGTTCCCCCTCCCCCATTTCCTTCCCTTGCCTGCATCCCTAATTGAATTATTAGGATAGGCTTTCTCCATAAAAATCAAATTTAAAAAAGTGAGTCTGAAACCGAAAAGTTTAGGAGTCACTTGCTACTATAGTAGCAAGCATTTTCTTCATTGAATTATTTCAAAGCAGTAAATATTCTAATTGAGTTAATATGTAGAATGATGTTCATAGTCTTCAGCTTCTCGTGGAGTAACAATTCTGTTCCAGGTTTAAAAAAAAACTGCCCCATGTTTCTCAGGAAAGCACTGACTTCAGAATTCAAGACTGCTTCTTGTATATAAGCTACTTGGCTTTTTAATGTAGTTATCTCTTTTGGTGGTGGTTTTGAAACTTTTAGTCAAAGTAGCTGATATGGTTTGGATCTGTGTCTCCACCCAAATCTCATGTTCATTTGTCATCCCAAATGTTAGAGGTGAGGCCTGGTGGGAGGGGATTGGAGCATGAGGTGGTTTCTCATGGTTTAACACCTTCCTTCGTGGTGCTGTCATCACAATAGTGAGTTCTAGTGGGATCTGGTTGTTTTAAAGTGTCTGGCATGCCCCCCCCCACCCTCAGTCATGGTCATGCCACGTAAGATGCCTGCTCCCACTTTCCCTTCTGCCGTGAGTAAAATCTCCTTGAGGCCTCCCCAGAAGCCAATGCTTCCACGCTTCCTGTACAGCCTGCAGAACCATGAGCCAATTAAACCTCTTTTCTTTATAAACTACTCAGTCTCAGGTATTTCTTTATAGCATTGTGAGAATGGACTAATGCAGTAGCCATGTATTCAACAAAGAATCCTGTCTTCCCCAAGGTATTATGAAGTTAAACTCAGGAAATGCTCATTTCCCTTGAATCAAATGGATGGAGAACCCCTCTATGCTGGAACAAAAGTGACCTCTTGCACACACTCATATAGACACACAAATCCAGCCTCCAGTGTGAGAGAATTAATGAAGCCCTCACCTGGGAATGAGTCATGTATCCATTACTCCTGAAGTCTGATGAAAGTGCTTGTTGCTTAGCAGCTGCCATCCTCTTTGAGAAGTACTGTACAAGGTCACTCAATAAAGTTTCATTATTCTTACTGAAGGAAGCCCGCACTATACATAACTGATGCAGGCAGATTACTATTAATAGCAGTTTTTTTTTCAGATGAATAAAACAAAAGAGAAAATGGTTAAACTAAGACTAATTAAGAATAATAAGATTAGGTACTGGAACACATTCAGGGAGAGTTCATTTTATGAGACCATTTTTTATAAGCTTCATCTTTCATTGAGATATATGGATACAGCAATAAAAAATTTGTATTTTTAAAATTAAACTCCCATTAATCATTAAGATTCTCAGATAATCTATGTAAAACTTATGTAAGTAATAAAAATATAAGAGAAGAATAAGTATTCACTTTGGTGGGTAAAATAATAAAGAATAATTTTTTTAAAAAATCGGGTGCATTTTTAGATCCAAATATATCATCTTAAAATTAGTGTGGCTACATTTAAAAATATGTTGAAAAATTTGGATGTGAAAACTCTGACCTATTTAAAAGCAAAAACAGAAGAATAAATAATAAATGTAGAAACATGCTATTCTCCTAGATTAAAAGGTGGAATAACATAAAGATGTGGATCTTCTCAAAGTAATTTATAGTTCTAGTACAATTCTAATCAAAATCATGTCATATTATTACAGAGTTTCTAAACTTGATCTGGAAAAATCAACTGAACAGAGTAGCCAAAATAATTCTGTAAAAAAGTAATGAGGAAAGATGTTCTCTACAAAGTATCAAAATGTTCTGTACAGCATACAATTAACGAAAAAGTGTGCTGCTTCTGTTTGGTGTGAAAAGCAAATCTAGAATGGTGTCCTGGTGTAAACAATTCAACATATGAAAAGATTGCATTGGAAGTAGTGGAGAAAGGTAGAGAGTATTTAATAAATAACAGGAGGAAAATTGGTCAACGATTTAGACAAAAATGTTGGGTTTTCACCTTGTACTTCTTACTAAAATAAATTTCAGAACTATTAGTCAAATACTAAGTAAACCATAAGATCATTCTCTATTCCCTTCCTTATTGTTTTCCTTCACAGAACTTATCGCTATCTCACATATATTTGCTTGTTTATTGACTCTTCTCTCTTTCCTAGACTGTGCACTCAAAAAAGCCAAGGCCTTCTCTTTCTGTATACTGATTTATCTTTAGCACCCAGAACACTTTGACACACAGAAGGCGCTTGATAAACATTTGTAGAATGAATGAATAAAAACAATGAAAGAAGTCTTTATCCCTTTTAAACTGAAAATCTTGGAGTGACAAAAATAAAACAAAACAAAGAAATTAAAAAAAAAACCAGGAAGAGTGTTTGCCTACATTTTATACATCAACATTATTACTATTTTTAAGATCCACAGACATCATATTTTGCTGCTTCTTCTCTCCTTCTCTCTCTGTAACAGGCTTTAGTCGGATGTATTGGAGAGAAGAAAAGAGAGAAACATATTTTATTTTTCCCTAAAATCCATATTCAGTAGTTTTATTTTTCTGTTACTCTTCTCAGGATACCATTCTATTACGCACCAAATTTTCCATGTCCGTTTTATCCTCTCTCTCCCATTAGAATGATACTGCATTTTTCTTATGTGAGGGAAGTGTGTTGTACCCACTTCCTTTCCTCATGGCTGAGGCTTGACCTAATTTCTTCATCTATGCATTAAAATCCTGCAGGGTTCTAAGCACAGACAGCATGAAACACACATCTAGCCTCATAGAGGGCTTCTTTGCATGATTTGAAAAGCACTTCCACATCAGCTAAAAGGAGCTTAAAAATGTTGCAACAGAAAACATTATTCTTTCTTTGGGGCCATAAATTTTTATTGAAGAGGAGAAGGAAACAAAATTTGACCTACCGAGGGTGGGATCATATTCCCAGATGAACCGTTTGGTCAGAAATCTCACTACAAGAGCTGTGGAAGAAAAGAGCAACATTTCAAAAAATAATTTGTTAATTTGCTTAGCACACCTATCTTTTTAAGGAAAGCGAAATGCTCCACACAACCCTATAAATGCTTTATATTTCCTTGATATATAAAACAAATAAATTTTTTTATGTTTATTCAAGTAATTTTCCAATTTCATATTATGGCCAAAAAACCATTGTAATATTTGAATGGGTTTATTGTGCATTAGTCAACAATTAGATTTGTTGCTTTAGTCACAAGGTTAAAAACAAAACAAACAAAAGTATAATGTGAAAATGCTTATATATAAAATTTTTAGTAAAATGATGAATTTAGATATAAAAGGTCAAAATACAGGTATCCGAAGTTTGAATATTGATAAGGATTGGCAAAGGCAAGTTTGAAATGTGATAATTTTTAGTGTAATGAAAGCTCACTAGCAGGTCATTTGCATTTTAAAAAAGTAGATATTCAAAATTAAGGATTTTTATTAGAGATCTGTGAAAACTCATCAAAAGTAGCACTGATAGAATACAGTCAGAGTCAGGTTCTGGAACGATGCTACGCAGTTTGCTTGCATGATCTCCTCAATCCTCACGTCATCTTTATGAGGCAGGTACGATGTTAATTCCCATTTTTCAGATGAGGAAACTGAGGCACTGTGGGGTTAACTCATTTAATTAAGCTTATCTAGTTAGTTAGTGGCCTGCTAAGGATCTGAATCCAGGAAGTCTGTAACTTATCCATTGTATCAAACTGAATTTAAGTCCTAGGCCATCTGGATAATATTTAACTGGAAGATGGGCTGGAGAAAAGCATGGAAATATGTGGACTCTATTGTCCTTATAAATTGATAAGACATATGCCAAACATTTTCTTACACTTGTAGTATAGTTGAAAACAGTGGTTTTAAATTAAAAAAAAAAATTGGAGCGGGATGTCACAGGCACTTAAAAAATGGAATGAAAGCATTGGATCCTTTTCCTGAAAAAATATACATACACACATTTGGCATATAATTTAGCAGGCTCATGAGCCCTCCATAGACCCCTGATGGCCTCCCAGGGATCCCACTGACCTTAATGAAAGATTCATTGTCTATCATATTTTACAGTTTTAAAATACCCATTATAATGTGTATTTTTATTTTTACTGAAATGCCCTGAATGTAGCAGCCAAAGGATACTCCTTGAAGAAATAAAACTAGTTAGTGGAAGGTCACTGTCAGTCTTTGCCTAGTCTCACTTTTAGGAAAAACAGAGGTATAACCTTCCTCCTGTACAGTTTTATATGGGAGATGGCAGTGTAAATTGCATGAGGACTTCGCAAAACAGAGCACAACGTGGCTTCTTGACCAGGGGCCGGAGATGGAAACTACCAATGTTCTTTGTAATTACAGAGTGTGAGGCTGAATTCGAGCCAAAATATTTGCAGTGCCTAAAGTAGCAAGGCCACTGACCCTGTAATACTTCCCACAGTGACTGTACTTGTGGTTTTATCTGCAGTCTTCAGAGTCTGTCATTGTCATTCTCTTGAGACTGAAACTTTTATTTTTACATACAGGAAGCAGTAAGCAGTAAACATATTTTTTCTTTTGTACAATTAGCAACATTAATAAACACCTAACAGCTTGCACGATTTAAAGAGTTCCATCTTTTGTTAGACTACGTAGTTGTTTTTTTTTTTGTTTTTTGTTTTCGTTTTTTTGACACTCTCCCTCTGTTGCCCAGGCTGGAGTGCAGTGGTATGATCTCGGCTCACTGCAATCTCCACCTTTCGGGTTCAAGCAATTCTCCTGCCACAGCCTCCCGAGTAGCTGGGATTGCAGGCGCGTGCCACCACACCAAGCTAATTTTTGTATTTTTAGTAGAGACGGGATTTCACCATGTTGGCCAGGGTGGTCTCAATCTCCTGACCTCGTGATCTGCCCACCTCGGCCTCCCAAAGTGCTGGAATTACAGGCGTGAGCCACCGCGCCCGGCCAGACTATGTAGTTTTAACACTAAAGGCTGCAACCTAGAAAACTTAATTATCTGCCATGATGAAAAAATGAGCTTAATTTTTTACATGAGCGAAGTTTACAGTTCTTCAATTCCAAAACCATTTAAATTTGAATCATTTCTCAAAATATTTAAAAAATGTATTAGACAGTCCATCAGCTTTCAAAACCAAGTATACTGAACATAATTGAATCATTTGTAAATGCCTGGATGTCAGTTAAGAACCTTGGTTAGTGCCTGTGCAGTTATGCAGCAATACTTTCTGAAGCTGTAGAGTGGAAGAGGCAAAAGAACTCTAGAGTGCTAGAGTTTTTGAGCATATATATGTGTATGAATGCTCAAAAACTCAAAAAAGTTATATATATTATTATATAAATATATATATATTCAAAACAGTTGTTTAATGTATTAAATTTAAATAATAAATATATATTCAAAATAGTTAATTTATTAAATTTAAATAATAAAATTTTATCCCAGTTGTATAATTTATTAAATTTATATAATAAATATTAAAACTTATTAATTTTTAAGTTTATTACATTATTAATACATTAATAATCTAATTTAACTATAATTAATGAAAATGGGTACTATAAAGATTGACCTAATTTCCTTTTGACTCCCTTCCCTCTCCATCCCAACTATCTTGAGCAAAGTTTGTCTTTTGAAGTAAAATGGTGGTATTGATTTAAGGCCTTGTTGCTCCAGAAGTTTTAAGGTTTGACATATTTGATTAGTAGTTACTGTTGAGTCTCTGCCTTCTGAAATATTTTATTTTCTTCCCATTGCCTGAACAACCCCTGCCTTTCCATTAAACAAGCCAAACATGTCCAATGGCTAATGTAGGGAAGACTGTTTTCCTCCTTTTGCCTAATTTACAACCTACTTGGCTAATTCTTCATCATCTGTGGTTCTGTTTTAGTATTACTGGTAGTATGAATTTTATGATTATTAATGAAAATTGGTTTCTAACAAAATGGAAAATTTGGTAAAGAAACATTTAATCCAATAAAATATTTTTAAAAGTCACTTAATGTAATCATTCAGTGGCATGATATTCCATTCATAAGTAAGAGCTAAAAGGTAAAACCACTACATTAAAATAGTCACGTTATTTCTAAAAATTAACCAATCTATGCTGGTTACTCAAAATAATTCCTGACATCATTATCAAGAAGAAGCAGGCATCAGGAGTGCCAGATTTAGTTTCAGAATAATATTTTAAAATGAAAATTAATTAGGTATGATCTGTACAATAAATCAGCTTCAGCAAGAAATGAACTCTTCAAGGTAAATGTAAACTAACACACATGCTATTCCTTATTTAAGAGTCATATTCAAGAGAGATTCAGGCAAAACTTTCAAATGCTACCTTTCAGTATCATACTTGAAAAATATGTCATTACTTTTCTTTATAGAATTCATGAAGTAACTTGATTAACAATGTATATAATGCAATTTTTTTCTAAGATACTTAAGCATATGTAACCTCCTACACAGTTGTGATTGTTCTTTTCTATAGGTCCCCAGGCATACAGCTATTGCTATATAACAAATCCGCTCCAAAACTTTGTAGCATACAACAATAAGTATTTATTATGGAAAAATGCTGGAAATTTTTTTTCCAGCTGGAAAAAGTATTATGTATTTATGGGACTGTGGTGAGTTGATTGCATTGGAAAAATGTAACTAAAAGTGTTTAAAATGGCCAGGACAGATTTTTTTTTGGTTAGGAAAAGAATTTCTGCTCCAATTAAAAGTGCTTCAAGGAATATTACTCATAACCTTCACATCATGAATGCCTTTTGAATTTTGTCTATAATCCTAGTAACATACCCTATAAAGACCCTTGATATTTAATATATACTCTACAACAGTACAACATTCATATAATAATGAAAACTTACTATGGATGTATATTAAGTGATTTATATCATTTTCATTCTGTAACCTGCAGTACCTTCACAAAAAAATACATAGTTACCTATAAGTTGTATAATCACGTAACTTTAAAATACTTTTCAAGGGACTTCTACAAAAGTTTGCCAACTTTGGGACAATTCTGTCACAAACGGTTTCAAATATTTTGTGAAAAACAAAAATCTATGTTATATAAAGAGAAGGTAAATGTGGGTAATACTAGCACAACTTTAGTCCGTTATGGGTTGTGATATGTATATTTACCACTTGTTATCTGAATTATTTTTCCTATGTTTATTTATAATAAAAAAGTTAGAAATGTTAAAGCTTAAAAACTACATGAATAAATTATAATAAACTTACGTAGTATCCTAAGTATGAAGCTTTTCAAGGTTGAGATGCCTCCAGGAGATAGAGTAGCTCTCTTCATTTCTCCTCCATTTTCATTTCATTATAGTACTTACAGTTTAACTACTTGATCTTACCTTGACCAGCAAAATTCAGGAGGCAATGACATACATTACCAAGCCCAGAAAGGTTGTAAAATCAACACTAAATTGTTTTCAGTTTGGTTTTTATGATCTATAGTTAAAATGTCATAATAAATAAAGCAAGTGTTTAAAAAATAATGGAAAAGAGAAGAATGAGAGGATTTAATACAACATGGGAACTGTTTTCTCATTTCATTAAGCATGACCTCAATTTAAATAATATTTTAAAAATTATAATGGAAAAAGTTTAAAAGTAATGCAGTAGTGTTATAATTATTCATCTTCATTTAGTGTATGCTCTATTCAGTTAGGCATTACAGTAAATATTTACACATGTATCTTTACTCTTCACTTCCTTATAGTGTGGAATATATGGATACGGATATGAATACAATGTATGTATATTGGTGAAGAAACTGAAGCTCAAGTTGTTTACATTTCTTCCTAAAATGTGAGCCTACTCTTTCCTAGCCTCAGGATCTACATTCTCTTTTTACAGATGAGGGCTTTGCTACCAGGGAGCTTAAGAGTCTTACTAATGTATTCCTCTATTGTCTAAACCCTTAATTTGAAAAATTCCATGGAGAATGTTGTATATACCATATATATATATATATATATATATGTATTTACACACATACATTTTTACATATATAAACATTCTTCCATTTGAAAAAAATGCATCGTCTAGTCTCAACCTTCTTTTGTTACAAAAGAAAAGACTAAAAACCCTGGTGAAAATGAAACCTGAAATGTCTATTAAAATCTGATATTTTAGACATAAACTTCTGAACATTTATTATCCTCTTTTATTGCCTAGGTGTGGAGCACCAACACTATTCCCTTAATTCTAACACACGTGATGTGCTAACACACATACATAGACAATGTAATTATCCTCATGATACCATTTTGCTTCACCATCTTAATTTACTTGACTGTACATTTCTTACAGGGTTTATTGCTATTATTTTAAATATAGTGCAGGGATCATTACATATTTGGAGTGTTCCATAAATACTTGCAAGCTGATGTTAGTTTAGCATAGCGCCCTTAAAAGCCCAAATAAACTAATAGCTTGTCAGTATTTTAAGCTGGTAACCCAGAATGGAACTAAGTCAAAGAAAGGGGAAAAGAAACACATATTTAAAATGTACTAACTCATATCCAGATAGCATTTCTTTTTCTTTTTCTTTCTTTTTTTTTTTTTTTTGAGACAGAGTCTCGCTCTGTCGCCCAGGCTGGAGTGGCGCAATCTCGGCTCACTGCAAGCTCTGCCTCCCGGGTTCATGCCATTCTCCTGCCTCAGCCTCCCCAGTAGCTGGGACTACAGGCGCAACCCGCCACACCCGGCTAATTTTTTTGTATTTTTAGTAGAGACAGAGTTTCACCGTGTTAGCCAGGACGGTCTTGATCTCCTGACCTTGTGATCCGCCCGCTTCAGCCTCCCAAAGTGCTGGGATTACAGGCATGAGCCACCGCGCCCGGCCCAGATAGCATTTCTACCTGCGGTATCTAAAGAAGCATCACCTCCTCTTTAAAGTCTTTCTTGGCCTTTCCAAGCCATTAATCACTCATCTGTGACATGAAATTGTCTTTTGTGTCTTCTCTGTTATATAATGTGTACAATTACCTTGTAAACATTTATTTATATTCTTGTATGTCTTAGAAATGGTGAATGATCTGAAGTCAGAGATTAAGCCTTGTTCATCTTTATGTCCCATGGCTGGCATAGCACTTGACACATATGTGCCCAATAGGTATTTGAGAAATGAATGAGAAAACAATGAAAATTTCTTTAAGCTATGTGGCTCCACTATTGCTATTGTGCTTGGGCCTGTACTCTAGTATGTTTTTGTTACTTGAAAGACATGTTCTTTAAAGTGGAACTTTCATTTCTTGAAAATATATTGACTACTTCTCTGGTCGGATGCCAGTCTGGTCAATCTATATTGCAAACCTGATTGAGAAAGGCAAGACCCATCACTCTTACTCTCCTAGGCCAGAGGAATTGCTACCCCTGACCTCACACCACTATCAGCCCTAAATTTAACTCCAACTCTTAAGTGGTCAAAAGACTTCAGAGAAGTAAAAATGAGCATTATTCACAAAAATAGAGAAGACTCTACCCTAGATTTGTGGAGATAGTTTATTACTGAATGAATTAATTTTGTGGAACTAAATATCCATTTATTAATTATATTAGTTGTTGGATTAAAGTGTATATGCTTTTAGAAAATGCCATTAGGTAAGTTTTAGCTGTATCTTAAATAAAAACACTACTGGGATTTCTTGAAGGTTAAATATCAAAAGGAAGCTTAAGTATATATTAAATACTGACTTTAAGCTAATTTAATTTTCATAAAAACCCTTAAAAGTAGAAATTAATGTTCCCACTATACAGATAAGAAACCAAAGCAGAAAAGTGAATAAACTTGTCTAATTTACAAAGCAGTTAAGTGATAAAACTGATATGAACCCAACTCTGTTTACCTTAAAACCCGTAATTTTTCCAATATACAATACTTTTCCACTGTATTTTAATATTTCTATGTATACGATATAATTCTACATGTTTGATTTTTTTTAACGTGAGCGTACATCTTATGGAGAAGCATGCTTTGAGAAGGGAATATTTTGCTTGTGATTAGATTTATTCTTCCTTAGTGGAGAAAATATCCATGACCAGAAACCATGGCAACACAGAAAGAGAACATGAATTTCGTGAAGCAAGAAGAAAACTTTTAGATAAAGAAGATTTTTGTTTTTTTCTTGAAAACGTCTTTAAGAATGCTGTAGATGAGGAAAACAAGTATCTGAAGATGTAGGCGATGAAGCAGTATGCTAAAAGCAAATGTTTTCTTATGAGTTTCCTCAGTCATTAACAATAAAAATTAGCATACCAGGAACCATTTTTAGGCAGTGAGGAAGTCAGCAAAGAAAATAAGATACAGTTTCTATTCATAAAGTGTTGTAAGTTTGCACCTTTGCATGTCCCAGGAAAAATATAAAGATATGTGGGTAATTTTGAATAGTATCCAATTGAAGTCCTGTTATGATGTCTAGAATTCTTACTGCAAGGACTGGGTAAAAGGGAGGCCAGATTGAGGTGAGCTGGACTCACTCAAGTGCCTCACAGGGAGCAAAGCTTGTGTTTTCTGGAAAAACTCTAGCAGATAAAATAGGAGTAATGTGTATGGTGTGTCAGCCTTATAATGGTTTGTCTTCCAGCTTAGGGACAACAACGCAGTGGGTCTCCCTAAATAAGAGGCAATTCAGCTCCTTCTTCTTCCCTCCCTCACCTGCACCTCGAGCAACCTCCTGTCAAATCAAGCCTCCAAATCGAATTTTCCAATTCCTCGTCCCCTGGGTCCAACACTTTTAGTTCTTCATACCTTGTTCCTGGGTCTTCTATCACCAACCCTCAAGTTCATGTTCTTTTTTACAGCAGTCCTTACTCTCTTTTCTGTGACCGTTCTGGTCTCCTCCAAGAAATATGGGTCATTGTGCCTCAGAAGGAGATGTGAAGTATGAGATCCCAGGACCGAGTGAGTCCCGGCCTAGAAAGCCACATGGGGACCATGACAGCTAGTTGAAGCTTCGCTTTCACAGCTGTTGGTGATGGCTGAGACCAAGATTATGCCAGTTTGGAATATTGGAGCCCTTAGTCAAAGGAGATGAAAAACTATTTCTGTACTGAAGAGCTGTTCTGGAAGGGAATGGAAATGAGCTGGATTGGAAATAAGATGTCAAAAAAAAAAAAACCCTCAGAAAATTATGTGATTTGAAATGTCAGATCTTTAAAAAAGGGGGGCTCAGAGCAAAGATGTGTACACAAAAACTAGATTTCAGATATATTTGCTGATAACTGAATGCAATAATTTTCAAATGCTTATCCATTTTGATCTCCTATCAAATCTATCTCTCTTTCTCCACACATGTGACTTTCACACACATTCATTTAGTCAATAAATATTTATTGACCACTGTGCAAAGCACCAAAGAAAGCACGACTGAGAGGATGCCTAGGCATGATATTAGAAATGACTTTATATTAAAGCTAAGCCATAAGCTGAGTCTTAGAAGATTGAAGCTCACTATTTTAGGAAGAGCATTTCAAGCAGAGAGAAGGGGCCAAGACACAAGAGAGCTAGTTCAGTTAGGAATCACATGTGGTTCAGGGTGGGTAGAGTGGCATGTAGGGGGAGCTATGTTGGTAGGGGGTCAGGTTGTGAGGTTCTTTAGAGCCCAGACTATAAAGTAGCTCCTATGTCACACTAAGGAGCTTGGATTTTACTCTGAAGTTTTTGAGCATACAGGGGTTCTGGGTAGGAGAATGGCTCAATTTGATCTGATCATCTTGGGGACCATTCATTGATTATAAATGGACAGTGAGGGAGAGGGATTAGTGCAAAGACTCCACATGAAATAAAAGTCTGGGGGTAGCATTATTCTTTGAGAATATAATGGGGAATATAATGGGAAAACAAATTAAAAATGATGTTGGACTTGAACATGTTGAACATAAGACATTAATGAAAACATAATGTAGAGAATTGCCATCCATCCATTCATCCATCCTTTATCCTGCCATTCATCTGCCTATCTATCATACATACACAATTATTGAATGTTTATCATGCTCCAGGTACTGTGCTAGGCACTGCCCCATAAGCAGTGGACATCAAAGCCTGAAGCTGTAGGGAGTGATCCTTGCCAGAGTGCCACTTTCTGGTGGGTGGTGGCATGCAGTGGGCATGGTTAACATGGTCCAGGTAGATAGTTTAAGTAGAAGAGGACTTAACTTATAATTCTATTTTCAGATTCATCTCATGGTGGCATCTCTTGCTTTTTATGTTCTCCTCCACCTAAACTCCTCAGATGTTTTAGCTAAACTAAAAAAGTTAACAGATGAAGCCAGGGGACAAATATCTCTTCATATAGTGATTATTTCTGAAGGAACCCTTTCTCTTACCCCTTATTTCACCTGTCCTCTTTTTCTATTCCCTGTGAAGGTCAAAATAAATTGACATTGAAAAAAAAAACCATTTGGCTTTATAAAAAATAAAATTGAGCAATTTAATGGAAATTTAAAATGAATGCTATATAAAATGCATGCTTTGTAATGCCAGAAGTTAAAATGAGAAGTAAATTAGTTCCAGATGGGGGTCTAGGGATTGCTTTTAAATTACTGTGTTTGCTTAAGCCTGAAAATTTTGACCAGTCTTGCATTCTCACAAAAATATCATTGAGAACACATCAGTTCTCTGTACAAATCATTTTTTAAGGCTAAGTGGTGTAATCTCCAAGAATTATTAGGGAAACACTTTTGTTTTTGAAAATCTAGCCTGGGAGTCTAGCTTCAGTGCATCTCAAGTCTGGAAAATTGACTTTTTTTTTTAACTTGGAAATGGTAAGGTAAAGGTTAATCTGATCCTGGTAATTTGGTTTTAGGCTGACACACGATGAGGGGAAAAATGGCAGAATCATTGCTTTTAATTCCTAACATGTTTGAAAAGCAGTAGAGATATTGGAATGCTTAAAAATAATGCAAAATCAAGAAAAATCTTAATTTTCTATAGAAAATTAACTTGTATAACTAAATGACACTATTTTGCTGAAGAATTTAAATTGAAAGTAAAAACAAGAGAAAATAAATTTGGAATATGGTAATCAACTAATTTGGCTTTATCTTTTTGTTTCAGTCTTGAAGGTTAATAAATCAAAAGGGTTTTGTGTCCAAGATTTCAAACCAGTTTTATATAAGTTGAAAAATATTATTTATGTTAATTTTAAAAGTGATTGTTAATAAATAAATTACTAAATTTCCCAAGTCAGTGTTTTTAATTTAATAACTTATATTTCATTCCAAGTCATCATGCTTAAACAGAATTATTTGTAAGGTATTAAGCATTTTGTTAAGTTGCCAAGGGATTTGGATATAAAATTTAGATTTTCAATTTTTACTTTTTCTTGGAGAAAGAAATACTTATGATGTTAATGCCTAAATTTTTTTCCTACACTTATGTTACTAGGGCACATAAGAAATTGACAACCGAAAACATTTGGACTTTATTGTGGACATAAAAGTGACTCAGAGTGACTAAGTATCCCAGAGAAGCAGAGGTTTATGCCATCTGGCATAAACCTCGCTGGATGACCTCCTTATACAGATCCTAGGATCTTACAAGTTACTCTCTTCATCATGTCCTTTTCTCTAGACTGATCTGGTTTCCTGTCCATATGGACACATACAGTTCATTTGCAATTCCTAAATAGGCTGTGCCCACGGATTCTAGTCCAGGGGGAAAACCTCTAACAGTAGGGTGTCTCCATTTGCAGACCAAACACCACTCCTATGGCTACCTTTACACCCCATAAGAAGACAGGAAGCCTTAAACATATGGAGAACCAGGGCCTGGTGAAATAAGGGTGTCAGTGGAAGGAATTATGGGTGTTTGAGCTGGAAAAGCACCCCCATTATGAAAAGCTTATAAGCCAGCCTAAGAAATTTCCAATTATGTTTAGGATGCTGGGAAGCCATTAAAGTGTTATAAACCAAAATATGACATGAACATCTTTTTGTTTTATAAAGGTCACTGCTGTTTCATTGCCAAGATGAACTAGGAGGATGAAGGTAAGACTGGAAACAAAAGGCTTATTTAGGAATCATTTCCAGTACTACAAAGGGAAAGAAAGTAGCACTGAAAGGTTTCCCTTTCACTCCTACCATTACTAAATGTGTCCAATAATAATTGGAAATATACAGTATGTGACCTATTTAAATTAGCTTCTTTTACTTTGCAATGCACATTTAAGGTTCATCCATGCCATTGCCTGGATTGATCACTTATTTCCTTTTATTGCTGAATATTCTATTGTATAGATATACCACAGTTTGCTTACCCAGTAACTAAATGAAGAACATCATGGTTGCTCCCAGTTTTTGGCAATTATGTTTTGGCAATAAAGATGTGCATGCAGGTAACTGTGTAGACATAAGTCATCAAATCAGTTGGGTAAAGATTTAGATGTGTGATGGCTGGATTATGGTAAGACTTTGTTTAGCTTTGTAAGAAACTGCCAAACTGTTTTCCAAACTGGCTGTACCATTTTGCATTCCCATCAGTAACGTGTGAGAGCTCCTGTTGTTCTACATCCTTCTCAGCATTAGAATATAGCTTTGTCAGGTTTTTGGCTTTGGATTTTAGTCATTCTAATAGGTGTATTGGTGTCTTGTTGTTTTAACTTGTAATTCTCTAATTACACATGATATTGGGAATATTTTCATGTGATTATTTGCTATCCGTGTATCTTCTTTGATGGGGTGTCTGTTAGATCTTTGGCCCATATTTTATAAATGAGACGTGATTTTTTACAGCAATTTTAAGTTCATAGCAAAATTGATCAGAAAGCACACAGAGTTTCCATATACTCCCTGCCCTCCCTGCCCCCGCCCTGCCCCCCAACACACAGCCTCCCCCATTATTCATATCCCACACTAGTGTGGTAACTTTTTTTTTTTTTTTAACAATGATGAATCTACATTGATACATTATTATTACCAAAGTCCATAGTTTTTACTATGGTTCACTCTTGGGGTTGTATATCCTGTGGAGATATATATATATATATATATATATATATGTACATGTAACTATTATAGTATCATGTAGAACAGTTTCACTGTCTAAAAGTTCTCTGTGTTCTGCCTATTCATCCCTCTCTTCCCCCTAAATCTTAACAATCTCTGATCGTTTTACTGTCACCATAGTGCTGCCTTTTCCAGAATGTCATATAGTTGGATCATGTAGTGTGAAGCCTTTTCAGATTGCCTTCTTTCACTTAGTAATATGCATTTAAGTTTCCTGCACGTTTTTTCATGGCTTGAGAGCTCCTTTCTGTTTAGTGCTGAATAACATTCCATCGTCTGATGTACCACAGTTTGTTTATCCATTCATTTACTGAAGAAAAACTTAGTTGCTTCCAAGATTTGGCAATTATGAATAAAAGTTCTACAAATATCCACGGGCAGGTTTTTGTAGGGACATACATTTTCAGACTATTTGGGTAAACATCAAGGAATTTGATTCCTGAATCATACAGCAAGAGTACCTTTAGCTTTTAGTAAGAAACTGCCAAACTGTCTTCCAAAGTAGCTACACCACTTTTGATCCCCACCAGCAATGACTGAGAGGTTTTTTTTTTTTTTTTTGCTCCACATCCTCACCAGCATTTGGTGTTGTCAGTGTTTTGGATTTTGCACATTCTAATAATGTGTAGTTGTATCCCACTGTTGTTTTCATTTGCAATTCCTAAATGATACATGATGTTGAGAATCTTTCCATATGTTTATTTGACATCTGTATATCTTTTATGGTGAGGTGTCTTTTCAGATGTTTTACCCATTTTTTTAGTTGACTTTTTTTCATTGTTGAGTTTTAGAAGTTCTTTGCATATTTTAGATCACAGTCCTTTATCAATTATGTCTTTGGCCAATATTTTCTCCCAGTCTGTGGCTTGTCTTATGATTCTCTAGACAGTGTTTTTTTCACAGAGAAGTTCTTAATTTTAATAATTTGTTTAGAAATTATTTCTTTCATGCATCATTACTTTGTGTTGTATAAAAAAGTCACCACCATACCCAAGGTCACACAGATTTTCTCCTATGTTACCTTCCAGGAGTTTCATAGTTTTACCATTTACATGTAGTTCTGTGTCTCATTTTGAGTTAATTTTTGTGACTGGCATAATATCTATATCCAGGTTCATTTTTTTCTTTTTCTTTTCTTCTTTTTGCATGTGGATGCCCAGTTGTTCCAACATCATTTGTTAAAAAGACTATATTTTCTCCACTCTATTATCTTTGCTTCTTTACCAAAGCTGACATTATTTGTGTGGGTCGATTTCTGATTTCTCTATTCTGTTCCATTGGTCTATTTATCTATTTTTTCACCGATATTATACAGTCTTCTGATTACTGTAGCTTTATAAAACTTGAAGTCAGTCCTCTGAATGTCCTTCTCACTTAATATTGTGTTATCTATTCTGGATCTTTTGCCTTTCCATATAAACTTTTTATTTTTCTTTTATTATATATATTTTTAGATGGAGTCTTGCTCTGTTGCCCAGGCTGGAGTGCAGTGGTGTGATCTTGACTCATTGCAACCTCCACCTCCTGGGTTCAAGCAATCCTCCTGCCTCAGCCTCCCAAGTAGCTGGGATTATAAGCATGCACCACCATGCCCTAATTTTTGTATTTTGGTAGAGATGGAGTTTCACCATGTTGGCCAGGATGGTTTGAAACTCCTGATCTCAAGTGATCTGCCCACCTCAGCTGCCCAAAATGCTGGGATTACAGGCATGAGTCACCATGCCCAGCCTCCATATAAACTTTAGAATCAATTTGTTGATATCCACGATACAATTTGCTGAAATTTTTATTTCAATTGTATTGAATCTGTAGACCAAATTGGGAAGAACTGACATCTTGACAATACTGATTCTTTCTATACATGAACATGAAATATTTCACCATTTACTTAGTTTTTCTCTAATTTCTCTTATCAGAATTTTGTAGTTTTCCCCATAGAGGTCTTGCACATAGGTCTCGCACATATTGTTAGATTTGTGGCTAAATATTTCATCTTGTGCTAACATAAATGGTAGAATGTTTTAAATTTCAACATTTGTTCCACTTGTTCATTGTTGATATATAGGAAAGTGATTGACCTGTATCCTGTAATCTTTCCGTAATTGCTTATCTGATCTGGGAGTTTTTTGTCTATTCCTTTAAAATTTTCTACATAGACGATCACATAATTTGTGAACAAAGACAGTTATATTTTTTTCTTCCCAATTTGTATTTTCCTTTTTTGTCTTATTCCATAAGCTAAGACAAGCATTATGATGTCAAAAAGGACTGGTCAAAGGAGTCATTCTTGCTTTGTTACTGACCTTAGAGAGAAAGCACTTGCTTTCTCACCATTAAGTGTAAGGTTAGCTATAAGTTTCTTGTAAAATGTTCCTTATCAAGTTGAGAAAGTTCTCCTCTATCCCTAGTTTGCTGAAAGTTTTTATCACCCATTAGGGTGTTAAGATTTTGTCAAATGCTTTTTCTGTGTGAGCTGGTATGATCATGTGATTTTTCATTCTTCAGCCTTGATTTGATAAATTAGTTAATTTTTGAATGTCAACCGGTCTTGCATATTTGGAATAAATTCCACTTGGTCATGGCATATACACCTTTTTATACATTGTTGGATTCAATTTGTGAATATTTTATTGAAGATTTTTGCATTTATGTTCATGTGCCTTATTGGTCTATAGTTTCCTTTCCCTGTAATACCTTTGCCTGCTTTTGGTATTAGGATAATACTGGCCTCATAGAATGAGTTAGGACGTATTCCCTTTGCTTCTATTTTCTGGAAGAAATTACAGAGAGTTCTAAGATTTTTTGCTTAAATGATAGAACTCACTAGTGAACCCATCTGGGCATGGAACTTTCTGTTTTGGGAGGTTATTGATTATTGATTTAACTTCTTTAATAGGTATATGCCTGTTCTCGTTGTCTATTTCTTCTTGTGTGAGTTTGGTAGATTGTGTCTTTCAGGGAATTTGTTTATTTCATCTAGGTTCTAAAATTTGTGGGCTGAAATATTTGCCCATATAGTATTCCTTTATTATCCTTTCAATGTCCATGGGCTCTGTCGTGATATCTATCCCCTCTGTCATTTCTGCTGTTAGTAATTTGCATCTTCTTTTTCTTGGCCTGGCTAAAGGCTTGTCAATTTTATTGATCTTTTCAAATAATTAATGTTTAGTTTTGTTAATTTTTCTATAGATATTCTATTTTCAGTTACATTGATTTCTGTTCTAGTTTTTATTATTTCTTATCTTCTGTTTATTTTGTGTTTAATTCACTCTTCTATTTCTAGTTTCCTAGAAATAGGTGGAAGCTTATTTTATTGATTTTAGATCTTTATTCCCTTTTAATACATGAATTCAATGCTACAAATTTTTATTTAATCACTGCTTTTGCTGTATGACACAAATTTTGATAAGTTGTATTTTTACTTTCATTTAGTTCAAATTATTTTAAATTTCTCAAGAGTTTTTCTTTCACCCATATGTTATTTAGAAGTGTGTTGTTGAGTCTTCAAGTATGTTGGGATTTTTCCAACAATCTTTCTGTTGTTGATTTCTAGCTTAATTCCATTGTGGTCTGAGAACATGCTTTCTATGATTTGTATTCTGTTAAATTTTTGAGGTGTTTTTTATGACCTAGAACGTGGTCTATCTTATGAATGTTCTGTGTAAGCTGAAGAAGAAAAAATGTGTATTTTGCTGTCATTGGATGAAGTAGCCTATAGATGTCAGTTATATCTAGTTTATTTATGGTGCTATTGAGTTGAACTATGTCCTTACTGATTTTCTACCTGCTGGATCTCTCCATTTCTGATAGCAAGGTGTTGAAGTCTCCAACTATAATGGCGGATTCGTCTATTTCTCCTTAAAGTTCCATCAGGTTTTACCTCACACATTTTAATATATGGGCCTCTCTTTTTAGGCCCATATATATTAAATATTACTAAGACTTCTTGGATAATTAACCCTTTTATCATCATGTAATGTTCCTTTTAATCCATTATAATTTTCCTTTCTCTGAAGTTTGTTCTGTCTGATATTAATATAGCTATTCCAGTTTTCTTTTTATTGACATTATCACATTTGTCTATCCCTTTACTTTTAATCTATATGTGTCTTTATATTTAAAATATATTTTATATTGGATGCATCTGACAGTCTCTTTTAATTGATGTATTTAGATCATTGATATTTAAAATGATTACTGATATATGAAATTAATATCTATCATATTTGTTATGTTTTCTATTCATTGCCTTTCTTCTTTGTTTCTATTTTTTGTCTTTTACTTTTTTCTACCTTTTTTGGTTTTACCTGCGCATTTTATTTGATTCTATTTTCTCTCCTTTTTTATTATATCGATTTTACTTCTTTTTTTACTTCGTTTAGTACTTGCCCTGGAGTTTGCAAAAAAATATGAATTTACAACTAATCCAAGTCCACTTGCAAATAACACTACGCCAGTTTATGGGTAGAGTAATACCTTATAATAATAAAATAATCCTAATTCCTCCCTCCTGTCCATTGTATCTTCGTTGTCATTCATTCAACTTATACATGAGCAATTATAAATACATTGTTTCCTTTACTACATTGAACAAACTGTTATTTGTTAGATAAATTAAGAGTAAGAAAAATTAAAGTTTTAATTTTACCTTTAAAATTACCTTTTTCTGTAATGCTCTTCCTTTCTTTAAGTACAATCCAGTTTCTGAGATGTATCATTCTCCTTCTCTGAAGAATGTATCGTATCATTTTTTTTTCAAGGCAGGTTTATTGGCAGCAAATTCCTTCAATTTTTGTTGCCCAAGAAAGTCTTAATTTATCCTTCACTTTTGAAGAGTAATTTTTCAGGGTATAGAATTCTAGGTCGGTGGATTTTCTTTTTGTCAAAATGCTTCAGATATTTCATTTCACTCTTTTCTTGCTTGCATAATTTCTGAGGAGAAGTTTGAATATGATATACCTGGCTGTCATTCTTTCGCATTTATCCTGCTTGTGTTCTCTGTGCTTCCTGAATGTGTGGTCTGGTGTCTGACATTGGGGGAAATTCTCAGCCATTATTTTTTCAAATACTTCTCTTATTTCCTATTTCCTCTCCTTCTGGTATTGCCTCTCCATGTATGTTGCATGGAAAATAACATACATTTGTACCACAGTTGTACCACAGTTCTTGGATATTCTGTCCTATATTTTTCAGTGTCTTTTCTCTTTGCTTTTCAGTTTTACCAGTTTCTATTGACATATCCTTGAGCTCAGAGATTTTTTTCCTTTGGCTGTGCCCAGACTCATTAGCAAAGAGACTGAGGAAAAAGGCATTTAAAGGCATTCTTCATTTCTTTTATAGACATTTTAATATCTAGCATTTCTTTAGAGGTCTTTCTTAGAATTTCTATTTACATTAACCATGAGCTTTTGCATATTGTCTACTTTTTTCCAGTAGAGACTTTGGCATACTCTACCCATTTTTAAATTAGTTTATTTTTTTCTTATTGTTGTTTTAATACTTCTTTGTATACTTGGGATGTAAGTCCTTTTGCACATATGTGTTATTTGCTTTGTGAATAACTTTCTAACTCTGTGGCTCATCTTTTCATTCTATTCACAGTGTCTTTAACGTAACAGAAGTTTTAAATTTTAATAAAGTCCAATTATCAACCTTTTTTTATTTTCATGGATCTTTCATTTGCTGTCACTTCTAAAAGGTCTTCATGAAACTGAAGCTTACCTAGATTTTCTCCTATACTATAATCTAGAAACCTTACAGTTTTGCATTTTACATTTAGGTATATGATCCATTTTGATTAATTTTTGTGAAAGTTGTTCACCTGTGTCTAGACTTTTTTTTTTTTTTTTTTTTTTGCCTGTGGGCGCTTGCTTTTTACAACATAAATTTGTTTTTAAAAAGCTATTCTTTCTACATTTACTTGCCTTTGCTCCTTGGTAAAATATCAGTTGACTTTATTTGTGTAGGTCTACCTCTGAGCTCTTTATTCTGTTTCATCGAACTATCTGTCTATTTGTTCATGAATACCATGCTGTCCTACAGCCTTATAAATAAGCCTTGAAGTCTGGTAGTGTTAGTGATGGAACTCATTCTTCCTCTTTAATATTGTGTTGGCTACTCTAGGTTTTTTTACCTTTCCATATAAATTTTAGAAACAGATTGTTGATATCTACAAAATCAGTTGCTGGGATTTTACTTGAATTGGATTGAATCTATAGGTTAAGTTGGGAAGAACAGGCATCTTAACAATATTGAGTCTTCCAATCTGTGAACATGCAGTATCTCTCCATTTATTTAGATCTTCTTTATTAGATCAGAGTTTTATAATGCTTCTCGCATAGATCTGGTACATATTTTGTTAGATTTATACATAAGCATTTAATTTTCTTTGTGCTGTTTTAAATGGTACAGTGTTTTTAATGTCAAATTCCATCTGTTCATTGCTAGTATATAGAAAAGCAATTAACTTTTATACATTAAACTTGTATACTGTTATTTGATATAATTACTTATTAATTCCAGGGGTTTTGTGCAAATTTGGGGGGATTTTCTACATAGAAAATCATATCATTTGTGAACAAAGACAGTTGCATTTCTTCCTTCCCAATCTGCGTATCTTTATTTCCTTTTCCTGTCTGATTACACTAGTTAGGTCTTCTGGTGAAATGTTGTATAGAAGTGGAAAGAGGGGATATCCTTGCCTTGTTTATGACCTTACTAGGAGAAAAATCCAGTTTTTCACCCCTCAAGTATACTATGTTCATCTGGTTCTGCTTCTAGGCTAATGCTGGCCTTATACAAAGTGTTCACTGCTTTTATTTCTGTAGAAAATTGTCTCAATCTTTCTTAAATGTTTGGTAGAATTCTCTAATGGAACTTCTGTCTGCTTTCTTTTTTAAAAGGTGTTATGAACTGAATGTTTGTGTCTCTCCAAAACTAATATATGAAAATCCTAACCCCTAAGTTGATAATATTAGGAGGTGGAGCCTTTCGGAGACAATAGATCATGAGGATGAAACCCTCATGACTGGGATTAATGCCCTTATAAAAGGCACCCCTGAGAGTTCTCTCACTCTTTTTCTCCCATTTGGGGGTTAGCAAAAAGACAGCTACCCGGAAACCAGGAAGAGGGCCCTCACAGATACTCCCAACTCTTCTCTCTCATCTCTTACATTACTGTCATTCATATTCCTTATCCATATGCTATAATCACCCAATACATCATTACTATTATCATTTGAATAACAGTTATAATTAAATCATTTAAAAAATAAGAAACAAAAGATTTTATTTTACGTTATTTATTCTTTCTCTATTGTTTTTTCCCTTTTTATGTAAATCTGAGTTTCTGGCCTATGTAATGTTTTTTTCTCCATGAATAATTTTTTAACATTTCTTGTAGGGCAGCTCTGCTACCGATGAATTCTGTCAATTTTTGTTTGCCTGAGAAAAATCTTCATTTCTTCTTTACTTTTAAAGGATAATTTCACTGGATACATAATTCTAGGTAATTTTTTTTTCTTTCAGAACTTAAAATATTTCGCTCCACTCTCTTCTTGCTTGGGTTCTGATGAGTCTGCTATGTAATTCTTATACTTGCTTCTCTATAAGAAAGATCTTCCCCCCATGCCAGCTGCTTTCAATATGTTTTTAGTCTTTGTTTTGTTTTGGAGTTTTCTATGATTTTCCTATGTGTACGTGTAGCTTTTTTGGTATTTACTCTACTTGGTGTTCTCTGAGCTTTTAGATGTGTGATTTGGTAGTTGCCATTAGTTTTGGAATATTCTAAGTTATTATTTCAAATATTTATTTTGCTTCTTTCTCTTTCTTTTTATGGTATTCCAACTATGTGTACATCTTTTGACACTATCCTACAGTTCTTAGATACCCAGTGTGGAGAGTGTTCATTTTTATATTTTTCATTCTTTTTTCCCTTCACATTTTATTTTGGGAGGTTCCTATTGATGTGTCTTTTTTTTTTTTTTCTATTTTGAGATGGATTCTCACTCTGTCACCCAGGCTGCAGTGCAGTGGAGCAGTCTCGGCTCACTGCAACCTCCACCTCCCAAGTTCAAGCTATTCTCCTGCCTCAGCCTCCTGAGTAGTTGGGACTACAGGTGCCTGCCACCACGCCCAGCTAATTTTTTGTATTTTTAGTAGAGATGGGTTTTTACCTATTGGCATACCTTAAAGCTCACTGATTCCTTCCTCAGCTGTGTCCAAGCTACTGATAAGGCCATGAAACACATTCTTCCTTTCTGTTAGTTTTGTTTATTTCTTATTTCTAGCATAATATCCTTTTGATTTTGATTTTTTAAAGTTTCTATCTTTCTGCTTATATTACCCGTCTGTTCTTGAATGTTGCCTATTTTTAATATTAGAGAACATTTCACAGTCCCATCAGCTTCTGTTCAGGTGAACTGATCTTGCCTATGATTTTCTGTATTTGTCTGTCTCTTTCCAGGTTTCAAAGTATGATAGATTCCCTGGGAACTTTAATATTCTGACTGGTCCAAGAAAAGTGATTGTTATTCAGTTTATTTAGCTTTTTCTTTTTGTAAGAATGGAAGTGATGACTTACAAGCTCGTTCCATTTCAAGGCTGAAATTAGAAGTCTGTTCCAGCTTACTGTTCCAGTAATGTTCTAGAGCTCCCTTATCCAGCTATTATTCTTGCGTCTTCAATATTTTTTCACATTTATTTTGGCTCAGCCATGTGTTATATATATTTCAGCATTTTAAAGTGTGTGATACAAAGAGGAATTTATCTTACCATCATTGACACTGTAGGTCTAGAAGTAGAACTCAATTGACAAGCATTTAACATTTTACTATTAGTTTTATTTGGTTTGTTTCTAACTTCTTCAAGTTACTCATATTCGCTTAACTTTAAAGAATGTGCAAGAACACATATCTGATTAATACATATATATTTAATCACAAAATATTGATTATTCTCCATTAATAAATGTGTTAAAAATTATTTCACAGGCTCAAATATTTACATATTTTATCTTTTAGCCTTAATAATCCAAGAGTCATTACCTTATTCAAATTAGAAGATTCCACTTCAGATTCACTTTGCCAATCTTATGTTCATTTCAACACAAATGCCACAGGAATATTCTCTTGCTAGCAACTCTAAGAGTAAATTTCTTAGTAAATTGTCAGACAAAACCAAAATCTAACAGCTATACAAACATGGGTACAGGTCAATGTTTCCATGTAGCACACTGGAGTATTTTATAGGAAAATTTCACTTTATACCTCATTTATTTTGTTCTCTCTGTTTGGAAATAAACTAATTTTAAAAGCTCATCAAAGATTGTTTTGCTTATTTATTATACACATGATCCTAATATAGCTACATGGTTGATATGGCTCATGCACTGTAATTTAAGCATCAATTTTGGATTGTTTGGTGGCGACTTATCAATTGGCCTCTTCTTTATTTTGCTTTTGATTTTTCTAGCATTTATCTGGATAATAATAATACTTTGGGTCTCAAGAAAGAGAAGAGAGAGGGGGGGTAGGAGAGAAGAAATAAAAATGTAACACCAGTCTCCCTCATAAGATATTTTAGGTAGTTAAACCACCTAAAAAAAACCCCTGAAATATCTTTATACATACTTTCTGAAACTATCATCATCTGTTATATTCTCACTTTGAAATAACTGGCACAAGTCTTGATACATATACTGGCAAAAGCACACAACTTAGCCAGCTTTCTTCTAGCTGTTCCAAACCCATTTCTTCACAGCGTGAGGTAGAAAAGCAAATCGCACCACAGGGAGGAGTACATTTGGAGACAAAAAGAATAAAAGTGACTTTCCAGAACCCTTCTTTCAAGTCCAAAGGATTTGGCTTAGTGATCTTTGGTACATGCTGTCTGAAGCTCTGCTGGAGGATGGGGGCTGGTTGTGTAGGTTAATGTAATAGGTTAGTGTTAGTAACTATTACCAAACACATCTACCCTGTACAGGTACCAGGCTTTTGCTTAAGCACACTAAAAGAAAATTCGACGGTAATTAATGAGATTTTCCCTAGAAAACCTCAGAACAAAGACAAAAACTGTGGATAATATAAATTAAAATATACATATACACATTCATATATGTACATATAATATACACACACACGTGTGTATGTAAATATATACATACACACATGTGTGTATGTACATATAATATATACACACATGTGTGTTTATATAATGTATATATTATATAAACACACATATGTAATAATACATACATATTATTTTCTGTGAGTTTTAGAGTTCAAGACAACTGCTCATAGATTTAAGCCATTGTATTCATTCATGAAACAAATATTAACTAATACCTACTATGTGCATGGCAATGAGCTGGTTGTTGAGTAACTACTGGCCCTGAGTTCATTCATTTTGTTCAATATTGATTGAGCAGCTACAATGTGGCAGGCTCCTGTAGGTCCTAGAGATGTAAACAGATGAAATCTCTTCCCTCAAGCTTCATGGTCCTTAGATTTTAGTACAGGCAAACAGATACTAAAACAAAAACCAAATAAATAAATAGTATGTTATATGGTGGTAAGTGCTATGAAGAAAAGTAAAGCAGGGAGAAGAAAGAGGAGTTGGAGGGATTTGATTGGTATCTTATTTTAAGGAAGGTGACCAAAGAAGGTTTCACTAACAAGATGTCATCTAGGCAAAGACCCAAAGCAGGTGACGAAGTGAGCCATCCATGTATCTGGGGACAGAATGTTCCAGGCAGAAGAAAGGGCAAGTGTAGAGGTTCTGAGGCAGGCATGCACTTGGCCTGTTTAAGGAACAGGAGGCCACCAGTGTGGCTGGAATGGAGAGCACAAAGTAGGGCAAGTGGAAGAAGAAGAGGTGAGTGAGGAGGTGAAGAAGGGTGTGGAGTATGAGAGGAAAAGAGGAGTGAAGGATGACTCCAAGGTTTGTGGGCCAAGAAATTGGAAGAATGAAGTTCCATTTCCTGAGATAAAGAAAGACTGCAGGAAAAGCAGGTTGGAGGGTAGGGATTGAAAGCCAGTTTTGTGCAAGATAACTTGGTAATATCTTTTAAACATGCAATGGAGATGCTCAGTGACCATGGAGTGCAAGAGTCTGGTGTTGAGGGCAGAAATTCAGGAAAGAGATACAAATTTGCAAATTTGTCAGTATAAAGATGCTATTTAAAGCCACAAGATTGGATGAGGTCACTTGAAGGCAGCATAGCTATAGGAGTACCCTGAACTCTGAGGCACTTTAAACAGTTGGGCTGATGAGGTAAAAATGAGGGACGGTAATTGGAAAGTTGAAGTAGGAGGAAAACCAGGAAAGTTTAGAATTCTGGAAACTGTGCAAAGAAGGTTTTTCATGGAAAAGGGATTGATCACTTGTTTCAAATGTTGCAAATAAACACGATGAGAACTGGGAACTGGATTTGGCAGTGTGAAATTGGTGGCCGAGTGGTGTGGATGACAGCGTGAATGGAGTGGGCTTAAGAGAATAGGGAGGGGTGGCAATGCAGAGAGTCAATCTAGGCTTTCAAGCTATTATCAAATGGTTCTGAATCACATACAATTCATGGAGACAGGCCCATTATGAACATTTATCAGTCATCATTTGGTCTGAAGATAACACTGTGAATCACACAAATCTAATGATATATCCAGCTACTATTTAGTAGTGTACCAAATATGGTTTACATGCACAATGCTGTGAGAAACAGAACTAGAACAAAATGACAGAAGGTTGTGAAATGAGTGGGAGCAATAATGTGGAGAAGCATTTACTTAAGTCTTTTTTAACAGAAAAATTTTCTTTTCTTTTTTCCATTCCTTCTCTTTCTATTAGACCTTGATCTCCACTCCCCACAGGGAAGGTAAACCAGAGCACAGATGCAAAGAGAAATCACAGATAGCCATTCCTACGTTTTAACAGACCAATGTCTTGGCATTAACAATTGGAGTCTAACAAGAACCCTCTGCTCCCCCAGTTCCCAAACAACCCCATTCTCAGAGGCCTGAGATAAACACTCTTTCTGGACTAGGAAGAGAGGACAGTTAGAAAAGCAAGGGAGATAAATTTTGGTGTGGACTTATACCCCCTCCCTCTTAGGCTGAGCCAGTGACCTGGAATTAAAGAAGAAGAGAGAGACAGAGCAATCCCTGGTTAGCTGTGAAGAAGTTGGAACAAGGGGAACTTCTCCTTCACAGCCTGTCAGGGCCATGAGAGATCTCACCAAATCCCCTTTGATTAAGGAGGAACAATAAGGACCACTCATGGGATGGCCAGGCAGATGGATCTCAAACAGGGTGGCAGAGCCACTCTGCAAATGGGGCCCGGGGTGTGTCCGATGCTAGCTCCCTGGCTCTGAGAGTGTCGCAGGTGTGCCATCAGTCACGGGACCTGTGCACGTGCTGCAATCTGACAAGGGGATTTCAACAGCAGGTGTGCTCAGGTGCCTCAGTGGATGGCAGCACAGAGGGGCAGCTGTGCCTGACCAAATGATGAAGACTTCCAGTGCTAGGCGTAAGCCCTTGTATCTTAGATTTCACACCAGGGAGTAAAGAAGCAACAGCAGAACCCCACGGTGGCTGAATTGGCCGTAAACCCACTAACAAAAATCTGAAGTTTTAGGCTGAATTCACGTAAAATGGACTATTTCAACTTTCATATCAGAACACAGAATAAAAATTAAGATAGAAATTAGTTCATTTTAAGAAAAAGTACAGTTACAGTTGCTTTCCATGCCTACGGTGGTTGATTGAGAAATTTGCACCAGACACATGAACCCATAATTGCATAGATAATGTGTTTACAAGCCCTTTGGGAGAAATGTGTGGTACAGGGAAAAGCAAAACACTATGCTTGGAAAGATAAAACTAGATTTCTCCTAGCTCTGTTATTCTCTTTAGAATCTCAAGAAAAGTAGTAACGCTTTTTGAGTCTTAACACTTGATAAAATGAAATGCCTTACAAGACTGTTGTGATTATCAAATGCCATAATACACAAAAGTGATAAATAAACTTTAAATGTTTCAAAATAAAAAATGAAGGAACTGAAACCAAGTGCTACAATATGCCAGGCTCCTTATCTTATGGTAAACATGATATGTATTTTACATTTAATGTAATAATTTATAGTAATACTGTATTATGTTATTTTATATTATATTCCTGGCTGGTCTGGGATAGCCATATTTTACAGACATCATCCCAGCATAATTTTTAATAATGCCCTTTTCACTCTCAAAACTTCTGATTTGCATGATAAATTACATAGTCACTCTATACATTCTTTCCATACAATGTCCTTGCAAAATAAGGTCGGTATTTTATTCCCTTTTCACAGATGAGGAAACTGAGGTTTACATGGCTTGAGTAGCTAACCTATGCTCTCACAGCTAGTCATGCTGCCCTATTGGAAATCAAATCTGGGACTGTCAATTTGAAAGGTCAGGCTATTCAATTTACTGTACTATAGTGTAAGGTGCAATATGACTCTTTGCATTTGCATTAGAACCAAAGCATGTAAAGTGAATCACTCTCTCCCAGGCACAGAGCATGGGACCCATCTAAACTGACAACTGTGAGTTAAGCGCAGAATGAAAGCTAGTCTTTGAATTCCTGAGCAGGCAGCTTCCCAAGTCCTGTTTACTTTCAGCGATTTGGCCTTTGCATTGGATTGGAGAGCAGTACAAACGCATGCAGATTAGCCTTAAGCACATCAACTTGGAAATATTACATTAACAATCCCTCTCTTTGGTTTCATTTTTATTTAGGTTTTATTCAAATATTCTTAAAAGGAAAGCCTACATCTCCTTCAAAAACGCCTTCTCTTTGACATTCTAAAGCTTTTGATTGTGTCCAGCTTCTAAATCTAATTCAGTGAAGCCAAAAAAAAAAAAAAAAATTTAAGGCTATGTTTATTTCAGTTAAGCCTGGAGTAAAGGTTCATGCCAGATCTCATTTTAACAAAATGAATTCACCAACCCCTAGTAAACATTGGATGAAACTGATAATTATACTGGTGACCAGAAAGACTCCTTGGCCTTGGTTTGCAGAATTATATGACCTTACATTAATATTAGAAATCTAAATGATTAAAATCCAGGTTTGCAAATGAACATCATTTCTGTTGTAAAATTTGCTTTCAGCAAAAAAACATTTTGTAACATTCTTTCACTAAAACAGTCTTTACAAGCCAAATGAGATGGGTATTTGGGGGAAAAATTTTTACTTAATTCAGTACAAAACAATCTGAATAAAGATAGAGAAAAACTGGAATCACTTTCTAACTGTAGTTCTACATAAGTATATTTATTTTTAAGAATACCGAGGGCAGCAAGGAAATTGAAACTTTGTTTTAAAATACATATACATAGAGAACATGTATCTGAAATTATGCCCACTAATCTAGAACACTTGTTTCAAAATGTGACAACTTGTTTAGGAACATTCAACAACAAACACAATATTAACCCAGAATGTTCAATTAAGGATCAGAGCTGAGCAAACTAAAAGGTAGATTATAAGAAATTTATGTATTTAGATGTTGAACCAAAAAGAGAGAGACCATGGAGTTGTTTACTACTTGGGAAAATGTATGTTTATTTAAAATTCAAAGGAATCCTACCAGTTCTATACAATCAAAAATAAGTCTCAGGAATTGGACAGCACATCTGTGAGTCTTAATGGATAATATTAATCCATGTACATGAAACATGTAAAACATATATCAGATTCTCCCAGAATAACATGGAAGAGTGTCCAAATCTCGAATCTCCACTTACAGAGTGGTTAGACGCAAGAAAACACTGCAAATTTGAAATGATGTTCATTTGCAGACCTAGATTTTAATCATTTTGATATATAATATTTATGTAAGGTCATATTCTGCAAACCAAAGCCAGGGAGTCTTTCTGACCAGTGTAATTATATCCTTATAGCCCAGGGAGTGAGTGGAATATATTCTTAGATAACGTGACCTGAGAGAAAAAAGCCAGAGAGAGAAAACATCCAAAATACAAGGCTGTATGTAGGTGGATTCAAAACAAAACAAATTACAAGTGAACTATAAGTAATAAAGTCAGAAGACACCCAGAAGGCTAGGCAGACTGGCCATGATGGGGACTTCTGGGATTTTCAAAAGGAAGATTGGGAATGTTAATTGGAATAAAACAAGAAGGTGTGAATAAAGAAGGTGCGAATAAAGAAGGTAGAAATGCGGGGGGGAAATGACCTAAAAAACAAACAGCAAATGAAGGACCATGCCAGTGCTGGTCAGCTACAGTGAGCCTCCTGTTTCTGAAAGAACACAGAGATGAGTGTTGCAAGAATCAAACTTAAGACACTGGGAAAACATTTCTATCCATGTAAGCATAGGAAACTTTAAGTGTATTAATTATTAAGGAATACAAGTTATGTGCAGTGACTTGTTAAATAAGCCGCTGATACCAAGCAAGTGCAGAGACATTAAGGAGTCATGAAGTGAATGAGAAGAAGTCACTTTTATTACAACTACTAATTCCCCAGGAATTTGGAGATTTTTAAATACTCGTATATTCCAGCATCATTATTAACATGTCTATTTAGCACTGAAATTTTGGTCTGTACATGAACATCAATCATTTGGGCAATAGTTTCATTAAATTCATTTGCAGTCCTTTAACTCTGTTTTTTTTTTTTTTTTTTTTTTTTTTTTTTTTTTTTTTTTAGACAGAGTCTAGCTCTGTCACCCAGGCTGGACTGCAGTGGCGCCGTCTCGGCTCACTGCAACCTCCGCCTCCTGGGTTCATGCCATTCTCCTGCCTCAGCCTCCCGAGTAGCTGGGACTACAGGCGCCCGCCACCACGCCCGGCTAATTTTTTGTATTCTTTAGTAGAGACGGGGTTTCACTGTATTAGCAAGGATGGTCTCAATCTCCTGACCTCGTAATCCGCCCGCCTCGGTTTCCCAAAGTGCTGGGATTACAGGCGTGAGCCACCGCGCCCAGCCTGCAGTCCTTTAACTCTTAATGTTCAATATCTAATAGTGACTGAGAAAAACAGGGCTGTGTTTATTTGCTTATTTGTTCTTTCTGAAAAATCAAGACTTTTTCATCTATTTTTTATCACTTCATCTCAGGCTTTCCTTATATAGACTGAATTCTGATACTTAATTCTTAACATATTTTAAAATATTAATAGTAAAATGTATCTTTATATTTAAAGCCAAAAAAATGTATCCACATCTACTATGAACAAAGAAAACACCAGTGCTAGGCACTGGTGGGAGGGGAGGTGGATGATACATGAAAGCACAAGACAGAATTAGTACTCAAGGGCTTTGCAGTTCTGATGGGGAGAAAGATGTTCATTAACAATACTAGTTCATGGCAGAATGTGACCTGTGTTGCATACTGGAGGGGAAAAGTGCTACTTCTATAGAAGAGGGTGGAGACTTTAATGAAAGGAATTCCACTTCCAGTAATTTCTCTCAAAAGATCTATTGGACAAATGCAGAAAGTTACATGCACATAGATGATTCTTAGGTTAATATTTAGCCTATTTGTACTAAATAGCCAACAGCATGATTATGCCAACATGCCAATTCACATGGATACTGGATTTAGAAATGGTAGAAAATAAAATACTTTAAAGAAAAGTTGTTTCTGTTCATAAATGGTGTCTAGGACCAGCCTACAGATCTCCACCATCCTCGTTTCGTGACTATGATAGACATTACTAATCGATCATGTCATACTTTCCTTTGCGCTCTATGGCCTTAGAATCCTTCCTTCCTGAGAGTTACAACCCACTGAGATGAATGCATTTGCATATGCAGGGTATAGACAGTGGTTCTCCTACTATGCTACTTTGGTCTGTGAACCCCCCTGAAGGCTACTGGGGGAAAGGACGGGGAGGGAGAGTAGGTACAAGGCCAAGACTGCTCACTTTTGGACCACAGCTATGATATTAGAAGGGAGCTTAGTAGTCACCTTTGGATGGGATCTGGTAAAGATGCAGTGATGATATCTCAGGAGTTTTTCATTTGGGAATATTTACACAGTGTAAACTGTGTAATATGCATTTTTATATATTAAATATATTTTATACTTCAATACAAATTAAACAAACAAGCAAAATAATAGCTAACCTATCAGAGCCAAAACAAGATGGCGAGCTGAAACTTTATAGACCGTCAAATGTAGGCTCATATCTAGGCTCAACATTGTAACTTGCCGTGTGATTTGGGCAAGTCATTGGAGCTCTCTGTTTCATTTTCATTACCTGAAACAGGGATAAAGAATATCTAACTCATAGGATTGTTATGAGGAGTAAATGGCGTAATAAGGAACTTAGTATCATGTCTAATATATCATCGTAATATGTTAACAATGATAACTAACATTTATGTTCCCAGATCTGTTCTAGGGACTTAGTTTTCTCCAAAAAACCTTGTGTGGCAGGGCCTTTATTTTACAAAGAAGGAGACTGAAGCAGAGACTTTAATTACTCATCCAAGATCTCTCAGCTATTAGGTGGAAAAGCCAGAATTGGAATTCAAACAGGCTGCATATTAATCGCTGCATTCTCTTGTGTAATGAGGACCTGTTAAACAACAGTTATTACTATTACAAGAATAAATCCTGGCAGAGATGTGGGAGGTTATAGGGAAGAATTGAGTGTGGGCTGAACTGCTGTTCACCAGGAGGCAAAGGGCAACTCTAGGGTTAGGCTTTGAAATTCTGTGCTAAATAAATGGCTGCTATTATTATTATGCAATCTCCATACCTAATTTGAGACAGAAAATGAAAGTACATAATACATGCAATATTGTTATTGTACTTTATAAATACAGAAAACAGCTTGTGGAAACTTAATGCCATGCTCCCCTTTGGTCCACTACAGCCTGTTTCTAAAATCTACCCCAGGGGAGCATTCTACCTCCGTAGGCTACATCCAAAATCAGTCTTGGTTTTGTTGTGACTATGGGTGATTTTTTTCCTCTGTATTTTCTACGTTTTCTATAATGAACACACTTAATCTTAGAGTGGAAAACTGACTTTGAAAATAAAACAAAGCAAAAACAAAAACCAATCTCGGTAAGTCAATAAGAACCACATGTCTTTTAAATGGAAAACATGCCTATTTCTCCTTTGTTTCTTAGAAGCAGCTTGCCAGATACACAGTCCACAGCTTTGAACCATTTACATAAACATACCCAAGCCAAGTGTTTCCACGCAACAGCCAAATTGCACCCATATTAGCAATTTAATGACTTTGAAAGTAATAAGTGGTAGAAACTGATATTCACTTTGCTGGAATTCACCTTAGATATTCCTTACAAACCACAATCCAGTGGCATTTGTTGTAGATTGTAGATGTAGATATTCAAGAAACTTTGAAAGAAAACACTATTCATCTTGAGATGGGGGGAAAAATGCTAAGTGGTAACAAAAGGTAGAAATCTTTCAGGTGAAATGTAATGTCCAGGAACTGAATGGTAGTGGATCATAGTAAATCATCCACCAGAGGGCACTGCCAGAATATACAAAGTTTTCTTGGAAAAGATTGGACACCCCCTAACTCTAAGCAAAGAGAACTAATATGGTTAGGTTAACAGAATTCCACTTTTATTATGCTTCCTTTTCCTTTATAAATCAGGTCAGTCTTTTCCTCCTGATGAAGGAATTCATGAACTGCATGCTACCCTTACTGTTATGACTTCTAAAACTGCTGCAACCATTTGATTGGAAAAGTATTTTACAATAAATGCTGCGTTCCATGTGCTAAGTACTGAAGTTATTACCATGACAACAAGACCACCTTCTTGCCTACAGTTCGGAGATTAATAAAGGGCTCCTGAGATAACCACAAGGCACATGAAATAACCCAGGAACTATAAATTGCAAAAGGTAAATGCTGTTTTGTTTTGCACTTAAAGTACCATTGCTGTTCAGTGAAGGGAATATTGCCCACAGATGTTTTGGAAAGCCATCTGAGGAAGGCACAGAAGGTTGTACAAATAGAATAGGCAGAAAGGAAAGCAGAACACAGCATTAGCAAAGTCATAGGAGTCAAAATTTCATTGCTAAGGAAAACTAGTGCTTTTCATTTCATATTTCTGGCTGTCCTACTGACTTGGAATGCTTCAAATGCACCAATTCACCTGCCTTAGATATGGACTGATACTTCAGTCCCATCTGCTGTAATAGGTGAGCTTTTCATATTTTCTGAAGCTATTATCCATAGTGTTTCCCCTCTAATTTCAAAAGCCTAGAGAGAAACAATATGGAAAAAACTCTTGTTTTGGACAGAGAAGGCTCTGAAGCAAGCCACCTCCTAGAGATGGAGAGCTTCATTTTGTCCTGCCTGAGCCAAGATAGGACACAGTAGGAGTTTGCTGCAAGAACACAGAACACATCAGGTTTTCATGTAGCAGTGCCCTAAGAAGGAAACTGGACAAGGATAACTTGAATTGAGGAAACCAGTCCAGCTGGAGCACCACCCTGTGGTTTCGCATGGACTAGGAATAGAAATTTGCTCTGAAGAAATGTATTTTTAAAAGTTAACCTTCACATGGTATTTGAAGTTTCATAGAACTTTTTTGGATTGGAACCAGATCTAGCATGCATGTTCTTAGGTATTAAAGCCTAATATTATTATATTACTCTTTGAAAAAAATGAATTCTTTCATCATAGTAATTTTCTTAAAATATAACACTGCTTTTTACTTATATTAAATTCTCTACTGTTTCTGATGTTATGCTACTTAGGAAAATGCCATTTTCTTGTTAAATTAATATGTGCAGACAAGTATTTACTTACCACACATGAACATGAGCCCCTTATAAGTCATCACTCCTAATATTTATGGTCTAAGAATGAGGTAGTTCGGGTGAGTCACATATTTACACTTAGCAGAGAGATTAAGAAAAAAATTCGCACCACAATTTCCCTTAAGTAATGGAAAAAATGTGACTTGTTACACATTTGTTTTCTGGGTCAGTGTTTTTCCAGCTTTTCCATAGAGTCTTAAGGTCATCCAAGGTTTCTTTAGGTTTTCCTAAAAGAAAGAACTGGGGAGTTGTGATGGGTGCTTGATTTTAAATGTGATAACAATTATCTGCGACTTTTAGAGAACACAGCTAACCATTGTGAAGATTACTGTTCTGGATAGTGAAAAATATGAACCAGCAGTATAGGCTTTGAATGTTTGAAATTGATGATCTTAAATTTCTTAAATAACAGGGCCCTAGACATGCACTTTGCTCACAAAAGAGATCTTTTACCCCAGTCTTTAGAAATTTGCTTAAAGTGGGAGAGTCTAGTATTTATAAATAAAAGGAAAGCAGTAAGATTCAGAAAAATACCATTGAGATTTATAAGGAACTAGAGAACCATAGTTCCTGGAAAATCCAGGAGTAATTGAATAGCTTTTATAATATAAAGAAAAAGAATATTCACGGTGCATTACTTTTGGCAGCCTATCATCTAAATATGGCACCCAGAATAAATGCATTGACTGAAGGGAAATTGTATGATTTGCATAAATTTTACCAATGGCTATAAATTATCCTCTCTGGTGATTTTTCAAGATAGATAGTGTTATGGGTTGAATTGTGTCCCCTCAAAGGACACTGAAGTCCTAATCTTAGTATCTGTGAATGTGACCTTATTTAAAAATAAGATCTTTGTTGATGATCAAGCTAAGATGATTTCATTGGAGTAAGCCCTAAGTGATTAAATATGACTATGTTCTTATGAAATGGGGAAATTTGGACACAGAGACAGACACACACAGAGAGATGATATGGAAACATAAGGAGAACACCATCTGCAAGCCAAGGACGGCCTGAGGTTACCAGAAGCTAGGACAGAGGCAGGGAACAGATCCTCCCTTACAGACTTTGGAAGGAACCAATCCTTCTGACGCCTTGATTTTGGAGTTCTAGCCTCCAGAAGCATGAGGCAGTAAATTTCTGTTGTTTAAGCCCCCCAGCTTGTGGTACTTTGTTGAGGCAGTGCTAGCAAACTAGTACAGTTATATATTCTGAATCCTTGTCTTTTGGCTTGCCATTTAGCCCCCGAGTCTCCCTGGCAATCAATAAAGCACAGAAGCTTTGTTCAGATTGCCAACCACCCGGTTCAGTTCTGGACAACCTCATACTGCCATCCACGTAAGGCAAGTTCCTTTTAAAGTTTGCCAGACCAAAGCAATTAAGAGGGCAAATCTGTTGGAAAAACTCACATATTGCATTATGAAGCCAAATATAAATTCTACTTTGATTATTGTTCCTTATGAAGGAGAGCAGTGTCTCTAATAATCAGAAAAGAATCAGGGATTGATTGTATTTCATTTTCTTCGAGGAAAATTTGGCCAAATAGCTAAAGTAACCTGATTAATGAGAAATTTGCAGAATGGGAAAAACACTGCAATTATAGGCAGCAACCATGGACATCCGCTGATGGCCAAAGAACATAGCCAGTCTTCTGGTGCGTACATTATGTGGCAGCTCGTTGGTCTCCTGCCAAATAGGACAATCAATGTAGGTTGAAATTTGTCTCAATCTCACTCGGCAATCATATTCATAAACACTGCCTCTGTGTCTTATTTAGGTGAGACAGCAACTTAAAGACTATTATGTAAACAGAATTTTCATACCTAGAATTTTAAAAATGTATTAAACTTTAAAAGGGTCTTTCCTAATATTTGATGGAGGAGCTTCAGAATAGTTAATTTAAATGAAATTGTAGTATTATATATTTTCATTTTTTAAAATGTTAAGTTGCTAAGTGTGAAGGCTTTAGACACTGACACCTCATATTGATTCTTGCTTTACAAAGAGACTTGGAAAAGAAACCAGTGTATGTATAAAATGATTAATTGGGATAAGAAACTCAGCTAAGAGATATTCAGACTGGAAAAAACTAAATAAAGAATATAAAACAAGCAATTAAAAAAAGGAAAAAGCAGGCATGGTGTTGAAGTATATGAAGTAATCTAACACCACTGTGTTTTTTCATCTTCATTTTCCAGTGTCTATGCTGCATTGTAACTTTTGGAAAAACATGCACACACCTGGTGCCACCTGGGTAGGTGTGACCAGAACCTGCCTGTTGGAAAATAAAGGATTAAAAAAATGAAATGAGAGAAAGTGACACATAAAAGGACAACTTAAGGTTTCCGCAAAGCAAATACATAACCAAGCTGATCAACCCTCCAGCATAGTCCTTCTGAGCTGTGTTTCCACAGGAAAATGAGGGTAGAGGCAATCACAAAAGTCTTGGCTCTCATCCACCCCTGTGGCCTGCTGACACAGGCCCAGCTTGCCAGAGCACTGGGGTCACAATGAAGTTGCTGCCAGTAGAGCTGCTTTCATTAAAATTGAGTAAGAAGAACAGGTAATGGGGTTGGGCAGAAACTAGGACCTGAAAGTGGTTGGGATTGGGGGACTCCTGTCTTCTAATTGGGAAGGCTGGGTAGGGCTTCTTGGTAGTACCTGACAATTATCTTGTTCTAGCATTTACAGCCTTTCTCTACTCCTGGAGTCACTGCAGGGCCCCCAGGGGACTCTGAAAACAGCCAGTTGTTAAGCAAGGGTATTCTCCACTAGGGCTACCATGAAGTTTATATTATAGAGCTGGATCTTTCACCCCTTTTGTGCTGTAAACCATTTGTGCACAGCCTTTGAACTATTTCTCATAATAATACTTTTTAAATATATATAAAATATATGTCATTACAAATAAAATCAACTATGATGAAATATGGCACATGTATACATATGTAACTAACCTGCACAAAGTGCACATGTACCCTAAAACTTAAAGTATAATAAAAAAATATATATATATATTTATAAATATTGATATACTGTTAGAAAAACATTTTTTAAAATAAATAGGTGATATAGTAATTACATTCTTTATTAATATGTTCAATATAATCTGGTCTTGAGCTTATTAATTATGATTTCACATTAATGATGACGAAAAATAACATTTTGAGATATCAGCAACAACTGATACGAATGGAAATATCCATCATTTCTATTAGGGACAAAGTCACAGGTATTGCTAACACTGTGATTTGTTTCTACATTCATCATGGAAGGCAGTGCCAAATGTCATTTAAGGGTGCATGAAAATGTAGATGAAATGTTTTCCCATACAAGTTCACAGACCCCCTGAAATCTACCTGTGGACCCTTTGCTGGATCTGGAGTTCAGGTTAAGAACCCTGCCATACAGGCTTACCCATCCTAATACGGAAGTTTACCACAAATACCACATCAGCTTTCATGCAATTGTATGATAATTACCAACTTTTAAAACAGTGTCACTTTAATCTCTATCTCTCTGATGATTCAGAAATCACTTCAAAATTTTCACAAGAAGTAACATTGTGAGTATCAAAAAATTTGCCCTGTAGACTTGGGGAATGCTTGTTAATGAAATTACTAGGTTCAGAAAATCTCTAATAGTTGTTAGTATTTTCTTTCTAAACAAGAATGTGCAACAAATGATGCAAGAGCAGAATGGTATTATCATTGCTTTGCGAGTCCTCAGGAGAAAGAAATAGAGTGATCAATATGATCAATAAAACAAGGCAGTTTAAGCTTAAGTCAGACCCTGAAGTCAGGCGCATTTTCGTGCAAATCTCAACCCTACTACTCACATTTGACAAGTTATTTACTTCTCTAAACCTCTAAGCCTGTATCTGAGCTACAAAATAGGGATAAAAATAGTGCCTATCTCATAGAGATATTGAGGGGATTAAACGAGGTAATACATGATAACATACTAACTCAGGCTCTGTTGTTAGAGGATCCATTGCCCCTCTTGCAAAATGGGAAAATGGAAACCATCTTCAAGTCTGTCAGACATCTCTAAGCCTGTCTTTTCTTCCAGCCTCTTTTCTTGGAGTTGCTCTACATTTTCCACTGTAGTGGATGGCCTCCGTTTTTCATTCGGCATTGCAGGAATTTTGAAGAATACACAGTTTTTGAAAAGAGACAGACAGTTCAAGAAGACAGGGGAAAACAGAAGAGGCCACTTATTTTGCATATAAGACAGATGCTCAGGGCATACCAGAATAGCTTAGAATTATTTGTAATCAGCAGATATGAGTGTAGGTCTGGTATCAGCTTTAAAATGTTTTGTAATGTTGAGAAATATTTTACAATCCATCCACCCCCAGTTTTCCTATGACAAAATGTCAAGAGGGACGTGCAAGAAGCTTGAGAACCAGCAAGTAATTTTTCATATGAATTCCCACTAGTTGGGACTGACTTGAAGGATGTAATTTATGGCCATTCTTGGGAAACAACCATGAAAATGTAGTGCTAAAGCTTGTCAGCTGCTTCCTGTCCCCTAAAGTGGTAGAGATAACTTACCAGAGTGTCCCATTTTCACTCTTTTTGGTTCCCACATTATACTTACAAACAAATAAAAACAATACAAACATGAAAGAGAACTCCAACTTCAAAGCACGCAAAGATAACTGATGACTAGGAAATAAGAGCTTTGGCTGCTTATTTGAATAAGCCAGGCTTTTCTTTTTCATCACAGTACAATGTAAATGACTGCCTTTACTGATGAGAAAATTTTGCTTTTCAACATTTTTTTGTCACTCTTTTGTATATATTTTCAAACTTAGAAAAAAGCTATGAGAAAAGATTACATAACTCTCATATTCTGTTTATCCAGATCCACAAACTGTTTACATTTTTCCCATTTGTTTTATCATTCACTCTCCCTTCTCTCTATACATAAATATTTATGTATAAATAAATATATATACACACATTCATATTTTTCTGTACCTGAGAATAAGTTGGAAACATTTTGCCTCCTTACATTTAAGTGTTTCAATATCTATACTTCATAATAAATACATTTTGTAGGATAACAAAAGTATAATTATCAATATCAGAAAATTTAACATGATGCAATGACATTATCTAATCCACAGTCTATATTTGAATTTCTTCAATTGTCCCAATCATGCCCTTTCTAGTTACTTTCCTCTCCTTGGTCCAGAATCTAATCTAGGACTGAACATAGCATTTAGTTGTTATAACTCTTTACACTCTTTTAAATTGGAACAGTTCCTCAGTTTTTTTGTTTTTTTGTTTTTTTTTAGATAGAATCTCGCTCTGTCATCCAGGCTGGAACACAGTGTTATGATCTTGGCTCGCTGCAGCCTCGACCTCCTGGGCTCATGTGATCTTCCCACTTCAGCTTCCCAAGTAGCTAGGATTACAGGCACACATCACCACACCTGGCTAATTTTTGCATTTTTTTAAGAGATGGGGTCTCACTGTGTTGCCCAGGCTGGGATCAAACTCCTGGGCTCAAGCGATCCACCTACCTCGGCCTCCCAAAGTGCTGGGATTACAAGTGTGAACCATTGTGCCTGGCCTCTCAGCATTTTTTAATGATATTTCATCTTTGACATTTTTGCAGAGTATAAGGAATTTTGAAGAGTACACAGTTTTTCAAGAGAGATAGACTAAAATGTCCCTCAGTTGTCTAATACTTCCTCATAATTAGATTCGGATTAGGTATTTTGGGGCAGAAATGCTACAGAACGATGTGTGTCCTTCTTAGTGCTTCATATCAGGAGGCATATGTTGTTGGTTCATGTCCCATCATTGGTGACATGAACTTTATTTTATTAAGGTGGCATTATTTTATTTTATTTTATTAAGGTGGCATTTTTTTAGAATTTTCCAATGTAAAGTTATTATTTTTCTATCTGACAATTAATGAGCAATTTGTGGAAGATATTCTGAAACTATGTAAATATCCTGATCCTCACCACACTTTCACTCATTAGTTTCAGCCTCCACTGGTGACTCCTGCCTGAATCAATTATTTTGATAATTTCCGAATGATAGTTTTCTAACTTGTCATTTCTTCTACATTTATTGGTTGATATTCTATTGTAAGAAAGAACTTGTCTTTCTCCCTGTTGATTTTTTTATACACTTACTGTTTATATCAACAGGGAACCATGTATTCTTTTTTTGTTCAATGGATTGTAATCCATTACTGACATTACTTTGTCTCAGAAGTCACCAGGGAGAGTCCTTTCAAGCTGGTTCTTGTGTCCTCTTGATAGGTCCCTACCATTTGTGGCCTACAACCACAATAGTAGTTCATGCTTTTGCATAATTTGCTGCCTTACTAGTACAGAAATACCTTTTTCGTTCTCACATAAAGATAATTATTTACTTTTACAGAAGGGAGAATTATTATTGATTTAACTATATATTTTAAACATTGTATTTGGCCTCTCAGGATTTTTAGTTTTCAAATAAAAGTTATTGATTTGGACATATTTATATCTATTGATACAATTTAAAAAATCTTAATGGAGGGCTGGGCACGGTGGCTCACGCCTGTAATCCCAGCACTTTGGGAGGCCGAGGCAGGCAGATCACGAGGTCAGGAGATCGAGACCATCCTGGCTAACACAGTGAAACCCCGTCTCTACTAAAAATACCAAAAACTTAGCTGGGCGTGGTGGCGGGCGCCTGTAGTGCCAGCTGCTTGTGAGGCTGAGGCAGGAGAATGGTGTGAACCCGGGAGGCGTAGCTTGCAGTGAGCCGAGATTGTGCCACTGCACTCCAGCCTGGGCGACAGAGCAGGACTCCGTCTCAAACAAACAAACAAAAAAATCTTAATGGAAACAAAACAACAACAAAAAATCCCAACCAAATTTATCTTCCAAACAATGGAAAAGGGTGAGATTTAATGCATCTTGGCCTAAGACAATTAAGAAAATTTTGATATTCCATAGTTGATATAAGAAGGAAGAAAGCAGTAGAGATTATCATACATTTTGGAAAATAGAGGGAAAAATGAACACGAATATTTAGTATCTATAACAAATTTCTACTTGTATAAAACAGCAAATCTGTTTCATTATAATGGCTAAGTACAGTTCTCCACAGTTGAGCAGTTTTTATTTGTACACTTCTATATATGTGCATATATATATGTGCACATTTTGGTCATTTTTTTTTGTTTTGAATCCTTGTCTTGATATTGTACTGAAAACAGTAGTGTTAGATTGTGTATATTTCACGAATTCTAAGTACAAAGCACTGTGACCCTCGCTGGGCAGCACAGTAACCATGCGCGGGTACCGACCACTTGACAAGCTGAAATGAGGCACACAGGGATTGCAGCAGGTGCAAAGCATCTCAGGTGCCGCTGAAACATGGCTTTTTAGAAAACTTTTGTTAAGGGCTTTTCAAAACTTTTGTTAAGGGCTCCATCTATAAAGGAAACAAGAAGAAATCACACCGCAAAAGGTATGCAGAATTTGGAGTGTAGCCTTAGATTTGTTAACCTTTCAATCTCAGTTTCTTCATGTCTAAAATAGAAATCACAGTAATATTTAAATTATTTATCCCACAGGATAATTTTAGTGATCAAAAGAGATACTGCCACAATAAAATACTTTGCATATGAAAAATAATTATATTAATTATGATCATGCTTTGTCCAAAGACATTTGAAGGCATTACACAGAATGCTGGAAGTCAAGAATTAACGCAGCCCCACAGCTTGGATGGCAGCATAGTGGAGACGGAGATGTAAGAATTGAATTGGAAAAATACATCAGGGTTTGCTCAATAAGCATTAAAGCCTTAGGGAATAATACTCCTTAGAAACAGGGGCATCGTCTGGGCGCAATGGCTCCCACCTGTAATCCCAGCACTTCGGGAGGCCGAGGCAGGCAGATCATCAGGTTAGGAGATCAAGATCTTCCTGGCCAACATGGTGAAACCCCGTCTCTACTAAAAATACAAAAATTACTCAGGTGTGGCGGCACATGCTTGTAGTCACAGCTACCCGGGAGGTTGAGGCATGAGAATTGCTTGAACCCAGGAGGCGGAGGCTGCAGTGAGCTGAGATCACGCCATTGCACTGCAGCCTAGGCAACAGAGTGAGACTCCATCTCAGAAAAAGAAAGAAAGAAAGAAAGAAAGAAAGAAAGAAAGAAAGAAAGAAAGAAAGAAAGAAAGAAAGAAAGAAAGAAAGAAAGAAAGAAAGAAACAGGGGCATCACTTAGTGTTTTGCTCTATCTAGTACAAATAAAGTAATAAAGTAGGCCACTGTGTCACACAGTATAATCTGTACATATGGACCATCCCAAGGAAAACATCAGTCAACAAGTGTATTCTTTGGAGAATGTTTATCTTCTCCTTAGGTCCTCTCCAGTCTCAGGAATAATAAGCTAGTTCCTGAAAGCCCCTTGTACAGTGCACAGACCTGTTCACCAAACACTCTGGACCTTCCTTCCTCCTTCTTCCCATTTACATTTTGCCTGTTCAGGAACCAGCCAGATCCCCTTCACTCACCATGAGTAGCTGGTGCACTCAATTAATTCTCCTGGAAGCACATGCATTTTAGAAAACGATTTTAGAGACTCACTCATTCACTTGATTGATTATTTATCAAGCACCTATTTTGAATCAGAACCTATGTTAGGAGCCTGGACTTGAACCATACACAAGACCTACAGTCTCTGCCTTCATGCAGCTTACTATCTGGTGGTAAAGATATATAACTAAGGAATCAATACTACCAATAACAATAATAATAATAATAATAAAACATATTGTTGACCATTTACCATGTGCCAAGCACTGTTCTAAGTATTTTGCATTAAAAATCCTCTTCCCAAAACATACAAAGTATATTCTGTTATTATTCCCATTTCACAGGTTTAAAAATTAAGTCTTATGAAGCTTAAATAATTTTCATAAAGTTACTAAGAGGTGGAGGCAAAATTTAAACCCAGTATCCTTACCTGGTAAGGAGATTCGAGAGCATTGTAGAAATACATTGTAACTTAGACTAGTGGTAGGAACGGAAATTTTCCCTGAGGAAGTGCTGTCTAAAGAAAGACTTGAAAAATGAGACTACTGCCTTAATCAAAATGAATCTCTTATGAATTTCAGAATACTTACACAGAACAAGAGCAAAGCAATGGGAAGAGGAATGTTTGAGGGCCGAAGGACCTAAATCTCATTGCTGAAATGGCAGACTACTCTGGTTATGCACTGAGTGAAACAAGGTCCAGGCACAGCCCTGGCCAAGGACTGCCTCCAGGAGAAAGTATGTCTTACATCAATCAGAATAAAAAAAGAAATCAGGAGTTCAAATATTCCAATGTATCAGATAAATCCTCCAGCTAAGAGGACTGGGGAGAGCTTGGGCATATAAATATTAACTATACAGGCTTAAAATCCATAATTAAGAACCCCATTAGAGTTTTCTCTCATTCTTAGAGACAGGTCCTATAGCATTGTTTTTATGATGAAGGAATAATTAAGATCCCTAATTATCATACATGTCCCATTATACATAAGCATTATACATCCATTGGTCAAAACATAAATGGTACTACAATGGGTGGGAGTATTGAAGTGAGAAAAGGCAGCAGAGAAGCCTTTCTTCTACATACATGAAGAGCTCTTTTGTTCTCAAGGAAGGAAAATATAACATGAAGAATTTTTTAAAAACACAACCAAATAAATTTACGGTGTGGTTTCAGCTTTATTTTTCTGGGCTCTTAAAGATGACCTAGTCCAATTCCCTTATTTCACAAATGTGAAAATTATCTCAGAAAGGTAAACTTGCCTATCATCACACAGCTAATTCCTGCCACTGTGAAAAATGGAACCTAGACCTCCTTACAATATTGCTCTAGACCTTAGAGTCCTATAACATACGTTTATATTATGAAGAGTTTCCATTCTTCCTATTAGCAATAGGTTTTATGGAGATGTTCAGGTTAAGCCTAGATTTTTGCTAAGAATTTTGATGAACTTTGCTGAAGCAATATGAGTATTATTTGCCCTTGAGCCCCCGGTTGTGTTAACGAGGATCCCTAGTTTCAACCTTTTGTTGAAACATCACAAAATGTAGGTGGAGACTATAGCACTTTCTTTTGCAGTGAGTCAACAATGCCAGAAGCACTACACAAAAGCCAAGCAGACGTTATCCCTGCCAGGTGGCCTGATATTGAAAAAAGAGAAATAAATAATATGCTAGAAAAATTGGATGACTCAGGGAGCAGGGAAGAAGAAGAGATGAAGATTAAAATTGATAACATCATTTTGTGACTCAGAGTCATTTTTCCTGGATCATATTTCAAACGTTGCCCTTGTTAATTTTCCAATGAATATACAGATTTGAAAGCAAAGGAACAATGACCCAAAAGAACTAAGATTCGACATGAATGTGAAGAATTGGGTTACATAGGGGAAGTGTTTCCAGTAGCGGATAAGACATACATGTGGAATAGAGGAAAGAAAGTAATTTAATAGTCAGATGGTCTCTGCTGCGAATCCAGATCTGCTCAGTGAGAGTGTATCATAGGGTCTAGCCAGGAAAACAGAAACCACTCTACGTCTTTCAAACCGATGCATTTAATCAAGGGAAATTATTATCCAAAATGATGAAAAACCTGAGAAGCCATTAGGAGATGGAAGGCAACAGGAGAAAACTGTAACCACAACTAGAGGTGATGAAACAACAGGAGGAAATGGGTAACCAGAGCCCAGCATCTGGAGCTGTCCAGGAGAAGCTGGAGTCAGTGAAGACTGCCTAGTGGGAAAGACGATCATTGAAGGAGGAGCTTTCTTAAGGTAATTAGAACTCTAGATGGGACCCAATTACTCCACAGGAATGGAAACATCACAGGAAATACTACAGGAAGGGGTAGGGCGGAGAGAGAGAGGAGAGTGGAGAGAGGAGAGAGAGAGAAACATTGTGGTTTTTCCTTTCCATATTGCAGTCTTCTGCTACTACCTCACATTGGCCAAATGTGCCAGAAATGAAGAGGAGAAGAGAGACAAGGAAATGCAGTTCTATTTAAAACAGAGCAAAGCAGGGAAAGAGCAAGAATGGATGAGGTTACTCAGTTAATTGACTAGCACAAGGCACAGTTAATAAGGTCTGACTCCAGAAGACTCACTGATCTCTGAGCCAGTCCTGACTGGAGCAAGTTTTACATAGGGGCTCCATTACCATTTGTGGGGCCTAGATTCATCCATCCTCCTTTCTAGAGCTTCTGAAGTAAGCTCAAAACTCACTGCCTATTCACCAAACTTTAGACTTCTCCTAAACAATCTAAGTATTTGGGACATCCATAAAGCTAATGTCCAGCTTACCACATGAGCCTTCTCTGAACCTACTCCCTTCTTTTGAGACTTTGACAGCCTGTGAAGCTCATTAATTCCCACTTCCAAGGGACATGAACAAGGCTTGCACCCCCAACTTTGGGCTAGAATATTGATCCGAAAAGGATTGATCATCTGGGGCTTCAGTGCAGCCACCTATTAGACGTCCTGTATCACCACTAGCAAGTTTCTCCAGGCTCTGTGTTTCCACCCACCCATTGGACCGCCTTGATATAGTCAACAGCAGAATTTTCTATTAGTTGCCATACCCTGAGCTGTATAGACTTTGTCTTAGGGGGCCAACAGAACCACTGTTTACTTTGCTGGGCTTGGATTACCCATGGTCCACTAAGCAGTCACATTGAATTTTCCTTCTTTATCTCTCCCTCAGAAATTTGCCACCCACAAAAGGTGTTAACTAGCACAAAATAGTCAAAGGTGTATGAGAATAAGATAGAGTTAAAACAAAATTTCCTTTGGAAAATTGACCTTTTGCACCTGGAGAGAATCCAAAGGGTATTATTGAAGTTTTCCAGTGGAGCACTCTCTTCATTAAGCCAGGGTGCCGCTCTGGAAATTTTAATGTAAGAGCAAATTGTCAATAATCCTCTTGGCACTAAAGGTTGTGCTCTCTCTTTGAGGTCTCAAACAGCTCCTCCAGAGCAGACTCAGAGCTAAATGAAGAGTAGGAACAAAATGTACCAAAACCCAAATTGATTCTGAGGACACGATCAGATTCTCAGTCATTTGCCTTGTCCGTGTGGCACTTTAAAGCTGAAGGTTAAGGGAAGGACTCCTGCTGAGCCCTGGCTGCATTAGTCATAGCAGCATGTCTTTGAGCGGCGACCACTCAAAGACAGCAAATTACGGATTTCTGCCTCTGCATGTAAACTGTCTCCGTACAACTAAGGAAACTAGATTGGAACTCATGTACCAAACACTTCTTCTAGCCAACAATCTTTTAACTTCTGCCAAGACTTTTTTTTTTAACTAAAATAAAGTTGCTCAAGCTCCAAAAATAACATCTGTTGCTCAGAGTAACATTTTCAAACAACATAATAAATTGTACTTCCAGAAAATATACACTTTATGCTTCCCTAAGGGAACTCACAAATGGGTGATGTGGGATTCTCAGCTCCTTCATTTCATGTACTGCCTGCCCTTGGGCAAGTTGTTTAGGTGGTATGGGTGGTGGTAAGACTCACCATGAGAAATTTACCTTCATTTACAGCATGTAGGGACTGGAGTAGCCTTAACTAACAACTCTCCCCAGATGAGCCTGGTAGGTTAGCAGAATGAAGTTTTAAAATGGGGTTATGATGCCCTGGAGTAAGTACCAGGGAGAGCCAAAGAGGTTAAACAATCATATTAATAACTATAACACTCCAATTATGGCACATTTTTAAATTCCCTGAAAGTTAAATACTTTCTGAGATCAACTAACGGCCTCACTCTTAATTTTGAAACCTGCCAATCCTAGGATCTTATCCTCTCCAACTCTCCCTGTCAACCTTTTAGAGATGGAAGATGGGCTGAGCATGGATGTGCTTCGATCACAATTGGCTCCATGACTGTAAGCTCCCCTGACCATTTCCTAGGTACACCTAGGTCACTAGTATAAGAGACTGGGAGAGGTTGTGCAGGTTATGTATAATCATTATCACTACTAGAGATAATTCAAAACCCTCATTTCCATATGCACAGGGTAAAAGACTTAACTCCATGAGAACCCTCATTTCTAATTTGAGAAGAAATTCCAAAGATATTTTTATTGTTATCAACTTCTTAAAAGCATGAGATAGCCCTGCTGTCTGCCTTGGCCAGGATGTGGCTGCCAAGGGCAGAGTAGCAAGGAGGCCTAGAGAGTAAGCCCAGGGTTTCTTCTAGATTGAAAGGTATTGAAAATAAATAGCCAACCTCATGGGCTTGCAAGATTCTTTAGAACTAGAACATAATATTCACACAATTCATCCAATTGAATCAAATTCCTTAATCCTATGTAGGTGTTATGCAAAAAGAATGGGAAAATAAGAATTTCAGTGTCTCCTTTTTAATTTTGGGACTCTGGACAAGTCACCAAGGCACTCTGAGCTTCAGTCTCATGATAATTGATGATGATGATGATGATGATGATGATGGGGATGGTGGTGATGGTGGTGATGGTGGTGGTGGTGGTGGTAGTGGTGTTGGTGGTGGTGTTGGTGGTGGTGGTGGTGGTAGGGGTGGTGCCACTGCAGCTACTTACCTTCCCTAATGCAAACATTATGTGAAATTCACATCAGCATATATGAAATGACTTTATGGTAAGATATGGTGCTTTGAAAGTATTTATTGTTGTTGCTTTCATTGTTGTTGTTATTCAGAATGTTGTGTCAACCACTATACTGCCTGACAAACGGATGGACTAGATCACTTTTTTTTTTTTCGATATTTAAAGAGGTCTTTTATTTAAATCATCTTGTATCATGTCTGACACATTATTGTTTTTTGTTTTTTTTTTATTATACTTTAAGTTTTAGGGTACATGTGCACATTGTGCAGGTTAGTTACATATGTATACATGTGCCATGCTGGAAGAACTTTCCTGACCCTAAGATTCAGTTTTGCTATATGTTCATGTGCTTTCTCATGTTCTAAGGTCAAAACATCAATGAAAATATAATGTCTTACAAGCAAGGCAGGTCTTATTAAGCCGACAATGCATAGGCAAGCCTTGGTGCAGAGGGTACATTTTCTTACCAAGTATAGGGCATGTATAAAAATTACTGAGGGTTAATCTGACTTGGCCTTCCCAATTAAGCCTGCCTGGAGGCCTGAGCAAACCAGAATGTCCCAGACACTAGACTTGGCCTGGGTTGAATGTGACTATCTGCTGGGTTGCCCTGAGAGGAGTCCAGGCTCTAGACTGGCCCTCCCTCTTTGTTCTGTAGTGAATTTAAAGGGGATTTAGGTTCTGCATCAGAAAGACTCCACCCCAGCTCTAAGTCAATGCCTGCCTCTTCTGGAGAAGTGGTTCTCAAAGTTCAGCATCAGCAGAATCACCTGGGGAGGGGCTTGTTAACACCCAGATTGCTGGACCCCGGCCCCGGGGTTTCTGATTCAGTCGGTCTAGGGTGGGGCATGGGTAACTGCATTTCTAAGACGGTGCTGGTGCTGCTGCTCTTAGGACCATGTGTTGAGAAGCAATGTTTGGGAGAAACCATCATATATTCTGGTATCTAAATTGACCCTTTAAATATGCCAAAAAGACAGGCAGTTTTGTGAGCTGTTTTTGATGGAAGCTGGAATGGAGATACTTTAAAAAAGATAGTAGTAGTGGGTGTTAACTTTAAAAATAGATAATCTAGTTATATAAATTACATCCAAATAAAGCATTCCTTTTTTTGCATAGACTTCCCTGTTTAACATTTCTAATAAAGACAAAAAAATCATACTTTTTTGGATGAGTCATTTTTCCCATCTCTGGCTATTAAAAGTGAACAGTTTTAATTGGTTTTTTGCTCAAATTGAGGCAAAAGGCTTTCAGGTTGGTGACACAGTTACAAATTGCCCTTTGAAAGTTGAATAACAATTGGGAACTATGGCCCTGAGAGAAGGTAATGTCAACTGTACACCTCAGTTTTTCCTTTCATTATGCCTACAAGTCTGGCTTATGATTGCCTCTCATCTAATTAACCAATTAGGCTTTTCACCTTTTTGTTGGGACACTCAAATGTCCAAGGCTCTGCTTTAATAGTACATTCCATCATCATAAAAATGTGTGCAATTCCCTACTTTCCAAAGAAGATTGCATTTCTTGAGATTTATGTGCTGTTTTCAAGTTCAGTATTAATGATTTGGATGTGGTCCCCTGCAGCTTTAATCACTCACCACAAATAAGAGGTGAAATATAAGCATCATTTAGCTTCTTCGTTGCGGTCTGCCTTATTAGCAGGAGAGCAACACAACAGCGAGAGAGTTCTGCACTGAGCCTAAAGACTCAATTTCCATTCCAGCTCAAACGTTTACTGGTTCCAGGACCTTGAGGAAACCCTTTGACTCCCCAGAGGTTTTTCAGTTTTGAAATGGGGCCAATAATCTGTGCCTGGACTACTTCAGAGGGTTGTTTTGATGATCAAAATCAAAATGAGATAACACAAGTGAGAGCACTTTGGAAATTCATAAGTCTTAAAAGAGTCAAGATCTCCTTCTTCCTGGTGTCATGTTGTGGGTACAGTGTATTCTCTGTGATGGATTGTTAGTTTGCCCTGGACTGTGTCCGCAGGTTTCATTCCTGCTCCCAGCAAGCAGTTTCTCAAATGTGTGCTGCTGGTTCCTACTTGAAGACTGATGAGAAATGATGACAGCCCCATATCAACTCGCCATGATAATCCTAACATTTCTCTGCCACTGTAAAGGTAATAAAATCATTTTCAAGCACATGATGTTTCTTAACCTTTATAACCCTGTGCAGTTAATATTATTTCTCTCAATTCGCAGATGAGGAAACAAAGATGCAGATTCTTATTGTCTTCTCAAGTACATAGTGAGGAGCAGAACCTTTTCTTCTGGAAAACCAGATTTAAAGAAATAAGTACATAGGCAACTCAAGGGTATGGTCTGCTGATACACTAAAGGTTTTTTTTTGTTGTTGTTGTTTTGTTTTGTTTTTCTGTTTTAATGACTCTGGAGATGAAAGGTTGTAAATCAAGGGAATCCCAAGGTAAGAAAATAAAACACGTTCTCATTGGTTTGCCAGTGAAATGAATGATAAGTGCAAACTTAAACCTACAAGATCGAGGAGGTGAAGTTTAAATAGTAAGTTCTATAAGAGCCAACCTATAAAAACAGATCTGTAGTGTTCCTTCTGACTATACAGGGGTGTGATGGTTAATTTTATGCATTAACTTAACTGGATCACAGGATGCCCAGATGTTTAGCTAAACATTATTTTGGGTGTGTCTGTGAGGCTGTTTCCAGAGAGATTAGCATTTGAATTGATAGACTGAGTCAAGATTGCCCTGACCAATGCAGTTGGGTATCATCCAATCCTTTGAGGCCCGGACCAGAAGCCAAGAAGAAGGAAGGGAGAATTTGTCCCCTCTGCCTGATTGCTTGAGCTGAACATTGATCTCCTCCTCCTCTTGGCACTTCTGGTTCTCAGGCCTCAGACACAGACTGGAATCTACACCATCTGTGGACCTTTCCTGGGCCTCCAGCTTGCAGACAGCAGGTCTGCAAAATCAGATCAGCAGATCTGTGGAACCACACAGCCTCTGCCATCATGTGAGCCAGTTCCTTATAATAAATCTATTTACATGAATGTATATATCTTATTGGTTCTGTTTCCCTAGAGAACCCTAATACAAAGGATTCCCTCTCAGATATGTATAGAAATTTATTTTTATGAGTTTCTAGCCAGGCATTCATGTGATACCAATTCTTGGCCAGTACTAAACTTTGACTCTTAATGATTAAACCACACTCTTTAGGGAGACCACAATGTGGGGACACATTAACAGAAGCCAAACACCACACAAGCAATGAAACAAGAAGGACACACGTCATCTGCTAAAAATGTGTGTGTGTGTGTGTGTGTGTGTGTGTGTGTGTGTGTGTGTGTGTAACATCAGGGATCAACAATGCATGAGTTTGGGAAGACCAGATGATGAGACCCAGCTTACAAGGTATTTTGTATTTCTAATTGTTATAAAACCCGCCAGATTCAAAGTAAGTGAGAAATACAGATATAGAAATGGCACTCATAAATGAATTCAACTCCAAAGTGAATAAAACTTAAGACTATTTTAAAATAAAAGTGCAATTTTATTTAAATAAAATAAATGCTTTGAGTTATTTTAAAATAAATATTAGAAGAGCGAACCCAAATGTTAACTATGGACTTGGGTGATAATGATGTGCACTGTAGGTTCATAAATAATTGTAAGATATTTACCACTCTGGCACAGGAGGCGGATGGTGGGGTAGTCTGGGTGTGTGTAGGGGGAAGGGAGTGGGAGGACAGAGGGCATATAGGAACTCTGTACTTTCTGCCCAGTTTAGCCCTGAACCTAAAACTGTCCTAAAAATAGAGTGCTTTTTTAAAAAAAAGAAAAATTATTTTTTTAAAAGCACATTTTCTGGAGTTGTGATCTTCAGGATTACTGCTAGCAATTGCATTTTACAAACATGCAGAGGCCAGTGGCTTCCAATCTCTGAGTATAATATGTTGGTCTGGAGGATAGACTCTGTTTACCTTTTGGATCCAGACTTTGGTTCTGAATGAACATATTTTATAGAACATGCAAAGGGCAGCCGAGCTCGAGGAAGCCTGCAGAGTTCTGCAGTGTGAAGGCACACTGAGCAGAGATGGCATTTCCAGTTTTCACAGAAGATGCCACAGCTCTTGCATATACTGTATCTCCTTCCAACTTAAGTTCCCAAAAGGTAAAATCACCCTAAACAACCACTTTTAAAAGTCTAAATCACTTTCCTAAAAACCAGAGGAAATAAAAATCACAGTTAATATAAAACCAACTACTAATACTTCCTCTTCTACTACATGACTGTGTGCATAAATAAAACTCTGCAGACAATTCAAGGGAGCTTTAGAAAATCCCAGGTATCTACAGAGGTTATTGTTCTCTTTGATTTACCAATAGGGAGAATTTAATTGGTGCATTTATTGTGTTTATCACTGTAGTAACATGAATGAAAATTTTCAGGTCTCTGTCTGGCTTAGAAGGATCACTGCAATGCGATGCCACTGTCTTCCTTCAGGATGCACCCATGTGCTGAGGGATGTGTGCATTCACCCACTTAGGAGGCTATAATCAAAGCTGGCGGTCAGAGCTGGTGTTGGACCTTCCTACTGCCAAGTATGAGTTGATTAATAGCGTGAATTTTTACTCCGCCTTGTGGTCTTCTGATTTTTCCCCACATATCAGAACCTTGAATTTACAGTACGATTAGTAGACTTTGAACAAATATTTTAACTGAATGACTAATTGAATAAATGATTTAATTAACACAAGGTGAGTTCAGGGACCAAATAATTTGGATGATTTACAAGGTTCATGAAAGAACAGCAGATAAGGCTGGACTGTGGATTGGAGATAGAGTGTAGGATATCCTGAATGCCAGCTGAGGAGGTGGGAGGAGAGGAGCCTCCAGAGGTTTCTGAGTGGGGCGGGAGCACAATCAAAGCATGCTTAGTATGACTGTGATTAGAAGTCATGAGTCAAAGTAAATATCTGAGAGACATACCTAAAAAACAATTTTCTCTTCTTATTTTTCATGTTGTTAATGAATTATTTTTAAGTGGGTTTTAAGTTAACCTGAAAAGGTCTTGAAATTTCAATAAAATTAAAACATTCCATTTCCCAGAGCTCATGCAAAAGAATATTTCATAAGTGATGTATTTCCAAGGAAAAGAACATTGACATACTCTGACTACATGCTACCTAAAATAATAGAGGTTATTGGTTAAATATATTAATAACGAGAATCATACTAATAGTTAATAAGCTTATGTGTAGTTCTCCGACTTTTTTGAAATAATTTAAACATGTGTTAAGACCTAACATTTTTACTTATTCTTTAAAGCTACATACAGCTTTTTAAAAATAGCTTTATTAAAGAGATAATTAACATATCACAAAACTCAGCCATTTAAGTGTACAATTCAATGGTTTTAGTAAATTTGCAGAGTTGTACAACCATCAACACAGTCTAATTTTAGAATATTTTCATCAACAAAAAGAAACCCCATATGCATTAGCAGTCAATTCTCACTCCACGCCCATCCATCCCCAGCCCTAGGTAACTTAATCTTTCTGTGTCTATAGATTTTCTTATGCTGGACATTTCATTAAAATGGTATCATACAATATGTGGTCTTTTATGACTAGTTTGTTTCACTTAGCATAATGTTTTCAAGATTCATCCATGTTATAGCATGTTTGAGTAAGTATTTCTTTTTATACTGAATAATATTCCATTATATGAATATGCTATTTTTTAATCCATACATTCATTTATGGACATTTGGGTTGTTTTTATTTTGGGCTATTATGAATAATTCTCCTAGGAACTTCCATGCACAAGATTTTATGTAGGCATATTTTTTCTTTCTATTGGATATGTATCTAGAAGCAGAATTGCTTGGTCATCTGGTAACTCCATGTTTTACATTTTTAGGAGCTGCCAAACGGTTTTCCAAAATAGCTACACTATTTTACATTCCTATCAACATTATTTGAGAGTCGCAGTTTACCACATCCTTGCCAATGTTTGTTACTATTTTTAATTAAAGCTATCCTAGTGGGTGCAGGTGGTATCACATTGTGGATCACATTGTGGTTTTGATTTGCATTTCCCTAATGGCTAATCAATGTGAACATCTTTTTATGTGCTTATTATTCATTGTATATCTTCTGTGGATAAATATCTATTCAAATCCCTTGTCCATTTTTAATTTGGTTATTCATCTTTTCATTATGAGTATGAGGGTTCTTTATAAATTCTGGCTACAAATCCCTTCTCATATATTTGATTTGAAAGTGTTTTCTTCCATTCAGTGAGTTTTTCTTTTACTTCCTTTGATAATGTCCTTTAATGCATAAAAAGTTTCCAGTTTTCATAAAGTTCAATTTATCAATTTTTTCTTTTGTCACTTATGCTTTTTGTGTTATATCTATAAAAATCACTGCCTAACCCAAAGTCACAAACACTCTTAGGTTTTATTCTAAAAATTTATCATTGTAGCTCTTATTTTTAGGTCTATAATCCATTTTGAGTTAAATTTTGCAGATAGTGTGAGGTACAGGTCCAACTTCATTCTTTTGCATTCAGTTATCCCAGAACCATTTGTTGGAAGTACTATTCTTTCTCTACAAAACTGTGTTGGTACCTCTGCCAAGGATCAATTCTTCATAAATATATGGGTTTATTTCTGGGCTGTCAATTCTATTCTGTTGATCTATATACCTATCCTTGTGCCAGTACCACACTGTTTTGATTAATGTAGCTTTTATAATGAGTTTTGAAATCAGGAAATATGAGTGTCCAAGTTTGTTCCTCTTTTTCAAGATTGTTTACCTATTCTGGGTCTATTGCATTTCCGTATAAATTTTAAGATCGGCTTGTGAATTTCAGCAAAAATTCCAGATAAAAAAATTTTTATAGGGATTGCAATGAATCTGTAGATCAGTTTGGAGAATACTCCCATCTTGTCATCTTAACAATATTAATTCCTCCAATTCATAAATAAATATGGGCTTTTCCCTTATTTCAGTCCTTTAAAATTTCTTTCAGTAATATTTTATACTTTTCATTGTACAAGTATGACACTTGTTAAATTTATACTTAAGTATTTTATTCTTTTTATTCTATTGTTAATAAAATTGTTTTCTTAATTTCATTTTTAATTTTGCATTGTTAGTATATAGAAATATAATAGAGTTTTGTAAATATCTTGCATCTTGAAACCCTGATAAACTCATTTATAATTTTTAATTGAATTCCTGAATATTTTCTATATACATGATGATGTTGTCTGCAAATAGTTGTTTTACTTTTTCCTTTCTAATATGGATACCTTTTATTTAAAAATACTTTTATTCTGCCTTTTATATTTACTTATGCAGTTACCTTTACTAATGCTCTTTATTTATTCCCGTGGAGTCAAGCACTCCCTATTGTCCTTTCATCCTTTCAATTCTGTATGAAGGATTCCTTTTAATACGTTTTGTAAGGCAGTCTTGATAGAGACAAATTCTCTCAGTTTCTGTTTGTCTGGTAGTGTTTAATTTTTCCTTCATTTTTGACATGTAGTTTTGCTGGATGTGAAATTCTTCTATTACAGTCTTTTTCTTTCAGCACTTTAGATACATCAGCCCCGGTAAAAAGTAATTTGAGGAAAAAAAATAGATATGTTATCCACTGCCTTCTGGCCTATGTAGTTTCTGATGAGAAGCTAATTATTAATCTTAATGAAGATTCTTTACACATGATAGATCATTTTTCCCTTGTTGCTTTTAAGATTCTCTCTCTGCCTTTGTCTGTTGAAAATTTGACTATAATAATGTATAGGTATGGATCTCCTTGAATTTATTCTACTTGGAGTTTGTTGAGTGTGTGTGTGTGTGTGTGTGTATATATATATATTTAAAATCAAACTTAGGCAGTTTTGGGCCATAATTTTTTCAAGTAATCATTCTGCTTCTTTCTTTCCTCTATTCTCACATTCCAATTACACATATACATTTGTATACTTGATGGTCCCACAGATCTTTGAATCTCTGTTTATTTTTCCTTTCTGTTTCTCACAATGGATAATATCAATTGATCTACATTAAAGTTCACCATTTTTTTTCTTCTGTCAGCTAAAATCTGCTCTTGGGCCTCTCTGGTGCATTTTTCATTTTAGCTTAATACTTTTCAATACCAGAATTTCTATTTTGTTTTTTATAATTTTATCTCTTTATTGATATTCTCTATTTGGTGAGATATTGTTGTCATACTTTCCTTGATTTATTTTCATGTTTTCTATTAGTTCTTTAAACACTTCATAAAAGCTGATTTAAAATCTTTGTCTAATAACTCTAAGATTTGGGATCCCTCAGGGCCAGTTTCCATTGACTCCTATTTTCCTGTGTATGGATAATTCTTTCTTGCTTTTTTATGTGTCTCATAATTTCTTGTTGAAAATTGGACATTTTAAATAATATAATGTGGCAACTCTGGAAATCAGATCAACACCTCCCAACCAAGGTGTGTGGGTGTGTGTGAGAAAGGTTGCTATCATTTTGTTGTATTTGTTGTTTTTTTTTTTGTTTTGTAACTTTCCTAAGCTAATCCTGTAAAGTCTATATTCTTCATAGTGTGTAACCACGGTTCTGTTCAGTTACGTTGTTAATCAGCTAATGCTTGGTCAGAGATTTCTTAAATGCCTCCAAAAATTAAATCTTTCAACCTTTACTCTCAGGCTCTGTGTGTGTGTGTGTGTGTGTGTGTGTGTGTGTGTGTGTGTGTGTGTGTGTGTGTTGGGGCATGCTTTCCATGTTCAGGCAGCCAGTTTACAAACTCTACCCTAGACTTCATTTCCTGCTTGCACAGGGCTTCAAGATCAGCCAAAGACTAGAGACTGGGGCCGTCTCAGGTCTTTACTGGGCATACACACAACCTTGCATGTAAGTGCAGCCATCTAGATCCCCAGGAATATCTTAGAGCTCTTGAAAAGCCCCAGGGACATCTCATTTCCCTTATCTACGTTTTAAGTTTCTGGCCAGGCTCTTGTTTATCTCTCATGTTAAGTAATTACCACTAATTGTTTTTGAAAAATTCCCTGGGGATAGGGCTTTTCCTTTAACATATGTTGTGAATCAGATCAAATAACAACTGCTCCTTTTGAGTGGGCTTTTCCAGAGGCTGTGAGATAGGTCAAACAGTGACAGTGCTCTGCAGATAGAACATTCTGTGGAGTTACAAACCCCATCTACCCCGCCAGTGGCTGCATGGCTGCTGTTTTTCATAGCTACTATGATTGTGAGGCTGCTGATTTTCCAGGCTACTGCAGAGATGGGGAAAGAGTGATAACAGGAGATAAAGTACCACAAACTCTGCAGTTCTTAATGAGGTTCAGCAGTTTTTCCTGAATAAGCAGTTTTCAGATTGTTACAAGACTTTGTTAATTTCTAGAAGTCTAAAACGTTATTAGTGTTTTCATGGCTTAGTGTGCCAGTGTTTTCATGGCTTTTATGGCAGGGCAAATTATAGAGGTAGAGGTCCTCATACTGCCATTCCAGAAGTTTCCTACTAGTATTATTTTTAAAGGAAAACAAAGTTTAATTGAAGATTTTTGTGCATTATAAATGATTCTTCATCTTTATTTTCAACTGTTTTATTTAGGCAATTGCATATTGTAGTTCAAAATTCAATATTAATTTACAGAGTGTGACAGAAGCCTACATTTTCCTAGTTTCTTTCAGCACCTTCTTCATATCACATATTTCCTCGTGTTATATAGAGGGCTGAATCTCCCAAGTAACTCTCCTTTTTATTCCCCTTAATTTAGTTATGCTTTTTTTAACATGTGGTACCCAGAGCCAGACATATTATTTTTTATGTAATCAGATCTTTGCAGGACATACGAGGGCTTTCACATTTCTCCTGTTAAGGGTATTATGTTTTTATTGCTGTTGTTTATTAGCAAACACACTTGACTGAGTATATAAACCTACCCAGATTCAAATCAACTTGAAGCAAGACACGAGATAATAGAAATTGCAAGATAAATGCTGAACAGGTTGGTTTTTCTCTTTTGGACTTTGGGGACTTGGGTCCAGTGAGATCTGAAAATACCCAAAAAAGCTAGCAAAATACCAAAGCACACAAATTTACTTGTTATTTTATTTTGTTATTCTTTAAAACTATTTTATAAAATTTATTTAAAGTAGATTAACAAAAGATTTCTTCTTCCATTGTGAAATGCGTTATTTTCAAATATCTTTCTGATATCTGATCATTTGGTAAAAGAGCTCATTCTTTCCTATTAACTAGCCACACACATACACTTTTTTAAATATTTTAAATATCAAGAATACAAAAAGGGAAAATACACTTATTTGGCCATTAAACCTTTCTGGCATCTTATTAAAATCTTATCATAAGACATGAAAATAATTGATTTTATTGAAGATGTCCTCATTCAGTTCATCTATATCTAAGTGATATGCAGTATGCATAATCCTTTGTCAACATTCAAATAAATTTAAGACCATATTTTGGCATGATAAGTTCTAGTTTCTTAAAACTTGTACAATTCATGGCTGGACGCTGTGGCTCACACCTGTAATCCTAGCACTCTGGGAGGCTGAGGAGGTCAGATCACCTGAGGTCAAGAGTTCGAGACCAGCCTGGCCAACATGGCAAAACCCTGTCTCTACTAAAAATACAAAAATTCACCGGATGTGGTGGTACATGCCTGTAATCCCAGCTACATGGGAGGGTGAGGCAGGAAAATCACTCGAACCCAGGAGGTGGAGGTTGCAGTGAGCCAAGATCACACCATTGCACGCCAGCCTGGGTGAAAGAATGAGACTCTGCCTCAAAGAAAAAAAAAATTTACAATTCATACAGAGCAATTCTCCCACTATAATTTAGCCTTCTTATTTATGATGTTCATCTGAAATTCATACCATTGCTTAATAGAATACCTCAAAATCTCTTTCTGATAAATTCAGTGGCTCCACATTTGAGCATGAAAAGCAGCAGAAATAATCAAAGTATATTTTAAAACTGAAGACAACTAAACTGTCAGTTTAAAGGAACACTTGTTATCAAACTTCTATCTTACAAACATTTAGGCTCCACCTAAAAATCTAGAGCAAAGACCAAAACATTGTTTTGACAGAGTCTAAGAAGAATGTGAGGAACAAAGAAGCAAGAGAAAACATGAAAAACTAAAATTGATATCTCTCTGGCTCCCTCTGTTTGTTTTTTTTTTTTTTTTTTTTAGCTGTATGACTTATTAGATAATTGTTGCCATTTATAACAAGGATATTATACTTTTCTATTTGTGGTGTTAACCAGAGGCACAGAGCACACAGAAATGGGGAGCTGGATGCATATATTTACATATTTAAATTTTATAATCCCTAGATCTCTACTTTTTAGCTTCTTTCTCAAATAGATTGAAACCCTTCCCTGGATGACTGATGGAACAGATTGGAGTTTTATTGCTAAAGGGGAATAAGAAAGTAGAAAGCCATGTGCTATAATGGAGGCGTACTTTGCAATCCTCTCATTTTAAATGTATATTAACAACTTGATTCTATAATGGAATAACTTCAAGAGTAGCTCTAAGCTCTCTACAAAATGGCTAACTATATTCTTCTTATTCATTTCAACCTTCTAAATAAAACATGCGACCTCTTCACCCCCACTTAAAATGGCAGCATTGAGTTTTTCTACAATATTCATTATTATATATGTCTTTGAGCCTCTGTTAAAAATATGAATATGGAACCTTGGCACTAATAAATGAGCTTGATCTACACTATGCAAAAGGTATCAGAAATAATCAGTACACTATCTAGGGAGAAGTCCAAGACAATATCCATTTGGTTTTCTTCCTTAATTTTGTAGACTTATTTTATTTGGTGAGAGAAGATTCTTTGGGTTCAGAGTGGCCTAGATTTGAGTTTCAGGTTTATCTCTTTACTAACTGTGAGAACTTATGCGAGTTACTTACATATACTAAAATATACTGAGTCTCAATTTCCTCATCTGTAAAATACGGATAATAAAACCTGTTGGCAGGACCAAATCATAAATTAAATGACTGCACTGAAAGGAGAGTTTGACTCCTACGAACCTCTAAGACATTCATTGTACAGGAACAACCTCCAAGTTCCTCAATGTATGTGGAGATTCAATAAAAGACCATCTCGTTAGAGATGTGAAAAAATGTTTTCCTGAAGAGATTACCCCTGTCAATATAAAATTATTTTATTTTCTGGAGTTACAACTGTGTTAAAAATTACATCAACTCTTTTATCTGTTGTAGGAAGTGAGCATTTAAAGTAAAAGTTTCTTAATTGTCAATACTTTGTATTGAAATCCTAACCTATTACTTTCTCCAGCTGTTCTGCCTAGAACAAGGTTGTTTCCCCATGCCCCAGTTAAAGATTTCAGGCATCAGAAATATAGAAATTAAAGAAAGAAGGGAAGGGAAGGAGAAGCGCAAGAGAGAATGTATGTTTTGGGGGTAGGGAAGAGAAATGGGTAGTAGCAATGTGTGTATATGTGTGTAGCAGAGGTGCTGATAAGAGTGGCTACTTCTCAGCTATCTGAGGATGAAACTAAATCTCTCTATTGTCTTTTAATTCATACAATCCCTTCTGAAGACAGATGCATTTTTCTTTCCTTATGTTATCAGAGTCACTTTCTGCAATCTCAAAAGCAGTTCAAAACCAAAGGATATCAAAAGCCAATGCAGTTTGGAGAAAGTCTGAAACCCAGGGCTCTGCACTGCTTGTCTCTTTCTAAATTGAAGTGCAGAAGTGCATTAAGGCTGTTGCCATCAATCACTGTTCAAACCCAGGATAAAAGATCTGTACCTGCTGGAAGGCAATCTCCCACCCCACAGTGCTGCAATCAAATGTATAATTTTTGTGAATTTCCACCAAAACTTTCTACAGTATCTGGCTTATGCCCCTGATTGTATTATCTTCCATGTTTAGGTTATATCTTTCCCCCAAAAATTGTTAGGAAACATTTGCTTACTGCCATGTAACATCTAAAAATATAAAGACATTAAGAGATGTGAGAAAATGCCTACGGGTTTTTGTATTCCAATTGCCATCCCTGAAAGCCACAACAGAGTGATTCACTGTTTTTCATGGAGAAAACTACCAATCAACAGAGAAAAAAAAAGGAGACACTGAGGGATATAGTGTGGGCAGCTCTAGTTATAGTCATTCATTATCACAGCTTGCACACTGCACAATGGGAGCTTCAAAAGATCACAGCTGGACTTTCCATGAAGCACATGTTACAGGACATCACAAGCTGGGTCCCACATCATCTGGGTCAGGGGCCAGGCCAAAGTTGTAATGAAAAGCATTACAACAAGTTTAGAAGTTTTCAGAAGAAAGACGAAGAAGAGATATAAAATTCACACATATGAACTTATTTGGGAGAAACCTGATGGAGGAAAATGAAAGAAAAAAAGATGGAACAAGAGCATTCCTAGTTAGAAATTTAACTTTTTTTAAACAAGGAAAACCAAGAAATACAATATAATAGTGTCTTTTTAAACAGAGAAGAATATGACTCCATAAGCAAGGCCTTGGAATTTTACTGCAAAGGGCTGACATATGTAGTGAACAAAGATCAGAATTATAAAATCAAAAATAAAAATGTAGCCCTATTTCCAGGCTGAAGTGAGCTGACAAGCCACATCCACTATGTGCCTGGGGGTCCCTGTCTTGGGTCATTCAGTCTCCCAGAACTGTCCACAAACCAGTAGACAGTTTCCTTCTCATCTTGGAGAGGTGGGGAGAGCTGGGGTCCTGAGTTGAAAGGCTTGAGCTACTGGCAATGGCTCTGACATGAAAACAAGCCCTATCTCTCTGTACAGGCCCCACAGCCAAGCTTCCAGCAAGCAGTAGCTCTGGAGACTGTAGCCAAGAATGATCAAAAGCAAAACCCCACACCCATGAGACAAATCTAATATATCATCCACAGCACCCTCTAACTGGAGGCACAGACTTTGAGATGGAAGTGCACTGGCTGAAGTAAATAGGGACGAGGTAGAGCCCTTCTATCTGCTAGAAACTACGTGATCCTGAATGCTCATTTGTCCCATGCACTACCAATAAAGAGATCTCTGAAGTGGATCTGTCAGCCCCACTCACAGGCTAAAAGCCTCACTTCTGACTCCATGGGTTTGTATCTCCCAGCTTTGTGAGTAGGAAGCAGAATTTTTCCAATACTCTTGCTCCAAACTGGGGAGTAAGACCACACAGCCAGGTGGCTTCTAGTTAGGCAGCCCCATGAGTTGTAAAGATACTTCAAACGCTCTCAGACTCAATTCTTCTAGCATGTACAAATGATTAATAGCAGCAATTCTATTGCATCCAGACATTCATTTTTCCAATTGTTTCCCACCCCCTCCCCTCGCTGGGGAAATGTCATTTAGCCACTAAGAAACCAAACACAGACATCAATAGCTTTAAAACTCTGTTTTTGGTTCACCTTCTGCCGCTGAGACTCTAGTAAGCACAGCACATAACATTGCAGTAGTCCAAAGAAAGTCCTCAACCAGCCCTGGATAGTGGAGGCCCTTGGAGAGACTGATAATGACTGAGTCATGTGGATTTAACCCAGAAACCCAACAGCCAGCAAGCTAGTCTTCTTCATCTTGAAAAATCTTAATAATCCAAACAATATGTGAAATATTAAGCTAGAGCACTTTTATGAAATTCCATATCAATTCAGAAACTGGCATGAAATTTCTTTCTTTGTTTGTGTTCACAAATACCCCATTCATCAAGATTGCTAATGGCTGGGCTTTGCAGACTTAAAATGTGAGAAATGAGATATTGTAAGATGACAGTGTAGGGTGTTGGCAGCCTGGGCTGCTAGGTTTCAAATCCTGGCCCTGCCACTTACTAGTTACATAACCTTGGATATCATGCTTAACCTCCCTCTCCTCCATTTCTCCGTCTGTAAGTGGGGATAATGTTAGTTATTTCATAGGATTGTTATGAGAATTAATTACTATATGTAAATTGTTTAGAATAATCCCTGGACATCATAGGAGTTCAATAAATGTGAGATACTATTATGTCTGGGTGAATCTTTTCTCCATTTACAGAGGAAGAAGGCAAACGACTAAAGCCTGCTGGGGTGGTTACGTTTATATTGATGAGGAGAGAGTAAAGAATGGAGAAAAGAAAGTGAGAAGTGAGGTCACACATAGAACCAAGTGGAAAATACCTGCAGGGCATTGCAAAGGTGTGGCTGCAGGGCTTCGCTATTCATAGAGCAAACTCTGGGAGAATGTCATTACAACCACTGACCACTGGCAGGAGCCATTTGAAAATTCAGTCATTTTCTCTCTCTTGTACTTTGAAGAATTAAATTACTGTTCACCAGACAATCCTATCTCAGAAGCAGAAAGTAACACTAAACTAATTAACTTTTAACTTTTTTTTTTTTTTTTTTGAGATGGAGTTTCGCTGTTGTTGCCCAGGCTGGAGTGCAATGGCGCGATCTTGGCTCACTGCAGCCTCTGTCTCTTAGGATCAAGCAATTCCCCTGCCTCAGCCTCTTCAGTAGCTGGGATTACAGGCATGTGCCACCATGCCTGGCTAATATTGTGTTTTTAGTAGAGACGGGATTTCTCCATGTTGGTCAGGCTGGTCTCAAACTCCCGGCCTTAGGTGATCCGCCTGTCTCAGCCTCCCAAAGTGTTGGGATTACTGGTGTTAGCCACCGTGCCCGGCCCTATAATTAACTTTTAAAAGGTTTCCTGGATTCTTGCTAAAAGAACTCTCCATCCTCACCAAATACCTCCTCCCAAGTCTTAGCCATAATGGCACCAAGGGGCAACTGTTAGCTAGGAAGAGTTTCAAAGGTTAAAAATAATCGAATATTGACTCAAAGATATAATATCACATTATAAAGTACAGATCTTATTTTTTCTCATCTAAAACAATTAAACATTTCTATAATTCTAAAAAAGATGAGCCAATTGTGATGCAATAGCAATTGTTAAATTGCAAAACATATGCTTTCTACATATTCATGTTGATTCTAGAATGACATCAAAGTAAAGTGATATAAACTGTTCATCTTTATATTCTGACTTAACAATAATAATTTTTACTCCCTGATGATCTCAAAATACTTAACAGACATTATCTAACTAAGAAGGTATTAAGCCTTGTGTGGTGGCTTAAGACTATAATCCCAGCACTTGGGGAGGCTGAGGCAGGTGGATCGCTTGAGGCCAGGAGTTTGAAACCAGCATGGGCAGAATAGGGAGACCTTGTTTCTACAAAAAAAATTAAAACATTAGCTGGGCATGGTGGTGTGTGCCTGTGATTGGTCCCAGCTCCTGAAAGGCTAAAAGTGAGAGGATCCTTTAAGCCCAGGAGGTTGAGGCTGCAGTGAGCCATGATTGCACCACTGCACTCCAGCCTGGGCAACAGAGAGAGACCCTGGCCGAAAAACAAAAACAAAAACAGAAAAGAAAGTATTAATGGGAGATTTCTATGCAAATATTATAAAAAGTTGGAGTAGAAAATATGGGGATGTAAGATCTAAATTAATGATAAATCTTTGAAATGTAATAATAACTCATTATTATATTGTCTTTAATGGTTTAGAATATATCTTCCCATGCATGATATCATTTAAATTTCAACACAAATCTCTGAGATACGTGGGCAAACATATAATAATCTGTAATCAAGAAAGCTCCAGAATATTGAAATTGAGTAATCAATTTAGTTTCAATTTTAAAAAGTAAATGCAAAATTAAAATAATTTTGTATATAAATTCAAAACTTTGTAATCTTCCTGAAATATATATTAATAAAGTATCTCTTTTTTAGATAAAAAAGGCATTTATCTCAATTTTTAGTGAAAGAAAATCAATGGAGACATGAAATACAGTATTCAATCGAAGTTTCTAGTTCAGGTATACAATTTTTAACCCAGGACGAATATTTTCCCTCAAGTTATGTAAAGTTTTATGCTTACAACATGTTATTTTACTATCTGTCATTCTGAGATATTAGAAAGCTATTAGGATATTTTCTTTAAATAAATGATCCCCATATATTATTTTAGAAAAATAATTTTATTGTAGTTTGTCCCAAATCCAGAAAAAGCACAGCTTTTACACAGACCCATGAATAGTGTGGAAAGCAAAGGGTCATCCAGATTTACCCTAAACTTACTTGTTTCAGGGTTAACCTGTCACGAACCCAGCTGGGAGTAGTCCCCAGTCTCATCAGAACTATGTATCTCTTCATCTTCCATAAAGAGTAGAATGAGGAGCCTATAAACAAACACTTAATATCTCTGTTTGCCTATCAAAGTTTTGCAGGAAGCCAGATAATCTTTCTAAAAGTAAAACGTGTGATGCGAATTTATGGAAATGCATTCTACATCCCTGTCACTCTCCAGGACACATCAAACCCAGTGACACTCATGAGTCAGAATGTGATGGTGAACGCAAATCAGATAAGGGAAGAAATCAATCACTTAATGTCTTTATGTCCATATCCTCGTCTACACCACTAGTCTCCAAAGATATAGAAGAAGAAAATATTCAAACTTCTATTTCTATTATGTTAATCTCATTCTTCCAAAATGTCTACATTTTATATTTCTCATAATGTGAATAATATATTAATACAGTAGTGACAGGTAGTAATTCCAAACGAACCTAGTTTAAACAAGAGGGAAAAATATTCCTTTGTATATGAGAGCAGTCTTGCAGGGAAGAAGGACTTTTTTATGCTCAAGTGGATGTATTCTGCTTTTCTAAACTGGCTTGCTTCTTACAGAAAGAAAAAAAAAGAAATATGATGAGTGAAAAATTTTCTAGAGAATATGTGATAAACCAGAATGTCTGAAATTTCTAAATCCAGTAAACTTTTCCCCCCACTTACACTACATGATCAGGATGGGTCTTATTTATCAGGAATGCACTGAGATCCGGATCATTATTACAGGCTGTAAACCTGGGAACACAGTGTGTTTGAAGTGATGAATTTAATAGCGTCCGATGACAGCAAATCATAATGACAGAAGGTGTGTCATAAAATCAGTCAGAGACGAGTTGTGAAACATGAATATTGCCAAGTCAGCTTGTGGGAAATTATGTGATTTTCCCTGTATTTCTAACATTTTAAGAAGGTCAGCCTTCAGGAGTCCTTTCAGAATCTGAACTGAGGCACTTAGGAGGTCTCTCATAGATTGCATAACTTGAAACACCACAAGAAAGAATGGGGGCAGGCATAGAGAAGGACATTCTATTTTCCTGTAATTTTATTTTCCCTTAACCTAATAAAACATTCCAATGGAAAGTGACAAAAAAGCAGCTCCAGTAATTTGTCAAACGCAGACTAAGCACTGCATAAATAGCCTCAATATGATTCCCCCAGTATTCACTTCATTCCTATGCAGGCAAGATCTCAGGGACAGGTGCAGACCCCCAATTATTTTTTCTGATGGCTATGTTTATATTAAATAATGCTCATTCCCCTGAAATATTTAATCTTAGATTAATTGCCACAATTGTCAGAATACACATAAATCGGACCCAAATTCTGCCATGTTTCAACAACTAGAATATAGAACATGAAATATTTAGTTCCTTTGCTCCTGTGATATCAATCTCATATCAATCCTCTTTCACAATATTCTTAACCGTGGCCTAGACATCAAGATTTTTAAAGCTCTCACATAATTGTAATGTACACCCCAAAACTGAGAATCAATGGACAGGGGACTCAGAAACTCACAGAGAAGCTCTTTAGGGAGCTTGCAATGTGATTCAGAGCAGAGTGGCTACCTGCTCTTAGAATCCCTCACTCCCCTGGATCTCCTGGAATGCCCCTACCTCCCGCTAGGTGAAGACACCTCAGTTAGTGTCAAGAAACACTCCAACCTGTATGAAAGTAATTGCGTCATTTTTTAGCAACAGTACGGTATTTTAAGGGAAAATTCTGAAGTTGGGCTCTCTGGGGGAAAATAATTATTTTAAACTCCTTCCCATATTATCAGGTTATGGCCCTAGACACCAGGGTCTACTAGAGGGGGAAAGGTAAGAGGAGGGTGAGGGTGAGGGTCAAAAACTATGCTCACTACCTGGGTGACGAGACCATTTGTACACCAAACCTCAGTGACATGCAATTTACCCATATAACAAACCTGCACGTGTATCCCCTAAACAAAAACAAAAGTTGAAAAGAAAAAAAAATACAAAACATAAATTTGATAAAACACTAATAAGACTGATTAGAAAAAAGAACAGAAGAAAAAAATTAAAAATTTGAGGAATGACTACAGATAGAGTAGATATTTATAAAAATATTTGAGAATACTATGAAGCAAATTATGCCAACATATATTAAGATATAAAAATGGACAATATTTTAGAAAAATATAACATCAAAAATTGAACTGAGAAAGCCTGGAAAACTGTTTTTCAATGACCAATGACCATTAAAAAGTTGAACAAACAAGACTTAGAAAAATGTTTTAGTCATGTTTTACCAAATCTTAGAGGAATAGATAAGCTTTCTCTTATATACATTATTTCAGAGGATACCCAAATAGCTATACAAATTATATTTAAAAATACATTATATTTTATATTATATATAAATCAGTAGCATGATGACATCAGGAAGTGAAATTATTTATTTTTTTCCTGTTCAGCATTTATAGCAATTCATTTTGTCTGGATGTTTGCTGGGCCATGTGCTCCAGTCAAAGATTAACCTTTGCAGGAAAAATTTAAAAAATTAAAAATGTACATTTAATTCTAATGTTTTAAATTTTCTCTACTCAGAAGAGGTTAAAAGGAAGATAAAAAATAGTTTATATCAATCTGATATATTATTTAGATAGTCTGGCTTTGAGTCAAAGAGACCAGGAAGAAAAGAAGAAGAGCAAGGAGGAGAGGAAGAGAAGAGGAGGAGGAAGAAGAGAAGGTGGAAGAAGAGAAGGAGGAAGTGAAAAAGGAGGAGGAGAAAACATTAATTTAGAAGAAGGAATCAAACAAAGAAAGATTTGGAGGCCACTTCTTCACAGCCATATGGGATAAATGACAAAGAACAGGCCTTGCTATTTAATGAAAATAAGCTGCCAAAGTACAGGACCATGCAGAAAATAACAAAGCATTTAATTATACAGTGACAGTTGCAGCACTGGGGATTTCCCAGAGATTAATGGAGCAGCTGGGAAGAGTCGATGGCCCTGGGGACAGCCAATATGATCCCAGTCAATGAATAATACTCAGGAAAAGCTTCTTGTTAACTTCACTATTAAGCAGAAAATGGAGGAGAACTTGGGTGCTTGGCTTGTTTTCCTCTTTTTCTTCTTATTAGAAAAAAATTAACATGGGGATAATTTGATTTCAATTAAGATTCCTACAGAGATAATTAGACTATCTAGTTCATCACACTCACTATTCAACTATCTTAACGATGGATAAAACTTTTCCACTATTTCAGGCTAAACTGGAAGTTACGACCAAGATAATCTTTGAGGAGATGGTGGGAGGAAATAGACTCTGAAAATTGACCTTTCAAGAGCAGAGGGGTAGAACCAGCTCTCAAGGCAACAAGTAGGAGTAAGGCACAATGCTGAATACTAGTAAAACACACTACTCTTGTTGGAAAGCAAAGCTTAAAATGTGCCCAAGAGTAAATGCAGTACTTAGCACATCCAAAGTCTAACTATATTAATACAAACTAAATGTGATTTGACTAGAAGCCAGCAAACTCCTTAAGTCTGGGGTCTTAGCACAATTGCTTACTTGTTCACACTTTATTTGGTGACCAGCCATAACACTGATGGGTCTTAAGTTTGACAATGTCAGCTACAAACATGAATTAAGGCCAAACATATTTACTACATTTTCTTAGTCATTTAGCTATTCTTAATAGCAAAAATAAATGCTCTGAGAACCTTTTTTTTTTTTGAGATGGAGTTTTGCTGTTGTCACCCAGGCTGTAGGGCAACGGCGCAATCTTGGCTCACTGCAACATTTTCCTGCCTTATTCAAGCAATTCTCCTGCCTCGGCCTCCCGAGTAGCTGGAATTACAGGCACCCGCCACCACACCCAGCTATTTTTTGTACTTTAAGTAGAGACAGGGTTTTGCCATGTTGGCCAGGCTGGTCTTGAACTCCTGACCTCAAGTGATCCACCCGCCTCGGCCTCCCAAAGTGCTGGGATTACAGGTGTGAACCACCGTGCCTGGCTGAGAACTTTTTCTTGAGTTATACTAGATGAATTACAGACTTTATTATAATTTTATGAGACTACATATTGTTCTCCCTTTTATTATCAGGAAATAAATACTGAACATAGGAGGACATGGAGAATTTTTTCCCAGTGGAGTAAATTATAGAGAACACCAAACTGGGTTATAGAGTTCCAGAGCTAGAATGGGTCCTTCAACAGGAAATACTTGTATCTTAAGGATGAGAAATAGATATCCAGAGAGATGAATTACTAGGTTTGCAAGGCCACGTGGCTAATTAGTGAGAAAGCCAAGGCCTTAACTCCTGTTCCTTGTTCACCAGTCCAATGTTCATGTATTTCCAGCAGTGTTTTGTTTCTTTCTCACATGGTTGCCTTTAATGCCTCCTTGGTGAAGAGATATTTATCTTGCATGCTCTAATAGAATAGGTTTTTGACAAAGGACAAGACAGAACGCTCTGTCCAGAGACCCAAGCTTGGGTAACCACTGTTACTTGGAGAAGGTCACAGTGTCTCTACAGATATATTCAGAAAGTTACACAAACACACAAAGCTTTCTAATCTATTAACATTCTCTTTGGATCGTCATGCATGAAGAAATCCCCAAAGAGGAGGCAGCATCAAGTACATCAACAAAAAGTGATGATCTTGTGGATTATTTCATGCTCCAACTCTGACTCCTGCCCTGGGCATGGCATTCATCTTCCCTGAACTCCAGAAATAAAGATGTAATATATTTTTCATATTTAATGTAAAGATGAACTTTTTTAAAAAAATTAAGTGTATCTAGCACATAACAGGTGGACATGATGTGTGCTTATACCAAAAACATATTAAAATTGTATTTAGCATGTAATAGGTGCTCAATAGTATGAGATTATTTGCTCTTCCTTAAAAGGGTTTTTCAGCTGAAATTATAGTCCTTAGAGATAAGTAAATATGCTACTTGGAGAAAGGATGAAATCAACTGTCCTTTCCATGGCTTTCTGTTCTCTATGGGCAGTAGTTATGGGAATGCCTCAGACGCCCACGCACTCTCAGAGTATGATGAGAGATCACTTGTTCTTTTTATCAGATTTCTTGATTTCTTGATCAGTCACCAAAAAACACAAGGTGTCCCATATTGTCTCTTCTCCCCATAAGTCCACTACGATGTTGTGTAGTGATGGTAATGTTCTATGTTTGCCCTGCCTTACTTGGATTATTGCAGTAGCCTCCTAACTGGTTTCTAGGTTCCTACCCTTGTTTTCAACCTCTCTCCTGTAAACACACATCATATTGTTTTCTTAGCATAGAAATTATAGACTGTTAAATGTGTCACATGTCATTTCTTTGCTTAAAATATTCCAATGGTTTTTCATCTTATTCCAGTAATAGTCAAAGTCTTTATAGTGACCTGCAAGAAGCTACATAGTTTCACCTCCCCAAGAATCTCTCTGACCTCTTTCTTCTCTTCCATTCCACTCTACTCCACCTAAACTGGCCTTCTTTTTGCAGAAATAGGCCCTTTCACTTGCTGTTTCCTTTTCCTAAAATACATTTGTCCATATATCCACATGATTCACTCTCTCACTCTTTTCAGATCTTTGCTTAAATGCAATCTTCTCGCTGAAATATTCTGGTTATTCTGTTAAAAATTGCAACTCTTAATATTATTTTTAGTCTCATCAGTTTTCCCCATTATAGCTATTACTGACACACTGTGTATTGAAGTATTAATTTTCTTATTATGTCTCTTTCCCTTTAGAATGCAAATTTTGTTTTTAAAGCTCTTTTGTTCATTGCTATATTCCCATAGCCTTAAACAGTGACTTACATATAGTAGGTGGTAAATAAACATTTGTTGAATAGATGGTTCTACAGCTAGAGGATTAGAAAGAAGTGTCTTCTGAGAAAGGACTTTGCATTACCTTAACCAAACATGAGGACTAAGAAATGGAGGGCTCACTGAATCTGTTCTCAAAAATTCATGGAAAAGGCAGAAGGCCACAGCCTCCTGGTTATCACTTATGTCAGCAAGGTTACAAACCAGGGAGCTTGACGTTAAGAAACCTGCATGATTTCTTAAACTCTACACATTCCCAAATATGCTATTTTCATAATTCTCTATCCATTTCTAGGTAGTAGTTTACAATGTTACACTTCTCAGTAACAGTAAGATAAGAGAGAAGGGTACAGTATATGAAGTCCAGTTTAAAAATAAGATTACAGGTGTGGGAGTTCAATTCTGTAAGAATTAAAGTAGATGAGGATAGCTTAAAGGCTTAAAGCAGCTTAGGCCTGTTGCTTCTGTGGTAAGGGACATAAGAAAGCATGGGAAGCCAGTTTGGGCCTACAACAGGTCCTCAGGGTTCCAGGGGTGTCCAATCTTTTGGCTTCCCTGCACCACATTGGAAGAAGAATTGTCTTGGGCCACACACAGAATACACTAACATTAATGATAGCTGATAAACTTTAAAAAAATCACAAAAGAATCTCATAACATTTTAAGAAAGTTTAAGAATTTGTTTTGGGCTGCATTCAAAGCTGTCCTGGGCTATATGCTGTGCACAGGCCGCAGGTCGGACAAGTTTGGTAAATAGTGGGAATGTCTTGGGGTGCTCAGACACCCCAAAGCAAATGTCATTGGTAATGGGTTATGTACACAACATAGTTCTAGGTTGACCCAAAGATGGCAAAGATGCTCCTTGATTTGTAGGTCAACCCAGTTCTGATAGAGCCAAAGAGAGTTTTCAACATTTAGAATATACAGGTTAAGTAGCTGAAAACATAAATGATAGGCAAAAACAAGAAGAAAGCCCAGTTTAAGACCCTGATAATGGACGGAGCCAAAGATGGGAAATACAAAAGAAGGAAGAACACAGTATCTGGAGTAAGTATATTCATTTTCTGTTGCTGCATAACAAATTGCCATGAGCTTAGTGGGTCTGAACAGAACCCTTTATCATCCCATAGTTTCTGTGGTCAGAAGTCCTTTGCTCAGCATCTTGCCAGGCGACATTCAAGGTCCCAGTTGGGATTGCAGCCTCTTCAGAGGCTTGACTTGGAAAAGATTTACTTCCAAGCCTCCCCAGGTTGTCAGTAGACTTCAATTCCTCAAAGTTGTGAGATTAAGGTTTCACTGTTTTGCTGGCTGTCAGCTGGGGCCACTCTCAGCTAACAGTCTTATGGAATGTAACTTTTAATTATGTAAGTGGCATCCTATCACCCTTGCCATTTCCTATAGGTTAGAAGACAGTTACGGATTCTACCCACACTCAAGGAGAGAGGACAGGACTCATTAGGGGTGCCTGTCACACCCACACAAGGATCATAGATCTTCAGACAATCATATTTCAGTCACAGGCTGCTGCCATACATGGTAGCATGGACTTCTGTGTAGACTAAAATGATTTACTAATTCTAGATGTAGAATTGAACATTCTAAACAGTAAATCCTTTCTCTCCCTTATCATCTCTATGCAATCAAGCATTAGCTTTTGTTAATTATGCCTTTCTGAGACCTCTGAAATCTGTCCACTTTCTCTCCAAGCCACTCACTATAGTGTCAGGGCCTCATCCTCCCAGTATAATCTATTCCTCATAGGGAAGCCAGAGAATTTTTTTTCAAATTGTAAATTTAATAACATCACTCTTGATTCAAGCTCTTTACTAGCTGCCATCGTATTTAGGTTAAATCCCAAACTTCTTAACACAATGTGCACTCTACTTAACTTTCCAGCTTCATCTCTCTCCAGCCTCCCCTTGAACTCCATGATCCAGCCAAGTTAACTGTTTCTTCATTTTACAAAGGTTCCTTGTTTTCCCTTGTCTCCACTTCTGCTATGCTATTTCTTCCACTCTAAAGACATCCCTATCATTTATCCCCTCTCTCCTCAGTCAATTCCAACTTGGCCCATTCCTACTCATCTTCAGCTCTGTGACCTCTGATGCCTGCAAGCCTGAATTCAGTGTTGCTTCTATACGTTCTCATAGATCCATGCACTTCTCTTATCCTGGCACTTACTGCTTTATCAGGATCTGCCTGACTTGTTAGCCACAAATCCCTAAGGCTAATGGTGACCTGACCTAGTGATTGCTGAGCTGCTGTTGAATGAACAAATGCCAAGTATCATGGTAAGCACTATCTTGTCATTGTCCTGGATGCCTAATATAGTTTGGATCTGTGTCCTCACCCAAATCTCATGTTGAATTGTAATCCCCAGTGTTAGAGGTGGAGCCTGGTGGGAGGTGTTTGGATCATGGGGCAGATTTCTCATGAATGGTTTAGCACCATCTCCTTGGTGCTGGCCTCGCGATAGTAAGTGACTTCTCATGAAAGCTGACTGTTTACAAGTGTGCGGCATTTCGCTGTCTCTCTTGCTCCTGCTCCTGCTATGCGATATGCCTGCTTGCCTTCTGCCTTCTGCGATGATTGGAAGCTTCCTGAGGTCTCCCCAGAAGCAGGTGCTGCTACGATTCTTGTATAGCCTATAGAATCATCAGCCAATTAAACCTCTTTATAAATTACCCAGTCTCAGCTATTTATATCAATACAATAATAGCCTAACACAACACCTTACAGTTATTTTTTTACAGGGTTAAAATGTATTTTAAAAAACCCTAAATATTGCATATGCAATACCTTTTTATTTTGAGATAATTTTAGACATATAAAAGTTATGAAAATAGCACAGAACAGAGAATTATGTATTCCTTCACTTAACCAAAATGCAATTATCAAGACTAAGAAATTAATATTGGTGCAATACTATTAACTAAACAACTGATTCAACTGGATTTCACCAGTTTTTTCCAATAATGCTGTTTTTTTCTCTTTCCAGTATATGATTCAACACCCCACACTGTATTTACTTGTCATGTTTCCTTGGCTTTCTGTAATCTGTGACAGTTCCTCAGTCTTTCCTTGTCTTTCGTGACCTTAACACTTTTAAAGAGTACTGGCCAGCCATTTTGCAGAGTGTCTTTGATTTCAGGTATGTCTGATGTTAACCCATAATGAGGATAAGCATTATTGGAAAGAATGCCAGAGAAGTGACGTGCCCTTCTCAGTGCATCATATAATCATGTCAGTATGTCTCATTCCTAGCTATGCTAACCTTTAGTATTGCTTAACATAGTGTCTGCCGGATTTTTTTCACCATAAAGTTACCACTTTTCTCTTTGTAATGAATAAATATTTATTTAAGGGGAGAACTATGGGATTATGCAAATATCCTGTTTCTGCTTAAATTTCTACCCACTAAATCTATTGATGGCTGCTTTTAGTGATTATTCCTCTGGTATTCTAATGTTCTATTCCACTCATGCATTCTATAATTTGTTAATTGGAATTGTGTTCTAAGGATGACTTGCTGTTTCTACTGCCTTTATTCAGTTATTTGTTTCGGTATGGCCTCAGGGATATCCATTTTATCCCTTGAGTTATATTCAGTAATATTTTTGGCTTTACGCTGTTATTTATTTTGCTTAAACTGTATAACTCCTGCCATGGGGAACTGTTTTTATTTGAGGTTGGTAGACATGCCTCCACCCTTTCATTTTTCAGCACTTCCTTACTTTCAGACACCACAAGATGTTCCATACCAATCTTCATCCCATGCCCCAACCTTGAATCTAATCACTTCTCCAAAAACTCCATCTGCCTTCTATTGGAGAATTTATATCTGTGTCTGAGAACACTGTGATGGCTTTAACTCTACACTCATCCCATGCTGCCCACACTGGGGCTCTCTGTCTCACTTTTGGTTCCCTCAAAGAAAGATAAACTCAAGATGACAGCTTTAGAAACTTTTATGGGTCCACAATATAATAATGAACACATGACCATATAATATAGGAACAAGAGTGCTGTACTTAGAGCTGGAAGATATTCCTGATCATCTGGTATTTTCACTCTGGGTCTGGTTTGGATGGAAAAATATTGTAAGTAAGAGAAAGTACAAGTATAATTGCAAATGAGAGAAATCTGCCTTAGAACGCTTTGGCTATCATTTCCCCTGGATGTGTTATTTCCTAAGTTTCAGTGGTAGGTAAACGATTCAGGTTATTATTAATCCTATAGAAAGGAGCAAATTGGTGAAAAGAGGCTTGCTTCTTTTTATTCTTACTTTCCCATCCCTCCCTCCAAAAGGATTTGAATGTGAGATTTCACATTGACAGCAGGAAAAAAAAGTAAGTACCTTTACAAGAACAATCAAAACAATGACTCATGAACTCTGTGCAAGAATTTAAGATTATTTCCCTGTTTTGAGAACCTTCAGGGGATTGTGCTAAATCATATGCTGACAGGTGAAAAGGAGAGAGTGCGCAGCTGGGGGACATCTATGTTTGCATGAAAAACTTTTGCAGGGTTCAGGCTGCGCTCTAAATAACAAACACTGGTTTCCTTCAACAGCACATTCCAGGCCTTGCTGTTAGGGAGCAAAGGCAAGACATATTTAAGTATAATCGTGAATGATCATTCAGAAGTCACTGAATGGCCTCTTGAAACACTCTTTTCCTATTCTCTCACATATTGTCTGCTACTCCTCGGTTCTCAAAATATATACACTCTCCCCTCAGAACATGTGCTTTTGAAAATCAGTTTTATTAGACTGAATGTTTTTAACTTAAAAAACAAAGAAGAGGAAGAAGGAGCCCGATCTCCCTAAAAAAAAAAAGCTTGGTGTTCAATGAAATCTCTATTATGAATGCCACACTCTTCCTGCCATTCCATCATCTCAGATTCATACACTGTATATAGAGCCTTGGTGTTGCTTAAAATCTTGGAGCCCATCTCTTCCAAGAATGCTTAACATGATGTTCAGCGTTCAGATGCCAAGAAAGGAGTTCTATTTTGCTTTATTGGTTAACAACAGCAGGATCTCTTGCTGTGTCCATTTTTCACCCTCTGGTTGCTGCAGGATGTTGGGCTGAATGTGTCTGACCACTGAGAACTTAATGAAATTCACAGAGGAAATCTTACACGGGGCAATGGGTTCTCTAGGTGCAATTTCCACAACCACGTCAATATCCACTATCTCTATAAGACCAATTTCCAGGCTGCCAGATGGCACATGGTAACTGATGCCAAGGATTCAGTCCTTTATAGCCATCAAAAATTGATAGTTTTTTTCCATTTGTTTTGTTTTCTAAATGTCTATATACATTACCTTCCAGCAAACACTTTGTGGAAAGGTTTAATCTACTACCCAGAAAGCTAGAGAGCTTGTCAAATTAATGCTTGCAAAGTGGCTTGAATAAAGCCCTTCTGAACATCATTATAGTCATGGCTAATGAATAAATAACTGCTGACATGGGAAGATTCTAGATAGCCCACGAGATATGATGGCAGAGTTGAGGAGATTTCCAAAATGCCTCCAGGAATACTGCCTTGGGTAAGGTCCAAAACGACTGGGATGAGCCCAAGCTGTCACAAATGGAATGACATACAAACCCTATAAGACCATCCTGCCTCCCCTTTCCACCTCTCACACAAGTGGCACTGCTCAGAATGCCAAGGGTGCCTGATTAGGGAACGAAGAGTTGGAGCAACAGAGAGGCCATTGTTAATCTTTGCTTTCTTGCCCACTCATTTTCCTCTTGCTAAGTAGGTGGCCTTCACCCTATTCCACAAAAGATTATGTATTCCAGTTCCATAACTTCCCATGGAAAATTTCCACTTAACTTCTTAAGGCACAGCAAGCTTGGCTGTGTGTGTGTGTGTGTGTGTGTGTGTGTGTGTGTGTGTGTGTGTGTGTGCATGTGTGTGTTGTATTCTGTTGGTTTAGTTAATTACCCAAATCCATTCAGCATCTATTCGTCTCAAATTGAACTGCGGTCAAAGGATGGGAGGAAATCAGTAACTGCTGCCATATGGCACCAAACTGAGACATGCAGATACCTAGAAGTTGCATCACTAATAATAATTACATTGCTAATATGCCACCCACCTTCCTGGAAGGCTCACAGCTTTGGTTCTCATCCTGCTCCCTATTAATATCTCCAATTCATGACTTAAATCAAATGCATGAATAACTTAAGGTGAAAAGCCACTCCACCAGCTGCTTTTGTGTGTCTTGGGAAAGTTTTTCAAGCCATATGGACAAACATACGTGGAAGGGACATAGGTGTCCAGCATAATGCTCAATGGTTTGCATATGTGCCCCATCCAAAACAATACCCCAAAGCTAGGTGTGGGAACTTTGACTGCCTAAAGAGTATGATTCAATGACTTCTCTCCCTCTTTCAGGCCATTTAAAATCTGAGAAAGGCATTTCTATTCCTCTTCAAGTTTCCATGGGTAAGCTCTGCCTGGTCAACAATTTGTTGAACTGGATTCATGTTAAGTCAAATGAGAAAGCAGTCAGGTAATATCTATAGATACGTAGGAGTGAGCACATTGCCCATCCCTGTTTAACAGTATGGATGCAGCTCTATGGAAAAGGAAAGAAAAATCATTTCACTTTACCATCTCTTCTGACTGAAGAAATGACTGTGGCTTCAGCTTCCTGAACTGAGATAATTAACACTGTCAGCTTATTACAAGGCTGGCATAAACATGCTGGAAATTGACACCTTGTCTTAATCATTCTTTTCCCCTGAGGAAGTATTTCTCAAACAGATGCAACCTCAAGCTAGGGCTTCATATTAACAACCGTGTTCAACGTCTAAGCCCTGGTATGAAGGTCAATCAGGTCCTCAGCTCCCAAGACTGTAGACCTTGCACCAAAAATATGCTTGGGGTCAACTCAAACACATGAATGAGAGAAAAGCTTTTAGCGATTGGTGAGCATTTAGTTTACACTAAAAATGAAACACATACTGCCGCTCTCTGGGATGAGAAATCATTTCTAAAGAACTTTAGAAGTGGTGATTCTACAATTACTGTCAGTAATTCATTGAGGTAGGTATTTTGTACATAATTATACTGTACTAGAGAGGAAAGGCTATTCTTAAGCATTCATAGCAGTTTATATTTTTACAAATGTTGTGCAATCCTTCTTGACTGCTGACACTGAAACGAAACAGTCGTAGGTGAGAATGAGAAGAGAAGTGAGAATTCTAATCATAAAATAACCAAACCTCCTAATTGTTAGTATCTCATGAGACCACAGGTCTATTCAATCACAGGTCCTGGGCTTCAGTTTCATGTATAATGAGAGCTAACTTTGAGTATTTATTACGTGTCAGGCAATGTTCTAAAGCATTTTCATGAATTATTCTGCTTAATACTTACAATGACAATCTGAAGCAGTATTTTATTCTCCAAATATTTACTGAGCAACTAGAATATGTCAGACAAACACACAAAAATGCCTGTTTTCTGTAACTTAGATTGTAGTGCAACCAGGAAGCAGAGAAGCCAAGATTTGAATCCAAGAAGTCTGACTATTGGATTATAAAACTATTATAGTTAGCAGGCATCATAAAATGCAGTCTCTCTTGGAGACCAATGAGAATCTCATAAATCATAAACAATTCAATGTGAAACAATTGGGAGATGTTTGTGTCCTAGGCCTGATATTACTGGATTCCTAAGACTGAGCTATTCTTGACTGGAATAGTCTGAGCAAGGCCAGAAACTGAAAAGATCTGGCATTTGGAGTGAGCACATATGAGTTCAGGTACCAGCTCTGCCACTTAGTAGATACATGCTTTGGGAAAGTTGTTAAACCTATGTGAGCCTCAATTTCCTCATCAATAAAATAGGGGACTTAAAATAACAGAACTTAATTCATTGCATGTTGGTAAGCTATTAAAGGCGACAGATCAAATAAAATAGTCGGTAGAGTGCCTGATATTGTATAAAGTAAGCCATTTTTATTATTTGCCTTTATGGGCCCTCAAACCTAGACAATAAAATATAAGAACCTAATTTAAGTCATTTTAGGAATGTGAGCCTTGCACTTTATAAATTCCTGACTATACGGAAGGAAGCAGAACTGGTCTATAGCCCACCTGTCTTCAGTATGTGTGTGCACAGTGGTGGGCGGTGCAGAGAAAAAGGACGGGCTGGGCCTGTATTACCCAGGAGCACCATTCAGCTCAGCCTGTCTTGGTTGCTGAGTCCCTTTTGCCCAAGGAGACTGGCTCTTTCCTCCTGTGTCACCAGCTTTGCTTCCTGTAGGTCTTGCCCTCAGAATAACTGTGTCATCCAGGACTCATATAAAGCAAAGATGCCTGAGAATCACAAACTGATTTGTCTATAAGGACATCACCTGGCCTGGCCACTCTACGCTTGATGCATTGGTTCTTTTTAGTTCTCAACCTCTGGCTCTATTTCCTTTTCTCTCCATTTTCCTATCTTGTCTCTTGGTGAGGAGGCATTCACTTATAAATCTAGATGGTTCAACTTACTGTTATGAGCTCCTCTGTTTTGTGTACCGCTCTCAATGCACCCCTTTCTTGGTCGAAAGGGGTGCAGAACTCAACTCCATTCAGGCCATGCCTAACCCAAGTGATCACTCAATGTGATCCTTTAAATTTGGAAATTAACCAGCTATGACTCTTCAGGATGTTGGTCAGCTCCATCCATTTGGTGTTCCCATCTGATTGGGGCTCCATTCCTGAGTTTCCAAATGCTATTTTGAACCTCAGAGCAAGGGGGAATATGTGTGCATAGGCTCAGAAACTTCACTCTGTATAGAATATGTTGATACTCAGCAATATCTTCTTGTTTAATTTCAGTATACATATGAAATCAAAGCATCTGGGAGCCACATTCAATTTTTATGTATAAGAATCCAAGTTATCACAAACTTAGTGGCCTACAACAATCAAATTTACTATCATAGAGTTCTGTAGATTAGAAGTATGACACAGGTCATGAAGGTCTCTCTGGAGGCTCTGAAACAGGTTCCATTTTCCTGCCTCCTTCACCTTCTAGAAGCCACTTAACATTTCATGGCTAATTATCCCTTTCCCCTATCCTCAAAGCCAGTAACCTTATATTTCTGCGACCATTCTTCCTTTGTCACATCTCCCCCGACTTCAGCCTCTGACCTCAGCCTGGGAAGGTTCTTCGCCTTTAGCGAATCATGTGACTAGGTTGGGCTCACCCAATAATCTAGGGTCACTTCCCTGTCTAAAGGTCCATTACTTCAATCACATCTGCAAAGTCCCTCTTGCCATGTAAAGAAACATATTTATAGGTGCTACAGATTAGAGCATGAACATCTCTGGAGGTCATTATTCTGCCTATCACAGTCTTCTCTCTGGTCCCTAAAGATTCACATCTGTTTCACATGCAAAATATATTCATCTCAAGGTCCTCAATATTCTCAACCCATAATAGTGTCTACTCAAAGTCCAAAATCTCATCAGCTCAAAAATCCTATATCTCATCATCTACCTTATATAAATCAGGCATGGGTGAAGCTCAAATTGGCAACGTGAGGTACTCTTTTTCAATGTAAATGTTCTGAAATAATTTAGTTGCTATCATTTCTATTGGTTTACACATTTTATCAAATGTTTCCATTTGATTATGGCATTCTGAGGCACTTTTATCAAAAGTGCCATGAGTGGCTTTTATTTTTTGTTTTTTGTTTTCTGCAAGTTCCCATATGTCTACTGTATGTCATTTCAATCTTCGTATTCTTAGTCCAACTCTGAGTCTACGTTGGAGGTAGACACTTGTTTTCCTTACATTCCTATATTCTAGACTGGTATTTACCACATATGGAGGAAAAAGCTAAACATAAGACTAAATATTGAACCCCTTGGTATCTCAATGTTTTCCATCTTTTAAATCTAAAAAACATCAAAATCCATAGATGATTTAGGTTCTGATTTTCTAGGATAGTAGTTTTAGCCAACATACATATAGATACAGACACACACACACACTCACTCATATACACACATTCATCAAATAACAGCGGGGATTTGAAAATTATACAATTTAATATAGCAGTTAATGCAGTGTCTTTAGTGCCTTAGAAGTTTCGTTTTATTTCTACCTGTACCAATGCACCTTCATAGAGAAAGCATTCTAAGATTAAAATAAATTTCAGATTTCTTGGCAATTCCTTTCTTTTAGTACGTTTGCATTTGCTCCTCTATAAAATGAAACTCCTTCATTGTAAAAAAATTATTTTACAGTAACTTTTGGGCCATTCAAACTAATACACATTAGAAATAAAACATATTAATACTGGGAACAATATTGTAACTCCACACGAAGTGCACAAACTTAGAATAAACTTGGCTGAGTAGACAAAGGCATTTGGTAGACTATAATGAATACTCTGTAGATGACCAAGAAAGAAATGTTTATTTACTGAAAACTATGGCAATGCTACATTGCATAATTAAAGATAATTTTTAAAATCTTGTTTCATCATACTTTGAATAAAACACATTTACAAGAGCTCGTGTTTTCTTAGTGATGCTTGGCTTGAGGAATTTTTTAATTTGTAGTGAACAAAACTTCCTTTCTAATGAACCTGAAAAAATGACCTGAGAAAACTGTATGGTAAAGTTTCCAGTTCTTCATCAAAGCTATGTGTGCCAATCATTCATCCAAAAAGCACCATCATCATGTAATTCTGAATAATCAGTTACAGAATGAAAACATAGCAACCATAAATGACAGTGGTCTTTTGCATTTATGAAAAGCATCATCGTTTTTAACAATATTTATTGACTTAGAAGTCATGAATTATTCATGGCAGATAAAAGATCTCTAGTTATCTGATGGGATCCAATTCTACCCAACCTGCCCTCATAAAATGTTTGAAGCTTCCTGGCATTTTGCCCTTTGTAGGGGCTTGATTCTTCCAGTTATTTGATTCACAAGAACATCTTGTATTTTAGTGAAGAATAAAACACCCTCCTATTGTGATGAATAATGAAGAAAATGTCTTCAATCCAATATTTTGAACACATATCATCATTTAAAAATTCCAACTTGACTATATATTTTCCTTAATGTTGACATGTTAGGACTTTTGTGTTTTTAAAAGGCTTCTGAGTTTTGCTTCTGGGGCTATGCCAGGTCAAATTATTAATGTATCCTCCCTTTCCACTGAGGATATTTGACACGCTTCGCATTTTTTACATATTAAATATTATGCTCTTCTATCTTCCTTTACAATTTCCATCCTCCTCCCTTAACACTTCCTTCACATACTGCTGGGCCCTAAAAGCCAAATAAGAGGTTTTAACATGAAATCATAGGCAGAATTTGGAACAAAAATATTATTTTTAAAACTGAGTTGACTAACAATATAAGGTAAGGCCATAAGATCTTTTAGTAGTTTAATCACAGTTTCCTCCATTCTGGTTCCTCACTTTTTTTCTAGCAATGGCTCAGGTTAAGTACTTTTCATGGATACTGATTAATCTAAATGAGTATTCTAAGTAACATGGAAGAGAGGACAAGGGAGGGAGAAGGGAAGAAAATATTTGTCGAGTGTCTACAATGTACTTGGCATTTTGTTAGAAATTTTTAGTTCTGTAAATCAACTCAGACACCAGAGCCAAATTGCCTGAGCTGAATACTAGCTCTGCTGAAATCCCATCACTGCCTGTAAGATCTTGGGCAATTTACTTACTTTGCACCTCAATCTTCTCATATATAAGAACAAGGTGAATACATAAAGTAGTTCTGATGAATTTATGAGTTCATCTGTGTGAAGTACCATGGCAATGGCTGGCTTATGGTAAATGATATGCTAATATCATTACCTAATTAATATTAGCTAATAATAGTAATTAATAATAATAATTAGCTAATATTAATTATTAGTAATTAACAATAATAATAATTAGCTAATATTAATTATTAGTAATTGTTAGTATAGTAATAATTATTAGTAATAATAGTAATTAACAATCATAATAATTAGCTAATATTAATTATTAGTAATAATTAGTGTTAGTAATTAGCTAATATTAATTATTAGTAATTGTTAATTACTATTATTATTGTTCTATCTCACTTGATTTTGGTCCATAAAAGCCCTAATATAAGATGGCTGTTTTCATCAGCATGTTACAGCAGAGGAGACTAGGGTTCACCAAAGTTAAATAAGCTGATCACTCACACAGTTAATAAGTGGTCTGTCTTATTCCAAACACATGGTCCTGCCAACGAAGGGAAAGAGGGCTAATGAGTAAGCTCTGTAAGGTATTAAAAGGACCTTTCCTATGACTGAATCAGTAAGATCTCAAAAGCCCTTCTTCCTTCCTAATCAACATTTAGTTCCTATCCCGTTCTTTCATTACTTTGTTGTCCTTTTAAACATTCTTTTTTACAGTTTCATTGGAATATAATTAATAGGTGAAAAAACTGTATATATTTAATGTTTACAATTTGATGTGTTTGGACATATACATATATCCATGATACCATCACCACAATTAAGGGTAATAAAAGTATCCATCACCTTCAAAAGTTTCCTTGTGTTCCTTTGCCTTTTGTGTCTATTTTATATGTCTGTGTGTATGTTAAGAACACGTGATATGAGATCTAACCTCTTAACAAATTTTTAAGCGCACAACACCATATTGTTAATTAAAGGCACTTTGTTGTAAAGCAGATATCCAGAACTTACTCATCAAGAATAACTGTAACTTTATGCACATTGAATAACAACTCCCTCTTTCACCTTACTGCCATGCTTGCCAATCACCATTCTATTTTCTAATTCTGTAAGTTTGACTATTGTATTTGCCTTATATAAGAGGAATCATGAAGTATTTGTCCTTCTGTGGCTGACTTATTTCACTTAGCATAATGTTTTCCAGGCCCATCCATGTTGTTGCAAATGGTAGGATTTTATTCATTTTAAGGATGAATAATGTTTCATTACATATATCCACTCCACATTTTCTTTATTCATTTGTAGGTCAGTAGGGACATGTGAATCATTCCCATAGCTTGGCTATTCTGAATAATGCTCCAATGCACACTGAAGTATAGATTTCTCTTTGAGACCCTGATTTCATTTCTTTTGGGCATATATCCAGGAGTGGAATTGCTGGATCATATGGTAGTTCTAATTTTAAATTTCTGAAGAACATCCATACTGTTTTCCATAGTGGTTGCACCATTTTATATTCCCATCAACAGTATACAAGGATTCTAATTTCTCCATATCCTCATCAACACTTCTTGTCTTTTTGCTGTTGCTGTTGCTGTTTTTATAACAGCCATTTTAACAGTTATGAGGTGATATCTCATTGCAGTTTTGATTTGCATTGCCCTGATGACTAGTGATGTTGAGCACCTTTTCAAATACCTGCTGGCCATATCTATGTCTTCTTTGGAGAAATGTCAATTTAAACACTATTCTCAGTTTTAAATTTTTAGATTTAGACTTTTGTTTTTGTTTTTGCTGAGCTGTAGGAGTGCCTTATCTATTTTTAAAATTAACCCTTTATCAAACATATGGTTTGCAAATATTCTCCCCCATTTTTGGGTTTCCTTTTCACTGCTTGTTTGTTTTCTTTGCTGAAGAAGCTTTTGAGTTTGATGTAGTCCCACTTGTCTATTTTTGCTTTGTCATCTGTGCTTCTGGTGGCAAATTCATGAAATCATTAAACACTCAACAAACTAGGTATAGAAGGAATGTGCCTCAGTGTAATACTCCATATGGCAAATCCAAAGCTAACATTATACTCAATGTTGAAAATCAAAGCTATTTTTCTAAGATTAGGAACAAGACAATGATGACCATGCTTATGACTTCTATTCAACACAGTACTGGAAGTCCTAACCAGAGTAACTAATCAAGAAAAAGGAATAAAAGGCATCCAAATAAGTAGAAAGAAGTAAAATTACCTCTGCAAATGACATGATCTTATAAGTAGCAAACCCTAAAGACTCCACCAAAAACACTCTTAGAACTAATAAATGAATTCAGTAAAGCTGTAGAATACTATTTACAAAATCAACAAACAAAAAACGATTGCACATATACTAAACAAATTATTCAAAAATAAATTAAGAAACAATCCTATTTACAACAGTATCAAAAAGAATAAAAAACTTGGGGAAAACTTAAAAACTTAACCAAGGAGTTGAAGACTTATAAATTGAGAACTATAATACATTGATGAAAGACATTAAGGAATCTACAAATAAATAGAAAGACATTTTGTGTTAATGAATTGGAAGACTTATAATGTTAAAATGTTCATCCTACACAAAGAAACCTACATATTCACTGCTATTCCCACCAAAATACAAGTTTCTATTTCTTACAGAAATAGAAAACGTAATTCTAAAGTTTATATGGAACAATAAAAGACCCAGAATAGCCAACACAATTTCAAGTAAGAACAAACTTGGAGGCATCACATTTCCTGATTTCAAACTATATTACAATGCTATAGTAATCAAAACAGTATCATATTGGCATAAAAACAGGCACATAGACCAACAGAACAGAATAGAGAGCCCAGAAATAAACCCACACATATGGTCAACTGATCTTCAACAAAGGCACTAAGAATACACATTATAAAAAGGATAGTCTCTGCAACAAATGATGTTGAGAAAACTGAATATTCAGTATTCGTGTGCAAAATAATGAAACTGGACCTCTATCTTATACCATACACAAAAATCAACTAAAATGGATTAAAGACTTAAATGTAAAACTTGGAAGTGTAAAACCCCTAGAAAAAAGATAGAGGAAAAGCTTCATGACACTGGTCTTTTTCTCCTTCTAATTCCAACATTAATAACATGTGAATTGCTATGAAGATAATACAATTTTGAAATACAATAAATAAGAGGAAAAGCTTTTCCACTTCTTACCATAAAAATCCCACTGAATTTACAGTATTTCAAACTTACTGCCTCCCTAAAGGCCTCCCCAAATATTTCTCACTGATTTCTGTTCTTCCCATTGACTCCTATAGCATTTATGGCCTGAAAAAAATGGCTAAAACTTTGTTATATACAATTTAAATAGCTAAATTGCACATAACACAAGATGTACATTTCTGATAATAAATAGCTTACCAAATTTCACTTTTTAAAAACTCATAATGAGCTCTGTCATTTCTTAAAGTCTCTCCTTCTCTGTCCTTCCCTAGTTATATTTTCAAACAGGCCTTGGGCCTGAATTGAGTTAAAAAACAATAATTCTAGGATCTGTAGCTTAATTGTGTATCTACATCAATTTCCTTGTTTTGCTAATGCATTGTGGTCATGTAAGATATCATCATTGAGGGGAATTAGGTGTAGGGTACACAGGAACTCTCTATTATTTTTGCAACTCTGTATAATTATCTAATATTATTTCAATATAAAAAGTTGTAAAAATCATTTATTCTGCTGAATACATACTATCACTGGCTGATTTTGAATTGTAAGTTATACACGCTCAGGAAAACACTATGGTCCCTGAGGACAAGAAAAAATTTACATAGTTCTTTGGACTTCTCCCACAAATATTAGCATTTTATTGGGCTTATAGAGGGAGGACTGAAGAAAGGGTGGAAGAATTAGGAACACAGTAGGATTTTCACAAATATTTGTAAACCGATAAGTGGGAGACCTAAGAAATCGTGGGTTAAATTTTGGGACCTGAAGATTCACATGTACTGTGTTCCTGATTTTACCTCTTTTGGAGAACCGCTAAGAAGTAGATTCAAGATACGAAATATTTGAATGGAAAAGAAAGTCCCAGACTTTGGAACAGATCACTGTTATTCATACTACCATGTATGGCTGAGTCTTCCTTTAAACCGTCAAACTCAACATGTGTTGCCAAATGACTAGGAAGCTGGCTCAGTTGTTAGATTCAGTTGTAATTTATGGGGTTCTTAGTGCAAAAATAACTCAATTACTTTTCAGACAAAGTCACAATTTTTTATTTGTACTTTTTCTTTTTGACTTCACCTCTTAAATTACTGTCCAATGGCACAAAACAAGAAAGAACTTTTTAAAAGATTTAAAAAACAGGAAATGCATCATTGAGGAAAAGACGTTATCTTTGTACCTAAAACAGTGGAAACTTAGGAACTTTTCTCAACACTGCTGTTCTTTCTATCTACCATTGCATAAGTTTTATAAATACCACTGTCAAAGAGCAATTTAATATCATTTTTCCAAATACTGGGGAAAGAAAAACGATCTGACTTTAATTTGGTTTTATCTAAGACTTAACTATATGGAGCGAGGTGTCAATAACTCAAGGTTATGGGTTCAACTCCTATACAGCTACTGAGATTCTATCAGCAGAAAATTTGTAACAGGGTCATAGACTATATATTTAATCCCCAAACACTTACCATGCAATCTAGCTCAATCCCTTCCCACTATTATCATATAGCACAAAGTATCATCTTAAAATCAAAGTTCATCCTGTCACAATTGTTGAGGCTTACATTTTATTTTTTAAACAAAATTCACCCTTCTATGATGTAAAGAAAAAGTTCTAGTTTTAAGGAACCACAGGAAGGCTTCACATGTGCTCTGGCCCACAGAATATTTTTTTACTCACTTTGTCTCTTCTCACTAAAATGTTAACTCCATAAAGGCAGAGAGCTCCTTGTTTTATTACTATAGTGTCAGTACACCCAACAGGGCATGGCACTCAATGCGCTGAATGTGCAGCTCACAAAAAGCTATATGCTTTTCTGAAGCTGAAAACACATACCTCAAATGGAAATTGAGTACTCAGCAAACTTAACACAGTGATTCCCGGAATGTGGGTCCTAGACTAGCAGCATCAGCATCACTGAAGAACTTGTTAGAAATACAAATTCTCTGGCTTCGGTGCAGACCTACTGAGTCAGAACCTGTGGAGGTGGGGTCCTGAAACATACATTTTAACAAGCTCTGCTGGTGATCCCGAGGCATGGTAAAGTTTGATATCAACTGCTATAACCCAATAAAAAAACACATTTCCAAACTCAGCTCTGGTTTGCAGCAGCAGTGCTAAATCACATAAATTCAGCCATTTTAGTACAAAAGTATTCATTCATATCTTGGAATAAATGCCTGGGAAATGAGTTTCTGCATAGGATAGATATTTGGGCCAATAATGGTTGATCACTGTTAGGCACTTTCTGTAGCAATGTGTCTTGATTCCTAAGAAAAGCATGGGAGAGAGAAACAAGAGACATAAAATACAATATTAAGCAGGAGATTGTAACTGTGAAGCTTCTCCCCAGCTCACCTTTGTTATGGCAAATCTCCTAAACAGAAGTTATTTACTGACCACAGAAGTAATGTGATACAGTGTTAACGTGCCTGCACCAAGAACCAAAGACCTATGCTTTTGTTAACCAGTTGTAAGTTACCCAAAAAGTGACATAATTTCACTAGAATTTCTCATCGTTTCGAGAACTAAATAATAGCTCATTGAGTGGAAAATTCTGTGATTCAAGTGCCACAAGGGTCCATTAGTTCCAAAACATTAGTTCCAAAACAAACATTTCCAGATGATAGAAAGTGGGGAGGGATAAGAGACATGCTGGATCCAAAAGGCTCCCGATGCACCAGGAGAATTGATTAAATCTAATAAAATAATGCTTAAGAGGATGAAAATGAACATCTATACCTGGGTTAAACACACACACATTGCTCAGGTACAGATTTGGGAAGGTTTGGCTCAGCAATGGCATACGTTAAAAACAAACAAACAAACAAACAAACAAAAACAACCATCTCCATTTGCAATAAACTCCCCATGAGCCAACATTATGTTGTCTCTTATCCTGAAACCAACAGTGACCTCAGGATGCCTCAGCAGAAGCAAAGGATCTAGAAGCAAAATCACAGTTGTGCTCTGATCTGTTCTGGGTACACCACATCTGAAATGTCTCTTTGATTCCAGGTCCACATTTCATGGAGTGCATTGTAGAGCGAAAGAGAGAGGATGATGCTTTGAAAACCTCACAGGGGTAAACCAAGAGACTTTTTGTAGCTAGACTATAGAAGAAGAGACTCAGGCATGAGTCAAGGCATGCTGGCTATGTTCAATTTTGTGAAGGGCTGTCATAAGGAGAGGGATTTATCATGCTCTACGTGACACTGAGGGGATAAAGTTAAAGTCAATGCCTAGAAGCTACAGAAAAACCTTTGGTTCCAAAGAAGGAAAAGCAACAAACAGGAAGAACTGTTGGGATAATTTAATGTGTGAATCTGGCTGGGCTATAGTATCCATTGATTCAATCAAACACTAATGTAAGGGTTTTGTCGATGTAGTTAATATCAGTAGACTAGTGGTAGTAAAGGAGACTACCCCTGATAATATGGATGGGCCTCATCCAATTCTTGGACGGCCTTAAGTGAAAAAACTGAGGTTTCCTAGAGCAGAAGAAATCCTGCCTTAAGATTGCAACATTATCTCCTGCCTGAGTTTCCACCCTGCCAACCTTACAGATTTCAGTCTTGCCAGCTGCCACAATCAAAAGAGACAATTGCTTTGAATGAATGAATGAATGTGTGTGTGTGTGTATTCTATTGGTTGTATTTCCCTGGGGAACCCTGACTAATACAGTTGTGCAAAGGTGGATGTGCAAGAATGATCTACTTCCGGTCATGTTGCATTCCTGTCACTGGAGACAGTCAAGTTCAGGCAAGGAAACCACTTTGGTCATAATAAGGAGACTATTTAAAATATATGACCCTTGATATAATTTTAAAGCACGTGTGGCAAACTAGACAACATAGTCTAATTCAAATTTTTCATTTATTTATTAAGTCCTAGTATGTGTCAAATATTGTGTGAGGCTCTAGAGGTATAATGAACAGAAACAGCTACTGCTTTGCCTTTTTGGAAGGTACATGGATCCTGTACGATATGCAGGGATACCAGATCAGCTCTTCTAGAACTCAAAATTGGTGCTCAACAGATACTTGTTGAATGAACAACTGAATGAATGAATAAAAATATATTTTAAGATTGTAGGGAAATATATAAATACACACATATATACATACATGTACATACATGTTAATTGAGAAATCTGGCAAAAATATTAGAAGGTTTTAAAGCTTTAATTTTTATAACGATAAGATTTGATTATTAAAACATTATATAAACACACCATGTGTCCTTCTCTGATAAGGCGTAAGTCTAAGTTATTGTCCTAAACCCTCCTCTCCTTTTTGACTGCCCACTTTACATACTGATACTTAAAAAAAAAAAAATCAACTCAATGTCTCTTCATGTGACATATTTGAAACCAAAAATTCCTAAGGCATTGAAACTACAACCTCCGGATATGCTGTCACATTCCTCCCTGCTAGGCAGTCCATGGAGGAACACAAACAGCCAACTGCTGGACTGAGTGTATTCATCTGGCCTTCAGTAGCGGACAGCCAGAGAATTCACCATGCTGCTTCTCCAAAGACAAATGTTAAGGAACATAAGGGGAAAAAATGGATGAAGATCAATAATAACAGAACCTTACTATTAAGCCGACATTTGTATCAGACTTGTAATTTTTCAAAGTACCTTCAGTGCCATAATTTCATTTTGTCCTACCTGCATTCTGTAAAAATTGAAAAAAGAACAATTGAATCCATCATTGGGCAGATGAATAAAAGGAGATAAGGATGAAATTAAAATAAGGTTCTAATCCTACAGTCAATTGTGTGCGTCTTCATTATTAGATCATAAGGACAGGACACAGTGTAATGTAGGCTATTTATATAACAATGAGAAACATATTCTTTAGCAAAAGATGATTCATCAGTTTTTTTTTTTAACACTTGATCCGAGGCTATAAGAAATAGAATACTGCATTACAGGAGAACGCTCTTTTATATAAAAGTTGCTGAGAATTTTGGCTATTTTGGTTGATAACACACCTGGTACTCCCAGAGGGCTTTGCCAT